>NC_000016.10:80755682-81380682 GCF_000001405.40 Homo sapiens
AAATCACAAAGAACATCTGACAACACCAACAGTACTGTACAATGCAAAAAGTAGACCCTAACTTAAATTATGGATGTAACTTAATGATAGTGTATGAATATTTGTTTCTCCAATTTTATCAAACGTACAACACCCATAGAAGATGTTAAAACAGTGGAGACTATGGGAGCAGGGGGAGGTAATACATGGGAACTCTGTACTTTCTGCTGAATTTTTCTGTAAACCTAAAACTGCTCTAAAATAAAGTCTACTATACCCTTAGTCATTTAGGAAACATGCTCTTAAATAACTACTGGGTCAAGGGGTAAAGAAATGGAATTACAAATTAGTTAGAAAATAGCAATAATGATAATAACACACATAATAATTCATAATAGTGATATGGCCAAAACTACAATCATAAGAAAATTATTAAATGATGTTGTCATTAAATAAGAAAGGATAAAACTAAACGCACCAGTGGTCCAACTTGAGAAGTTAAAAAGAGAACAACAAAATAAAAACTAAGAAAAACAGAAATGAAGCATTAACATAATTAAAAGTGGAAATTTATTCATTAAAAACCAAATAGTGGTCCAACTCAATTCTCTGAAAAACCTTACCCAAAACAAATTCTACCATCCACAAACCTCTGTCTAGTCTATTTAAAGAAAATGAGAAAACACAAACACACACAATGAGGAATATTTAACAAGGGAATTTGTTAACAAGAATAAAAGAATATATAACAAAAAATGGCAGTAATTCAAAAATGAGAGGAAATTATTTAGAACAATAAATTTGAAAATCCTCAATGAAACAAGGAATTTTTTGGGTAAATACAAATGAACACAACTGACAATAAAAATAAACAACATCAAATTAACCAAAAGCTATAGGTGAATTTGAAAAGGCTGTTAAGAATGATCTCTGAAGCATTATAAAATGTTTCAGACGACAGTAAAAAAAGGAACACTTTTCCACTCATTTTATAACATTTAATGACCTTGACAGAAAAATCTAATAATGCACAGTACACACTAAAACCACAGTCCAGTGTCACTTAGGAATATTCATTTTAAAAAATTAAATAAAATATTTTTAAATCCACTAGTATAACAGCAGAAAATATACTTCCATCAGCAGAGATTGGTCCCAGAAAAAGAAGTTATAAATTAGCATTATCATCGTATAAATTAGTAAAAAAAAAAACACATGATTTCATTAATTTTTCAAAGGCATCTGATAAGTCATTTCCTGTTTTTAAAAAATAGTCAACTAAGACCAAAAGAACAATCCTAGTCTCAAACTAACAGCCAACATCATACTTATGGTGATGTAATAATGACATTCCCATTAAAACCATGGGTAAGACTCCCATCACAATTAATATGTAACACCAGTAAAAAAATGCTAGCCTACCAAACAAAGCAAGTAAAAGAAATAAGAGCTTCAATTACCAGGACAGACAGAGAAAATGACCACTGTTTGCTTAGGATACAATTGAAGTTAAAATATCAACTAAGACAAGCAGACTTTAATAACTAAAAGAGAGTCACAAACATAGCAGGCTATAAAATAAGTATTCAATAACCAATAGTTTACCCTATAAAATTAACAAGCAAAAAATATATTTGGGAGGCTGGGGCAGGAGGAATGCTTGAGCCTAGGAGTCCGAGACCAGCCTGGGCAACATAGCAAGACCCTGTCTTTACAAAATACTTAAAAATTAGTTGTGTGTAGCGGTGAATGCCTGTAGTACTAGCTGCTCAGGAGGCTGAGAGGGGAGGCTTGCTTGAGCCCAAGAGTTCAAGGCTGCAGTAAGCTTGATCATTCTACTGCATTCCAGCCTGAGTGACAGAGCAAGACTCTGTCTCAAAAAAAAAAAAAAAATATATATATATATACACACACACATATATTTTGAAAAATATTTGATATTTTATATCAAAATATTTGCCATTTTGATAAATATTTGATATCTATATATTTATTTGACATTTTATATATTTAACAGGGAAAGGTATATTCATAATAACAACAAAAGCAAAATTGAACAGAACAAAATACCTAGGGAAAAATGTAACAATATGTAAAATCCACACAAATCAAAATAACAAATTATTGGAGGACCTAATTAGACCTAGGTAAATTAGAGAGATAAGCCAATTGGCCTATTATAAATGAGTCTATTCTTTCCAAGTCTACTAATAAATACCATTCTGATCCCAGCTACTAAGATTTTATTTTACTTAAAAATTGACTCCATAAATTCATATGTAAGATAACTGGGCTAGTGTAGTCAATAAAACTTCGAAACACAAGAATACAAGGAAGGCTTTACTATAAATAAATAAATAAAATAAGGCATTCCAATACAGAGGTATGGTATCTAAGGAAGAATAAGACATTAGATAACTGAAAAAAATCAAAAGTCCAGAAATATTAATAGATCAATGATCTTAATTGTTGGTAAATGTGAGATTTCATATAAATGGGAAGTAAATGGATTAGTCAATAATCGGTGTTAGACACCAATTATTAATAATTAGTTACACAGAAAAGAACTTAGCTAAGACATTTTACCCCTATCTTTACACCAAAATAAATTTAGTATAAAATAAATTCCAGATAACTTACATATAGAAGTAATAATAACTACAATAATAAACAAAAGTAATAACTACAATAATAAACAAAAGTATAAAAAACCTAGATGTACATCTTGAGGTGGTTTTGCAAGGGGTTGGGGAGGTAATTTCGAAGTAAGAATCAAAATCCCAAATGTGTACAACACTGGATGCAGAAACGCTTTTTTCTAGGATTTTAATATACCATACAAGTGTGTAAACACATAAATACAGAAGTTTGCTGCAGCACTTTTTTTTTTTTTTTTTTTTGTGACTGAGTCCACACTGTCGCTCAGGCTGGAGGGCAGTGGCACGATCTCCGCTCACTGCAAGCTCTGCCTCCCTGGTTCACGCCATTCTCCTGCCTCAGCCTCCCGAGTAGCTGGGACTACAGGCACCCGCCACCACACCCAGCTAATTTTTTGTATTTTTAGTAGAGACAGGGTTTCACCGTGTTAGCCAGGATGGTTTCAATCTCCTGACCTCCTGATCCGCCCGCCTCTGCCTCCCAAAGTGCCGGGATTACAGGCGTGAGCCACCACGCCCGGCCTGCTGCAGCACTTCTAATCATATCAAAAAATCAGAAATATTCTAAAATTCCGAAGACTGGTTAAGGAAATCACAGTACCTCTGGGTTCTATAATATAAGAAAATACTAACCAGACATTAAGAATTTTGGTGTAGAAAAATATCTGACCCAGGAAAATATTTGAATAATTGCTAAATGGAAAACACATGTTACAGCATACTAAGACATATGACCCCATATGTACATACCTGGGTATAAATGTAATATCTACAAACCATATACTATATATATATATATATATATATATATATATATATATGGTTTATATAAATATATGGTTTATATATATATATATGGTGTGTATATATATATATAATTTGATATGTTAATCTACCTATGATATAGGTTAGTGTCTCTGAGTGATGGATGTATGCATAATTTCTGTGTTGGGTATATTTGTGCCTTTTGAATACTTCACATTTTCCACAGTGAATGGAGATGACACTTGAAATTTGAAAAAAGGTTAATGTTTTAAAAATTGTGAAATGTGCACAGAAAGTCTAGTCCTAAGCAATGTGATTTTTTTGTCAAGCGCTTCAATACGAACTGAACTCAAATGTGTATTGTCAGGAAACAAAATGATTGTTAACTATCGATGAGTCATGACCAATATGCCAGTTAAATATTATCTCATTTTAAAACAACAGGCTGAATCAGTGGGCAGGAAAAGTTTTGTGATGATGGTTATGAGTGCATCGATCAAATTGTTCCTTTTGGTTTGGGTTAGTGTTTGCTACTTCTGTGGCTTCTCTGAGGTGGAAAAACACATTTAGGAGAGTGAAATGATACCTGGAAGTAAATGTATAACCATAAAGATGCAAGTGCATGAGGAAGAACTGCATTGAGAAAAAGTCAACACACGACTGCATAACAACAACACATTCAGCAATTGCACAAACCACTTCAAGCCTAAACACACTTGTAAAAGATTCCCTAAGACCAGGAAACTACCAGGGGAATTCTAAGATTCCCTGAAACATGGGGAAAGAGCTTGAACTGTATTTTTTTGAGGTCCTGTCCTAAATTCTAGGAAAACTGACTCAGACTATTTAGAAATGACTAGAGTTACTAGAAATTACTGTCTCAGGGTAAATTAACTGTAGAGGCATAAAACCTTTTCAGACATTAGTACCCCAGTTTGAAACTATATTTCATTTTAAGAAAATGGCGAAAATTTAGATTTATAAATTGGGTGTCACTGTTCACTTTATAAAGATGGTTTGCTATAGGACTCCCTTAGACTAGCAGGCTGCTTTCATGCATGACGATATTATCCAACTTGGGGATGCATTAATCTATTGTGCGAGGCAAGGCACACCTCAACTAGGCAGTTTAACTGCACCAGCAACTGTCCCTAAGAAAGCCTCCTGTTACACACTTGAGAAAGTTCACTGCCTCTGGCTCATTAAAAACAGTGTCAATAGAGAATAGAAGAATGGCTATCACAGACTGTGAAGGGTAGTGGGGGGTTGGAGGGGAGATGGGGATAGTTAATGAGTACAAAAAAAATAGAATGAATGAATAAGACCTACTATTTGAAAGCACAACAGGGTGACTATAGTCAATAATAACGTAATTGTACATTTTAAAATAACTAAGAGTGTCAATGGATTGTTTATAACACAAAGGATAAATGCTTGAGGGAATGGATTCCCCATTGTCCATGATGTAATGATTACACATTGCATGCCTGCATCAAAACATCTCGTATACCCCATAAATATATGCACCTACTATGTCGCCACAAAAATTAAAAATTTAAAAAGAAAAACAGTGTCAAAATCATTGTATTCCTTGTAAGTATCTTCTCACCTACGCTTCTATTATTGACTGGGGGATAAAAATCTTATAAGCCAAACAGATCAACTAACTACCAGAGGGGGCAGTCCATCTAGAATGCAGGATAGATGAAATTAGAGCAAGAACATTCAGAGTTGAACAGTTATCCAGGGCCGTATTCTTGAAATCATAGAAACTGAAGGTTGCACTCACCCTGATGTTGAGCTGTCTCTTAAAGGGGAAAAAGAAACATTAAGGGCCGGTGCGTCTGTGGATTTAATGCGCAAAGGTGACAAAAACCAAATTATTAATGCCTGGGCAGTGAAGGTGATGGCAACCAAACGGACAATGTGCAATAGACTTCAGAATGTAGAGCGTTGTTAATTGTGAAGAAAAAGCCATACACTCAGTCCCACAAAGGAGAGAGGGTACAAGGACGCCAGCATCACCTGGCTGGGGGGAGACTTCTCAGAAATGCAGATTCTCAGGCCCCACCAGGGACCTACTGAATCAGAAACTCAGCAGGTGAAGCCCAGCAATCTGTTTGAACAAGCCCGCCAGGGGATTCTGGTGGGGCTCCAGGTTGAACCACCTGTGGTTACCAGGCAGCCATCTGGGTTCCAATCTATCACTGAGGACCTGTGTGACTTTGGAAAAGTTATTTACCACTGTGAGCTTCTGTTTCCTCATCTGTGAATTTGGGTTCATCGAAGTATGCGTTTTCATCAAACGGTTGTTGTAAGATTATAACACACCCAGAGCTTAGTAGAGAGCTTGACGTCTAGTAAAAGTGCCCCAAGAGTGGTGGTGCTGGTGGTCTTGAAGGTTCTTCTTTTTAATTATTGACAGTCCTGCCACAGCTCTCAAAATGAGTGTTCCCTGGCTCCCACCTCCCTGTAGATCAGAATCACCTGCGGAGCCTTTTCAACACATCATCCTTTGCAATTGTTGAATCAATAGATCTGAGAGAGGCCAGGAAGACCAGATCTTATAGGAGCCCCCAGGTGACTTAGATGTGAAAGCCCTAACTTTAGAAAACTAAAACATATTTTGAGATTCAAAAGGTATATCTACATCTATTAAAATACATACAACTATTATATGTTAATAAAAATACAAAAGAAGATGCTGGGAAAACTACTTTGGATATTTGAAAGTTACTTATTAAATATAATGCACATAAAATAACATGTGAATGTTCAATCTAATAAAGGAGAAAATTAAAAAAAAAAAAAAAAACAAAGACTGGCCAGGCACGGTGGTGCACAAAAATCCCAGCATTTTGGGAGGCCAAGGCAGGAGGATTGTTTGAGGCCAGGAGGTCAAGACTAGCCCAGGCAACATGGCAAAACCCCATCTCTACAAAAAATACAAAAATTAGCCAGGCATAGTGGTACACAACAGTAGTCCCAGGTACTCGGGAGGCTGAGGCAGGAGGATCACTTGAGCCCAGGAAGTCGAGGCTGCAGTGGGCCAAGATCATGCCACTGCACTCCAGCCTGGACAAGAGTGAGACTTGTCTCAAAAATAAATAAATAAAAAACAAAAAAACAAAGGCTACATCTATTGTCCAGAAGCGCTAGGAATAAAGTTCAAATGAACTTCAGAAGAGTCGCAGAGTGAAATTCTGACTATACAAATGCAGACCATCGCAAGGAAGAGAAGAAAGAACGTAAGAAAGCACGACTGTGCAAAGAGGTGAGCCAGGCTTCAACGGGAGCAAACCAAACGTGGAAAGAGCAGAATATGACTACAGTCCATACAAGCAGCACAGCTCCAAAAAGCCTGAACACGGTGGGCAACGCTAAAACCCAGAAGGAACTCACAATCGCCAAAGCGTCAGATGGCATCAAGTCATTTCAGGCCAAAGCGTGATGCAGAGGTCACGCCACTGCTTGGAAAAGTTGCTGCCATGGTGCCAGAGAAAACTACACTTGACCTCATTCATGTATTTCATACCTGCTAATTCACCTACTGTCTATAAAGTATTTGTAACCCCAAAATTATCCTTTTGGAGCTTGTCCAGTCTTTTGGGCACAAGCACAAAGCAGTGGAAAATTCATGTCATCAATTGCAAGTGTCCAGCTGAGGTGAAGCAAGGTGACTCTCTGCCTTCTTGTTTGAGCTCTCATAGGGCAGAGACGTGTCCTTTCTGCTCCCTGGTGTCCCTAAATGCAAGAAGACTGTCATGTGCCTAAGGACAGAATGTGTGTGTTACATCTGTGAGCTTCATTCAAGCATGAGCTACAGTACTGCTGGCCATGAGTTCAATGTTAATGATCCACAATATATATTTAATAATGTGTCTTTAAAGAGAAACACACCATAAAATTAGGTTATATATTAAATGGTTGACAGAAACATTGTGACCAGAGGCTTACAACTGTAGTCCCAGCTACTTGGGAGGCTGAGGCGGCAGGATCACTTGAGCCCAGGAGGTTGAGGCTGTAGTGAGCTGAGACTGTGCCACTGCACTCCAGCAGGAACCTAACTAATCCTGTATTCCCACCAGAAGCAACGATTCAGCATTTGCTAATCCGGTGTTCGAGGGCAACTTTATAGAATGTAATAAAGGTAATGAGAACCACAAGTAACGAGAATCAACTGTGGCTACTCAACAGCTAACCTATCCCCATTATCTCCAACAAAGAATAGAATATTTTCACCAGGGCTGGGTGAGGTGGCTCACACCTGTAATCCCAGCACTTTGGAAGGCCGAGGCGGGCAGATCACTTGAGGTCAGAGATCAGCCTGGCCAACATGGTGAAACCCTGTCTCTATCAAAAAGACAAAAACAAAAAAAAAAGCCAGGCATGGTGGCAGGCACCTGTAATCCCAGCAGCTTGGGAGGCTGAGGTGGGAGAATCACTTGAACCCAGAAGGCAGAGGTTGCCGTGAACCAAGATCGTGCCACTGCACTCCAGCCTGGGTAACAGAGCAAGACTCTGTCTCAAAACAAAAAAATAACAAAAAAAAACACTTCTCATCAGAAAGGGTAAAACAAAGACTAAGAGAGGAAGGGAACATCAAGCCACTTTAAAAGTGACATTAATCTTGGTTCAGTACAATCTGGAGTCCCAAAATAATTTGCAGATAATTCACTCACCAAATGTTTACTGAAGCATTAACACTAGGTACTGCTGTATCAAAAAACACAGTGGTGAAGACAGATGAAAGTCCTTCCTCTTAGAGAACTTACTTTCTGCTGGGAGACCATAAGTAAGCTTAAAAAATTAACAGATGTGTGTCAAGGAGTTAAAAACTGAAGAGAAGGACAAAATAGGGAAGGGGGTAGAGAGGGAAAGAGGGGTATTGAAAATGAATTAGGGTACCCAGGAAAAGCACTGGAGAAATTAAGAAAAATAAAAGGAATGAGATTATAAATATCCAAAGGACAAGACAAAAAAAGTCTTTAAAGATGGTATGATTTAATATGTTAAAAGACAACAGAATTGTGGTAAAGATAAGCATTTGATAAAAAGCAGATAATAAAGTGGCTAGGTATAAGATGAATATATGAAAATCATTTTCCTATATTTCAGAAACAGCATCTTATAAAACATGATTTTAATACATTCTTTACACAGTAGCCTCAAACAGTAGAGAGTACCTAAGAACTGTTTTAAAAAGAAATATATGTGACCTATATAAAGACAACTGCAAGACTGTTCTGAGAGACAGAAAAAGAGATATGGGAAAACTGAGCCATGTGTCTTATTCTACGGAGGAAGACCCAAGAGTACAGTGTCACAATCTCCCCAAATTAAATTTTAGGACTGATGCTATTCCATTCCCTATCCCAATGGGAGGACAGGAAAAAAAAGTCTTCCAGTATAAAAGCAATGAAAAGAGACAATCATTATCAATACTAAAATCTTTATAATAAAGTCTATGTTGCTGGAACAAGAATGAACAGACACACCATGGGAAAGAATATAGAGGTGAAAAACATGCTCAGGTATGTTAATAAACTGTCATGAGATACTAGCATCAATGGTATCTAATATATACTGTAGTGGTCATCGCCATCCGTGGGAAAAGAAGTTAAGAAAATAATAATAATTAAGTGGGTCTGGGTCAACTGACTGATAATATGGAATAGAAAGAATTTAGTTCCTCGGCTAGGCGCGGTGGCTCAAGCCTGTAATCCCAGCACTTTGTGAGGCCGAGGCAGGTGGATCACGAGGTCAGGAGATCAAGACCATTCTGGCTAACAGGGCGAAACCCCGTCTCTACTAAAAATACAAAAAATTAGCCGGGTGCAGTGGTTGGCGCCTGTAGTCCCAGCTACTCAGGAGGCTGAGGCAGGAGAATGGCTTGAACCTGGGAGGCGGAGCTTGCAGTGAGCCGAGATCGCGCCACTGCACTCCAGCCTGGGTGACAGTGAGATTCCGTCTCAAAAAAAAAAAAAAAAAAGAATTTAGTTCCTCATATAATATATACTAATATATATTGTATAACATATAGTACTATATAATATATAGTACTATATGTTATACAATATATATAATATATTATATAATAATATACTGGTTATATACCAAAAAAGCTAAATGAATCTTGCATACATGATTTCCTAAAGCTCCGAGTATCCATGCTTGTCCATATCCCATAATGAAACAAACATTTATTCAATCTCTGGATGACAGAACACCTGTAAGTTTAAAGGTTATGACAGAAACGACGAAAGACTAAAAACTGTAAGAACAATTCTTTAAAAGCAAAGAAGTTACATATTTTCAGCAGATTTGACATGGATCTGAAATTCCTAACATAAAAAGCATACAAATATATAAGAAAAGCAATTATACCCCCAATTAAAAAATGATAGGTACACTGGAAAACAGCCTGGCAGTTCTTCAAAGAGTTAAACCAGTAACCTAAGACTCTGCAGTTCCTAGGTATAAACCTAAGAGAAATGAAAGCCGATCTGCACGCAAAAACTTGTACACAGATGTTCACAGCAGCATAATTCATGATAGCCAAAATGTGAAAACAATCCAAATGTCCATCAACTGAAAAGTGGATAAGCAAAATGTAATCTATCCATACAAGGGAGTATTAATCGCAAAAAAAAAAAAAAAAAAAAAAAGGGAATGGGGGCTGTGGCATGTACTGTACCGGTAGCTCTGGCTACCTGGGAGGCTGAGGTGGGAGGATCTCTTGAGCCCAGGAGTTTGAGACCAGCCTGGGCAACATTGCAAGACCCTCATCTACAAAAAAAAAAAAAAAAAAAAAGGAATGAAGTACTGATACAAGCGACAACATGGATGAACCTTGAAAACATTATGTTAAATAGAAGAAACCAGTCTTCTATTGTATGATCACACATCGCATGATTCCATCTACATGAAACATCCAGAATACACAAATCCATAGAGACGGAAAGTAGATTAGTGGTTGCTTGGAGCTAAGGGATGAGGAGGGTGGGGTGGCATGCAGTGACAGCTAATGGATAGAGGTGTTTTTTTTGAAGGAGAAGGGGAATGATGACCACTGTTCCAAAACTGATTACGATAATGGCTGCACAACTCTGTGAATGCACTAAAAACTACCGAATTGCATATTTTAAAGGGATAAATTGTACAGTATGTGAATCACATCTCAATACAACTTTTATTGACAAAAAAAAAGAGAAGGTTCACAAAGAAGGGCATTCAAATGGCCAATAAAACCTAGAGAAAAATTTAACCTCTACTACCAAAGAAAAATACATTTGAAATGATAATCCATTTTTCACCTAAAATTTACTGAAGGCTGAAAATTTTCATAGTCACATGCAGTGTTGACCAATATTCAATGAAAATGGCATTCTCCGGGGTTGGTTGTGAAAATAAAACTTAGTTTCACCTTTCTAGGGGAAAAAAGGACTGTAATAAGTATCAGAAGTTTTTTATAATAACCCAATCCCAATACAACCCAATGAGGCAGGCACTACTCTTACTCAACTCCCTTTACAAATGGAGAAACTAAGATTCCAAGAGGTGCAGAAATTGTCTGAGATGACACAACTAATAACGATGGGACTGACTCCAGATAGATAGATCATATATCTAACTGCCAATTCTAAGCTCTAGAAAATGACGCAAAGCTGCCTCTACAAAAAGAAAGTGTAAAAAGCAACATCACAAAATGGAGAGTAGCATTTAAAAGGAAGAAAGAAGTGTCGGCCACACAATCCTTGCAGGTGTAAATCACAACAAAACACTGGCTAAGCACTGACTGTATACCAGGCACTGGTTTTTACAAATACTGACTCATTTCATTTTCACAACAGCCCTAAGAAACAGGTACTATTATTGCCCCCATTTTGCAGATGAATAAACTGAGGCACAGAGAAGTTGGAAAGCTTGCCAATGCTGACACTGGTCATTGCAGACCTAGGCTGTGAACTTATCAGTGTGGTCCCAGAACCTGCACATTGCTCACATACACACACACACACCACACTGCCTCTCAAACTCTCCCAAACAGCAGTGACAAATAGAAGAACATCAGCCCTCCACATACTAGAACTTTTCCCCAACTATACAGCAAATATGTAGACAGATTTTTCCTTTGATTCTCCAATTACCAAACCACATCGAGGAATACCCCAACTGCATTTTTGCACAGAATTTTTCAAAGAAAAGTTCTCTGAAAATTTTCAAAGAAAAGTTCTCTGAGCCTATTTTACTTTGGAGACACTAAATATACTAAGCTGAATTTCTCAGGGAAGGAGAGCTTAATTTCAGTTATTACTTTTAATAGGTATTTAATGCAATAGTGAGAATAACTGCAGCCATTTATTCTGGCATGAGGCTTTCACTGCACACAGATCCCCCCACTAAACTTCATTTACGAAAAATGAAATGATCTAAATAAGGGGCCATCAGGTGGTCATAAAATATGAGCACCTAATGGAAAATTATTTGGTTTCTAATCATTTCTTTTGTGCTCAAGGCATCCCAAAAGACTTTTCAGACAGTGAACAAGGTAGACAAGGCATAGAAGGTGGAAGCGGCCAAGGCTATGCACGCTATAAAAGCACGTGTCTATGCAGTCACAGGATGCTGGAGAATGCAACTGAAATGCCAGCTTGTGGCAGAGTAGTCATTCTGCCAATATTCACTGGGTGCCTACTATATGCCAGGCACTGAACAATCTCTAGCTTTTCTAAAAAGTACGAAAAGGAGCTGGGGTTGAGTTGTCACCAAGTGGCACCTTGTTCACTGTGCAGTGTCACAGTCTCGCCTCTGTCTGCTACTGCAAATATTAGTGAAAATGGCTTCTCTGGAGCAACTTTACGGATGCAGGGCTGTATGAATACTGAGCTCTTAAAATGAATTAACCCATGTAGTCTTCCTATCAATCCTGTTTGTTAGACCATTTCTACTCCTCCCAGTTCATATAAGCTAACACCAGGATTCTAAAAGGCAAAGCCCATTCCCCCACTGCCACACCAGTAACAAGAGAAACAGTTTGAACCCTAGCCTGATGACTTCACAGCCCATGTTCTTAGTAAGTCAAACAGCCACACTGTGGCCAATGAAGGGAAACAGAACATACTAGAGATCCTGACAATATCCGAAACTTGGAATTCCCCTCCATTCCCTCTCTCTCTCCCTATTCACTGGCCATCAGACCTGGCTTCTAAATATCTCCTGAACTTGGTCCACTCATCACTATCCCCAACATCAACACCTCAAGTGTTTCTCACCTGCACTAACCAGTGTCCATGTGTCTTAGACTATTCAGGCTGCTATAACAAAATACCATAGACTGTGTGATATGTAAACAATAGGAATTTATTACTCACAGTTCTAGAGGCTGGGAAGTCCAAGATCAAGGCCCCAGTGGATTCAGGGTCTGGTGAGGGCTCTTTCCTCCCAAACAGTGCTTCTAGCTATGTCCTTGCATGGCACAAGGCACGATCAAGGTCCCTCTAGCCTCTCTATAAGGGTACTAATCCCATCTATGTGGGCCCACCTTCTAATACCATCCCCTTTGGGTAGGATTTCAACATATAAATTTTGGGGAGACATAACTTCCTGGATGAGAAGGAAGTAATCTGGCTTCCTGGATGACATGTAGCATAACACCATGGAATTAGGTCGCCTGGGTTCAGATCCTGCCTCCTCCATGCTGTACTAGCTTTGTAACTTAGTTTTTCAGTCTTTCAATGTTTCAGTCTTCATATTTGTAAAAGATGCTTTAGGATTAGAAGAGATAATGCAGATAAAACACTTAGAAAATGGCATATAATAAGTATCCATAAATATTAGCTATTGTTATTAGTATTATATTATGTACAACACCTATCAAAAACAAGTCTGGCCACCAGCCTCCTACTTGAAAATATTCAAAGGCTCCCTTTTACCTCTGAATAAAGTCCAAACTTCCTAGTATGGAATAGAATGGCCTTCATCAAGCAGGCCCCAAATACCCATCACATATCATCAACCACAGTCCCCCAGTCCATGGGCTACAGCCATGCCCAGAGCCAGTGACTCTACATTTCACAAGTAAATGAAAGAAATGGAGGAATTTCAGTGCTTAGGAGCACCTGCATTCTGGGATAGGATCGCATTCTAATCAGCTGTCATTTATTACATCATTATGTGATTGAGAGGATGGCTCAAAAGGCTACAAGACTAGAAAACTATTAGTAAAAGCATGAGTTAATGGAGGTGATGCTGAAAGCCAACATCTATTGAGCACTCACTATATGCAAGTAACTATACTAAAGCTTAACAAGCATTGTCTCAACTAATTCTCAAACTATAAAAGGTGGGTATCATTATCATCCCTTAGTGTTGGCCAAATAAAAGAAGAGTTACTCTATTGCTAGCTGCCAGTGACGACAGCCAAGTGGGTTAGAGAATGGACCCTGCACTCACTGATATTAGGCTGTCACCATGAACATAGGGAGGAACCTTCAGCAGACAATGTAAGCTTCTGGTCATGTCAACAGGAAGTACAAACTTCTCCCAGCTCCCTTCCTCCCCAGGCCGAAAGATGTGAACAGGAAACCAGTACTTTTATGGGTAGAATCTCAGTTCAACTCCCAACACTGGGCAAATAGCATGCCTTTATAGAGACGATAAAACTAAATAATAACAATAATAAGGTATTTGCATAGGTGAAATTAAAGAGATTAAACTGAAAAAGAATCAGATTATTCATTTCCTAGTACTAAAAACAAAATCAGACTTTATAAACTACACAACACGTATTCTTAATGATATTGAGAATACCACACCCACGAAATGGAAATAAGGGTTTAAGAATAAGAGGACTACACAACTTTAAAATGAAATGGATTTTTCTGCTCATTTATATTAGAAAGTGTCAGGTTTTACAAAAACAACAAAACTACTTTGCAAAATAAATGGAGTTAGCAATGGTCACTGCAGAAAACCGAATGTGTTAATTAAAAGACGAGTTAAAACAATTGTCTGAGAATTAAGGATGAAAAAAAATGATAGGCAAAATGACAGAAATAGTAAAAAGTATCTCCAGAAAAACTAAAATATATTAAGCCATGCAACATGAGTTAATAAAGTAATAATCAATCATATAATCCTGAAGGACTTTACTGCAGATTAAAAGATTAGGTACCAAGTTATGTTAATGAAAACTCTATACCTGGATATATACTTCAGAAAACTATGTATTTAAAAGGTAAAGAAGAAATCTTACAAGAACCAGAAGGAATTATTCATTTTTTAAATCATGTTAGCATCAGACTTCTCCTCCACACCATGGTTTTCAAAGAAATAATGTGCAACAAAATCTTCACAACCAGCCAAGCTAAATATTGTATGTAGAAAAACAAAAGAAAAAAATACATTTTCTATTTTCAGATCTGCTAAAGCCCAGAAAGTATACCACCCATATATTTTTCCTGCCCACAAAAAAAAATAGAATTATACCACTGACTACAAAGTGAACTGAAACAATAAATTCAAAAATGGGGCAGATGTGCCATAAAATAATTCATGATAAGCAAAGATAAATGTAAAATTTAGACTTGATGTCTAATTCTTGTCAATGTCAAAGCTAAGTTTTAATTTTTTAAAATAAGACATACAATACTTTTAAATCTACAGAAAAATATACAAAATCCTATTATGCCATCAAAAACTAGGGAAAAGATTAGACACAACCACTAAAGATTTTGTCTCATTCTTAAAAAAGTAAAATAGAGGAAGAGAAGAAATTAAACGATTAGACAGCCAAGATCTGGGAGAAAACAGAAAGCCAGGAAATGAATCCAGAATCAGAGCCACTGGAGGACATTTTCTAAACCAGAAGAGTCAGCTGACAAAAGTTGGGAATACTGGGAATCCCACTGGGACCCCAAAAGGCTGCACTCTAGGAGTAAGGGTAAATGGTAAGTAACCCAAACTCATAAAGACCATTTCCTAGTTTTGATTCATCTGAACTCCCCAGAAAAGAATCTCCATCTTTGTAAGTGGTTTAAGATGATCCTATATTTCTCCACTGTCTGATAAAAGCAGATGAAAATCCAATCTATAGAAAGTAAAACCACACTAGGCCTCAGTTCAGTTCTACAAATATTTCTTCCAAATGCAATGTCAAGTATACAATCAAAATAAAACAGACAGGTGTGACAAGAAGATGAGAACTGGCAAAAATAGCCCAGGGTCTAGGGGGACTCCAGATGTTGAAATGTCAAACACACACCTTAAAATAAGGATGCTTATTATGTCCAATGAACTAAAAGTCAACAATGAAATTTCAACATACAAACGAAAACTGGCCAGTGCAGTAGATCACCCCTGTAATCCCAGCACTTCGGGAGGCCGAGGTAGGCGGATCACTTGTGGTCTGGAGTTTGAGACCAGCCTGGCCAACATGGTGAAACCCCGTATCTACCAAAAAATACAAAAATTAGCCAGGTGTGGTGGTGCGCACCTGTAATTTCAGCTTCTTGTGAGGCTGAGGCAGGAGAATCACCTGAACGCAGAAAATCGCTTGAATCCGGGAGGCAGGGATTGCAGTGAGCCAAGATCACACCACTGCACTCCAGCTTGGGTGTCAAAGAGTGAGACTCCATTTCAAAAGCAAAAAAAAAATGAAAACTAAAAAACTGCAGAGCAGATTTCTAGAAGTAAAAAATATAATGCCCAAAATTAAGGCCTCAGAGAAAGAGTTTTAAGACAAACTAGACACTAGAAACCAGATTTAAAAATTAGTGGATTATGTAAACTGAAATAAGAAGGAAAGAGAAAAACTGCTTAGGAGACAAAGAGGATACAGTGATGGAGAATAACTGCATATGAGGGGAACACCAGCAGAACCAGGGAGAATAAGGAGAAAGAGGAAATGGCTGAGCATTCCCCTAAACTGATGGAAAATATTAACTTCACAAATTCATGTAGCCCCACAAACACCATGGCAGCCAGAAGACAATGGAATGTCATCTTCAATCCACTAAGGAAATAACTGCAGTCCGATAATTCTTTACTTCATGAAAAAACATCCTTCAAAACTAAATGTGAAATAAAGCTTTTTTAGGCAAATAAAAATGAGGAAAATTTTACTAAAGGTAATAAAAAAGAGTGTTTTTTAGAAAATAATTTCAGGTAGAAGGCTGGACATGGAGAGGGAAGTAAAGACACAAAAATGAAAAACTGGAGAAAGTCAAAAGAATAATAACAATTTCCAATGGGGCTTAAAATATACAGAAATAAAACACTCAAAAACAACAGCACTTAAGACAAATGTGGATAAACTGGATTCAAGATGTCTAAGGTCTCTGAATTGTCTGGGAATAGTGCAAATTGCAATTTTTTTATTTTTTGGGAGACGGAGTCTCCCTCTGTAGACCACGCTGGAATGCAGTGGCATGATCTCGGCTCACTGCAACCTCTGCTTCCTGGGTTCAAGTAATTCTCCTGCCTCAGCCTCCCAAGTAGCTGGGACTACAGGCACGTGCCACCACGCCCGGCTAATGTTTGTATTTTTAGTAGAGACGGGGTTTCACCGTGTTAGCCAGGATGGTCTCAATCTCCTGACCTCATGATCCACCCACCTCGGCCTCCCAAAGTGCTGGGATTACAGGTGTGAGCCACCACGCCTGGCCCAAAATGCCAATTAAAATTAGAATTTAACTCAAGTATACATATTGTAATTTCTAGAGTAACCACTAAAAGAAAAGAAAAAATAACAGAAAAAATGGAATAATGTTCTCAGTCAATAAAAAGTAAGGCATGAAAGTAGAGAAATAGGAACATAGAATAGGTGGGACAAAAAGAAAGCACACAGTGCAATGGTAGTTTTAAGCTCAAATATATGTATAATTATATTAAATATAACTGGTCTAAATATTCCAATTAAAACATAAAGGTTATCAGATAGAATTTTTTAAACCTAACTGTATGCCATTTACAAAGATACATGTAAAACATATGCATACAGAAAAGGTGAAAACAAAATGACAAAAAAAGAAATGCTCTGCAAATTTTATTAAAAGAATATGATGTAGCTGTACTAATATCAGATATTTTTTAAAACAAAAAGTTTAACTAGAGTTAGAAAGTGGAATTTTTTATAATGGCAAAAGGATCAATTTCCTAGGAACACAGAAAAGTTATAATTGTGTATGCACTTAATATCATAAAATATATAATGTAAAAATTGGCAAAACTATACCAAAATACAAAATGTAAAAATTGACATTACAAGGAGAAATAGACATTTCCATAATCGGAACAGAGATTTTTCACACATGCCTCTCAATAAATGATAGAACAATCAGACCAAAAACGCAGCAAGGTTAAATATCTGAATACACAATTAATATAAAATATATAATCTTGACCTAAAACACACATAGAATGCTGTGCCCAACAGCTGCATGCATGAAACATTTACAAAAAGTAGTCCCACACTAGGTGATAAGGCAATTCTGATACATCTTAAAGTTAAATATCAGAGTATGTTCTTTAATGATAAAATTGAAAGTACAATAAAATAAAGATGACAGAAAATCTTCATGTTTGAAAATTAAGAAATATACGTCGAAACAAAAATGGAAACTAGAAGTGTTTTAAACTCAGTAATCATAAAAGATTATATATTAAAACTCGTATGACATACTTAAAGGCATGCTTAAATTAAAATGTACAGTTTTAATTTATATATTTAGGAGCAATGGCAGGCTGAAATCTAATGAACTAAACAACCATGTCAAGAATTTTTTTAATAAAACAAGCACAGAAAAAGTAGAATGAAGAAAATAATAAAGATAAGAGCCTCAGTTTAGTTCTACAAACAGATAGGTTTATAGAAGCAAGGAAGAGAATATTAAGAACAACCTTTATGTATATGGGAGCTCTGGGGTGCTGGCAGCGTTCTATAAGGTGAAGACTTGATAATGAAACAGGTATTTACTTTATAATTCATTAAAGTGCACATTTATAATTTTGGCAATAAATAAATGCATAAAAGTAAAGGAAGAAAAATACACAAGGAAAATAACAGAAATCAGAAGTGACAAAAACAAAGAAAATTTATTTGATACATACACATAAACAATGGAATACTATATAGACTTTAAAAAGAAGGAAATTCTGTCATTTGCAACAATACGGATGGAACTGGAGAACATTATGCTAATAAGCCAGGCGCTGAAAGACAAATGCTATGCGATCTTATTTATATGTGGAATCTAAAAAAGTTGATCCCACGGAAACAGAGAGGAGAAAGGGGGTTATCAGAGAATGGGTGGGGGAGGATGGGGGAAGGAAGGAGGTTGATCAACAGGTGCAAAGCTTCAGTTAGACTGAAGGTATATGTTTTAGTGATCCACAGCACTGCACTGTGACCACTGTTAATAACAATGTATTATATACTCCAAAACTGCTAAAATAGATCTTTAATGTTCATACCACAAAAAAAAGATAAATTGGTGAGGTAACAGATATGTTAATTAGCTTGATGGAATCTTTCTGTAATATGTATATAGAGATCAAGACATCATACTGTACCCCATAATAAACATAATTATTATTTCAATTAAAAATAAAAAATAAGTGTAGCAGGAGGATATTATTTGGGGCAAATCTGAAGAGTATTTTCAACACTTCATAAGATGAAACACAGTATACTCAAGGTCAATAGGAAGGTCAGAATGAGCAAAGCACAAAAAATAAAGGTAAGAGTAGTAAGATACATGAAGAGGCCAGGATAGGAAGGAGAAAAGGCATAGAAACTGACTGAATTTAGCTAAATATTAAAAAAAAAAATGCCTTATCACCAAGTAGGACTTACTCTAAGACACAGAAGGTTAGCATTAAGAAATCTGTGAATAGATTATATCACCAAAAAGATTTATTTCTATAGAAAGAAATATTATTTCAAATTAGGTAACTATATTATATCTTCATTTCTTGAACATATAATTACATATATTCAACATAATTACATATGTTCAGGAAATCAGAAAAATGCCCATGCACAGTCCCTTTCTGAAAGAGCTACTATAAGAAATACTTCAGCATCTTGAAACAGAAGTCCAAGAAAAAGAAAACAATGGAATATATAAAAATATATTATAAGTGAAGATATAAGTAAATTTATATTTAAATCTAAATAATTGTTCATTATTTAACTATTATACTTGAGGAAATGTTAAAGATAAAATGCTTAAGGAAGTAGGTATGATACAAAACCACAATAGTAACAAAAATCTGTATATACAGTTTAAATAATTAAATTAAAAGTTACGGGAAGGGGACTAGTAGAGAAGAAATAAAGTGTCTAAGGAGCTTGCCTTTTTCAAGGGGGGTGGGTTGTAACAATTAATTAATTCTAGACATTGGTAGAAAAAAATAGCTTCAAATATGTTTGTAAAGGATTTAAGAACAGCCATTACAAAAATAAGAAGCATATATATAACTACTAGAACACTTAAAGAAAAAAGAAATAGCACAAATAATCCCAAGGAAAGGAAAAAAGGAAAGAATGATCAACAGAAAATATAACATATGATGTCATAAATAATTTGAAACATATCAATATTTGCAATAAATATTTGCATGGAAACCTAACAAATACATCTAGAAGGAGAACCTAAGACTTCAGACTAACTCTCATCTTATGGCAAAGCCAATAACGATCTACAGAATTTACTTGATATAGTACTTAATAAGCTTTATTTAATAGGTATATATCTATATCTTAATTATTAATACATATTTATTTATATAAAATAAATATCAACTTTTGTGCTGTCCAGAGGCTTTGTATTTTTCTCAAACATCAAAATATTGGTCATACATTATTAGGTCACAAAAATTCAGTAACACTGCAAAAGAAGTTACGTATATGTCATAACCTCTGGTCATAATGCATAAAAACTTGAAGTTATATGCAACAAAAAAACAAACAATAATATTAATTTGATTATACAGCAATTTAAAAACACCCTCCCACGTTAATTCTTCAGTAAAAGAGCAAATTAGCAACTGAAAGTACATTTTACTTAGAAAAATACATATCAATTAGAAGACAACATAATGAAACTTCTGCAGTTTCTCTGTCAATTTTCAAACATCAAACGTGAAAATAAGTAAGTTAAGCACTCAATTCAACTAGCTAGAAAATTAAAAACAAATTAAGCCTGAAAAGAATAGATGTTTTGGAAATAATTTGGTGAATCTGTTATAATCTAGAAAAGATGAATATACACTAGGATTCAGGAATACCACAGCTAAGAATTTATCTTCAATAATCTTTGGCACGGATATACTAGGAAGGAGCTACAAAAAAATATTCATAGCAGCCGTCTGTAATATCAAAGCATGAAACAAAACAAGAAATCGAAATGATCCCAAAAGTCTATTGATAATGGAATGTATAAATAAATTCCATACACTTCCATCCATCTTTTATTTATATATTATATACTGTAATTTTTGTATCTGTATATTATATATTATATATTTTAATATTTTGTGTATTTATATTTTAACGTACATTTGTATATTCTTATAATGATATTAACATGGATAAATCTTAAAAGCATAATGTAGAGTAAAAAAAGCAAGATGCAGAAGAATTCATATAATGGGATTCTGATTTCATAAATTTTAAACCCAGGAAAAATCAAACAACATATATTTTAGGGATGCATACGTATATATTACAAAACTTTTTTTTTTTTTGGAGACAGAGTCTCCCTCTGTCGCCTAGGCTGGAGTGCAATGGCACGATCTCGACTCACTGCAACTTCCGCCTCCCAGATTCAAGCCATTCTCCTGCCTCGGCCTCCCGAATAGCTGGGACTACAGGCGCACGCTGCCACGCCCGGCTAATTTTTTGTTTTTTTTTTAATAGGGACGGGGTTTTACCGTGTTGCCCAGGCTGGTCTCGACCTCCTAAGCTCAGGCAATCCGTCCGCCTTGGCCTCCCAAAGTGCTAGGATTACAGGCGTGAGTCACCGTGCCCGGCATGTAAAATTATTTTTTAAAGTCAAGAAAATAAGCAGAAATTCAGAAGAAGAGTTAACCTCTTGGGGAGACGGAAGGAGTACACTGAGAAGGGGGCACACAGAGGACTAGAAAGATGTCCTTTTTTAAAACTATGTGTCGAGTACACTCAATATGATTATTAAATTATACATATATATTTTTGTTTGCATATTATCTAGTTCATAATTAAAAGTAGAAAAAAAGTAAACAGATGAAGGAATGAATGATAAGTCAGAGAAACACTGAAACAGAGCAAGAAAAGACTGCAATGGGAAAATAAAGCTAAAAATTGATTTTACAGAAAAAAAAATCTATTTAAGAGACAAGCTTCTGGCAACACAAAAAATATGAAGAAAAGAGAAAGTACAAATCTACAACCTTAGGAAAGAGATGAAGGGTATAACCAAATATATGGAAGAGATATTCTGAAAATACATTTTGTACATTTTCAGATAAATGTTAAAATAAGAATAAAATGATGTTCTTACTAATATAAACTACCAAGAATTATTAAAGAAGTGAAAATATGAAAAAAATCAAGTCACTGAACATGCTGTCTAAATTGTCCCAAAAAAATACAGACACACAAAGTATCATAACCAACTTATTTCTTTCATAAAGCATTCCAGAGAAAGCTTAGTTGACATGTTACATAAGCTATTCCTAAAAACAGGAAAAAAATTAATCAATTAATCTCATGAAACCAGCATTAATTTGACATTAAAAACTTGATTAAATTAGCACATACAAAAAAAGAGATACTCAATACTAAAATTCTAAACACTCACAGCTGCTGGCTGAAACTTAGCATAATACTAAAATAAAAAAAAATGTATTATCATCAAGTGTGTGTGCTATTAAATATGGAAATTTTTAAAAAAATCTGTTACTAAATTATATCTAGTGATAATGGGGAAGAGTATACGATCACTCCAGTAAGTATCAAAAATGAATGTAATAAAATGGAATATCCATTCTTTGTCAAGAAGAAAAAACAGTAAACTAGCTGTAGAAACTTTAACAGGAAAAATAATATCTACTTTATATCAATAGCCACTTCTTTAATTCATGGTGAAACAAAAAGCAGTTTTATTGAATGAGAAACAAGAAACATGAATACTAGCTATTACACTATAATTTAGCATTTCTGAAAATTCTAGCTAATAAAATAAGAGTAGAAATATATATAAAATTATAACTGACAGAAAGACAGGTAAGATGATATAATTTAAGCATGATGTGACTATCTTATATAAAATTATAACTGACAGAAAGACAGGTAAGATGATATAATTTAAGCATGATGTGACTATCTTAAATTCCAAAAGGAACTGAATTATAAAACCCTCTTCACAAAGGCAACAAAACTCTAAACTGTCTAACAAACTTAGGATCTGTATCAAGAAAACTAGAAAACTTTCCTAACACATACAAAAGAAAGTCTTTTGGGGAGAAATATTATGTTCTTTAATCATAAGACTCAGTATCACAGAGGTATCAACTTTATCCAAAGTTACGTATAAGTTTAGTACAATTAAAAGAAGTACCTCATCTGAAAACTTTATCAACAGAAATAAACAAAAAATTTTGGAAAGAAATGGACTTGAATTACCAAATAATAAAATGTGTTCTAAAAGCACAATAATGGAAATTGTAGAACAGAGTAGAATGCCTGGAAACAAACTCATATTAATATGTTACAATTTCATCAATGACAAATCGGACATTTCAAGTCAGAGGGAAAATAATGACTCATTTAATAAGTGGACTGAAACGAAAGATCAACAATCACAGAGACCATATCCCTACTTCACATAATACAGCAAAACAAATTTCAGCTATATTAAATTTCCACTAAAATGGGCAAAAATTATGCCATAAAAGACTAAGAATAAATGCTTACATATTTTGTCATGAGGATAGCCTTCCCCTCACTCCAAGGAAGGAATGTAGGAAGAAAAGAAGGAAGGAAGGAGGAAGGGAGGAGAACAGTGAGATGAGAAAGAAGCACAAAAATATACATTAATCTGCCATAAATGTTTAAATTACTCTCCTTTAAAAAATCCACAATAGGCAAAATGAAGAGCTATTCAGAATGAAAAATAAGTATTTTTGTTAATGTATGTGACAGACAAGAATTAAACCCATTAATGGTTTTAAAAATCTTTCTATTATCAATAAGAAATGAAAAACACCTCTCAAGTTGCATTTTTTAAATAATACGAGTAGTGCTGAGAGCCTCATGAAATAAACATGTCTGTTATTGCTAGCAATATCCTTCCTGGATGGCAAGCACATGATTTCTGGAGAGTAATTTGACAGTATTATCAGAAGTCTTTACCAAGGGCATACTCATTGACATTCCACATCTAGAAATTTATCATAAGAAAATAACAGCAATATATACAAAGATTTGTAGAGAAAGCTTATACCCCTGTTTAAAATACTGAAAATTTCAAAAAAAACCAAGTATAAAATCTAATATACTAAAACAAAGTGATAAAATATATGGTACAGCATATTAAAATTATGTTATAGAACACTATTAAATGAAGTAAGGAAATACTTATATTGTTAAAAACAGTTGCAAAAATTGTATGGCCAATAATTGTATATATGTAGTTAATACATACACATTTGAAGACTCCCATGTAAGTGCAAAGACAGACTAGAAGGATATACATCAATGTTAATGGTGAACACTGCTAAATTAACAAATTATGAGTAAAATGTGTTTTCTGTATTTTCTATATTTTTTAAATTTTTGATAGTGAACATGTATCTGCTTTATAATCTGGTTTTTAAAATATACTTATTAAGAAAGCATATAATGAAGAGAAGAAAATGAGTTAAGATAGTAGAGAAGATGACACATGAACACCTATGACTGTATCTGATTGCAAACCTCCAGTCCCAAACTTCATATAATCTAAGGACCTGAAAACAATCTTATAAAGAAAGTTGTAAAACTGTGACCAGAATTTTTTTTAATCATGAAAAATAAGCCTTGCATGCAGAACAGCAGCACTCTGATATTACCATTCTACAAACTTCTAAAAGATTTCTGTGAATTTTTCGTAAAAATTCTAAAATGCATTTTTTAAAGGTCAGATTTTAGGTGTATACAATAATGTGAAGTGATTTATCAATAACAACATGAAACTACTATAAGCAAGCCCTTCACACCAATCTCATTTCCTCCTATAACAGGATATGCAAGGCTGTACATGAGGAAAATGATACAGATGCACAATATCTTTTTTTTTTTTTTTTTTTTTTTTGCAGACAGAGTCTTGCTCTGTCACCCAGGCTGGAGTGCAGTGGCACCAACTCGGCTCACTGCAAGCTCCGCCTCCCAGGTTCACGCCATTCTCCTGCCTCAGCCTCCCAAGTAGCTGGGATTACAGGCACCTGCCACCATGCCTGGCTAATTTTTTTGTATTTTTAGTAGAGACGAGGTTTCACCGTGTTAGCCAGGATGGTCTTGATCTCCTGACCTCATGATCCACCTGCTTCGGCCTCCCAAAGTGCTGGATTACAGGTGTGAGCCACCGCGCCCGGCCCAGATGTACAATATCTTAAAAGCATTTGACAAAATTGTCCACATCATTTCGAATACTATTCTATACTACTATCAACAACATAAGGCTAATGTCAGTAAGAATAGCAGACTAAGGATCTCCAAAAATTCTCTCTCCTCCACAAATGCAATGAGAAAACTGGAAAAAAAGTGTTGGAATCAACTTATTCTGACCTGTAGATGTTAATAAATCAAGAGGTATTTGTTCAAAAAAATGGCTCAATCTCAGTAAGAACAGCAAGCTTTGTGATGTCTTAACTTACCCTATTTCATGACCGATACTCACTTTGTCCAAAACACTTCTCTATGTTACCTGTGGTAAAGCCCAGAAATAATAAGCCCCCATAAAAAGGAAAGAGGATCCAAACAGATTTTCAAAATTACTTCAATAGGCTAAAAGTGGCAGAGTGAAATTTAACATAAATCATTACACAATACACATCACATCAGAAAACCAAAGAAAAGAACATGCTAGAAAAGGCCCTACATCCGTTACTGGGAACTGTTCGTATGAAAAGTTGGAGAAGTTCTAACTGACTTCAAGATTCCTATAACCCAACCAAATAACAAAATGATTTTTTTAAATACTAATATTGTTCAATCCATCAAGAAGACATAGCAACTATAAACATATGTGCATCTAACAACAGAGCCCCCAAAATATATGAAGCAAAAAACTGACAAAATAGGAGGGAGAGACAGACCGTTCCACAATGGTTGGAGACTTCAATATCCCATATTTAACAATAGACAGAACAACTAGACAGAACAGTAAGAAAATAGATGACTTGAAGAACACTGTAAACCTATTAGACCTAACAGATACATACAGAACATCCCACCCAACAACAACAGAGCATACATTCTTCTCAGGTACACATGGTATGTTCTCCTGAATAGACTACATGTTGGGCCACAAGACAGGCTTTAATAAACGGTTTAAAATCTGAGAAAAAAAAGGAAATCATACAAAGTACCTTTTCTCACCAACATGGGATAAACTAGAAATTAATAATAGAAGGAAAACTGTAAAACTCACAAATATGTAGAAAATAAATGGCACTGTATTAAAACAACCAATGTGTCAAAGAAAAAAATCACAAGGTAACTTAGGAAATATCTTGAGACAAAAGAAAACAAAACATACTAATACTGCAATATTTATGAAATGCAGTGAAAGCAGTGCTCAGGGGACATTTACAGGTGTAAACACCTACATTAAAAAAGAAAAAAAAAGACATCAATAACCTAACTGCATATCTTGAGTAAATTTAAAAAAGAGCAAATAAACCAAAAGCTTGTAGAAAGAAGTAAATAATAAAGATTAGCATAAAGTAGAGAATACAAAAACAATAGAGAAAATCAAAGAAACCAAAGTCTATTCTTTGGAAAGACCAACAAAATTAATAAAGAAAAATGAAGAAGGCTCAATGAGAAATGAAAAAAGAGAAATTACTACAGGCTTTACAGAAATAAAAAGAATTATTTTAAAATGCTATAAATAATTGTACACCAACAAACTGTATAACCTACATGAAATGGGAAACACAAACAAGCAAAACAGACTCAAAAATGAATAGAAAATCTGAATAGATCTGTAACATGTAAGGAGATTGAATCAGTAATCAAAAGCCCCCCAAACGAAGAAAAGGCCAAGACCAAGCCTTCACTGATGAATTCTACCAAACATATAAAGAATTAGCACCAATTCTTCTTAAAATCTTCTAAAAAGCTAAAAGGGAGGGTATACTTTCAAGCTCATTTTATCAGGCCAGCACTAAACTGATCCCAAAGCCAAAGACATAAGGAGAAAAAAAAAAAAAAAAAAAAAACTACAGGCCAATATCCCTGACAATATAGATGCAAAAAATTCTCAACAAAATACTAGGAAACCAAATTCAGCAGTATGTTAAAAGGATCACACACCATGACCAAGAGGGATTTATCCCAGGAATGCAAGGGTGGCTCGAAACATGAAAATCAATAAATGTAATATGTCACATGAGTAGAATGATGGAAAAAAAACACACAGTCATCCCAATTGACAGAGAAAAGGCATTTGAAAAATTCAATACCCTATTATGATTAAAAATAAAATTTTGAAAAACTAGTAATAAAATGAAACTCTCTTAACATCATAAAAGATAATTAAGAAAACGCACAGCTAACACCATATTCAGGTAAAAGACTGATAGCTTTTTACCTAAAATCAGGAATAAGACAATGATGACCATTTTCTCCACTTCTGTTTAACACAGTACTGGAAGTTCTGCCTTAAACATGACACCAAGAGCTAAGGCAATGAAAGAAAACACAGATACAGTAGAATTCTTTAAAACTACAATTTGTGTGCATCAAAGGACGTTGTTAAAAGAGAGTGAAAAGATAACCAACAGGACAGGAGAAAATATTTTCAAATCATGTATCTGAAACTCAACAATTCAACAACAAAAAAACAAACACCTCAATTTGAAACTAGGCAAAGAAGTTGAATAAGTATTTCTCCAAAGAACACATACAGATGGCTAATAAGCATATCAAAAGGTGTTCAACAACATTAGTCACTTAGGGAAATGCAATCAAAACTGCAATGAGATACCATTTCACAACTACTAGGATGGCTATAATCAAAAAACAGAAAATAACAAGTGTTGGCAAGGACGCAAACTAAAATCCTCATACATTGCTGCTATGGGTGTAAAATGGAAAATGGTTTGGAAGTTTCTCAAAAAGTTAAAAATAGAATTACCATGGAACTCAGCAACCACCCCTACCTACACAGCCAAAAGAACTGAATCAAGGACTCAAACAGATACTGGTAAGCCAATATGCAGATCCACAATAATGGAAAAGTGGAAACAACCTATGTCCACCAACGGATGAATGCATAAACAACATGTGGTATATTCAAAATACCACGAAATATTATTCAGCCATAAAAAGGAGTATATTAGAACTCTGATTTAATGAGTCAGATTACATGCTACATATATGTAATGCATGCTAAAACATGGCTGATTACAAGCTACAACATGGCTGAGCCACAGAAACATTAGGCTGAGTTTTAAAAAGCCAAATAGAAAAGGCCATATGTTATACAATTCCATTTGTATGAAATATACAAAATAGGCAAAAGCCACAGAAACAGAAAACAGATGAATGAGTGCCCGGGGCTGGGAAAACAGCAAGTGACACTTAATAGGCATGCGGTTTCCGCTACATAAAAAATGAACATTGAAAATGTTCTGGAACTAGACAACATTGTGAAAGTACTAAATGCCATTGAAATGTACATTTGAAATGATTAAAATGGAAAATACTATGTTATACTGTATATATTTTACCACAATAAAAAGTAGTAAATATATATAAGTACTTTTGACATCAAAAAATTCTAATACAACCATTAATACACCTATCCTGCTATTTTTCTTTTCTACTTTCTTAATATTTTTGCTTCCATTTAAGTTATTCCTTCTTTATGGTTTCCTTTCATTTTGTTGTTCTCTTTCTAACTTCTTGAAATGAATGCTGAATTTACTCTTCTTTGTTTTTAATAGACATGTTTAAAGTTATGAATGTTCCTCTGAGTACCACTTTAACCCATTATCCAGAAGTTCTAAGACTATTTTTTTCATTCATATTATTTTTAAAAAATATTTATTCTGCAATTTAGGCTCTGGTTTTTCATGAGACTAAATTAACTAAAAGTAGTGTCCAAATTATGAGAAGTGAACTTTGCTGATGAACCGAGAATTCTTCCCAGTAACACACTTAAAGTGGGATCTTAAGTTGTTTAGAGAACATCCATGAGAGAAAACCAGAAGGGGAAATGGTTAATAAACATATCAGGGTAAGAGCAGGAAAAAAAGATAGTGATGTTTAACCTGAAGGAAAAATGTCTGCATTTCTAGTAGCCCAGAGCTTTCTGGAATACTTGAAAGACCTCCACAAACACCTCTTATGCTCTAGGTGCTGGGGATGCAGCAGTGACCAAGACAGATGTGACTCTGTCTTCAAGTACATAGTCCTTAAATAGCACAGAAACAATTGACTGATTACAATGATCAGTGCTGGAGAGAAGCTGGGCTGCCCCAAGAATATATCACAAGGAGGTCTATCCTGGTCTGGGGGTCAGGGAGGCATCCTTAGTGAAACAAGGATGTTTTTAGGGCTCAAAAGGGTAAGAGGACACCAGGCAGGGCCAGAAGAGACAGCATGAGCAAAGGTCATGAAGCAAAGGATAGCTGCATGAACAAAAAAGAGTCAGTAAGTTTGGTACACAGGGAAGAAAACGGGGAGTGGTGTTAGCCAAGCCTGGAAAGGTAGGCAAGGGCAAGATCATTAGTATACAGGACTTTTGTCCAAGAGTGATGGGAGGCTACTGAAGACTTTGGGAGAAAGGGACATGTTCATAAAGCGTATTCAAATAGGAAGAGGGGAAGTGAAATTGTTTCTGTTTGCAGATGACATGATTGTATGTTTAGAAAAACCCCATCGTCTCAGCCCAAAATCTCCTTAAGCTGATAAGCAACTTCAGCAAAGTCTCAGGATATAAAATCACTGTGCAAAAATCACAAGTATTTCTACACACCAATAACAGACAAACAGAGAGCCAAATCATGAGTGAACTCCCATTCACAATTGCTACTAAGAGAATAAAATACCTAGGAGTACAACTTACAAGGGATGTGAAGGACCTCTTCAAAGAGAACTACAGACCACTGCTCGAGGAAATGAGAGGACACAAACAAATGGAAAAACACTCCATGCTCATGGATAGGAAGAATCAGTATCATGAAAATGGCCTTACTGCCCGAAGTAATTTATAGATTCAATGCTATCCCCATCAAGCTACCACTGACTTTTTTCAAAGAACTGGAAAAAACTACTTTAAACTTCATATAGAACCAAAAAAGAGCCCGCATAGCCAAGACAATCTGGAGCAAGAAGAACAAAGCTGGAGGCATCATGCTACCTGACTTCAAACTTTACTACAAGGCTACAGTAAACAAAACAGCATAGTACTGGTACCAAAACAGAGATATAGACCAATGGAACAGAAAATAGGCCTCAGAAATAACACCACACATCTACCGTCATCCGATCTTTGACCAACCCGACACACAAAAGCAATGGGGAAAAGATTTCCTATTTAATAAATGGTGTTGGGAAAATTGGCTAGCCATATGCAGAAAACTGAAGCTGAACCCCTTCCTTACACCTTATACAAAAATCAACTCAAGATGGATCAAAGACTTAAATGTAAGACCTAGGACCATAAAAATCCTAGAAGAAAACCTGGGCAATACCATTCAGGACATAGGCTTTGGCAAAGACTTCATGTCTAAAACACCAAAAGCAATGGCAATAAAAGCCAAAATTGACAAATGGAATCTAATTAAACTAAAGAGCTTCTGCGCAGCAAAAGAAACTATCATCACAGTGAACAGGCAACCTACACAATGGGAGAAAATTTTTGCAATCTATCCATCTGACAAAGGGCTAATATCCAGAATCTACAAAGAACTTAAACAAATTTACAAGAAAAAAGCAAACAACCTCAACAAAAAATGGGCAAAGGATATGAACAGACACTTCTCAAAAGAAGACATTTATGCAGCCAACAGACATATGAAAAAATGCTCATCATCACTGGTCATTAGAGAAATGCAAATCAAAACCACAATGAGATACCATCTCACGCCAGTTAGAATGTTGATCATTCAGAAGTCAGGAAACAAGAGATGCTGGAGAGGTTGTGGAAAAATAGGAACGCTTTTACACTGTCGATGGGAGTGTAAATCAGTCCAACCATTGTGGAAGACAGTGTGGCAATTCCTCAAGGATCCAGAACTAGAAATAACATTTGACCCAGCAATCCCATTACTGGGCATATACCCAAAGGATTATAAATCATTCTACAATAGCAAAGACTTGGAACCAACCCAAATGTCCATCAATGATAGACTGGATTAAGAAAATGTGGCACATATACACCATGGAATACTATGCAGCCATAAAAAAGGATGAGTTCATGTCCCTTGTAGGGACACGGGTGAAGCCGGAAACCATCATTCTCAGCAAACTATCACAAGATCAGAAAACCAAACACCGCATGTTCTCACTCAGAAGTGGGAGTTGAACAATAAGAACACATGAAAACAGGGAAGGGAACATCACACACCAGGGCCTGTGGGGGGTGGGGGGCTAGGGGAGGGATAACATTAGGAAAAATACCTAATGTAGGTGACGGGTTGATGGGTGCAGCAAACCACCATGGCACGTGCATACCTATGTAACAAAACTGCATATTCTGCACATGTAACCCAGAACCTAAAGTACAATTTAAAAAAAAAAGACGAAGAAGAAGAAAGTGACATGCTCAGAATTACCTTTCCAAACAGTCGCTTTAAATACATTACAAGAATAGATGACAAAGAGGATATGCCGGGAGTCTAGTTAAGAGACTATTGTTTCTTCCACAAGAAAGAAATGAGTGCCTTGAATGGCAGCAGGGGAAATGAAGCCAGCCAGGAAATGGAACTGAGAGGTCTTGGGGACAGAATTCATTGTTCCTCAGGTAGAAACTACACAAGAAGACTTTGGTTCAATTTATACTACAGCACTTCCAACAGCCAGTACTTCCATGCCAAAATGGAAGAGACTGCCCTTCAAAGCAAAGCACTCCCTTCCTTAGGAAGTTTCCTAGGAGGTACTGGGTGATCATAAGGATACATACACTGGGTGAGAAATTAGACTTGACAGCATCTAAGACATTCTGACCTCTCTTGGTTAAAATCAACAGAAGTGTCAGGTCACCTAGAAAATTCAATGTGAAACACCTAGGACAGATATAAAATATGTTCGTTCTCTCTCTCCTCTCTCTCCTCTCTCTCCTCTGTGTGTGTGTATTATCTCATATCTCAGTTTTCCTCTCTATTCCCGTTGAGTTCCTCACAGAAAACTATCATGGTAAATTACCATCAGTGTTTTACTGCCTGTCATCAGGTGGTGAAAAATAGTTTTATATATCTCTTTCTAGTCCTTTGCATTTCTTTATGTATTGAAGTAAATGGTTTTACTTACTTGAACATATTATCTTAATTTTAGTAAAGATTAGTAATGTGCATGCTCTGGTAATATTTTTTAATGCCAAGCATGCAGACATATTTGCTAGAATCTGGGATTATCTGCCTTACCCATAGGAAGTCTAGGCATCCTGAGCACAAACCCAAATAACCAAGGCATCACAGTCCACCAGGTACAAAACTTAAGTACAGTACATGGTAGTAAAGGAAAAGTTTCAGAAACATTATCCTGCCAATTCCAACCGTGAAGGAATGCAAGCACCATGCCAAATGAAAGAAAAAGGAAAAAAAGCACATGAAAAAAATGCACTGAGGCTCATAAATATGCTAAAAGGACAAAATTAGACTGACCAAGAAATGTTACCAACTGCTCTCAAAATCAGTCTTCTCACTGCTAAAGTTGAGTAAAAGCCAACCAACACGAAGAAGACCAAGACTTAAATGGTTTCCACCATCACAATTACTAAGATGTGCAGTCATCACTTTTTGTGAGTCAGCATGGCTTAAAGTAGTATTGACAAACATCCATTCAGATTCAAAGAGATGCTTTCCCATCCTGATTAACTCATTCACAAGAACTCCTTTACACACCAAAGCTGCCCTGTGCAATCCCTCTCTTGAACAATACAACAGACACCTGTTTTTGTGCCATAAGCATGGAAAACCAGGAAGATTTTCTTTTTCCTTTTCTTGTTCTTAGTGTAACACTCATTGACCTATACCTGGGATTCTGTGGAAAGCACAGGTGCAAGACAGTGCTATGATAGAAGTATCATCTACCAACAAAAGGACAGAATTTAGAAGGAAAAGCATAGGCATTTTATAATTTATCAAGAGATGATTAGAGGCACCTAGGATGACTGGCTTAAATGTTGGTTCAACCGTCTGGTGTCTGTGAATTAATTTATGAATCATAAGATGGAGATAATTCTAGTACCCATCTCATAGAAAGGATTACATGATACCATACACGTGGAGAATTTACCATAGTGTCTGGCACATATTAAATGCTATTATTACTGTTTTTATTATGCCCTCATCAAAGGACTAATACCCAGAATCTACAAAGAACTCAACTCAACAAGAAAAAAACAAACAACTATGACTGTTTTGTTTGTTTGTTTTCAACCATTAAAAACTGGGCAAAGGACATGACCAGACATCTCTCAAAAGAAGACATACAAGTGGCCAAAAATATATATTAAAAAATGCTCAACATCACTAATCATCAGAGAATTCAAATTAAAATCACAGTGAGATATCATCTTAAACCAGTCAGAATGGCTTTTATTAAAAAGTCAAAAAAAAACAACAGAGTTGGCTTGGTTGTGGAGAAAAGGGAACACTCATACACTATTGCTGGGAATGTAAATTAGTTCAACCTCTATGGAAAACAGTATAGAGGTATCTCAAACAGCTAAAAATAGAACTACTGTTCAACCCAGCAATCCCATTACTGGGTATCTACCCAAAGGAAAAGAAATCATTATATTAAAGAGACACCTGCGGGGCCAGGTGCGGTGGCTCACGCCTGTAATCCCAGCACTTTGGAAGGCCGAGGGGGTGGATCACGAGGTCAGGAGTTCAAGACCAGCCTGGCCGACATGGTGAAACCCCATCTCTACTAAAAATACAAAAATTAGCTGGGCATGGTGGTGGGCACCTGTAATCCCAGCTACTCAGGAGGCTGAGGCAGAAGAATCATTTGAACCTGGGAGGCTGAGGTTGCAGTGAGCCAAGATCACACCACTGCACTCCAGCCTGGGCAACAGAGTGAGACTCCAGCAAAAAAAAAAAGACACCTGCACTTCTATGTTCATCACTGCACTATTACAAGAGCAAAGTCATGAAACCAATTTAAGTGTCTACCAGTTGTTGACTGGATAAAGAAAATGTCCATGGAATATCATGCAGCCATTAAAAAAAGAATGAAATCATATCTTTTGCAGCAACATGGATAGAGCTGAAGGCCATTATCCTAAATGAACTAATAAAGAAGCAGAAAATCAAATACTGTATGTTCTCACTTGTAGATGAGACATAAACAAAGGGTACACATGGACATAAAGGTGGTGAAAACAGACACTGGGGACTCCAAAAGGAAAGAAGATGTGAGGGGGATGAGGGTTGAAAAATTACCTACTGGGTACAATATGATGGCTACACTAGAAACGCAGCCCCCACCACTATACATGTAATACTTATGTAACAAACTAGCACATGTACCCCAAAATCTAAAACAAAATAAAATAATAGCAAACGCTATTATAACTGTTTTTTACAATTATTATGAAGCATATTCAAGAAAAATAAGAAGTATCATTTCAACAACCTTTTTATGCAACACCTAGGATCAGAGATTAGGTTACTCCAAGAGATTACACAGCAATTCATTAAGTCAATAACCTAACAGGACTTACACCAGCTTCCCAAAAAGCCAATACCATAGACGTGGCTACACAAATGCCAAGGGGGTGGTAATAAAATAAAGAAATACCTAAGATAGCAAAGACTTTGCCATCTCTGCCATGTGTGATAATCAAGGTGCAAAAACAACCTTTGTCTACACAACACCAAAATATACAGCAATTAAGAGAAAAAAAGGGTTTACAGTTTGAAGAAAGTCCATATATTTTTGCATCCTAAAGGCAGCTATTGTGTGGCTCCCTTCCTCTTTCTATTAAATACAAGATCTCACCAAAGTCTGCTTCACAGCTCTCATATATACCATATTCCTCAAAGTGAATGTGGTTTCAGGTGGCAATACAGACAAGCAAATTAGCAATGTAAATATCAAGACATTCAAATTTTATCCTTCCTTCTTAAAGTTACAGGTGCTTTGGATTCTATTACTTGATCTGACTTCCAACAGTTCACAGACGAGTTTGGATTTCTAGGAAAAGTTTAGATATAAGGTGCTCCCTATAATATCAGTCAGTCAGGGGGGTAGGTCTCAGCTCCACTCTTGATCACCAGGAGAGCTAAACAAGACTCAAGGCTGTGCTGAGCCTCCCTGCCGTCCTCTGCTAAATCTTGCATAAGAAAGCGATAATGATGTCAAGATTTTCAAGGAGACTCTCCAGAACAGTCCGGGAAGATACAGTCTCTGTCTCATGTCCAACACACTTAGATTTCAGTGAAGGCAAATCACCAGTTTTAGCATCTCAAGCATTTGTCTCCTTCAACAGAGTATATGAGGCCCTCACTTTTCATCGCCTGTTAGAGATCTCAGTGAAAGACTAAACAGACGACTTCAAAACTCTCATCCAACATCCAAGAGTTCTGCCATTTCCAAGATTCAGCAATCCTCTAAATACAAGATTACATTTATTGATAACACAAAGATGGATGCTTTCGGTGAGTTTGGCTTATAGGAAAACAATGTCCCATTATTTGATCCATAAAGACATAGGAAACACATTCAAGAATTAAGGAAAACTGAGAGACTGAAAATGGCTTTAAGCATCAGACCAAAGAGACTATAGAGATATCTGAGATGATTCCAACTTTCATATAAATGAAAGATTGAATAAATTAATTATTTCATTAAACAGATTGGTTTTTGAGTCTTGCACTGTGCTAGGTGCTACAGATGAAACAAGACAGACAATCACTGCCCTCACAAAGCTTACAATGTAAGTGGGAGATTTAGAAAATAAGATACTACATATTCAGCTGAGTGCTATAACAAGAGAAGAAAAGGGTTCCACAGGAGCCCAAAGAAAGGGTGGAAATCTCCTGATAAGCTGAGGAAGCTTGCCAAGAATAACACATAAGCTGAGATCTGAAGTGAGTAGGAATTAAACAAGCAAAAATGTGACAAGGATTGGTAACGGACAGTGTCCCAGTCATTTGGAAGGATATGATTAAAGGAGAGAGCACAGAACATTCAAGGAACTGAAAACAGATTTCTCTGGATTGAATACATGCTGTAACCAGAGAAATAGGAGGAGGTGAGAAGGAGTCAAGCCACAAAAAGCTTATATATCACTTAAAGGCATTTAATCAGGAAAGAGACATAATAAAATGGACATTGTTGAAAGACTCATGAGTATAGTCCAGAGAAAAATGGAAGTAGGAAGGGCTAGATGCAGAAATATCAGCTGAGAGGTACTAGAAAGACCCAAGCAATGGCAGTTTTCTCCTGAATTAAAGTGGTGAGAGTATTAAGGAAAAAGGATGGAGTCAAGAAATATGCAGGATGCTGATTCAATAGAACACACATGGCATCTGCGCAAAACAAAGGAGGCTGCACTTCTACCTTGGGAACAGGTGGATGGGGGTGCTACTGAGGCTAGGAATCCAGAAGGAAGATCCTAACTTCAACTTTTGATATTTTGAGTTTAAAGAGCCCAAGTGAAGTTAGATAGATAGTTCCAGAGCTCAGGAGAAAAATCCAGGCAAATGTCCAAGACTTGGCAATCATCCATACAATCACTATAGTACAATGAAAGAACAGAAGAACCCTGGGACAAAACCATGAGAAACTGCAATGTTTAAGGAACAGGCAGCAGGAGATGAGGACACAAAGGCAACTGAGAGTGGAGGGCCATTCTAGGAAAATATTTCAAGAACAAGAGGTGGCGACCCAAAAGAAGTCACAGCCTCTGAAATATTTACCTATACATGATCCTGTGCTGTGTGTTGCAATGGGGAGTCAAAGAAACCATAAGCATGCTCCTAACACATGGCCAGTCTATCAGTTCTCACACCCAGGCTGCAACAAGAAGCTGCAAATGACAAGTGATGTTTTCAAGGGAAGCACCAACAACCAAAAGTACAACCAAGGTGACAGGTGTGTTCTGGGGATCCAGAGTACAGAGACTCACCTACCAGTAAAGGGCAAGAAGGGATGGTGTCATGGATAACGTGATACTCCACCCAGGAGTATCACGTATCCACCCAGGAGTATCTCCTTTTCAGGGTCGATGTGCCCATCCCCACAGCTGCTAGGAATATCGCTGCTGTGCTGCCAAAAGCTCACAGATGTGTCCCTCAAAGGGAACTGCCCTCTGCCACAGGTAACTACTCCGCCCAAGTCTATACCCCTTCCCATGGAACAGCCTACCAGCAATGACTGGCCGACGCTGGGATATAAGGGCCCAGTTCCCTTGCCTCAATATGGGACATTTCTGAAGGGCCATTACAGCTCCAGAGCTGCCCATAGAATCAGCTGAGATCTTAGTTGTAACCTCAATGCAGAGCAGCTTCGCCATCTGTCCTAGCCTGCTTTCCACATTTCCTTACAAGTGTGTCTCCCAACAGCACTCTTCAGCAAACCCTCTGGACACAGTTCTCCATTCCAGAGTCCTTCTCCAAGCAACCCAATCTAAAACGGACAGTATATCTCAAACTAGGCCAGCCACTGAGGCTAGAGTAGAAAGGCAAAGGTGCAAATGGCAGAAGCAAATGCAAACCACAGGGCGGTCTTTGTGCGTGCTCAGTGTGAAAGGGCCTCTATCACATGCACACCTTAACAGAGAATGGCCACTCTCAATCCAGTCCTAACCTGTGATGAGGGACAATGGCTTAAATGTTTCAATTTGCTTTAAGGCACTTTTGTTACCTAATAAATCTATACAAGGTCTAGTGGAAGGCAAAATGGAAACCTGAATTTCAAGGACAATCTGAAAGAAAGTTCTTAGAAAACAGAGGGACTAATGCCATACAGGAAGCACTCAATGAAGTTCATTGCAGGAAGGCTAAGGTGGCCTGGAAGCATAGGTTTCAAACATTTTCAACCATTCATTCAATGAATATTTACTGAAAAGCTACAGGTCCAGCAAAGTGCCACAAGCTTGGAATACAACCTTGGATAATACAGACATGGTCCCTGCCCTCACCGAGCTTAGGGTTTAGCAGAACACAGTGGAGCTCAGCAATAGAACCATTTCCCTAACAATATGTTTCCAGGATCCCTAACACATAAAAATTGATACATAAAATAATTTCTCAGTGTAGATTTCTTTTGTAAGTTTAGCTTATGATACTTCCTTATCACTACATTAACTTCCGAGAATAATAAAGCCTGTTTTCACTAATAGCAAAATTTTTTAATGAGGCCCAAAGATGTCAGCTGCCTTCCCGTAACAGTCTCGGCAGTCAATTTCTTTCTGCATTTGGTTGTTTGTAAATAAAAACACAATCTTTGATTTGCTATGAAAGTAATTATAACTGGTATCGGGTGTGGTTTGACCATCTTGTCTTGGAATCTCAGGATATTCTTCATTCTAATTGATCCTGAAGTTTGAAATCAGAGAAGGAAATGTCTGTTTCATGTAGAAAAACCTCTAACACACAATATTGTCCCCATTCCTTCTCTCAAATTTGAGTCAGAGCAGAAGGAGCCAGTCTTCTCAATAAACCGCAACACTACCTTTAATACAATATAATGATACAAAGTGTTACACATTCCACTGTTATCACATACTGATTATTACACCATGTCTAGAACATTCACCAGCCTCCTCAACCTCAAGTGGTATTTGACTGGGGTGACTGTGCTGTAAAAGTGTATTCGCTCATTTAATTTTATGTGAGGAGACATGGATAGGCCTGAATTTTTCTAAGAACACTGAAGAACCACTGTTGCTGAAATAGTGCATTTACCAGAAGTTCCAATATATGTCAAAAATAGCGGAAAAAGCCATATTCTGAGGTATGCTCACCAAAAAAGGAACTGACATGGCTGCACCTTTTAACATATGGAAAACTTCAATGTGTTAAAAATATGGTATATTAAACCATATACGATTGTTGAGTTTTTTAATTATTACATTCCCAGTGATTTTTTTTTTTTTTTTTTTTTTTTTTTTTTGGGACAGAGTTCTGCTCTTGTTGCCCAGGCTGGAGTGCAATGGCGTGATCTCGGCTCACTGCAACCTCCACCTCCCAGGTTCAAGCGATTCTCCTGCCTCAGCCTCCTGAGCAGCTGGGATTACAGGCATGTGCCACCACACACCCGGCTAATTTTGTGTTTTTAGTAGAGACAGAGTTTCTCCATGTTGGTCAGGCTGGTCTCGAACTCCCGACCTCAGGTGATCCGCCCATCTTGGCCTCCCAAAGTGCTGGGAGTATAGGCATGAGCCACCGCATCCAGCCTCAGTGATAGTTTTAAAGGCATTCATGGCTGTAGCCCTAGTACCACCATAGTTCTAGGTCCACAGCTGACATAAAATAAAAATTTGACTGATGGATCATTAAACAAATGACTACTTTCAAATAAAATTCAAATCCGGCATTTGTATAAGTTCCCATGGCTTGTTAGTAAGGCCCCTTAGGACATAATTTTAAGAACACTGGACTAGAAGACAAGGTAATGAAAATCAAGGAGAAAAGTTCCCTGATCAAGAATTTGAGGGGAGGGCAGTGGCCTCTCAATAGAGGAATCTGTAGTATGGCAATGTGTAGCCCAGGGTCCCAGTCCCACAAACGTATCCCTCAAGTCTCCATGTTGAAACTTCTGTAAGTCACTTATAAATCAATGTGGTGATTGATCAACATGAAAATTCTGGGAGAGATGGAATGACTGGAGTCAAGTGGGAATAATTTGGCAGCGGTGGCCTTTATAAGAGAAACTGGGACATAAAATAAACAAATGGCCCTGCAAGCCTTCTCAGGAACCCATCGCTTTATAAAGTCCTGGTCAATGAATGGACCTTTCACTGGAGTGGTGTGACCTTTGGAGGTAGCAGCTTCTACTCGCTGGCTAAGGCTAACTGCACAACACAGAAGCATGACAATGAACTGAGGGAAGGGACAAGAAGGGGTGGATCAGGACCAAGAAGTGCTACTCCACAACCCCCACCATTCACCAACCTACCAGAGCCAGGGGCTGACTCCAGACAAGGATAAATTTCAGGCCCAGGATAGGCCTCTCCTCAAGGTCCAGCACCACCATGCCTGCCATCCTGAGCACTCCAGTGTGACAGAACACCCAGGCCTGGTTGAGTTCTTAGAGTTACCAGTTCTAGTCTAAGACCCAGAGCTCTACGCTTGCCCCTCATTACACATGCATACATGTGTGAGATGATGTGAGCTACTGAAATCAAGGCATTTATTTGAAGAAGTAATAGACTGAAACAGAAGAAGAGTTTTCAAAAATAGAAGAGATCTCATTTTATAGAAGTTCAAAAGATTAAAAGCTTTGTCTAGCCATACACTATTACCAAATGATGGAGTTGTGGACAACAACCCTAACTGCATCAGTCAGGATTCAACCAGAGAAGCAGAATCACTAGAATATATACATTAAGAGATTTAGTGCAAGGAATTATCTTACATAGTTGTGGGGCTGGCTAGTCAAGTCCAAAATCCATAGGCTAGATCATCAGGAAGAGCAAGTGGGAATACTTGGGCCCAGGCTAAAGCTGCTGTCCACATCTGGAATTTCTAGCTCTTCAGGGAAGCCTCAGTTCTAGTTTTGAGGCCTTTCAACTGATTGAGTCAGGACCATGAAGATTATTTAGGATAATCTCCCTTATTAAGTCAACTGATTATGAACTGTAATCAAATCTACAAAAGACCTTCACAGCAACACCTAGATTTTGACTGAGTAACTGGAGACTGGAGCCAGCCAAATTCACACATAAAACTGACCATCACATAACTTATCAATAGCACCATCATCTTCTTTCCACCTTAGCCCTCCTCACTAAATGCGGCTGCAACAAATTCTTAATGAACAAAATTTTTGTATGACTCCATTACGTATGTTCTACTTTTTTCTCCAATTAAAATTACTGAAGACATGAAACACATCTGTTATATGTCAGCAGGGCTTATGGAAAATCACCTCTTCTAAACATGTAGATCCAAAGTCTACACCACAATCTTTTGTTATCCAAGTCATCCAAAGGGGCAGAGAGTGTATAGAACTAGAAAAGTGGAGATGACTAATCCATTCTCCCACTTCACCCTGGATATCACATTCACTTTCTTTTTACTATCATGCCCAAGACTCTTAGAAGAGTTGCCCATACAAGATGTCTCTAAATCCAGAAGACCCAAACTCCTCGATTCCTCATCACACTGCAATCAAGCCATCCCTGACCCACCAACACACTCTATGGAATAGATGCACCCCAAGGTTACCAATGACTCACTGGTTATTAACTCCAAAGGACATTATTAACCATCCCCTCCTTCTTAAAATGCAATATTCCATTGCCTTCCATACCAGCAACACCTCTTTTTTTTCTACCTCTCTTGCTACCCCTTGTACATCTGACCTTATTTCTCTTCTTCCATCTCTAAAATGTCCACTTTCTCCATCACAAGACCCCTCCTCATGTTTACACACTGTTTTTTGGCTTTAATTATAATCTACATACTAATTATTCCCAATCCCTATCGCCATGTCAAATAGTGCTCCTGAGCTTCAGGCACACACAACTTGCTGCTGTGGACGTCTGTACCTGGATGTTCAACAAACACTCCAAACTCACTGTCCTTTCCACTCCCTCCACTCCCTCCAACCAATGCTCATCCTTGGCTCCACCATCCACCTAATGGACTAGAATGGAAGCCTGGAAATTATACCTTAACTCTTGTCTTTCCCTCAATCCCTACAGACCATCAATCAAGTTTTATTTCAGGAGGGGAGGGGAAACTGCAGCTGAAAATTACACTTTCAGCTACATGTGACCACATAACTATCTTCAGGCCAGTAGAAGAAAGCAGGATTGTATGGAACTTCCAGACAGCTGTTTATGGAGAGAATACTCAACTTTCACCCTTCTATCCTTACCTTTTTTTTTCCAGCATACCTGGTACTCTCAGAATGTCATAGAACATATCATATCAATCAACCCTGGTACTGCCTAACTCCAAAGTTTATTTCATGTAAAATAAACCTGTTTTAAACCACTGTTATTGTACATTTTCCATTATATGCCACCAAACATAAGCTTGACTGATATACCAAATGTTGATTCTTTTTCAACCTTTCAATTGCATCCATTCCACTCCATCGCCATTACCACTCCCTTAGTTCAAGCCACCATCATCTTGTTTCAATTATTGAAACAGCACATTAACTGGCTGCCCTACTTCTATTCTTCCTCTAATCTAATCCACTGTTAACTTTGAAGGACAATCTGGGAATATGTATCAACAGCATTAAAAACGTTACCATTCATCAAACTACAGTTGACCCTTGAACAAAAGAGTTTGAATTGTGCAGGGGTTTGTCTTGCTTTTTTGTTTTGTTGTTGTTGTTGTTTGTTTGTTTTTTGTTTTTTGCTTTTGAGACAGAGCCTCACTCTGTCACCCAGGCTGGAGTGCAGTGGTGTGATCTCAGCTAACTGCAACCTCTGCCTTCCAGACTCAAGCAATCCCCCAACCTCAGCCTCCTGAGTAGCTGGAACTACAAACACATACCATCATGCCCAATAATTTTCTGTATTCTTTTAGTAGAGATGGGGTTTCTCCATGTCACCCAGGCTGGTCTAGAATTCCTGGGCTCAAGCTATCCACCTGCCTTGGCCTCCCACAGTGCTGGGATTACAGGCATGAGCCACAGTGCCCGGCCTGTGCAGGTCATTTATAGGCAGATTTCCTTCTGCTTCTGCTATCCCTGAGACCACAAGGACAACCCCTCCCCTTCCTCCTCCTCCTCCTCAGTCTACACAATGGGAATGCCATGAAGATGGAAGACTTTTATGATTATCTACTTCACTTAATGAACAGAAAATATATTTTCTATTCCTTATGATTTTTCTTAATAAAATTTTCTCCACTTTAGCTTACTTTATTGTAAGAATAGAGTATATACTACATATAACATACAAATATATGTTCATCAACTGTTTATGTTATCAGTAAGACTTCCAGTCAACAGTATGCTACTAGTAGTTAAGTTTCTGGGAAGTCAAAAGTTATATGTGAATTTTCAACATCAAAGGGGATCAGTGCCCCTAATCCAAGTATTGTCCAACGGCCAACTTTATACAGCAATTTCACTGTATATGAAATTGTTTATGCTGAAGAAACTAGTAAGATATGCAAATACATAATTGTGTTTATGGATGTTCATAACATCAATATTTATAATGGTTTACAAATGGAAACTATCTAGATGTCCGATAACAGGGGATTAGTTATAGAAAACATGGTACATTCAAGGGAAAATTAAACTGTCATTTAAAACTCATAACACAAAATAATATTTTAGCATTTGAGAAAATGCTTACCTACATTATCTATATATAGATATATATAGATATATAGATATTTAAGTGAAAATAAAATAGGTTACAAAGAATATGTACCCAGTATCCCGATTTGGTTTTTTTAAATTACATAAACATGTGTAGAAAACAAACCCAGTCCTACTTTTGTAACTACCCCCAAAAGCTAACATTTTAATTAATTCAGATATCACATTAGTATTTATTGAACATCAATTACATGCTAAATATATAACAATAGTTCTCTTAGATATTATTTCTTTTTTGCTTTCATTTTTTAGAGATGCTTTCAAAAACAGAAAAGATAATATTCTCAAGCAACTCCTAGAGAACACCATCATCCCTATTAACACTTCCCCACTGTACCGTAAAATACTTGTTTTCTTAACTATATCTCCCACTGGGCTCCTGGAGGACGTGATCATCATTGTTCCCCAAGTGCCTCTCATATATTTGGTGGTCTATAAATATGAAATAACAAATGAATGATGGTGCTATGAATTCAACCACACCCACACTTCTTTTCACCATCTGAGAGAAACAGAAGGATCCAAATCTTGGTAATCTAAATGCATGCCTCCAATACAAAGATCTTTAATAATCACCAGGCCTGAACCACTTCTTAGCAATTGGCCAGGCTGCAAGGAGCCGTATCAACTCCTTACTAGGACAGCTTAAGCCCCTGAAGAAATTATCTCATGCACTAAGGAATGACCTGACATAAAAGCCTACTTGAAAATAAGCTGATGCCTGCCCAGAGGGAATAATTTAAAATAACTTTCAAGAGGTGGGAGAATCATATACTCATTCCATATTCATCAGGTGTCTTCTACGTGCCCAAGAATCAATCCAATCCAACTGATAACATTTTCTCTGAAGATAGCTGCCTCTTCAAATACTGGTACAGAGATTCAAGAAGCTGTACCACAGACCATCAGTTCTGCTAGTACATGTATTTCTTTGACAGGAATGACCTCAGGTGTGATTCGTAAATAGAGGAATGACGTCTGTGTGGGTTCATATGCAGTTTTTCCTAGCTTGTTTATACTTTGCAGCAATCAAGGTAAGCACTCTCACAGGGAAAGAGAAAGACTTAACAATGTGTGAAGACCTCAGAACAAAGCTGGAAATGCACTCAAGTGCCTTTCTTTAACATGAATAGTGGCTGATTTTCTAGCTTCAAGAACCACTATGCTTTCCACTATGTTGACCTCATGGCAAAACTGCAAGAACAGCTATGAAAACATTTCTCCTTATACAGATAAACGAAGAAGGCTACACCCTGGATCAGACTTAATTTCAATAAAATCGTCTCTCTTAGAAGCAAATGCCCTGTGCAATCCACAGAGACAAGAGGGAAGCAAAGCTCAATGTGGACACGGCAAAGGCTAGACCAACTTGCAAAAAAAGTTCCACAGCTCTTTAGCGGTCTGCCTCAATCCTGTTTTTCCCATAAACTCTGTTATTCTTAGTGGTGCGTGATTTTGCAGAATGCCAGGTGCAGATAGAGTCAGCCCTCCATATCCATGGGTTCCACATCTGTGGATTCAACCAACCACAAACCGAAAAGATCCAAAAAAAAATGGATAGTTGTGGACACTTCCCTACAGAGAGAGAACTGAGCCACCCCTACACACGGTTTTACCACCACCAAGAGGCCATGAGCTTGGGAAAGAAAAAGACAATAGAGGGTAACACTCAACAGAAGGACAACGAAGGTCACACAAGGGTACTTTATATACTTAAACCAGTCTTCTGCTCACTGATTCAGTCAACAAGTAATTGAACGTACAAGCAGGTAGAAACCCAGAGAGAGACAAGAAAACTGAGAGCCTATCCCACTGATTATTTCTTCCTGACACCCAAACATCTTAGCAAAAGATTGACTAGAATCAGGTTGCAAACTCTAAAGTCTACTGGAGCCCAGTGAATGATTTAAGAAGAATGGGTGCCTGGTAATAGGGAGCAAGGGGACAGGGACAAGCTAGAGATCATATGCTCCATCTAAAAGTGTTCAAATCGTTTTTCTTATCTACCATTGAGCCAAGTCAAAATGCGTATGCAGCCTAGACCTGGCTCACAGGCTGCCACTCCATGGCCCCTATGTTTAGCCGAATATAGACCAGGGCATCTGGCTAAGAAATTTCACTTTCGATCCAGACAGATACCTGACTCTAAGACATAACCCAAAATTTAAAATCACCTTCCTATAAGTGATGGCTACAATGCACCAGAAGATGATGAGAACTCCACTACAGGAGAAACAAACCAGAACTATCTATCAAGATCCAAGATTTTGGAACCTGAGCTTGATTTCTTATTTCTTCACTATGATTGAAGAGTGCTATTACATAAACAAAGTTTTCGTTTTCTGGTGTCTTTAAAAATCAGCACCTATTCCTAACAACTGCTTTATGGAGGTTCACTCTTTACAACTTAATTGTCTGAAATGCCAAAGAAAAGATGAAGAATCTCTACAATCCAAATCACACTTCACCATAAAGGCTCAAAGATAATGTCAGCAGACACACAGGTGAAATATATCAATTACAAACGTAAGAACTCTTGGCCCACTAAAAACGTGGTTTCTTGAGTAGAGATTGCGAGAAGCCATTTTATGTACACTTTAGTATAATATTTAATGAAAGTAATAAACAGGTCTCATAATTTAGAATGAAATCTGTTTTCTTTTTTTCCTTTCAAGGCCAGTCAACATACACTGGATATTCCAATATTTTTCTTAAATCAATATGCTACTTTTTACCCACATAACAACTTTACAGTCAGAAATATATATGCTAATGTACACTTAGCACTTCTTAATTGTTCTTAAAGCTAAATTTGAACAATAAATTAAATTTCTCAGTATATGTTATGTAATGTAGACACAGGCTATAAAAATGTTGACATTCGTTATATTCTCGTAATGCAATTTAGCCCTTTTAGTAATGACTATGCAAATAATCAGCCATGGGAAAGCCATTTTCCATCTAGTACAATTACCTACTATCACAGAAGTAATTATTATTATTGTCCTCCTTAACTGAAATTCTATAAAAACTCTTGAGATACTAAGATAGTTCCAAGGCCACCGTGAAAACTCTCCTCTTAACAGACTAATCTGGCAACGACAATTACCAGCGTTAAGGAGGGCAGTTGCAGATGAACATTAAACAAGAAATTATCCCCAGAAGGTTCATAAGTTCTAAACTTTAAATGGGGAAATACTGATGACTCCTAGTACATCCTCTTAACACCTTCAAGACACAACTTTTCACTCAGGCAAGGTCAACAGCTCTAAGCTGACTCAACCTCAATTCGTAGAAAACCATGATTCCAACCAGATCACTTTCACCCCTAAACAATATCTACTTTTAGCCAATGTCCCCACAGTACTGGTTACACATAAGGAAACTCAATCAAACCTTCTATTTTACTGTGCTTCAATTTTCAATTTCAGAAATTGTTCCACCATCTTGAAACAGACCAAGGCGCTTGGGTGATCCATTGGCCACATTTGCCGAAGTTCTTCACAAGATCTCTATCCAACTTCACCTTGTCTCTTAGCATAGAGATGAGGACGGCCACAGGGTAGTGAAGAGGGCAACATACACCATTCTTTCAAGGAGCTCTAAGGTCTCCCACCCACCCCACCTGAACCTGCTGGCCGGCAGTCCAGGCCTGGGCCTCACCAACTCCAGAATCATTCACAAGAACATGGTCACACAGGAGACCTGTGCTCCTTTCTCCATTCTTCTTCTCTAACGCCAGTCAGCAAACCCACCACCTGAAAAAGCTTCAACTGCCCACGAGGGCCTAGAGGAAAGAGCTTCTTAGGAATCACCCCCTGCAGTCTGTCGTGGGTGGATCACCCTACAATGTCTTATGCAAAAGGCTAATTCTACCCCTTCTGGGTGCTTATCTCAATGGAGCCCCAAAGCCTTAAGAACCAGATGGCGTTAACCAATTTATGTTCCGGGAAGTGCAGGTCCAGGCTAACCCATGCGGCTGGTTTCACGGAGGCCCAGAAGGCCCTCTGGTTGAAGATGGCTGGTCTCTTAACTTCTTTATCCTGAACCTGGTCTTGGCGGCCAACACCTCTGAGGCCATTCCCTCTGGGGAGTGGTGGCTGGCTGTTCCTTGTGTTGTCCACTTGTGGAAAACCCAAAGCAGTAACAGTTGTGTTCCTAAGCCCTTGCTCCCCAAAGACCATGGGTGTTCCTCCATTGTTTGAAAGATGCCAGACTAATGTCTTCCTTCGCCACTTTTGGGAAGACATGAGAGTATCCAACGCTGGCCACTACTCATTAGGACCTGGAGCCAGGTATCCACTGAGGGTGACGAGAGTACTGGGCGCTGGGCTGGCATCTGTGTCCTATGTCCCCAACACCTCAGACTTCCACGTTCTCCTCCCACCCAGGGCCCTCCGCAGCGCCCCCTTTCGCCCCCAGGGAGCACGACACCCGCAAGGGCCACCCCCACGCCCGAGCCCGGAGGGCGTCCGAGCTGGTGCGGGGGCAGCAGGTGGGGGGTGAGGGAGGTGGCCCGGGGACCCCGGGGAGCGGTTTGGCGGTTGTCCCCCCGAACCCCCACCCAGCCTCCCCCTTCGCAGCCCCCCGGGACCCCGCCTCGCCCCGGCCAGGCTCCGCTCCGATCGCCCGCCCCCCTCCTCCCCCGCGCCCCCGGCCCAGCCGGGCCGCGCAACCCCCGCCCCACACCCCCGCCGGCCGCGGCGCGCCCCCCCGCATTCCCAGCACGTCCGGCGCCGACTTTTACCTGTACTTTCTGTACTCGAGGCGGCTCGTCGGGCGAGAAACACCTCCCCGGGACCGCTACCTCCCCCGCCCCGGCTCCGCCCGGCTTCCTCCTTCCCCTCCAAGGCCGCAAAGTAGATGGAGTAAGAGAGTGTGTGTGCGAGAGAAAGAGAAAGAGGGAGCGGGCGCGGGCGCCGCGGGAGGCGGCGGGCGGCGGGCGGCGGGCGGGAGGCGCGCCCGGCCCCCGCCACCCTCCGGCCGCCGCCGCCGCCGCCGCGGGCTCGGCAACTCCGGATTGCGCCCGGCCCCGGCCCCGGCCCGGTCCCCGCCGCCCGCCGCCGCCGCCCGCCGCCGCCCGCTGACTGGGGCCGGCCCGCGCCCCCGCGTCCCCGTACCTCGTAAAGGTCCCCAGAAGCCATGCCAGGCTGCGGAACTTGGCTCGCCGGTGTGCGCGTCTGCTCGCTCGCGCCCTCCGTGCGTGTGCGCGCGGGGTCCGGTGTGCGCGTGTGTGTGCGCGCGTGTGTGTGCGAGTGTGTGTGGTGTGTTGAGTAAACTGTGTTTTTGCAGAATGACAGGCTTGGGGGCTGCCTATGCGCAGAATCAGAGCGGGCGGCGGCGGGGCTGGCGTAACCGGCAGCAGCGGCGGCGGCGGCGGCGGCGGCACGAGCGCGGGCAGCAGCGACGGCCGCGCAGCGCGCCCGGGAGGCACGGACGCGGCCCGAGCGCCGCGGCCCCCGCGACCCGGCGACCCGGCGGCGGTGGCTGCAGCCGGCAACGGCTCGCCCCGGCGCCGCCTGCAGGAAGCCGCCCGGCGCCCGCCGCCGGCCCGGACGCTGCTGCCACTGGGCGAGTCCCCGCCCCCCGGGAGCCCGGCCCGGCCCCCGGGGCGGGGAGGCGGGGGCTGCTGCCCGGCCGCGCCCCGGGGGACCGGTCCCAGAGTCGACTAGCGCTCGGGCCCGCCCCGCCACCCCGGGCCGGCTTCGGGAGCAGCTGGCGGGGCCCCCGGGGGGCGGCGGGCCAGGTGCCCGCCGGGTGCGCCCGATCTGGGGCCGCGAAGGGGCGGCCGGGGAGCCAGGTAGAGGGCTGCGGCTGCAGACCTCAGGGAAGGGGCCCCAGCCGAGCCCCGCCGGCCCGGGGTCCCCACCTACCTCCTCCACCCTCGAGGGGAGTGGACGCCGCCTGGGAGACCTGGCCCCTCGGGGCTGCGCGGCCCCTCCCTCCAGGCTGGGTTGTAAGATGTGGAGGCCACAGGGAGGAAGGATGAAATGGCCCATCCAGAGGCACCATGGGGATCCAGGACAGGCGTGGCCACCCCATAAACCCTGGAAAGTCTTTAGAGCCAGGGGTGGCCTTCCCTCAACAACCCCTCTCCCCGAATTTATTCACTCATCCCTTACTCAAACATTTACCAAAGTCAACCCAAGTGCACAGTGTCCCTGGACAGGCAAAACTGGGACCCTGCCCAGAGACAGTTTGAATCCGCAAGTGAGGAGTGTAATGGAGCACTCAGTTGTTCTAAAAGGTCATCCTGCGTGTGACAGGCTGCGGAGCTGGAGGAGCTAGAGAAGCTCTCCAAAACCCAAATCCGTTCCTAAGCCATCTCTCATGGATAAATGGTCACCCCTCTGCTTAAAGGGTTCTCCTTATAAATATTTATGTATATAGTTACTTCAGAACCTGCAAGGTCAGACTTCTGAAATTGGAGGGAAGATCTTCATCCCCACCCATGAAATGCCTGCCTGGCTCCAGATGTGATGTATCATTAACTCACATGCTCCCTGGATCATTTTCTACTTGGGAGGCTGTGGGCAGGTCACCGAACCCTGATGGGAGATGGTGATAGTCACCTAAGTGATTTAAATAGAATTAAGGAGAGGATCTACGTATACATGAAGTGACCTGTCCATCCCAGCAGAACTCAATAAAGGTGATTTGTATCTGAGTCTCAACCTGGACTGCCCTCATGGAGAGTGAGATGGCAGAGGGGCTCGATAAATTGTTTAATCCTGAGGTTGTCAAACTTTGAAAAGTCACCAAATTTTTTAATCCAAAAAAAAAAAAAAAAAAAAAAAACTCCATGGAACCTGAAGCATGTCTGGCTCATTCCAGGACACATGGATTTGCATTTGCTGTTCCCCCTGCCTAGAATGTCCTTCCACATTGAATCCATCTGGAACATTCTTGTTCTTCGTATAGGGGCTTGTTTATCTTTGTATCGCAAGCATCTTCCACTGTTCCTGAGAGAGAGTAGGTACACAGTGATTGTTTTTCGAACTATGCCAATATAACAAATTTTATACCAATTTCTAGTTAAAATCCCGCATGAAGATAAGGAAAAAATGGTGAGGATAAGGAATTAATAAATCAGAAAGCATATTTGGCTTAGAAACTGTTGAAATTGTTATAGAACTTCTCTCTTCATATTGATATTTTCCCGGTGGTCATGGTTTTAAATAATAACAGTAATAATAAGCAGTTCTCTATCTGTAGGTAGCTAAACAAATTTTAATGAGTCTTAATTTGTACTCACGAATAAATGCACCACCATAGCATGAGGATGTAATTTGGAAGAAGACAAGAAGGAAACTGGGCTTGGAAATAATATACTAAGCCAAATTTGAATATATAATCAGTAGTTTTACAAAAACACCAAAAGCTTGACTTGTACTGGCCAAGTACTCCCTGAGAATGTGAGTGCAGTTTGAAAAACCCTAGTCTAGACAACAGTTGTTTACAGAGTTCACAGAAGAGGATACTTAGTGTGGATGACCATGCTCAGGAAATGTTTTAGGACTGAAATGGATCTTGAAGACTCATAGAAAAGGAAGGACAGTGTTTTCCGTGAGGAGAAGAAGTCAGAGTAGATGGTAAGCAATTCTGCTATGGGAAGGGTATGAGAAGATTGGAGGACTGGTTTATGGAGGTCACAGGACCCTGGATGGTGAATGTGGGTCAGTTCGGAGATAGTCTTGAAAGCCAAGCTAAGAAGTTTGCTATTTAGTAGGTCAACAGTGGAGAAACTGATGAAGACTTTTGAATCAATCAAAAGCATGTGACTATCAAAAGTGCACTGTAGAAAACAAATTCTAGAAGAAATATGGGAAATCAACTGCAGGGTTTGAGGTTAGGGGCAGGGAGACCAATTGCAATGGTCCCTGGTGTTAGCAGTGGAAATGAAGAAGAAAAATGGGATTTGCGAGATGTTCAGAAGGAAGAACCAGGCTAACTTTCATTATGGTTACTCCACCTACTTCCATGAAGCATTCGATTCAGATCAACAGGACTTGATGACTAACAGGATGTGTGTGCATTGAGGACTTGGGGAGGGGCCGCGACTAAGGAAAGGATACAGAGATGACTAAGGTTTTAAACTGAGTGACTGAGCTACCCATCCGTCATAACACAATTTTATTTTGAGCTTACCCCCAGACCATGGCTAGCTTCCAGAAAAGGCAGGTGCTTCCTGAGGGATGAAGGGGGGAAGGGTCTTCACCCACTGTAGGAAGTTCAGCCCAACCAATTAACAGTGAGGCTCTAGGTTCTCCAGATGATAGAGAACTAGTGTTGCTCATGGAGAATGGAAGATAGCTGCCATCTTCCACAAACTGTGGTAGACTATTCATATTGGTCGTAACTCAAGATGAACTGATAGAAAGCTCTAACTTAAAACAACAGAGTATTTCCTGACTCATATAGACTAGAAAAGGATGGAATTGCTCTCAGGATTGGCCGGATTCAAGGTATGAAAGGATACAAAATAGCCTCTCTTACTCTCTCCTTCTTTCTGCATGCTGGTATCTTTCCTGCTGAAGACAGGCTTCTTCCATGCAGCTGAGAATATGGCACCTGGCCACTCACCTGGGCTTATGCCTTATACAGTATTTCTAAATCCCAGGGAAGGACTCTATTGGGCCAATGTAGCTCATATGCTGTCTTACTGGTCCAATCACCATAGTCAATAACTGATAGGACACTATGATTGGCCAGGCTTAAGTCATACTCCTATCTATGGGAACAATATGACAATTGGCAGTTTTACCAGAATTACATGATGGGAATCGGGTCTGAGCAGAAGCCTAAAGGAATGGTGGAAGGAATACTGAAACGGTAGGTGTTTACGCCAAAACAAATCTGAGACAGAAAGGGAACTTAGAAGCAAGGGCAGTAGCTGCCTGGAACACGGCCTTTTTAATATAATAGAGCAAGACCAGCAAGTGTAATGTCCAAGGAAAGATCGTATCCACTGCCTTAACAGTGGCATTGAAATGTGGCAATATTCTCCTTCCGGTATTACTTGAGACATAATCTTGACCTCCTGTATCCTGTGGTGGCTGAACATGTGGGCTCCAGAGGCAGATGGCCTGGGTTCCAATTCTTGCATCATCACTACTAGATATCTGGTGTCAGCCTCTTTGTTTAACCTCTCTACCCTTCCATTTCCAAATGTATGTGTTATTTATTACTGCATGATGAATTATCCCCAAAACTTAATGGTTTTAAACAAAAGGTTTTTCTAATTTCACAGTTTGTGTGGGTTGTGGATTTGACAGCAACTTAACTGGGGGTGGTTCTGGCTCAGGATCTCTTGTGAGATTGCAGTCAAAATGCTTGCTAGGACTGCATTGACCTGAAGGGTTGGCTGGGCTGGAGAATCCACCTCCAAGATGGCACCCTCATATGGCTGTTGGCAGGAGGCCTAAGCTCCTAGCCACATGGGTCTCTCCATAAAGTTGCTTGAGTGTTCTCATGTCATTCTGATCTTGGCCCCCCAAATCCAACAAAATGAAGCAAAACTGTCAAAGCTTCAACTCTTTCTAGCACAGAGCAGCTAACGAATCTGATGTTATAGTCCATGCTAAGAAGACTATTTGATGCACAGATGATTTACGACATGTCAGGTTGGATAACTGGAGATGTTATCTGATCCACACACCTCACTTTGAAGATGGAAAAACCAAGACCCACATTGGGTGATCCGAGAGAGAGAGCAAGGAGGAAGTCACAATGCCTTTGAATATCTCATCTTAGACACCAAACATAGTCACTTATTCTATTCTTTAGAACTGAACCACTAAGCCAAGCTCATACTCAAAAGGAAGCAAATTAGAATCCACCTTTTAAAGGGAGGACTATCAAAGAATTTATGGACATGGTTTAAAACCACCACACCCTATCTATAAATTGAGGTGATAGATACCCCATAGAGTTGTTTTGAGAATTAAATAAGCTAATCCATGCAAAGCATCTATAATAAGGGCTGAGTAATAGTCCCTGTTGTAATGACAACTATTACCCATTTCAAACTTAATATGAGTCACTAATATCCTTGAATGTCAAAGATTCCTATAGAAAGGCAGTAAGTCAAATAAAACCTTCAAACTGAGTATTGTTTTCAAGCTATGCAGAAATTCTTGTTACTAATTAGGCTTTATTTTCAGCATTCATTTGGTATATTTTACTTCCATAATAATGTTTATTATTATTAAAGTCATACTTATTTAGTATCTACAGTGTGCTAGATATTATTCTTGTTGAACAAAATAGTGTCCTACCCTTATGGAGCTTATTCTTGTTGAACAAAACAGTGTCCTTATGGAGCTTACAGTACAGAGGAGACAGAATAAACCAAGAAAATAAAACACATATATACATAATTTTATTTCAGGTAGTGATGTGAAGTAGGAAGAAAAGTGAAGCAGGTAAAGCGACAGGAACTGAGATGGAGGGTGCCGGGGACAGGAAGGGGTGCTGGCTTAGATAAGGTGCTTAGGCAATACCTCACTAAGGTGGTGACATTGCAACAGAAATTTGAACAAAATGAAGGAGGACACAAATCAAATCAAAGGGCAGAGAATGTCAGAGAGAGAAAATAGCAAGGGCAAAGCCCTGAGGCTGGAGAAGCTGGGTGTGTTCAAGGTCCTGCAAATAAGCCAGTCTGGCTGAAACCAACTGAGCAAGAAGGAACATGGGAAGAGATAGAGAGCTAACCAAGGTCAGGGTAGGCCAAGGGAAAGAATTTGGATTCCTCCAAGTGACAAGAGAGGTCATCTGGGAGGCTTTGAGCAAAGGAATGATACGATCGCATCACTCAGCTCCTAGATAGAGGAATGGCATGAAGAAGGACAAGGGTGACGTGGGCCACCTTTGCAGAAGTCGCTGAGTGAAGTCCTAGTGATGGGGAATAAGGAGGAAGCTGTCAAGATGAAGAGATGTAGTTGGATTGAGGATATATAGGATAATACTTGAGACAAGAGGAAGGGAAAGGAATGCTAAATTTTTAGCCTGAGTATTCAGGTGAATGGAGGTGGTGCCATTTACTGAGCTGAGGACAATGGGTGAGTATTGCATTAGTAGGTGGTATCGGGGTGGGTGAAGGGAAATCAATAGTTCCATTTTAGGATAAGTTAACTTTGAGATGGGAATTCAATATCCAAGTAGAGTCAAGGAGGTATTAGATATGTGAGTCAGGAACTCAGCCGGACATTTATGTGGCTGGGCAGCATATCGATGACAATGAAAGGATACTTGCTATGATGACTGGTGGGATGAACGCAAGTCTGAAAGAGGAGAGGCCCTAGGACTGAGCCCTAGAGCAGGTTAGCATTCAAGGGTCAGGAAGAGGGTGAGGAAGAAGTGAAGGAGCCTGAGAAGGCGTGAGTGAGAGAGGGAACCAACACAATGTGCTGTCCCAGATTCAAGTGAAAGACAGCAGAATGAACCTTAAATGTTGGTGGAAGGTTGGGAAAGAAGAGAACTGGGATTTGGCAATGTGGAGATGGGTTTTGGTGGTACAGGAAAGTTCAAAGTTAGACTGAAGCAAGTTAAATAGAGCTTTGGCAGAGGAGAAGTGCAGATGGTGAGCACAGGTGACTCATTCAAGGCCTTTTGCTATAAAGAAGCAGAGAAGTGGGTCAGTAGGTTGAGGGGGGCGCCGGACGCAGGAATAGTTTTTAATATAGAAGCTATTGGCAGGGCGCGGCGGCTCATGCCTGTAATCCTAGCACTTTGGGAGGCCGAGGTGGGAGGATCACGAGGTCAAGAGATCGAGACCATCCTGGCTAACACAGTGAAAACCCGTTTCTACTAAAAATACAAAAAATTAGCCGGGCGTGGTGGTGGGCGCCTGTAGTCCCAGCTACTCGGGAGGCTGAGGCAGGAGAATGGAGTGAACCCGAGAGGCAGAGCTTGCAGTGAGCCAAGATTGTGCCACTGCACTCCAGCCTGGGTGACACAGCGAGACTCAAAAAAAAAAAGAAGTAGTTATTGCAGTATGTTTGTAAAATGATAGGCATGCAATAAATATGGGAAAATGGTTGTGCAATGAAAAGAGGAGAGAATTACAGGAACAGAGTCTTTGAAAATGCCAACAGAGAGGGGATGTAGAAGTCCAAAGTGGAGGAACTAGATTTAGGAGCACAGAGTCAATCTGTATTAGGTTGAATTCTGTCCCCGCAAAATTCATGTCCACCCAGAACTTCAGAACATGACCTTATTCGCAGATGTAATTAGTTAAGATGAGGTCATTAGGGCTAGACCCTCATCCAGTAACCAGTGTCCATATAAGAAGAGAAAACAGAGGCAGAGGCAGACAGAGAGAAGGCCATGTGAAGATGGACACAGAGACTGAAGTGATGCATCTGCCAAACAAGAAATGCCAAGGATTGCCAGCTACCACCAGAAGCTAGCAAGGGGCAAGGAAGGATTCTTCCCCGGAGCCCTGCCAACACCTTGATTTCAGATTTCTAGCCTCCAAAACTATGAGAGGATAAATTTTTATTAGTTTAAGCCACCACGTTTTGGTAATTTATTACAACAACTGCAGGAAACTCAAACACCATCCATTGGAAGAACAAGCATGGCTGCAGATAAAGTGGCCTGACAGATTGGAGCTCTCTTTCATTATTTCTGTATTCTCCATAAAATAAGCCATGCAGTCATCAGATGAAAGTGAGGAAAAAAGAGAATGTATCAGATAGGGGTATGTGATTTGCCTGAAACAATATTGATTTGACTGTTGTATCCCCCTACCCCGACACACACAAAAAAACTGTTGATAGAACCTCTTTCACTCCCAAAGGTATCCACATTTAGATAACATGTGAATGGTTTTTCTAGTGTTAGATGTTTCAGGACAGATTAAAAGATATGAAAAGTCAGTTCAAGAGAAGAGTGGGTTAACTAGGAAAATATAATGGCATTGCTGGAAGATGCTGAAGGCCCACTGGATATTTGTGGTCATAAGTTAAAGTTAGGCTAGTCAGAGCAGTCAGCATGCTTGTAATTTATCCATTCACAATCAGCTGTTCAGGGTCAGGCTGAAGGCGTTGGGGTGTTGGATTTAACCAACGGTGGGATTTGCCATATGAGGTCAATAGAAGGAGAGATGGGTAACAGAGTTAAGAGTGTTTGTAAGAAAGTTATTATAAATGATGGAATGATGGTTACCAATCTAGCTTAGCCTTCATAAGGAGGGATGTAATGACATGGGGTTTGGGGTGGAGGTGACTACAAACAAAACTGTCAGTCAATGGATTAGAACAAAGATTGTTAGAGTAGGGCCACAACAGCAATGAGAAGGACTCTTGAAATGGTGCTATCAGTAATGGCAGCTACCACTCATAAGCATCTGCCTGGGCCACCTGCTTTCCAAATGTGGCCATCTTTTGTTTCCCTTGGCTCTTTCTTGCCTCCCCCACTTACACTGTAAGGACCTGCTGCTGTCCCACCCCCCACCCCCATCCCTAGGATGGAGTCAGGATTAATGTTCAGAACTTTGAAGACCTCAAAGATAGAGAGTGAATTTGGGATAAGGACTGAGGGATGGAAAAGACCATGGATACTGGGGTTGGGAGAGGGACTGAGAAACAAGGGAGGGAGAGCAAAAAGGACAGACCTCCCAGAAACCCAACTGAGATTACCTTTGACCATAAATAAAAGGAAAAGGAAAGAAATGGGTTGCACTATTTATGGACTCCAGCAGTTTCTGGTAATGAAATGAATTTGCCATTCCTTCTAGGCATTGTAGGCAGAACTTAATGATTTCATGCATGTTGCATCATTTTATCATTTCAACAAGGTAAGAAACATTGGCTTCATTTTATAATGTAAGAAGAAAATTTCATGACCCCTGGGACATCCTGTGGAAAAGACAGGTAGAGCTTCTGTTGCCTTAAGTAGGCCCAGACTCTCTGTTGGCTACATGCTTGAGAAGAGTTCTTTCTTGCACATAGCCAACATGAAAGAGAAAAAATACTCAAGTTGTTGGCCTTGAGCCTTGACTAAGCAATAGTCAAGACAATAGACTTTGAAACCGTGGGGTGAGAAGTGGATGGAAGGTAGGAAGCAAGCAATATCAACTTTTAGTTGTTTGTGTTATAAGAAGAAAGAGCTTAGATTTAAGTTTGTGAGCTCAACGCTCCTTTGTCTAGGAAGACCAAAATGCAGTTTTTCTTTGTGCACAGTAAATCAATGACATTATTGTGAAATGCGTATGTGCCCATCGAGTGCCTAGCTGCTGTCTGTATTAGAGTTTCTCAACTTTTTGGTCTCCGGATCCACTGACACTCTTAAATATGATTACAAACTTTGAAGAGCTTGTATTTATTTGGGTTATATCTATGGATATTCAAGCTACTAACAATTAAACTGAAAAAATACATGAATACACATACATAAAAATAACACACAAGCACACATTCCATTGACTGTAAATGCAATAAAGTTATCTAGAGTTGCAGAGCTTCTAGAGAACTCCTCTATACACTGTGAGAGAATGGGCATGAAAAAGGCAAAAAGTCTTGGTATTACTATGAAAACAGTTTTGACCATACGGATTCCTGAAATTGCTTCAACAGCCCCAAGTTTGCCTGGACCACTCTTTGAGAACTGCAGGTCTAAAGAATCACAAAAAAGGCTGTCTGTGTTATGGGTAAAGTTGCATCTTTGCAGATGATATGAAAATGTTTCTTTTTTAAATAGAACGCATTGTTCCTACATCTTGGGAGGTGAGGGTGCATGTTCTCGTTCAAGAAGTGTCCTCAACCAGAGGAGCCCAGGAACACACAGGAAATGAAAGCATCATTCTTCACCACAAGCATTAGGAAGAATCTTAACGGAACATAATTAAAGGGTATTGGTGAAGTCCTATGGGGGAGGTTTTTTCTTCTTTCTCCTCCTTTTTTAAGTATTTTACCTTCTTTTTACAATGAAAAATTCCAAACCTATGCAAAAGTAGAGCAAATAATACAAGGAGTGTGCATGTACTTGTTACCCAGCTACAAGATCCACCAGCTCAAAGCCATTCTTATTTCATCTCTACTATCCTATTCCCTCACTACACACACTAGATTACTTTGAAGCAAGTCCTAGACATTATATCATCTCATCTGAAAGTGTCAATATGTATCTCTAAATAAGAATTGTTCTCTTAAATGTAACCACGACTCCATCATTACACCTAAATTCACACTAATTCCTTAATATTATCAAGTATTCAGTTGGTGTCCACATTTCTCATAAATACTTTTTGTTGTCTCATGCTTTTTGACAGTTGGTTTATACAAATCGGAATCTACACATCTATTCATAATATTTGTTTTCAATGTTTCTTAAACCTTTGTTAACCTTTAGGTACCTCATCCCAGCCAACTTTTTCTTGCAATTTATTTGTTAAAGAAGCTAGATTATTTGTCAGTGATGTCATTTAGCATGTTCTTCTCTACGGAGTATTTCCTATATACTGGTAGCTAGATTTAGAGGCTTGATCAGATTTGTGTTTGTTTCGGGGGCAAGTGGACTTTACAGCTGATGGTGTGTGCTTTCATCACAAGGCATATAATGTTTGCTTGCCTTCCTTTTTGTAATCTTTGCAGTCACTGATGATCCTTGCCTAGATTCACTATTTTAATACAAGTTGCAAAATCGTGATCATCTATTATTTCTTCGCTATTTACTAGCTGGATACATCTATGAAATCTCCCCTGATCAACTATCATTTCTCTGGGGTACACTTGTGCAGAGAAGGCTGGCCAAATGCTTTATTCTTTTCCTTTATCAGTTCTCCAAACGAGTTGGTTCTCTACCATCCTCCAAAGGATCGTGAGGGATTTGTTTTAGTGTAATTGTGAACTCATGAACTTTAGCACGTTTAATGTTTCACTACATTGCCATTGTTCCTCTTTTTTTTTTTTTTTAAGTTCCGGGGTACATGTGCAGGATGTGCAGGTTTGTTACATAGGTAAGTGTGTGCCATGGTGGTTTGCCGCCCCTATCAACCCATCACCTACGTATTAAGCCCAGCATGCATTAGCTACTTTTCCTGTTGATCTCTCCCCACCCCCGGCCTCCCCCAACAGGCCTCAGTGCATCTTGTTCCCCTCCCTGTGTGCATGTGTTCTCATTATTCAGCTCCCACTTACAAGTGAGAACATGAAGTGTTTGGCTTTCTGTTCCTGCATTAGTTTGCTGAGGAGTGGGAATATAAATTATTTCAACCACCGTGGAAGACAGTGTGGCAATTCCTCAAAGATTTAGAACCAGAAATACCATTTGACCCAGCAATCCCATTACTGGGTAGTATATACCCAAAGGAATATAAATCATTCTATTGTAAATACACATGCACGCATATGTTCATTGCAGCACTATTCACAATAGCAAAGACATGGAATCAACCCAAATGCCCATCAATGATAGACTGCGTAAAGAAAATATGGTACATACACATTATGGAATACTATGCAGCCATAAAAAGGAACAAGATCATGTCTTTTGCAGGGACATGGATATTCCTCTTCTTATTGCCCAAATTGCTCCTGCTTTGGGTAGCAGGAGCTCCTGAGCCTTTGATAGCATCCTTGCTTTCTAGTATAAGATACTCAGACTCATCTTGACCATTTCCTCCACCAGACTTAGGGTCTAACATTTCACCAATGATTCCTGGTTCCTTGTACTGAGAAATATTAAGATACCATGAAGCGAACACCAGGTTGTGGCTATGGGTTGATCATTGTTTCTAGTTGTTTCCAGTGGACAAAGCCCAAAATGTTTTGTAGTTCTTTTGGAACTTAGAGTATATCCCACAAAAGATGTCCAGTCAAATGACTGTTTTAAAGTCCCTTGAAACAACTTCATGCTTGGTTGCATCACCAACTCACTATGTGCTTAGATTCACTTGTTTTCATTTTGATTTTTAGGGATTACATTTTAACTGTTAATTTTTTAATTGTGTGAAACATTTACATGATTCCAAAATTAAATCGACAAACAAGGTATAGTTAGAGAAGTCTAGCTTCCTTCACTCCCCTTGTAGGTAACCATTCTATTTCATGGTTTTTTACTGAATTTTTAATATAAACCAATAAGCACATACATGTATATACCCCCTTTTCTTAGAAAAAAGTTGGCATGCTATGCAGTTTTCTCTACCTTGCTTTTTTCAGTAAGTAGTATATTCTAGAGATCATCCTTAACATTATTCAGAATTACTCTTCCTTCCAACAGCTGCATAATACCCCATGATGTGGCTGTATCATAGTTTATTCAACCAGTCCCCTGTTGATGGACAGCCTTTTACAATTACAAATAGTACTGCAATAATTAGCTTTATGCCTGTGTCTTTTTGAGTTTCTGCTAGCCTATAGGGGGACTTCAATTTTATGCTGAGTAATTTGACTGAAGAAAACGTACGGGTGCCTGATCGTTACAATCTGTTCGGAGAGAGTGTCCAAAAGAACACTGTGGGCAGGGCGTTAGGCTTATTTTTATTTCTGAGAAGTGTGGCCTCTGCAACTGTCAATCATCCTGGTGGGAACCAATCTGGGGATGACAAGTGAGAATTTGCAGAGGGGCGGGAACCTGAAGCTCCACCACGGAAAAGGGCATCAGAGGAAGCCACCAGCAAATAAATGAGGGTGAGCAGACTGTACCAGGGTCATCCCATCTAGGAAGTGGCCCTGGAAGTGCTGGCTGGGGACTCAGACAGAGGCACTTGAACCTGTGGACTCAGAGAATAACCCAGTTACTGGTTTTAATTTTCTCTGTGTTCAGTTTTTCTTGTTTTATGTCAAGAACTTTAGACAAGTTCTGTGAAATGTTACAGTCATATCTCAGTTGTGCTGTGGAAAATTCAGAGACAGCTGTGTATGTGCTTGGAATGTGGTAATAAAGCTGAGAGTGACCATGCCTCCTACCCACTGTCCCCAAGGCTGAGACTGGCAGTGACAGCAACTCAAGGGAACACTATGGCTGGCAATTCCAGGAGGCTGATCCTGTAGAGAAATCCTCATGGACAGAGAATGGTGCCATGGAATTAGGAGATGGTTCAGACTTGGGTCCTGTTGAATGCAGTCAGATATCCTGATGAAGGCAGGCCACAGAAAAGATGCGTAGATACGCGTTCTCAAGAGCACCTTCCTTCAAAGTAGGAAAAGACTATTGTATTAACTGGGGAAATAATAATGATTGAGTGATCGATAAACAGGCTACAAAACAAGGAGTCTGGTACACCATTTTCCTAATTAACCATTTATAAAATATAAAATAATTTCTGGAATATAAACAGATACATTTTCTTAGTCCATTTGGGCAGCTATAACAAAATACCATAGACTGGGTAAACTGTAAAAAACACAATTTATTTCTCAATGTTCTGGAGGCTGGGAAGTCCAAGATCAAGGCAGACTGACCTTTTTATAACCATTTTAGAGACTCATTTTCCCAATTAACCATTTATAAAATATAATTTCTGGAATTAAATAGACACATTGTCTTAGTCCATTTGGGCAGCTATAACAAAATACCATAGACTGGGTAAACTGTAAACAACATCATTTATTTCTCAAAGTTCGGGAGGCTGGGAAGTCCAAGATCAAGGCAGATTGTACTGGGGAGGGCTCATTTTCTGGTTCACAGATGACACCTTCTCTCTGCATCCTGGAATGATGGAGAGGCAAGACAGCTCTCTGGGGGGCCTCCTTTATAAGCGCACTCATCCCATTCATGAGGGCTCTACCCTGGTGACCTAATCATCTCCCAAAGGTGCCTCTCTTAAAACCATCACACTGGTGCTTAGGGTTCAATGTAAAAATTTGCAGAGGGGAAACAAACATTCAGACCTCAGCACACATCAAAGTGAAAATGACAGCAATCAAGTAAGAATGGGTAACGGAATCATAAGTAATTACATTTCCTTTGTCTTTTTCTGTGTTTTTTTAAAGTTTCTCTATTGAGTACACACTTATTTTGAAATTAAAGTGCTATTTTGAAATAATTTTTAAAATACTCTCAGAAAAAAACTGAAAACAGCATTAACAGGAAATATAGAAATGAAATACACATGGGCAATGAACTTACGAAATAGGCTATTCAAACACACTTGTAATAAAAGAAATTCAGTATAAAACAACACTGAAATGTCATTTTAATCAATTATTTTTAAAAATTATTTCAATATATAGTGTTGCTAAGGATGTAGAGAAAATGGCTCATATACAATTTTGGAAGGAAGCTAAATTACTGCTTTCTTTTCTGAAAGGAAATTTGGAATTGTTTATCATACTCCTTGAAATATTCCTACTCTAGGGCCCAGTAACTTAACTTCCACAAAATAGTCTAACTAAAAATATCAGATATGTGCATAATGACTTATGTTTTAAAGTATTTATTATAGTTATTTTTAATACCAAAAAACATCAAAACTCAAGTGTTCAAAACTAAAGGTTAATATTCTGCAGGCAATTAAAATCATGACCTTTAAGAAAAATAGTTAATGACATGGTGGTAAAGTTCCTTATATCTTGTTGAGTAGAAATAGCAGATTACAAAGCAGTATGTCTAGTATCACCACAGTTTTATTTATAGAATTGTGTGCATATGTGTAAAGATGTTAGCAGTGATTGAGTCTAGAAAGAGATTTGGGTTTTCTACCCTAGACATTGTTGAATTTTCCAAATGTTCTGCAACGAACCTTTAATACATACACACTTAAAACATAGATATATTTATAGCATTCGAACATAATGTTATTTAAACATATAAAAACAATGTTTTTTAATTTTTTTTTCTAGACAGAGTCTTGATCTGTCTTATTCCACCCTGACATGCTAAGCATTTGGTTGTTTTTGTTTTTGTTTTTGTTTTGAGACGAAGTCTCACTCTGTCCCCGAGGCTGGAGTGCAGTGGTGTGATCTTGGCTCACTCCAACCTCCGCCTCCTGGGTTCAAGCTATTCTCCTGCCTCAGTCTCCCGAGTAGCTGAGATTATAGGCACACTCCTCCATGCCTGGCTAATTGTTGTATTTTTAGTAGAGAGAGGGTTTTACCATGTTGGTCAAGCTGGTCTCGAACTCCTGACCTCGTGACCCGCCCGCCTCAGCCTCCCAAAATGCTGGGATTACAGGAGTGAACCACCGCCCCTGGCCGGAAATGTGTTTTAAAAGCAAGATTCTGGAAAAGCAGTCTACAGAGAAGTGATGGGAGGAGGCTAGAACAATCCATGTGGTAATGGACTGGAGCTGGAGATGTCAGTGTGAACATATTCCACTTAATATAGATACAGATAGTTATGTATAAAAATATGTATATATATGCAGGTAGGTATATACACATTTCCTTATTCTGTCAACTGAGAGGGTCTAGAAGTAACAACACCCCAGTAGCATTGAGGAAACCCACTGCCCAGATCCGGATTTCTAATACTGTTCTCCAGTAAAAAGAACCAGAGTGTTTTTGCTTTAGAGGAATGGCTGATTCCAGGACTAGGATGGGAAATATCCAAGATGAGCCTGGAACATCTTATGATTCCAGAAAATAAGGAAGTGCTCAAAAATAAATAAACCCACAGCGATGGGGGCATGTCAAAGGAGCCAACTGAAAATGCTGCCAGTGGCCGAAGCTGGGACAATTTGAGTCAAAATAAATGAAGTAGTATTGGATTAAATTCAAAGTATAAAATAAATATTTATGATTCAATAGTGAAATAACTAAATAAGAAAATGGTTGAGAATAGACCATTTTCCTGTGCAGGAGAATTCCAAGTAATGTATATAGATGCTCCCGCCTCAAGGAGATTGAGCATAAATTCCCACTCCTTAAGAATGGGATGCACATAGTGACTTCCTTCCAACGAGTACAGTATGGAAAGGGTGAGGGGGTAAGCAGTGATAACCTTACTTTAGAGAAACCTGACAAACACTACCTTAGCCAGGTGATCAACACCAACAGCAACAGTGACAAATCATGTGAACAGCATGTACCCTTGTTATGACATGATAAAAATGATATTTCTCTCAAAAACCCATAATCCCAGTCAAATCATGAGGAAAACATCAGACAAATCTCAGCCAAAGGGCATTCTGCAAAATATACAACCAGTACTCCTCGGAACTGTCAAGGGTATCAAAAACAAGGGAAGTCGGAGAAACTGTCACAACTAAGAGGAATATAAGGAGACATGTCAATCAAATGTAATGTGGGATCCTGGATGGGATCCTGGGACAGAAAAAAGAATATTGATAAAAATTAAGGTAATCTGAAGAAAATACAGACTTTAGTTAATGATAATGTATCAATGTTGGTCACCAATTATGACAAATGTGCCCTATTAATGTATTGTATTAATAATAGGGAAAACTGAGCAATATATGGATCTCTCTCTATTACCTTTGCAAATGTTCTGTAAATCAAAAAATATTCTAAGAAATAACATTGTTTTTAAACCAAGGTTCTTAAACAACAACAAAAAAACAATAAAAGCATTTTCATAAATTGACTCTTCAGAATAGGTGGAAGACCATTAAAGGCCAAGTTATCTCTGGAAAAAAGTTTATTTTATTGATCTAAATTAACAGTATAGCTAAAAATACATATTAAGAAGAAGAATATTTTTCTCTTAAGAGTGAATTATTACACTTTTCTGAATGTATAATTATCTACAAAGCTGTAATTTCAATATTCTTTAGCACAAGGTAAGTGGGAAAATAAGGAATTTAATCTGAGAAAAGACACACCTACTAAATAATAAGAAAGTCAGGAACAGCCTACCTCTAAAGATAAGCTACTCCAAAATCTAGAAGAAAAATTTCAAAACCTAGCTGAGATTCTCAAAAAAGAACAAAAAATAATAAGCTTTTCTAATACTAGAGAGTCATAAGATTGAGATGAATAGGCAACAGAAAGATTTTTTTTTTAATGTGAATGACAGAAAAGATTTCAAGGAAACTTTAAATGCTGTAGTAAAATTAAAATCAACATTGTAAGGCTGGGCGTGGTGGTTTACACCTGTAATCCCAGCACTTTGGGAGGCCAAGACAGGCAGATTGCTTGAGGCCAGAAATTCAAGACCAGCCTGGCAAACATGGTGAAACCCCGTCTCTACTAAAAACAAAAAAACTAGCCAGGCATGGTGGTGCATACCTGTAACCCCAGCTACTCAGGAGGCTGAGGCAGAAGAATCACTTTAATCTGGGAGACAGAGGTTGCAGTGAGCTGAAATTGTGCCACTGCACTCTGGCTTGGGAGACAGAGTGAGACCCTGTCTCAAAAAAAAAAAAACAAAAAAACCAACATTGTAGACAATTGACAGTACATGACGTGGACAGTAAACTTCAGAATACTCCCTTTCCCCTTGCCCCTCAGAATTTAGCATAAAAAGACAAAGATTTTAAGATGAAGAAGGAAGGTATGATAATTATGGAAAATGGAGATTAGAGAACAAAGATAAGATAAAAATTATGACTAAAGAGAAAAAATACAACAAAAGCAAAATCTGAAGATATCATAAAGAAAGTGGTGAGCTAAAGTTTTAACAGTTTAAACCTGTAACCATTTTATACAAAGAAAGTAGTCATTTACATGTATAGACAACACAATAACATTCTCATATTAACAAGAACTCAGAAAATATACTTTTCATGTGCCCTTCTTGAAAAAGAACCTGCCTGATTGTATGATCTAATCAAAATTTAAATCTTAGGAATGGGTCGGCAATAAATACTGAAACTGGTAAAAATACTTCAGTCATTTTAAATCTAGTTTTCTGTTTGTTTGTTAGCATGAGACAGTCTCACTCTGTCATCTAGGCTGGAGTGCAGTGGCACGATCTCAGCTCACTGCAATCTCCACCTTCCAGGTTCAAGCAATTCTCCTGCCTCAGCCTCCCGAGTAGCAGGGATTACAGGTGCCCGCCACTGTGCCTGGCCTAAGTCTAGTTTTAAAATGGAAAGGGGAAAGTAACGATGTAATAATAATTTGGTACCAAGATCTGTGAAGAAGGAGGAAGTGAATTATACTAAATACTTTCTCTCACATAGAAGACAGAGCATTGGGAGCCCAAACATAACTGCTTTGCTCCTGATCTTAGAAACAAATTTAAAACACCAAAGATAATTCATTACTAGAACTTACGTGCTATATTAGCCTCTAAAACACCGACAAATATAACAGTTAAGTCATTATACTCTACACAGCTTAAGGTAGAAAATAAAGGAGACAGCAAGAAGTTAACAAAAAACATGAGTTAAGATAGCAGGGGCAATATCTATCATAAGGACCAAGGTGAATGGGATAAATGCCCAGAGAGAGGCAAAGATTCTTAAATTAGGCCCCCAAATTATGATGGGTCAGAAACAACATGTTTTTCACAAAATACAAATACAAAAGTGATTATAACATGTTTAAAAAACAAGAAATGTAAGAGACATGGTACAAATGTAAAATGAATATTAGATTAAAAAAAATCTAGACAAAAACACTAAATGGAACAAAGGGGGACATTTTACAAGAATAAGAGTCATAATTCAAAATAAGGATACGACGCACTATTCAGCAAATACTTATCAATGCTCACAGCTTTTCAAAAAAAATCATGTAAAACATCTAATGCTAACTGCTACTAAAAGTTAAAGTAAGATAAATAACTTTTTTGGGTTGTTCTATTCCTCAGAATATTCCATTTAAATACATTTTTTAATGTTAGCAATACAAAGAAAAACTGACAAAAACTGTAATTTGGAAAAACTCAAACATACCATTTCTGTTTTAGGCAGGTCAATTAGACTATATATATATATATATATATATATATATATATATATATATAATCTAGAATATTAAAAGTTTGAAAGTTTAATTTTAAAAACAAAAACTACAAAGAATTTTGGGCTGGGTGCAGTGGTCATGCCTACAATCCCAACATTTTGGGAGGCCAAGGTGGGAGGATCACTTGAGGCCAACAGTTTGAGACCAGCCTGGGCAACATAGTGGCGAATCCTATTGTAAACTGCACATTTGAGGGATCTAGGTTGCGTGCTCCTTATGAGAATCTAATGCCTGATGATCTGTCACTGTCTCCCAACACCAGCAAATGGGACTGTCTAGTTGCAGGAAAACAACCTCAGGGTTCCCACTGATTCTATATTATGGCGAGTTGTATAATTACTTCATTATATATTACAATGTAATAACAGAAATAAAGTACACAATAAATGTAATGCTCTTGAATCATCCCAACACCATCCCTTCCTCCCACCCGTCCATGAAAAAACTGTCTTCCATGAAACTGGTCCCTGGTGCCAAAAAGGTTGTGGACCACTGACACAGAACACATAATAAAGTGCAATAATACTATAAATAAATTACAGGCATTGCCTGAGGATAATAGATTCTGAGAATAATCCTTTCAAAGCAAATCCCCTTATAAGGAAGTTCAAAATTTTATAATGTGAAAAAAAAGTTGGAGTGGAACTTTACCTTGAAAATTCAAACAAAAAATTATCACAGGGAGTCTATTTTATTGCATATATAATAAAATTAAAGAACAAACATTTTATTTATTTATTTATTTTTTGAGACCAAGTCTCACTCTTGTCACCTAGGCTGGAGCGCAGTGGCGTGACCTCGGCTCACTGCAACCTCCGCCTCTTGGGTTCAAGCCAATTCTCCTGCCTCAGCCTCCTGAGTAGCTGGGATTACAGGTGCTTACCACCAAGCCTGGCTAACTTTTGTGTGTGTGTGTGTGTGTGTGTTTTTAGTAGAGATGGGGTTTCACCATATTGGCCAGGCTGGTCTTAAACTCTTGACCTCAAGTAATCTGCCCACCTCGGCCTCCCAAAGTGCTGGGAAAAATTAAACATTGATTTTTGGCATATTTGTTCTGACAAAATTTAGGAGCTCAGGATACAGCCATCCTTCGTATTTGAATAATCAAGAGTAATTTTTCTTAAGAAATATCAAAGCCTTTATCAGTTTCCCAAAGGTCCTTTTAATGATTTTCTATTTAGATATTTCTTCTCTGAAGCTACCATGTCATCATCTTTGTAGATTTTTCTCTTTTAGCTGCATTCTGCCAGATCCTAATTTATCAAAGAAATTTGAGTGATTCCAGCAGTTCTCCAACATCACTTTCATCAACTTCATAAAATTCTACAGGATCTCTTTTTAATCAAATCTAATGTGTCTGCTATGTTTTGTCAGAAAAATATGCATAAATCAACTAGCGGTTACTAGACAAAGAAATATGACCAGATTAACAGGTATAAGCCCTGGTCTTACTGGTCAAGAAACATTGAAGATAAGAGCAATTTTATAAGTAATTAATTCATCAGTAAACCTTTCATGTTACAACAACTTTGCTACCTTATACAACTTCATAACTATAGGGAGTTAGATATTAAAGACCTCCCTTCATGGAATATAAAACAAATTCTGTCCTACGTAATTATGTATAAGAAGATAACAAAATTGCAATGACCTTATTTAGACATTAATTACAGTGAAAACAGATTATATCAAAACCAATGGAATACAGTCAAGGTGTTAATCAGTGAGTTATTTACGGAGTTAAATGCTTTCATTATTAAATAATATGGAAAATAAACTAAGCACTTAACTTTTTAAAAAGCTGGAAAAGGATATGAAATTTAAAAATCAGGAATTAACAAATATAAATCAAAAAACAAATCCAATCTCTAATTTTTTGAAAAGACTAATGCATTCCAAGTCTACACAAGAGAAAGGAAGACAGGGAAAGAGAAAAAGAGGGAGGACGAAAAGGAGGAAGAAAGGGAGGAAGAGAAGGAGGAAGGAAGGAGGGAGGGAAGAGAGAAGCAAGGCAATCACATAATGTTAGGAATGGTAAAAGGTCTAAAGAAATCAGGTTCTGGAAGGTTTTCAGTCCATTTGTTCTTAAATCTAAAGTAACATAAAGTGACTGTATCGCCATCTGTTGGTAGCAGATGGAGTTGACACCTTTGCTCTGCCTTTGTTCGTACCTTAAAACCCTTGTAAAGTGAAATTTCAATATTGTTTTTAATTTACAACTTCTGAAATATTTTAAATGGTACAAGATACTTTAGAGGCTATGTCAATCAATTTTTAAATTATGACTAACGGGAAAATTTTGCTGGAAATTATAAATAGCTAAAACTGACTCAAGAGTTCATTTAACTAATTGCTTCAATATCATTTATTAATAATTTGACTCAAAAACTCAAAAATCCAAATGGCCATGTAAGAAGTAAAAAGAAAACAAGTTCTCCCCAACATGGTTTAGGATCAATTGAATACTTTTAAGAAAGCAATTAATTCCTATATCTTCCAAACTCTTCGAAAATGTTATTTTAAAAAGAAGATTCTCTAATTTAATAAAATCAGTATAACTCTGATACCACAGAAAAAGCTGACAAAAATATCCCTAAAGGAAATGTGAAGACAAATTAAAATTTAAATATAGATACAAAAAGTCATCCAAATAATTATAGCAAGTTAATACAACTGCATATTCAAAGAATATCACTGTCGAGTCAGCATTATTTTTAGACATGCAAGGATAGTTCAATATTATAAAATCATCAGTATAATTTAATAATAGAAACAAGCAAAAAATCCTGTGAAGAGCTTTAAGGACAAAAAAAAAGCCTTTGATAAATTCAACTGTATTCTTGGTTGAACAATCCTACTGCACTAGGGTTAGAGGAAAAGTTCATAAATATCAGTAAGATTCCCCCTCCTTCTAAAATCTTTCTTACTCTTGTAAAAAAAATTATGAATGAAATAACCAGTTACAACTACTTATAAAATATCACAGGGGAAACTAATTTTGCAAAAGTATCAAAAACTTATTTTTTCTTGAAAAAAATAAATCTGAAGCTTAAGACACGCTTCTAAAAATCTACAAAACTCTAAGAAAAATAAAAAATAGACATGGACAAATAAAGTGGCATACTATATTCATGGATGAAACGACAATATTGCAAACAAATCAGTTCTTTTCCGAATTAATCCACTTATATAGTGCAATTCCAACCTATATCTCAATAGGGCTTCTTTTTTTGGAATGAATACAGGTTTTCAAAAATTCAACTAGAATAGTAAATAGAGAATACCCAAGACTATTTATTTATTTAGAGACAGAGTCTCACTTTGTCACCCAGGCTGGAGTGCAAGTGGCACGATCTCAGCTCAATGCAACCTACACCTCTCAGGCTCAAGTGATTCCCGTGCCTCAGCCGGGCAACAACATGCCCAGCTAATTTTTAGTAGAGACGGGGTTTCACCATGTTGTCCAGGCTGGTCTCAAACTCCTGACCTCAAGTGATTCACCCGCCTTGGCCTCCCAAAGTACTGGGATTACAGGCATGAGCCACCGTGCCCGGCCCCAAGACTCTTTTTAAATGAAGGGAAATAAAGTGGGCCTTACCCTATCTGCCTTAAAAAGCACTAACTGTCCTGGTGCTCAGTGAAACCCAACACAAAGTTTAGGAACAGGAAGAAGGACCTATTAGAATGTGATATGGGATAAAAGTGGTATCACAGAGTAGTGTAAAAAATCAGGTTATTAACAAATAGTATTGAAGCAATTAGCTAAGTATTTGGGAAAATATAAAGTTAGGCCCTACTCTAAAAATAAGGTAGATTGTACTTAGTTCTGAATTATGAGCTGCCTTTTCAATGAGATTACAATTCCATGCCTCATTGACATCAGGCTTAGCCATGTGACTTAATTTGGCCAATGAAATGTGAACAGAAGTGACAAATACCCCAGTATAGTAGAAGTTCTATATGCCATTGCACGCTCCCACTGTTGCTCTTTGTCTCTCTTCCAGGAGCTCAGAGTAGAGGCTTCCTCTTCGGTCTAGGTCACAGAATGAGGCACAACTGGAATAGCACCAAAGGTAACCTACAGCTAACATGTAAAGTGAGTGAGAAGTAAATCGTTATTATTATAAGCCCCTGAAATTTGGGGATCACTTGTTACCATGCACAACCTAAAAAAAGTGTTGAGTGATATAAAAATAGAAATTAGATAAAGTGTCAAAATGAAACTATGAAGTCTCTAGAAGAAAACACTGATGAATATTTATAAAATCTCATATCTAGTTAAAAATAACATGAAAGAGCAACACTTAAATGAAACAGTTTAAAGATCTGGCTACATAAAAGGTTAAAATTTTCATTCTACAAATACTCAGTCAACCACAAACCAAACCAAAAAATTTATTTGCAGCATATGTGCTGCTGGATTCATATGTAAAAAATTCTTACAAGTGAAAAAAAAGATGAATGTCCTAAGGTGCTAAGGACATTAATAAAGACAAGTTTCAGAAAATATAAAAATAGCCACAAAAAACGTTAAAATGTGTTTAATTTGGCTAACCACCAAAGAAATTGAAATAAATATTGAGACTGCTGTTTTAACTATCTTATTAACAGAGATATAAAGTATGATCATACCCAATTTTGGCTAAGGGATAGAAAAGAGGAAGGAAGCACCCTCCTACACTGTCCTTGAGGTATAAATTGATATAAAATGTTTCAAAAAGCAACTGGGTAAAACATCGAAAGACTTAAAAAGTGGCTCAGGAAGGCTACTCCTGGAATTTATCCTTAAACATAATTGGATAAGTGGGCAAAAAGTATTATACATCTTGGTGCCATTTATAAGGAAAAATCCAGAGAAGTCTTAAATGCTTCACTAAATTATTATACATTTACAGCTGTTAAGGATGATTATGTAAATGTGTATTTATTTGTAAGAAAAGGCATGCATGTTTTTCAAGATGGGAAAACAGTTGACCAATATTTTGTTGTATACCATTATTTTTTCTAAGAATATATAGTATATATAACATGTCATGAGCTACATAATGACATTTCAGCCAACAGCAGACTGCATGTATTATGGTAGTCCCATAAGATTACTATGGAGCGTATATAGAAACCTGATATGTGGTACTTGATATTGGCACCGCAGATCAAGTAGGGGAAATGATTGATATTCAGTAATGGTGCTGAAACAGTTGTTTTTCCATGTGAAGAAATGTTGATAAATAAAACTCTACATATGCTATCTAGGTTTGCATAAATACTGTACACTGATAATTGCACATTGATGAAATCATCTAATGACACATTTCTCAGAACATATCCCTGTTGTTAAGCGCTTCATGACTGTATATATATCTAATGTGTATTTTAGTTGTGTGTGCGTATTTTTATACATATATAATTTTTGATATTTAACATCTGTAGGAATAACTAGTCTTTGGCATTAATAATTTTTCGTTTTGTTCATATGCATTTTTGACAACTTCAGTATCATATTATTTATGTACTATGGCAATAATAAAATTTTAAGAGAGTATTCTAAAAGGCTGTGTTGTTTATCCCTACTAGGATCACAGATCCTGGAAAACATAGTGAAAGCTATTGGTTGGCTGGCCATGAAAGTGCACACGTGCAACTACACTGAATTTCATATAAATTTCCAGGAACTCCTCATTCCTCCCAAATATGATCCATGGACATCTAGATGAAGGACGCTTGGCACAGAAGCAGTACACACTTGATGTTTGTCTACTCTGGATGTCATTAACCTTGGGTCCACTAAGTCCTAGTATCTATAATAAACAAAACCTGGGATTATTTAACTTAGTGTTTTAGTAAGCTGACAAAACACATTCTGGGAATGAATGAACGACTCCAAGGTCAGTAATGAGAATGCATCCTTTATTCTCCATTATTAGCAACATCTCTGACCTTGTCTCCTGCAGGCACACTCCGGCCCACGTGCTTCTCCTGGCTCCCAAACCACTGCACTGACCTGCCTTTATGAACACTGTGTTCATAAAGTTGATGTTCACTGAAACTTCCTTAATTCCCTGAGTGTGCTGCCCCTTGTAGTTGCCACCTATGAGATAGGTAGGTACTATCATTATTTCCATTTTACAGATGAGGGAAGTGGGGGTTAGACAGGGTAACAAATTTTCCCAACATCACACAGCTAGCAGTATATACTGGAAAATACATACAGTGTTTCGGAGCTGATGGCCTGTCCTTCCACAGGAATGATGCAGTCCTTATCCAGGAAAGCCAAGAGAAAGGAAGAGATGCATTCTGCCCTGGTCTTCTCTGTCTTCTTCCCACTTTTGAGGCTCCATTTGTCCCATGCTGGGATCTCTGCTTCTTTATCCAGAGATTTGCAGATTTTATGTAACACTGAATTGTCTCCAAATACTTCAAGCTCACTTTAAAAACATCTTTATGGAGACTTCGCTTCCTTTCTGCAAATTTCTAGTTGCCTGTTTTACATGTCAGGAATGGCTGAGTGATGCTCTGGCTCTCTCACCTGAATTTTGTCTTGCATCTCTGTTCACTTTGCCTGTTTCATTGTCTTGCCATCTCATTCTTTCTAATGGAGAAGTAAAGGAGGGACTCTGTTCCTCCCCGTACCAGGAGGGTATTGATGTTTGAGGTCCAAACTGAAAACCCATCACCTCCTTCCCACTGCTATAGCAGCGTTAGCCCTGGGGTTCATTATCTAGCCAGTTCACACCTTCTAAAGTGGGGCTCTGAAAATGTCTTACTTCCCTCACAGACAAAGCAATTCTCAAGCCTCCTGAGATCACCCACCAACCAGAGCAACTGCTGTCACTTGGAGGTGCAGCTGAATTCTTCTAATTGTGACACAAACTCTTGAAACTGTAAATGCTGAAAGATTAAATGAGGTTATAACACTCAGAAGGTTTTACAAGTAAAAGTAAGTCAAATCAATAGGTCTTTATTTCATATCTGTAATGGTTTAGCTCTGCGGGAAGTGTTAGCAGCTATATGAATTAGGAAGAATTTAGAAGACAATCCCTAAACACATGAAATGTCCAAGTAAGAAGATAACATATTTATCCAAATATTTAAAGTGAAATGCTCCAGATATGGGAAGCTTACAGTTTTCAAGCAAAGCTTTTTAGAAAAAATTATGGAACTATTTTAAAGAGAGCTAAACATTTCTTTGCCTTAGGCAGAATATACAGAACACAGATTCACCTTTTCTGTACATCTCTAGATGATCACGAATGTCAAATATCACACTACACTGTGATATGGGGATTCCCCTTGGGGGTTTTCATGTGTATAGGGTGCCTGCAGCTACACTAAACATCTTAAAGCTACCACAATGTTCACTTCATATTTTTGCTTTTTATAGGCTTTCTTGGTCTCCTCCTATGTTCCCATCATTTTCTTGCTTTGAATCTGTAAGAATCGAGTTGAATCTTCTCCATTTTAAATTTTCCATAGGCTGAGAAACTGTTTAGCCAAGTTTGGATAAAATTGTATCCAAAGTAAGAGTATACAAGCTATGGGCAAGTCCAAAATCAAGCTGTTCACAGGACCATGTTCTCTCTAAAGGTTCTAGGAGAGAATCCCTCATTTCCTTCCAGCTTCTGGGTGGCTGCTGGCATTCCTGGGCCGGTGGCTGCATCCCTCCAATCTCTGCCTCCATCTTCACATGACCTTCTTCCTTGTGTTTCTATGGGTTCTTTCCTGTTTTTTATGAAGACATTTTCATTGGATTTAGATCCCATCCTAATCCAGTATGATCTCATCTTCAGTTTTACCTAACTTATATCCGCAAAGGCACTATTTCCAGATGAAATTACGTGCTGAAGTTCTAGATGGATATAACCTTGGGGGCCATGAAGAACTCTTCCACTTACTGCAGAGATCCATCACCCTAAATAGTTAAGAACAAGAGAAATGTAGAATAAAATCTCAAGCTCCCAGGATGACGTTCCGGGGTCTTCCTATTCCACCCTCAACCCTTATTTTTGACCTCCTGTCCTGCAGCCACACTCCGGCCCACACGCTGTTCCTGGCTCCCAAACCGCTGCACTGGGCTGCCTCAACACTGTCTTTATAAAGTTGTCATTCACTGAAACTTCCTTCATTCCTTGAGTGTGCTGCCCCACGTAGTTGCCACATATGAGACAGGTACCATCATTACTTCCATTTTACACATGAGGGAGGTGAGGGTTACAGAACATAAAGAATTTCCCAATATCACACAGCTAGCAATAAGTGGAACTTGAGTTCAAAAACAGATTTGGCTGGGTTCAGAGCTTGTGCTCTTGACTATGAAGAATAACCTTAGCATGTTCCTATAACAGAAAAGACAGTGGAGTTCCCGAAGCAAGACAAAAAGTGGTAGGAGACAGAAAGCTAAGAAGACCAGCACCTGATTAGGTGGGGCCTCATATGCATGGAAAGGTGAAAAGGAATTCTGAGTGTGGTGGGAATCCACCAAGGACAATGAGGATGATGAGAGCTTAGAAAGGGCTATTACATTTGCTTGTTGTAAAGAGAAGTTTCACTTAGTCATTCATTCATTCAATTATTCACTTATTACATGAATATTTCTTGAGAACCTAGTGTGTGCAGGGTACAGTTGTACATGGGAAGGATACGATGGTGAGCATATCGGATGCAATCCTGGTCATTCTTGAGCTTATATTCTAGTAGAGGGAGAAAGATAATAAGCAAGTGATACAGTTTGGGTATTTGTCCTTGCAAATCTCACGTTGAAATCTGATCCTCAGTATTGGAGGTGAGGCCTAGTGGAGGTTTTTGGACCATGGGGGCAGATCATGCATGAATGTCTTGGTGCCATACCTATGAGTGAGTTCTTACTCTATTAGTTCAGGCAAGATCTGGGTACTAAGAAAAAGCCTAGCACCTCCTCCTCTCTGTTCTTTCCTGTCGCCATGTGATGCAGCTCTCCTTCGCCTTCCGCCATAACTGGAAGCTCCCTGAGGCCCTCACCAGAAGCAAATGCTGGCCATGCTTCACGTACAGCCTGCAGAACCATGAGCCAAATAAACTTCTTTTCTTTATAAATTACCCAACCTCAGGTGTTCCTTTATAGCAACACAACGGACTAAGACACTAAGTAAGCCATTAAACAAGCCAATACAGGTAGTGATATGCACCTTTTTTTTTTTTTTTTTTTTTGAGACGGAGTCTCACTCTGTCACCAGACTGGAGTGCAGTGGCATGATCTCTGCTCACTGCAACCTCTGCCTCCCGGCTCCAAGCGATTCTCATGCCTCAGCCTCCCGAGTAGCTGGGATTACAGGCACGCATCACCGTACCCAGGTAATTTTTTTGTATTTTTAGTAGAGACAGGGTTTTACCATGTTGGCCAGGATGGTCTTTATCTCCTAACCTCGTGATACACCCCCTCAGCCTCCCAAAGTGCTGGGATTATAGGCATGAGCCACCGCACCCAGATGATATGCACTATTTTAAGAAAAAAAAAACCTACTATAGAATGGCAGGGAAGAGGGGGAGCAAAACTCCAAACTGTCCAAAGAAGAAACATTTGAACTAAGATGGAGGCAATGAAGAGGAACCAGCTGAGTGATGGTCTAGGGGCAAGATCTAGGGGAAAGTCAAGAGAAAGAGACTGAAGAGAAAGGGTTAGGGCTGATTTAGTGAGCAAAGATCCAGGAGGGGGAGAAGTTTACAGTACCCTGAGAACAGCAATAATGCACAAACATTACTATTCCAACAGCTGCATTGAAACACCCTTGGTAGGATTGGGAAAAAGATGGATTATTGCCATTTGGACACTCCAGGACTGTCCATTAATACTCCTGACTAATGGAAGATGATAAAGATTGGGCAAGAAAAATGACTGCAGCAAACGCCTTGGCATCTTCAACTTGTCACCTTTAGCAAGAGGCCTCTTCAACAGTTCTTGGACTGTGTTTGGCAGCCAGGCACTCTCAGAACGGCAAGGAGACACAGCTAACATGATCTTTGCAATGCAACAAAACAAGCGATCTTGAGGCGACAGAGTCCAAAAGATGACAGAAAATTCATCCAACTCCTGAAGCATGTGATGCCACCAGAAAGCCTTGGCAACAGCCCTTGCAACCCCAGGCTACACCACCTCAGTCAAAGCCAAGTCCTAACATATCTCCCTTCTTCTCCTGCAGCCAAGCTGGGCAAGAAGAGATTAGACTCCAGCCCCTTGCAAAAGCTTCAAGCTGCATGTGTCACCAAAAGACCTTGAGAAAGTCACAGGAAAGTGTCTAAAATCTACATAGAAAACATTTGCCCAAGGAGACTTGTGTGACAAGGCAGGGCCCACTTTGCAGAGCTGGCAGATGTCACCATTGCTTGAGAGTTCTTCTCCTTGACTTAGTTCTGTAAACCAGATGCCCCCCAACACGCTCTAGTTTGATGACGGCATATTTTCTTTTATTCTCCAAATAAAATGTGTCGAGCTCCCATCTCATGTACTAGGAGAGGTCCTGTGACCTTTCCAGTGCCTCAGAGAGTGAGAATGGGAAAGAGGAGTGGATGAAGTAGGGCTTACCCTCCTGTGGGTCACCTCTCTTCCCTGCTGCTTCTGAACCCCACTCAGCCTCCTTCCCTCTTCCCCAGCAACTATCCCAAAGCTGTTACATCGTGTGGCAAACGTTTACTGAGGCTTTTAGGGATAATATAAGTGGTTTCTTTACAACCATTCCTTCACAGCCAGAACGCACGTAATTTAAAACTGTGTCATTTTCACACACGTCCCATAATGTCTCCTTCATGGGGAGCTTCTCATGGCCTTGGTCTCTCCCCAGAGGCTGCCTATGGCCATATTTCTGGGATCCAATTCTCACACACTGGGCCCCTCATTCTTGGGCTTCCCACATTCAGTTACCTCATTCTTGGGCTGCCCACAAACAGTCAAAATCCTTATTTTCTAAGCTGAAGCAGTTGAGCTCTCTCACTTACCCTTACAAATCTAGGTTTTGCCTAGAAGTAGTCAAAAAAGCAAGACAGAGACATCTTCATCAACCACAAAGTCTCATCAAAGTATTTTACTCCATCAAAGAGCCATTCACTTCTGATAGCCATGCTCTTCCTCTCTTAAAAGGCAGATTCTCTTTGTTTTTTTTTTTTTAACTAAATACAACGTTTTCTTCCTACCACACTGCCTCATGATCCTATTAAAAGATATCAAGATGAGGACCAGCCATGAATTCACTTCCCTCCGCAGTCCACTAACATGTTGCTTTAGTGAAAATAAACAAAACAAAAATTTAGAAATTAAACTAGGGCATTTGGATTCTTAGAAGGGATAAAACTGCATGGTAGTAGCATACGGTGATGTCCTAGATTCAATTCTATGACTATTCAGTGGCTGGAGTGGATCCTCATGGCCTACACAAATTCTTTAAGATCCCTGGGCTAGTTAGCACCCATGCAGTGGTCAGCTACATTCCCAAAGCACTGCCCATCTCCCACCATTGTTACAAGCCCCAACTCCATGCCTAGAAATTAGGCAAGTCCAGTACCCCACCATACAAGCCAAGGAAGCTTCAGGTATTACAACCTGGATCATAGCCACGGTCTTGGCTTCTCTCACTTTTCCCCTGGTTTTGGTCCTCACTTCCAGTTCTCCAAAATCTACCTGTGTCCTGACTCTGGCTGTGATTCTACTCTAAGTGCCATACACATCCCTTTCACCACTGACAGATTTTGCTTCCCTGGTTGTGACATTCAGCATTCTCTACTGCAGGGCTTCTCAACCTTGGCACTATTGGCATTTGGGTCTGGGTAATGCTTTGCTGTGGCAACTGTCCTGTGCATTGTAAGATGTTAAGCAGCATCCCTGACCTCTGTCTACTAGATGCCAGTAACACCCCATCATTGTCAAATGTCTCCTGGGGCACAATGTGGCACCTGGTTGATAAACACTGATCTACTCAACTTGCACTTGTCATTTTGCGGCTATGAAAACCACCTCTCAACAGTAAAGGTCTCCAAAGGAAACCAGTGTGGATGAGGTGTTCGCTTCATCTGAGCTCTCCTGTGAACCTGGTAAAGTTCTAACTGTCCAAGAAGTGCTCCATCAAGACTTGCCTGAAGAATTCTAAGCAGTTCAAATCTAAAAATTGACCTCGTCTGGCTGGCCAAAGCCAAAACATATGATTGAACATTCATCTATCCAATTTTTAATATGCGAGCAAGACTTGGTGATTGAATTAACTTTTTCTTCTTTTACTCATATTTGGGGGCTTATACTCAACCCAACCACTGGGAAGCCAGTAGTACCCAGAGGACACAGTTGAAATGAGGCACAATTAGGAAAAACTAGGCTGTTTAATATCCATATTGAGTAGCTTTGCAAGTTACTTTCACAAACTTCCCTACAGAATTGGTTCTAACAGAACTGTTCAAGGCCAAGGATTTGTTTTTTCTGGGTCTGGGGGAGTCATCTTTATAATTTTAATATTCCATTAGAATGCCTTGACGCTAGAAGGAGGGTCCATCTCAATCACATCAATAAATTGATCCCAACCTTTATAAAAATAAGCTTGGATAGAAAGGAAAATCCGAAGACTAAGGTAGTCTGGTAGAATACTAGAAGGAGACATCTTTTAAGAGGAGGACAAGAAAAGGCATGAAAACAGAGAACATGGTCCTACACAAGGCAACTGGCTTCAGTGCTACCCTACAATTCTTATTTCCACTCAACGTCTGTTCTAAGGTGGCCACATTTACAAATGTTTACAACCCCACAGTGAGAAAACAAGGTGTATTAGTCCGTTTCATGCTGCTGATAAAGACATACCTGAGACTGGGAAGAAAACGAGGTTTAACTGGACTTACAGTTCCACATAGCTGGGGAGGCCTCAGAATCATGGCGGGAGGCGAAAATGGCAGCAGCAAGAGAAAATGAGGAAGAAGCAAAAGCGGAAACCCCTGATAAACCCATCAGATCTTGTGAGGCTTATTAATTATAAGGAGAATAGTAGGGGAAAGACCAGCCCCCATGATTCAATTACCTCCCCCTGAGTCCCTCCTACAACACGTGGGAATTCTGGAAGATGCAATTCAAGTTGAGAGTTGGATGGGGACACAGCCAAACCATATCACAAGGGAAAGAAGACAAGAAGCTATCCTGTCTCCAACAACCAATATGTTGTGTTTACATAGCTTTGAGTTTTTCAGATGCCCCAAGATTCTAGAAGGAAGAGAGCTCAGAAAGGAATTACAAGGGGTTTGTAGAGGAAACCTCTGGTTGGTGTTATAAAAATTATTTTGTCTCCACAAATTAGAAAACTGCAAGGTTCTCATGCCCATACCTTCTTGAAATTCAAATGCACTTTTCATTCCTGAGGTGGAGAATTTGGGGTTTCTTGAGGAAAATTATTTTTTAATGAAAGCATGAGAAATTAACAGTTTTCAAACAAATTTATTACATATCTAAAGTTCCTTCCAACTCCCACCCCAGTTTTTTCATATAATTTCTGCTTTTATTTTAGATTCGGGGGTACACGTGCGGGTTTGTTATGTGAGTATGTTGCATGATGCTGACGTTTGGGTTAAGAAACATCCTGTCACCGGGGTAGTGAGCAGAGTACACAACAGTTCATTTTTCAACCCTTGCCCCCTCCTTCTTTCTCCCTCTAGGAGTCCTCAGTGTCTATTGTTATCATTGAAGATGGAGTATTTGTAAAGAATATGGAGTTTAGTTAGGAACTATGAGGTTGGTGCAAAACTAGTTGCAGTTTTTGTCTCTTTTTTTTTTTTCTTTTTTTTGTTTTTTTGAGACAGAGTCTTGCTCTGTCGCCAGGCTGGAATGCAGTGGCATGATCTCAGCTCACTGCAACCTCTGCCTCCCTGGTAAAATCAATTCTCCTGCCCAGCCTCCTGAGAAGCTGGGATTACACGCACGCACCACCACAGCAGCTAATTTTTGTATTATTAGTAGAGACGGGGTTTTACCATGTTGGCCAGGATGGTCTCAGTCTCTTGACCTCATGATCCACCTGCCTCAGCCTCCATAAAGGGCTGGGATTACAGGCGTGAGCCACTGCACCCGGCCTGTCATTATTTTTAATGGCAAAACTGCAATTACTTTTGCACCAACCTAATAAAACTCAGAACACCACATTGACTCAAGACGCATGAGAAATGGCATGCTAGTCACCATTAAGCCTTTCAGAACAAGGGGAAAGGTCAGCAGGAGGATTGCTCAGCTAGTTCCAGGGCACAAATGCTGCCTTGGGAAGAAATATCTTGTTCTTTCAAAAAAAATGTATCAGCTTTGAAGATTTTCCTGTTTTGAAATCCTATCAGTTCTAAAAATCAAGATATTTCCTCTAGCTTATTTATGTTAGAAGAACATTCCCGATTGATATTTCTTTTACAAAGGCATTGAGCATCCTGGGACAGGGAGTTACTCCAAGCCGGCTGTTTGGGCACATGCTTTGCTATTTGCCTTTTTATTTCAGATCCTTGAAAAGAAACTTTGACTCCTTGTTCTGATTGCTGGGCTACACATTTAAGCTACCAATGGCAATGTAAATGACTGCTTATATTTTCAAAGATCCTGATTATTTCTTGTGCAATTATTAGTTATTATTTGAGATTAAATAAAATTAAGGTTTGTTTTTTCCTTTGCAGTGCTCTTTGTGCATCACACTTAAATTAGCATGCTCTAATTCAAATACATCATAAATTTTTATGGAGAGATTGGTTCACAGAGAGGTTTAAGAGTGTGTCTTCATTTTAAAGGGAAATGCTTACTTTAAAGTTTTATAGACATTGAGCTTCCTGCCTCTTTGGTAAGAAAATAACGCATTGTGAAATGAGTTTTTAAAACAAGCAACTGATTCTTCAACTGTTTTTTTTTTTTTTTTCAGCCTTATCTTTCCTGGTTATTTACGAGCCTGCAGTCATTCCAAGACACCATTGTAAATAACTTGTAAAATCTGGTGACATTTTTCAGGGTCAAATGCGTAAATGTAAATGAAACACGTTCTTGCCTCCGGCAGCCAATCTCCCATTCCTTACTGGAATAGAACCCAGGTGGCACATACCTATGATCATCAGGAACTCACCATTTTGTTGATTTAATCTTCCATTCAACTAATATTTATTGATGTCCTGTTACGTACTAGGTACGGAAGATACGGCAGTGAGCAAAACCAATCATGTTCCTTGTCCTCATGGGGCTTACAGTGGGGGGAGAAAATTATAAGCAAAAAGAAAATACAAAGAAATACAACACAGAAAGCACAGGCATGAGGAAGGAGGGCACGGTTCTGGGAAGGCTTCTTGGCCGAAGCAACCAGACAGCAAAACAGGCTTGGCCAGGACAGACATGGGCCTGTTATCCAGCTGGCTAACGGTGGAGCTACAAGTGCCTTCGCCTCCAGAATCATGGAGGTGGGTAATGAGCCATTTACCCTCCAGTGAAGCCCATCCTAAAATTAAGTGCTCTCTAACTAAACAAAGAGTTGTTTACTTTTTTCTATAAAGAAAACAGAGGCTCCACCTGTTACTCACTCTCCTACCCTCTCTCCTGTATTCTTTCAAATCACTAGTTAACCACTTTACTCAGCACACAATGACTTAGAACCGCAGTAGAATCTTATTCTCCAATGAGATTGGGGTAGAGTAACAGCTGATCACTTAAAATATTTTTAAATTAATAATCTTTTTTTTTGAGACGGAGTCTCATTGTCGCCCTGGCTGGAGTGCAGTGGTACAATCTCCCAGATCACTGCGACCTCCACCTCCCAAGTTTGAATGATTCTCCTGCCTCAGTCTCCTGAGTAGCTGGGATTCCAGGCATGCACCACCACGCCCAGCTAATTTTTGTATTTTTAGTAGAGACAGGGTTTCACCACGTTGCCCAGGTTGGTCTTGAACTCCTGACTTCAAGTGATCCTCCTGCCTCAGCCTCCCATAGTGTTGGGAATACAAGCATGAGCCACTGTGCCTGGCCTAAATTCATAATATTTTAAAATGGCAACTCATAATTGTATATATTTATGGGGTACACTATGAAGTTTTGATACATTTATTCAATATGAAGTGATTAGAGCAAGATAATTAATATATCCATCACCTCAATTAATTATCATGTTTGTGGTAAGACATTTAAATTTACTCTCTCGGCAATTTTGAAATATACAAATCATTTTTATTAACTATAGTCATTAGGTCATGCAATAAATCTCAAAAGCATATTGGTCTTGTATGACTGAAACTTTGTACACTTGCACCAATATCTCTTCATTTCTTCTTCTCCTTCCCCCAGCCAGTCTCCAGTACCACCCTTCTACTCTCTACTTCTATGAATTTGATTTTTCAAAATTCTACCTATAAGTGAGATGATGTGATATTTGTGTTTCCGAGCCTGACTTATTTCATTCAGCATGATGTCCACCAGGTTCAGGTGCCACATTAAAACAATACATGTATGAAAAATATCATTTTGGCCAGGCGCAGTTGCTCACGCCTGTAATCCCAGCTCTCTGGGAGGCCGAGGCAGGTGGATCACAAGGTCAGGAGATCGAGACCATCCTGGCTAACACAGTGAAACTCCGTCTCTACGAAAAACATACAAAAAAATTAGCCAGGCGTGGTGGCGGGCACCTGTAGTCCCAGCTACTCGGGAGGCTGAGGCAGGAGAATGACATGAACCCGGGAGGCAGAGCTTGCAGTGAGCCGAGATCACGCCACTGCACTCCAGCCTGGGCGACAGAGCGAGACTCTGTCTCAAAAAAAAAAAAAGAAAGAAAGAAAGAAAAAAGAAAAATATCATTTTACCTCAAGATACAAACATTCAGATTGGTTAGCCAGTGTTTGTAATGGAGAGGCAAGGACCTCTCTGTGAGTATAGACAACTAATTGTAGTACTGTCCAGTAGAACCCTCCAAAATAATGAAATGTTCTATGCCTGTTGTAATACACTCATCCCAAGCCATGTGTGGCTCTAGCTACACAGCATCCTTGTTATCTTCTCTGCATAGATCACATTCATATGCCTCCTTTCTGATTTCAGTTTCGGTTGGTTTAAATGAAGTGAGAACATGAAGACAACTGTGGTATATTCCAAGAGCAGAATCCTCTTACACTTTAATTTTTTTTTCAAATTTTTTTCCAGGTCTTTCACCACACCTAATCTGATTATTGTTTCCTTTAGCAATTTGCATCTTTTGGGTATTTTGATACCTTCAGTGCCCATCTTCCCCTCTGACTCCTGCCTGGTTCCTTTCCTGAGATGGTTGGTTTCTTACCTGGATAGAGTGGAGGGTAGATGGGAACGAGTTCCAGTGGACAAGGTCTATGGAGTTTCCTTATTTTCGGCTCAGGAAGAGCCATGGAACCAGCACCTGAAAACCTGGAAGCAGAGATTGCTAATAACAGATTTGCAAAGACAGTGTGATCTGTGGTAGTACAAGGATTCCTGAGGTGAGAGACAGTATCAATCCTATCTGAGTATGTGTGGGATCCATGGCTCTTAGAGGCCACAAAGACACCGAACAGGTAAACTTAATCTTTTGCATCTGTGAAGCTAGAAGAGCACAAAGACACTTTGGCACAGAGGGGCTCTTCTTAGGCCCTCAGCATGGGACTGCTGTCCACCTTCTACCATATACCCTCCCCCTTCCCGCTATGGGAAAAATTCCTTTATCTTCTACCAGTCAGAGGTCAGCCTCTACTTGGGGTCCCATGACAAGCAGATCTCTGACTGTTTTTAACATAACATAGTAAGGGAAACTCAGCATCCAAACAGAGAAAGACCAACCCAAACAAACAAAACACCTGGCCAGTGAACTGAAGATTTTAAAAACAACAAAGAACCAAGCAAATAAACAAGGACACTTAAGGAAAATCAAATGCATACACAAAAAGAATGTCTGGACCTCAGAGATATGATTTCTCCATTGAATAGGGTTGCCAGAATTAAAGCAACTACATACAAACAACTACAAGACACCCCATTAAATTTTAATTTCACATAAATAGTAAATAATTTTAGTATACTATGTCCCATGCTATAGTCAACATACTTACACTAAAAATTTCAATGTTTGTTTGAGATTCACATTTAATTAGTTGTTCTGCACTTTATCTGGCAGCTGTTCCATTGAACAATTTGGTAGATGAGTTAAAGAGAGAATGGTCATTGGAGAGATATGAACTAGTGACTAGAAATACATTGGAAAAAATTCTCACCATATGGATCAAGCAAAATGGTGGACAAATAAGAGGAAAGATGAGACTTGGGGCTGGATCCAGGAGACCTACCATGAGCAATGATACCAATCTCAGGAAAAAAGGAAACAAAGGAGAGGGAATAATTATAAAGTGTGTAATACAAAAAATTATTCCTAAACTGAAGAGACCCTGGAGTCTAGAGATTGAAATGACTCCCAGAGTTCTAGACTTGATTGATAAAGGAAAACACTCACTTGGGCATGTCCTGGTAAGATTCCTGAAAGTTTAAAACAAAAACAGAACAAAATGCTGACAAGCTAATCAACAGAAAGTACACATTATCTGCAAAGGGGAAAATTGGCATCTGACTTCTTACTGTCAACATTGGAAGCCAGTAGACAATGGAAATGACATTTGCCAATAGCTAAGCTGAAAACAACTTATGATCCTCTACTTATTCAAGATGGTATTCACCCACCAGGGCAAAAGAAGGAAACTGTTAACACAAAAGAATGTGAAGAGTATACCACCAGCAATTCCCATCTGAAGAAAATAATCAAGCAAAGATCTTCAAAAGTGAGAGTTAGATTGAGACTTCAAGATATAGGGAGATGAGAGGAAACACAATACTGATGAAAAACGAACCCAGTATAGACAGGTTAAGTGGATATTCATGGCTACTGGGGGTTATGTAGTGTAAATGCTACATAAGTCCTTTGGAAACAGGAGGGACATACAGCAAGGAAAATTCCAGTAATCATCTGGGACTAAAATCCTAGAGAATTCCAGGAAAACCTAGGAGTTATAGGTGGAGAGGGAGAAGAGACGTAAAAATGTTCCAAGGATCTCACCTTAGAGAGTGGGAAGGGGTGATGAGGAGAAAAGAGGGAAAGGAATCACTTTAGAAGTCTCATCTCCTACAGGGTCAAGGTACACAGGAAAAAGAAGACCATGGTGGAGGAATAATGTGCCTTTCTGGAGGAAACACTGGAATCTCACCTGCAAAAAAAAAAAAAAAAAATAGTACATAGATGTCTAATGAGCATAAGAAAAGAGAATGGAACAAAAATTTCAATAAAACATCTAAATTAACAAGGAGAAAACAGAAGGAAAATAGAATGAATAGTAATCCAATGAAATCAGAAAAAAATGAGGAAAAAACAAATAGAAATTGATAATTAAAATAATTATGAATGTAAATTTTAAAGTAATGTAAAATGTAAGATTGAGCATATCAGTCTTTATGCTAAAGAAAAGTTAAAAATAAAGGGATGGACAAGCAGACACCAGGAAAACACAGTGAAAAACAAAGGAGGAAAGGAAGCAATATTACCAGAAAAGATGGAATTTAAGGCTAAAAGCACTAAGCACTAAAACAGGGACTCTATCACGAACACAATGATCCATATAGATTCTTGTTTTTGTGACGCTAGCTACAGAAGTGAAGGAAAGAGACATGTTCTTGGTACATATGAGAGCTCAGGGAATGAGAATGACAAGCAGAGCCCAGGGACAAAATGTCAGAACGAAGGTGAACAGTTAGAAATTAAAACTGACATCAGCAAAATGGTGGAATCAGAGCTTTCTACCATCATCACGCCTCACTCCACAGAAGCATTAACTTTAATAATTACCAACAGATAGGAGTATCTTTGGGAAGAGTCCAGTGGAAAAGTTTCAGCACACTATTGGCACAACAACTCTGAGGCTAGGTGCACTGAAGAGGGTAACAAGAACAGTTAACACTATCCATGTCATCTGCCCTCCAAGACGGCACAGCCCAGTGACAAAAAGGAGTTGTCCACTTTGATCACAGTTTCTCCCACGGGAGAAAGCGAGAGCATAGTGGTGAATGTCCAGCTTCCCCAGCCATGCAGGACACAGTTCATGAAGACCACTTCTTTCTCATCTCGGCAAGAATACTGAAGTGAACTGTAGAGCTCAGTGGTTGGGAGAGCATGTTCCTATGAAGAGAGGATGCAGATCCACAGACTCCATCAGGAAACCCCTCCACGAGCCACTTGGGATGCCTTGCTCGTGGACCCCTCCCAAATGACCCACAGGCACCCCAAACACTGCTTACCCTCAACCCCATCTTCCCCAGACCAGTCTCCCAAGCATGCCCCTGTGGACAGCACTGCAAGCATCTTACAAAAAGAGCCAGTTCAATTTTGTGGGATTGGAGGAATGCACACAATTTGAGGGTTTCAAGACACCATTCTAGGAAAAACAAACAGGAGACTCTGAGCACCTGGCCTGGCTTTGCAGAGTCAAGAGCAGGTATACAACCTTAAGAAATCCCCTTAGAGGGGCTGGGTGCAGTGGCTCACACCTGTAATCCCAGCACTTTGGGAGGCCATAGCATATGGATCACTTGAGGTTAGGAGTTCAAGACCAGCTTGGCCAAAATGGTGAAACCCCATCTCTACTAAAAATACAAAAGTTAACTGGCTGTGGTGGCACATGCCTGTAGTCCCAGCTATTTGGGAGGCTGAGGTAGAAGAACTGCTTGAACCCAGGAGGAAGAGGTTGCAGTGACCCAAGTTCGTGCAACTGCACTCCAGCCTGGGCAAAGAAGAAGGAGAAGGAGGAGAAGGAGAAGAGAAATCCCCTTAGAGGGAACAAGAGGTGTACAGTGGATGTATCCATAGAAAGCATCCAAGAGAGCCTTGAAATTCCCAGCTGGGCTGTTTGGTGGAGGCATTTCTCTCCCAAGGACAGTCAGTAAAGACTGGAAGAGGTGACTACTCCTTCAAATGTGAAGATAGCAACACAAAATGTAGAGAAGCATGAAAAATCAAGGAAAAGGAGGACAGGGTAGGGAAAAAAAGAAATCAAGAAAACATGACACCACCAAAAGAACAGAATAACCAACTCCAAAGATAAGGAGATCTGTAATTGCCTGAAAAGATTTCAAAATAATTTCTTAAGAAAACTCAAAGAGCTGTAAAAAAAAAAAAAAAAAAAAACAGCAACAAAACAATAAATAAATGAAACAACAAGTTCAATAAAGAAATAGAAATCATTTTAAAAAAACAAAAATTCTGGAATTGAAGAAAACAATGAATAAAATGAAAAAACTGCAATAGAAGGGGACAATGGCAGATATGATTAGGCAAGTAATCTGTAAACTCAAAGACCGGTCTCTAAAAAATATTCAGACAAAGAAGGAAAAAGAAAAAAGAATGAAAAGGAATGAAGAGAGCCTATAAGATTTATATGACACCATCATAAGAGCTACCATTCACATTATAGAAGTCTCAGAAGAAGGAATAAAGAAATGGGCAGAGTGTTTATTGAAAAAAATAATGGCTGAAACCTTCCTATATCTGGTGAGACATATGGACATCCAGATATATGAAGCTCAAAAGTCTCCAATCAGGGTCAATCCAAATAATTCTTTACCAAATCATATTATAATCAAACTGCCAAAAATTAAAGGAAAAAAAAAAAAGATTTTGAAAGCAGGAAGTGGAAAGAGATTCCTCACATACAAGGGAACTCTCATAAGGATATCAGCAAATTTCTCAGCAGAAACTTTGCAGGTCAGGAGACAGTGGGATGACATAGTCACAGTGCTTAAAGGAAAATAACTGTCAATCAAGAATATTATATCTGGCAAAGCTGTCCTTCAGAAATGAAGAAGAGATAAAGACTTTCCAAGATAAACGAAGCTCAGGAAGTACATCACTGCTAGACTTGCCTTACAAAAAATGCTAAATGCAGTTCTTCAAACTGAGACAAAAGAACACTAATTAGTAAGATGAAAACATAGGAAAATATAAAACTCACTGGTAAAAGTGAGTATATAGTCAAATTCAGAATACTCTAATACTGTAATGGTGGTGTGTAAATCACTTATAACCCTAGTACAAAGGTTAAAAGACAGAACTATTAAAATAATAATAGCGGCTGGGCACGGTGGCTCACGCCTGTAATCCCAGCACTTTGGGAGGCGGAGGTGGGCAGATCACGAGGTCAGGAGATCGAGATCATCCTGGCTAACACAGTGAAACCCCGTCTTTACTAAAAATACAAAAAATTAGCCAGGCGTGGTGGCGGACACCTGTAGTCCCAGCTACTCCAGAGGCTGAGGCAGGAGAATGGCGGGAACCCGGGAGGCGGAGCTTGCAGTGAGCCGAGATCGCACCACTGCACTCCAACCTGGGCGACAGAGAGAGACTCCGTCTCAAAGAAACAAAAATTAATAATAATAATAGCTTCAATAATGTGCTAATACATACAAAATATTAAAAGATGTAAATTGTGACAACAAAAACATAAAATGTGAGGGAAAGGGAGTAAAAGTGCTAAGTTTTTATATGCAATCAAAGTTAAGATGACATCAGCTTAAAATTAACTGTTATAACTATGATATGTTTTATATAGGCTTCCTGATAACCACAAAGCAAAAACCTAGAATAGATACACAGCAGATGAAGAGAAAAGAATGAAATCACACCGCTATAGAAAATGATCAAATCACAAAGGAAGACAGCAAGAGAAGGAGAAAGGAACAAAACATCTTTTTTTAAAAAAAAAAAGAGCCAGAAAGCAATTAACAAAATGAGAACAGTAAGTCCTTACCTATCATTAATTGAGTGTAAATGAATTAAATGCTCCAATCAAAAGACATACAGTGGCTGAATGGACTAAAAAAAAAAAAAAAAAAAAAAAAAACAGAGCCAGGTGGCTCATGTCTGTAATCTTAGCACTTTGGGAGGCCAAGGCAGGAGGATGGCTTGAAGCCAGGAGTTTGAGACCAGTCTAGGCAACACAATGAGACCCTTTCTCTAAAAAAAAAAATAATAATAATAATAATAATAAAATAATTAGCTCAGTACGGTGGTGTATGCCTGTACCTCTAGCTACCCGGGAGGCTGAGGCAAGAGAATTGCTTGAGTCCAGGAGTTCAAGGTTACAGTAAGCTGTGATCATACCACTGCACTCCAACCTGGGTGACAGATTAAGACCCTATCAAACAAACAGCAACAACAAAAAAAAGAAGACCCCCCTCCCCTCAACTATATGCTACCTACAAGAGACTCACTTCAGCTTTAAGGACACATGTAAACTGAAAGTGAAAAAGATATTCCATGCAAAAAGAAAACAAAAGAGAGCAAGGTAGCCATATTTATATCACACAAAATAGACTAAGTCAAAAATTGACAAACAGACAAAGTAGATCATTATATAATGATAAAGGAGTTAATTCATCAAGAGGACTAACAATTGTAAATATATATGTGCCCAACACCAGAGAACCAAAATATGTAAGGCAAATATTAACAGACACAAAGAGAGAAATAGGCAGCAATACAATAATAGCACGGGGCTTCAGCACCCCACTTAGAACAAACAGTAGATCATCAAGACAGAAAATCAATAAGCGAACATTAGACTTGAACTATACTTTGGACCAAATGGATCTTGCTGTGTTGCCTAGACGTCTCAAACTCCTGGCCTTATGCGCCACCGTGCCTGATCCTGATTTTGTTTTTTTCCATTCAGAAGCAGAATATACATTCTTCCTGAATGCGAAGAGAGCATTATCTAGGATAGATCATATGTTAGGCGTCTGTCTTAGTCCATTATTCGGGCTGCTAAACAGAATACCTTAGATTGGTTAATTTATAAATAATAGAAATTTATTTCTTATAATTCTGGAGACTGGAAACTCCAAGATTAAGTCCCCAGCAGATTCAGTGTCTGATGAAATCTTGCACTTTGCTTCACAGACGGCTCCTCTTGCCACACCCTCACATGGCAGGAGAAGGCAGCTCCTCAACTTTTTTTTTTTTTTGTAATGGCACTTAACCCCATTCGTGAGGGCAAAGCCCTCATGACTTGATCACCTCATAAAGGCCTTGCCTCCTGATACTATCATATTGGGGATTAAGTTTCAACATATGAATTTTGACGATAGCAGCCACAAAGCAAGCCTCAACAAATTTAAGATTGACCTCTATCATACATCTTTTCCAACCACAATAGTACAAAACTAGAAATCAATAACAGGAGGAAAACTGTGATATTCACAAATAGGTAGAAATTAAACAACCTACTCCTCACATGATGATATCAATAGATGCAGAAAAAGCATTTGACAAAATCCAACACCAATTTGTGATAAAAACTCTCAATAAACTAGGAATAGAGAGCAACTTCCTCAAGTTGATAAAGAATAAACAACATGCTCCTTAACAACCAATGAGTCAAAGAAGAAATCAAAAGAGAAATTTAAAAATATCTTGAGACAAACAAAAATGGAAATACAATATAGCAAACTTTATGAGACGCAGCAAAAGCGTTCTAGGAGGGAAGCTTATAGCAATAAATGCCCACATGGGGGGAAAAATAAGATCTTAAATAATTCACCTAACTTTACACCTCAAGGTAAACAAAGAACAAACTAAGCCCATAGTTATTAAAAAGAAGGAAATAATAAAGATCAGAGCAAAAATAATCAGATAGAGTAGAAAAACAAGAGATCAAGAAAACTAAGTTTCTTTTTTGAAAAGATAAACAAAATTGACAAAGCTTTATCTAGACTAAAAGAAGAGTCAAAATCAAAACTGAAAGAGGAAATATTATAACCAATAACACAGAAATTCAAAGGATCATAATAGGCTACTATAAGCATTTATACACCAACACATCATATAACCTAGAAGAAATGAATAAATTCCTAGAAACATACAACCTATTAAGACTGAAATAGAATTTAGAAAAGAGCAATTAAAATTACATGCCCTGTTCTCATGGATAACTGGGAGCTGAACAGTGAGAACACATGGACACAGGGAGGGGAAAAACACACCCTGAGGCTTGTCAAGAGGTAAGGTCAGGGGAGGGAGAACATTAGGAAAAATAGCTAATGCGTGCTGGGCTTAATACCTTGGTGATGGGTTGACAGGTACAGCAAACCACCATGGCACACATTTACCTATGTAACAAACCTGCACATCCTGCATATGTACTCTGGAACTTAAAGTTTAAAAATTACATGCTCTGATTAATGAAATAACAAAAAATTATAGAAAATATATAAATAACCAAAAGTAGGATAAGTAAAAATTCCAAAAACTGGAAAACCTTTTACAAGTTTGATTAAACAAAAAAAGAACAGGGAAATTATATATGCAAGATTCAGAATGCTTAAAAATATTATAAGAAAATACTACCATAAATATTTTTTAAACTTTTAGTAAATGAATGATTTTCTAGAAATGTGTTTATTACCAAAACCACCCCCCAAAATGGAAAACTTGAATAAACCATTATGATGGAAAAATAAGATGATTAAATGTCTACTCTTGTACAAGGCTTTAGGACAACATAGGTTCATGTTTTCAAAATATATAAAACCAATATAATTTTAACTATTTCAGCCAGTAGAAAAAGATAGAAAACTCTTTGATTCATTTTAGGAGTCCAACGTCACATTTAACACCAAAACCCAACAAAGATTTTAAAAATTAAACATAGAACAAGATTTATCTAGAAAAACAAACCTCTTTGTTTTTGCACTCATATTCCATTAGTGTGTGTAATGTTTCATTAAATTATATGAATATAATAAACATTCAATCAGTCTAAAAAGGATTAGGAACAAACATAACTGACTCCTGATGAGTGTATTACACAATTATTGCCAAAATAGCACTGCACAACAAATCACCCCAAAACTCAAAGTTTCTACAACCACAAACATTTATTCTCATGTTCTTGGGTCTGCAGGTCCACTGCAGTTTGGCTTGTCTAGGCTGGGCCCAGAGAGTGGCTTTGCTTTAAGCTGTAGGTCAGCTGGGCTGGATTTCCTGCTGTGAGTTTCATTCATATCTTTACTACTTGTCTTCTTCTTGGACCAGTGGCTTCTTAGGGCTTTTTCTTTCCACGGGAGTAACAAAGTGCAAAAGCCAAGCTAAGTCACACAAGCAGATTTAAGGCCTCTCTTCACCTCAAGTCTGCTAGCCTTCCTTTGGCCAAAGCAAGTCACATGGCCAAGCCAAACTCAATGATGCAGGAAGGTGTATTCCAACCACAGGGGGAGCAAGTATATTGAATGATGGTCCCAACCACCACAATAAGTCTACAATTCAACTAATCAAAGCTGTAAACATCAAACTCTACTGTTGAAAGCCCTAGTATGTAAGTTAAAGAAAAAAAAAAAACTAGCTTATTAGCCCCAAATGTTTATCATGCTGAGGACACACAGAATGAACAAAGATTGTGAAGACTGTGAATTGCTTAAGTGAATGGCGCTATAAGGGCTGCTGAAACACTGCATATTGGGTTGGAGTGTTTCTTCCTCATATATCACTAATTTTCAAAATGGTTATAGATTCTTATATCTTAAAATGGAATATGGGTATTCATTAAGTATAATTGTGTAAGCAATGGCCACTTCATACTGTAAATGACCACGTCTGCCTCCCTTTAAACTGTAAGCTCCTTGAAGATAGAGACCATATCCTTTCAACTCTATGTCCTCAGCACCTAGCATTGTGCCTGGTACATAACAGGCACTTCATCAGTTCTTGAGTGAGTGAACAATGAGCCTCCTCGGCCTATCCCAGGGCTGTGATTGGCATTAAGGCTCCTGACTCCACTTGGATGGCCCTGCGTTTGGAAACTGCCTCCCCAATCCAGATTTGAGTTATTGGGAGTTTCCAGTTCTATACAGAATGGCTCTCTCTCCAGGGCCTTAAATCCTGACTCTTAAGACATCTCCTCTTAGACTTAAATCTGTTAAAGCCCCAGACCCGTTCTTTCTTTTAGCAAGACAGAGTGAGGCTCACTGACTTTTCTTCTGGCCTCATTTCCTCTTCTGATGAATCTGCCTTTCCCTTATCTCTGTCAATTCAATTCAACAGTCACTGAGCACCTAATACATGCCTGACTCTTCCCTGGGAAACATGAAGATGGCACAACCAACATCTGTTTCCAAAGAAGTTACATCCTTTTATGAGAAATCATTCCTTCAACTTCTAAATAAAATGTCTCCGTTTACATTTGCAACCGTGATTTTCCAGCTATACTTGTTTATTAGGCGGCAAAGATTTCCCAAAACTAACTTCTTAGTGGTTGTGTAACTAACATTCCTTTCTTCTAAAACAGTCCTAATAGAAATATAATACATACCACAAATGTGATTTTTAAATTTCAGTAGCCAAGATAAAAAAAGAAGTAAAAAGAAACAGGAGAAATTAAACTTAATAATATAGTTTACTCAACCCAGTGTATCTGAAATGTTATCTTTTAGTATATAATCAATATGAAATAATTTTTTCCAGCCTCTATATTCAAGATCATCGATATGAAATTTTTTCATATACATTTTTTTCATACTAAGCCTTTGAAGTCTGATGTGTATTTTATGTTTCTAGCATATCTCAATTTGGACTACCTACATTTCAAGTGCTCAGAAACCACATGTGGCTACCATATTAGGCAGCACAGTTATAAAAAATCGGTGTATTCCTACAGAGTTGTGTTGAACAGTTGCTCCCAGTCAAACTTACTGCCATGGTTATTGTTTCAAATGTACGTGTCTTCATGTTAACTCTGCCACAGAGGTTTGGGTAAAGTTTTCCCATTTATTAATAATAATTTCCTGAGAGCCTTATATGGTAGATGTTTTAAATAAGTTATTTCATCTAAACCTAACTTAAAAGTAGATATAATTATTCTCATTTACAGATGGTAAAATGGAGACATACAGAGGCAAAAACTTGCCTCATGTCAGGCAGCTAGAAAATATCTAGCTTAAAAGCTTGTATTCTTTCCTCCACAGCAGGGTTCAGCAATTGTTTTCTGTAAAGGGCCAGCTAGCCCCTAGTCTAGCCTTTATGGGCCACTCATTCATTGTGACAACCTCTCAACTCTGCTGTTGTGGTGAGAAAGCAGCCATAGGCAATATGTGAATAGATGGGTGTAGTTGTGTTCCAATAAAACTTTATCTACAAAAGCTGGCAGCAGGCTGGATTCAGGCCTTGGGCTATTGTTTGTCAACCCTGATCTACAGCATATCTTTATTTAACTCTAGCATTTCTCAAGACACTTTGAAAGTGATTATTCTGGACAACCCAACAGTCATCATTGTATGCATAAATCTCAGAATGAGATGACAAAGGCTTAAATTTTGAGACAGCTCAGATAAATAAAAAAACTCACTGAAGTCCATTCTTTTAAATAGTATCTTACCTAATCCTTGAGGGATGTGGTGTCTTCCTATCCTCAGACCTCACCAGCAGGTGTTAGATTCTCATACCTTCACCCTGTGGTCTAAACTGAGTGTTCAGTTTGTACCTATTCTATCATACATGTTCAGCGCATCCTCAATCTGAGTGTTCTGGCCTCTCAGTTATCCAAAGGTACAACTACCCAGAAGAAGTGAAGGTCCTCCTCTGAGAGTCAAACTGTAAATCAAGATACAGGAACTGGAGCAACGATCTATGAATTCATCTTAAAGACCCAAAATGACTCACAGGCCCTAACATTAAAATATGCCCGACTTGTTGGCAGGATGGATGGATGATTGAAAGATGATAAATCAATTATGACAGATTGTTGGTAGATAGATGGTTGATAGATGATTGATAATCAATAGATGATAGATCAATTGATGATAGATATATCGTTGGTAGATAGTGCATAGATGATAGACACAAAGATTAGATTAGATTAGATAGATGAAAGAGAGAGAATACTTAACACTAAACACGAGTGCTCAGCAACAGAGAGAAGAGAGTCACGGGGCAGTATTGGAGCTTTCCATCTCAGTGTCATCTAAGGAGCAGGCTGCCCTTTCAACTATCACAAAAATCTCTGCTTTGAGGCTAGACACAGCAGACCTAAGCAGTAAACTTCCAGTCATACAACCAGCTTCACTTTATTCTCATTCCCAGTCATCTTCTGATTATGCTTTGGTTTCCCATGAAGTTTTTTTGAACAAAAGAATGTCCTAATCAAGCCTTGGCAGCTGCCTTATCTCCCCAACATGTTTCTTATTATAAACCAATAAACGAGTATCTGTTCGACGCTTTGGTCTCCGACAGCCTTGTTCATATGGCCTGTGATCCTAGGTCAAGCTATCTCCGGTACAAACTCTCACTTCTTAGTCTGCAAAGATGAAGGAGAGATCCAATGGGGACTTGAAGAAATTTACCAACGTCAATGAAGAACACTTCAGTGGCCTAGCTGTTTATTTCTAGCAGGAGAGTTTTTTGGTTTCTGTACACTTTCCTTGATCCGAGAACAACTTTAGAAGCAAGAGAAAAACAAAACAAAAACCCTGTTTCTTTTCCAAGTCCCCATTTTTCTCTGCCTCTGTTCTTGGAAGACTCTAGCAAAACACTTTTCTAGAGTAGTCCTAAAAATGGGTCCACCTGCCCCCTGGTGGCAGACATAAATGGATCCCCATAGACTTACAAACCCTCCTTCCTGAACTTTCCCTGCCAGGGGAATTGTTTTCTACCCTCCTCAGCACTGGGGGGCTCATTTACTTGAATAAGATGAGCACTGGTTCCCCCAAAGATGGCCTTGGGCTTCCTGACCTGACTTAGAGGGCCTGGCTTATCTGAGATCTGCACTGAGAGCAACCATGGGCCTTACGAAGAACCAGGAAAGTGAGAGGCTGGAATGCCTTGCGAAAAGAATGAAAGGATTTGGAGTCCACTGAGAAAAGCTTCTGGAAGACACTTCTCAAATTTACCAGAAAAAAAAACATGGTCTCAGGGCAAGAATTTGGAGAAGAATGATAATCAGCATAGACCGCGTTACAATGGTGTAATGACTCAATGGGACCTTTACCAGTCCTACAATATGCGTTATCTTTATACTTCCTTATCTGTGCTGATTACCTCCCATTCATCCCTGTGGGTCCAGCTTCTGTGCCTTTCCCTGTCCCATGAGGCTGACCAGTATGGATTACATCAGTGGGCTCTCTTGCCCTCTTGCTTCTTGTTGGGTACAGCCAATGAAAGTGACCAGCAGAAATCAGAGGGTAGGAGGAGAATGAATCCGGGCAGTTGTCATTTGGGCTGTCCCCCTGTGGAAGGCAGCCCTGTATATACAGCCACCCTCTCTGTGTTCCTACAATGGCTTCCTCACCTCACCCATTCAGGCCTGGGATGGTAATGCTCCACGTTGCCACCATCCCCACTTTGGTTCCCTTAAACTCTTCCCATACCTCTATAGGTAGTCACTTTATTGATCTCTCCTCAAATTATCCAGATCACATGTGCCATCTCTTTCCCACCAGGACCCTGACCATATGCCTCTCTGCCGGAATGTCCCTCTCTGGTCACCCGTCCCTCATTAACTCTGATACTTAAAGGAGGAGCATAAATATTACCTCCTCTGTATGCAAGTATGGTAAGGAAGAGTGTTTACTGCTTCCTACAGATGGGGGACTATGCCCAGTCTCTGCCCTGAGACCAGGGACAAGTTCTATTCTCTGAAAATGGGGGTAAGGGCACTCACCGGCAGGCTGTCTAGAGGAACATGCGTTCTGTAAATATTGTTCCCATCCCCATGACATTGGCAACGATCACGCATTTCTTTGCTCCCACAGCATTTTTAACAGCTTAATTGAGGTGTCATTCATATACCATGCAGTTCACTCATTTAAAGTGCATAACTTAATGGCTTTTAGAATATTCAGAGTTGAGCATCTATCACCACAATCAATTTAAGAACATTTCATTACTCCAAAAAGAAATCCTACTTCCCTTAGCTGTCACCCTCCCATTCTTTCTCCCTCACTTTACTGTCAGCCCTAAGCAGCCACCAATCTACTTTTTGTTTCTATAGATTTATCTATTACGGACATCTCATATAAATGGAATCATGCAGCATATAATCTTTGAAACTGGCTTCTTTCACTTAACCATGTGTTCAAGGTTCATTCATGTCATACCATGTATTAGTACTTTGCTCCTCTTTATTGCCAAGTATCTTCCATTGCATGGATATACCACATTTTGTTCTACTCATCAGCTGATGGACAATTGGGTTGTTTCAACTTTTTGGCTATCATGAAATTGCTGCTCTGAACATTCGTGTATCCCACAGCACTTTGTAGAGACCTAAAGGAGAGCTCCTCCTACACTGTGTTATATCACTTGCTGACATGTCCGCTCTTTGTCCTGTTCCCCACTCACTCAACAGACAGTAAGGTTGCTTTGGGCAGTGTGCATGCAGGGACCCCTTCTGGTATGCACAAGACCTAGTACAGTGCCTGCCACATAACAGACATTCCATATTGTCTATGAAATAGTGAATCCAGTCATTCCACCATCTTTGACAGCATCAAAAATATCCATGGCCAGGCCAAGTGTGGTGGCTCACGCCTATAATCCAGCACTTTAGGAGACCAAGACGGGTGGATTACTTGAGGCCAGGAGTTCTAGACCAGCCTGTCCAACATGGTGAAATGGCATCTTTACTAAAAACACACCAATTAGCCAGGTGTGGTGGTGCACACCTATAATCCCAGCTACTTGGGAGGCTGAGGCAGGAGAATCACTTGAACCCAAGAGGTGGAAGGTGCAGTGTGCCAAGATCACGCCACTACACTCCAGCCTGGGTGACAGAGTGAAATCTTGTCTGAAAAAAATGAAATAAATTAAAATCCATGGCCATATCTGTATTTGACATTTGAAGAGGCAATGGGAAAAAATTCTCTAGCTTGACATTTCCTTCAGCCGTCTATAAGTCACAACCTCAGTAATCTCACAATCATATTTTAAAAGCCATTGGCCTCACAGTTTCTCATTACCCAAAATGCAACTCTACTTACAAAGGCCTTTAATCTTTCCTAGTGTGTTTGGAAGTTTGGGATATTTTGTTAAACATTTGCTATGCAACATTAGCAGCAAGACACTATAGACAAAGCCACTATGAACTTCAGATATAGAAGGGGGTATCTGTCAGCCTCTGTATCCCTTAGAATTAGAAACAATACTAATTACTCTCCAACACTCGATCTTGATATATCATTGTATATTCAAGAAGTGGAAAATAAAAATTAATGTAGAGTCTAATGGGCCACATGGATCAAGACCAAAAAAAAGTACAAAAAGACCAAAAAGTATATCCTCCTAAGATGGGAAGATATTGTGTCTGATTAAATATTACATATGGAAAATGGACTTTGTATGAGGTTCTGTATATGATGATGCACATATGGGATTATTTAGAATGTAAAATTGCTGTGATTGAAACAGAATTCCTGAATCCAAATTAGACAAATGTCAGTTAAAAAAAAAAAAAAAAAAAAAAAAGATGTCTCGGAAAAAGATTTAAGCCTGTGGATCAGATAAAGAATGTAATTGTAAATGAAAAAGAGAGATGGATAGAAACTGGGGTGGCATTTGGGAAGAGTTGTCGCAGCTGGCAAATAATAAACTCATTTTTGGAAGGATAAGGAAGATATATTGAATCTGTACACTTGAGAGCACCTCAATGTGCTATCATCCTGCCATCTTTTTCTGTCTTTATGCTTATGAATCTGCAAGTATGAACCATCCATGTTGACTCGCCTCTCTTGCTTAGAATCTTAGAAGATTTTCTTGTAAAATAATTTTACAATAAAGGATCACTTAGCCAGAATGTCTATGATCTGATCTCTTTCAGAATAATATATTTCCAGTTTTATACACGTTAACCTCAAACAAGCAGAATGGTTAAAAAAAAAAAAAGCATCATAGAACATTATGGGGGACCTACAAAATACAAAAAAAAAATTAGCGTTTTGTTTTGATTTTTCTTGAGACGGTCTCACTCTGTTGCCCAGGCTGGAGTGCAGTGGTGCAATCTCGGCTCACTGCAACCTCTGCCTCCTGGGTTCAAGCAATTTTCCTGCCTCAGCCTCCCGAGTAGCTGGGACTACAGGCATGCACCACCACACCTGGCTAATTTTTGTATTTTTAGTAGAGACAGGGTTTCTCCATGTTGGCCAGGCTGGTCTCGAACTCCTGACCTCAAGTGAACCATCCACCTCCCAAAGAGCTGGGATTACAGGCGTGAGTCACCGCACCTGGCCAAAATTATATTAGTAAAGGCATACATATCCTACAAGAGTTTTATCTAACATAAATGTATCATGCAAACTAACTGAAGAATGTATCAAATATAAGTCATCAATTGCACCCATAAAAAATCTGGACTAACTTAAAAATGGGAAAAATATATCTAAATATTTAGCAACAGAAACACAGCAAATATATTTTACTTATCAAGTCTCATAAACACAAAGAGAATTTGCTTGCACTTGTTTCCTTTAAAGATAATACACACATAAAAATGATAAATTACTTTTTTAAATGAAGTTTTTATTTTCCAGGAAATCTTTGTTGATCTAAAGAGACAGGATTTGATGTAAAGGCAGCACAGAAACTGAAGAATGAAATGGTGCCACAGCGTTGATGAAATTTTTTTTGTTTTTTGGTCTGCTTTTTTCAGGTTTCTTTTCCAGCTTCTACATCTGAGCCATCTCCTGTTCAGTAATCAGTAACAAATGACATTTGTTCCATAAAACGTATGAGCTTTCCACGGTATAAAATAGCATCAGGTAAAGGCATCCTTCATCCATCTATTACAACTCTCACCATCACTGATATGGCCCAGTGGAGCTCACCATCACCATGGACCATTCATTTCAGGAAATTATTCTTCAATTATTATAATAAATGATTTTTAAATCTAAACAATGGTTTTTAAAAAGGACATAATATGTATATAACAATTCCATCATATACTTTTATATTTAGACTCCCAGATAAATGATCTTCTACTAAACTTCATGAAATAGGAGTTCAGAAAAGATCTACCTCTTATGTTCAGCAGGATATGAGAGATACAATTTTTATGAAATAAGAACAATCTGACAAACTGTCAAGCCATTAAAAAACTAAAATTTAAAAAAGGTCATATAGGAAAAGGTAAAAGAAAGACTTCAAGTTGCCAAAACCTGATAAAATGATGCAGAGAATTAATTTAAGAAATAGTAACAGAATTCTTACAAATCAATTTTAAAACAATATTGAATAAAAGTAAAACAGAAATATATTACAGAAGTTGGCAGATAAATTGGATAGATCATAAACATTCAACAAATGAATGTTTCTGCAGAAAAAAAGAGCAAATAGCTCAAACCAGTAATTAAAAGTGTAATAAGGGAAAACATACAAATTAAGTATTTTTAATTTTTATAATTATGAGATAACCAACCATATTTCAGACAAAATTGACAAGTGGACATCCATGCCAAAGTGTATAATGCTCAATTTTTCTAAGAAAAATAAAGAATGTAAAAGTATCCTTTAGAGTAGACAACCCAGAAGTCAGGGGAAAAGTTGAACTTCTTCAAATTGCTGTCCACTCTGATGGCTTTTATTTATTTTCTCCACCTTAGTCTTCAACTACCTCATTGTGACTTCCACTTTTTCCACTGAAACTGTTCTCACCAAGAAAAATCAGAGCCTTCTTGCAACTAAATCTAAAGAACACTTTTGAACCCTTGTCTTGTTTGATCTTGCTTGTCTTATTTATCTGCAACATGTGATACCACTGACTACTCTTTTTGAAAAATACACTTTTCCCTGGGGTGAGAGCAGCCATACTTTCCTGGTTTCCTTCCCACCTTTTCTAAGTATTTTTACTTATTCTCCTTTCTTGGATCCTCCTTTGCTCCATCCTTAACATTAGACAATCTTGCAGGTTCTGTCCTTGTTCCTGACTCCATCTACACACTTTCTGTGTGCAACTCCATCTTCCTCAGCTTCCACGGCCCTTGGTATGCCAACGACTTCCAACTCCCATCTCCCAGCTCAGTCCTGTCCCACAAACTCCAAATCCATATGTTGTATTTCCTGATATGACTAGACCTCACCTCCAAACTTCTCCCCCTTCTTCTCCCATACTTGTCCCTGTGCCATTATCCCCTATTTCAATAAATGGCACCATTATTTATTTAGTTGCTCAAGCTAAAAAATCTCAGTTATTTTTCATTCTTCTCACTTTCTCTTGCCAACACTCAAAAATCTAGTCCTCTTGATTCAACATGTTAAGGATTTTTCACATCTGTGTATTTCTCTGCATCCCCACTACTGTCACACTGTCACCTTTGTCTTTCAAGCCACTGTTGTCTTTTTTTTTTTTTTTTTTTTTTGAGACGGAGTCTCACTCTATCACCCAGGCTGGAGTGCAGTGGCACCATCTCGGCTCACTGCGACCTCTCCCTCCCGGGTCCAAGCGATTCTCCTGCCTCAGCCTCCCAAGTAGCTGGGACTACAGGCACACGCCACCACACCTGGCTAATTTTTGTATTTTTAGTAGAGACGGGGTTTCGCCATGTTGGTCAAGCTGGTCTTGAGCTCCTGAACTCAAGTGGTCCACCCGTCTCTGCCTCTCAAAGTGCTGAGATTACAGGCATGAGCCACCGTGCCCGGCCCACAACTGTCTTTCAACTGGGCTCCTGTAGTAGCCTCCAATGTGGCCTCCTAGACACGAATCTTGTGTCTCACCCCTAAATCCACTTACTCTACAACCAGAAAGATCTTTCTAAAATAGAAAGCTGGTCATGTACTTAGCCATGCCCACTTCCCATAGCTATTTAAAACCTTTCATTTTGGCTTTTCTTTTGTAGAAGATCTTAAAACTCACATGATCTTATAGAACCCTCCTTTCTGCATACTCTAAGTATCACTCTCCTGTTTGCTTGATGTCCTCCAGTATTTCTTGATGTAGCACCTGCTTCTCAATCATTGCATTGACATGTAATTTTCGCTTTGTCTATGTGTTTTTCTTTCTCTCCCACTTTCCATCTCTCAATCTAGCCAACGTTGATTTATCATTAAAATTTCCTCTTTTGTTTTATCACTTTCTCAGGAAGGCTTCTCTTTCCTTCTTAGGCAGATAAAATTATTCTAACAGTATATCCACCATAGCCCTCTTAACCTCGTTAACATTCATCATACTCTTTTTTTTTTTTTTTTAAGAGATAGGGTCTCACTCTGTCACCTAGGCCAGAGTCCAGTGGTGCAATCATAGCTCCCCGTAACTGCCAACTGCTGGGCTCAAGCGATCCTCCCATCCCAGTCTCCCGAATAGCTGGGACCACAGGCACACACGCTGCACCCAGCAAATTAATGTTTTTAGAGATAGGGTGTCACTATGTTGCTCAGGCTGTTCTTGAACTCCTAGCCTCAAGCAATCCTACTGCCTCAGCCTCGCAAAGCACTGGGATTAGAGGTGAGAGCCACTGCACCTAGCCCATACTCTTAATTAATATTTCATTAATCAGTCATCCACTCACTAAAGTCACTGACTCAGAGCATTAGAAAGGCTTAAACTATTACCATTTTTATTTTATTTTATTTTATTTTTTTGAGACTGAGTTTTGCTCTTGTTGCCGAGGCTGGAGTGCAATGGCGCCATCTCAGCCCAATGCAACCTCCACCTCCCCAGTTCAAGTGATTCTCCTGCCTCAGCTTCCCAAGTAGCTGGGATTACAGGTGTGTACCACCATGCTGAGTTAATTTTGTATATTTTTAGTAGAGACAGGGTTTCACCATGTTGGTTAGGCTGGTCTTGAACTCCTGACCTCAGGTGATCCACCCACCTTGGCCTCATCTATATTTTAAAGATCATTTTGCACTGCCTGGAGACTGTGGATGGGACTATACACTTAGAAGCCGAGTTGTACTAGGGACCGTTTTGGGACTCAAATCCCAAGGTGCCCCCCAGCTTCAGAAGTGATATGTCTCATCTGTGAATACTCAGGTGAGCAGACACAGGAGGCTAAGGGCAGTTCTCAAAAATTACCCCTTCAGTACAATTACTCAATCACTCAAGATAAGGACATGAAAGAAAGGGAGACTTACGCGAAAAAAGTTGTGGCCAAGAAAATTCTGGCCTTGAGTATTCTTATGGGAAAACAATGTAATCTTTTCCATAATACAGGCTTATTCCATTAAAATATGAGGAAATTTTGAGGAATATACCTCATGTAGGGATGTGTTAGTCTACTAAATTGTCAAAAATTGGGCAAACTAGAGAACTAAAGAAGATAACTAATGTTTTAATGGCTAAGAATACAGTACCAAAAATTAAAATCATAGTAAAAGCAAAGTTAAAAAGTGCTTATGATGCAGCAGAGAATGAAATGAGTAGAGTAGAGAACAAAGATAAGAGAATGGCTGGGTGCAGTGTGGCTCACGCCTGTAATCCCATCACTTTGGGAGGCCCAGGTGGGCAAATCACCTTAGGTCAGGGTTCAAGACCAGCCTGACCAACATGGCAAAACCCTGTCTCTACTAAACATACAAAACTTAGCCAGTTGTGGTGGCATGTGCCTGTAATCCCAGCTACTCGGGTAGCTGAGGCAGGAGAATTGCTAGAACCCGGGAGACAGAGGTTGCAATGAACCAAGATCACACCACTGCACTCCAGCCTGGGCAACACAGTGAGACGCTGTCTCAAAAAAAAAAAAAAAAAAAAAAAAAAGAATGATTGTACTAAAAGCAATAATAATAGATATTACAAAAGAAAATTTTATAGACTTAATAAACCATTTAATATTGTAGGTTGGCCAGGCATAGTGGCTCCCACCTGAAATCCCAGTGCATTGGGAGGTGAAGGCAGGAAGACTGCTTGGGGCCAGGAGTTCAAGACCAGCCTGGGCAACATAGTGAGACTCTGTCTTCACAAAAAAAAAGAAAAAAAAATTTAATTAGCCAGAGATAGTGGCACATGCCTGTAGTTGTAGCTACTCAGGACGCTGAGGTGGGAGGATCACTTGAGTCGGGGAGTTCAAGGTTGCAATGAGGTATGGCTTGTGCCACTGCACTCCAGCCTGGGCAACGGAGGAAGACCCTGTCCCTAAAAATTAAGTAAGATAAAATAAATTTTTAGATTGGAAGCGTTGACCATATCATTAGACAATTTATTGAGTAGAACACATCAGGACATTCAATTGAAGAATGGGGGGAAATTCTACAAGAATACTAGCAGAACAAAAGTATTACCTTCAAAGCAATTAAAATCATGTTTGTCTCATGTTCAATAATAAATTCTAAAAGTCGGTAGAGAAATTTTTTTAAATGTACAAAATGGGAATACTATACCATACCAAACTTACTTATGTTTAAAAGCAACAGAAATATATTCTCATTTTCAAAGATCTGAGAAAAATTTCAATCTAATTATACTATTTTAAGAACAGTGCTTTAAAAAAGACCCTCCTGGTTGGGTATGATGGTTCATGCCTATGATCCCAGCACTTTGGAAGGTCAAGGTGAGAGGATTGCTTGAGTCCAAGAGTTTGAGACCAGCCTGGGCAACATGGCGAAACTCCATCTCTACAAAAAAAACACAAAAATTGGCCAGGCGTGGCGGCTCACGCCTGTAATCCCAGCACTTTGGGAGGCCGAGGCGGGCGGATCACGAGCTCAGGAGATCGAGACCATCCTGGCTAACACGGTGAAACCCGTCTCTACTAAAAATACAAAAAAATTAGCCGGGTGTAGTGGCGGGCGCCTGTAGTCCCAGCTACTCGGGCGGCTGAGGCAGGAGAATGGCGTGAACCTGGGAGGCGGAGCTTACAGTGAGCCGAGATTGCGCCACTGCACTCCAGCCTGGGCGACAGAGCCAGACTCCGTCTCAAAAAAAAAAAAAAAAAATTAGCCAGGCATGGTGGCACATGCCTGTAATCCCAGCTACTCTGGAGGCTGAGGTGGGAGGATCCCTTGAGCCCAGGAGGTCAGAGGTTGCACAGTGAGCTGTGATCGCTCCACTGCACTCCAGCCTGGGCGATGGAGCCAGACCCTGTCTCAAAAAAAACTTCTCCTGAAAATTCTATACATACATATATGTATACTTTTATAGTATTATATATGTATACACTAAAAGAATAAATAACAAAAAAAGACTGATATTGACTATGACTATATTGTTTAGCTGTAACTTCCGCTAAAGATATACAAAGGGGTTAACCACTAATGGGAAAAGTGTTATATTTATTGTCTATTTTATGTATTTAAATAATCAACACCTAAAAAAATAATGAAAGCTCCTAAAAATCCGGGAATAAAGGAAGGATTTTGCTTTGTTTGTTTTAAATTCAAAGTTAGTGTTTTTACACTCTCTTGTAATGAAAGATTAAACAGTATTACCCAGTTTCACTTTAAGCCTTGTTGAAGTAATTGGTAGCAGACTTGCCCTCCCGTAATAAATAGGAAACTGGAAAAGAAAATTGAACAGCTGGATACAGACATTAGACTACAGGCACTGTGAGGCTGTGATTTCTGTGGGAAGGAAAACACATGACTCCCCTACAATCACCTGGCTTTCTGTCTGAAGGCAATTCTAGACTCCAGCACAGAGAGAGTGAGAGCAAGGTGGTCCTGCTGAGCTGAGGAGAGAGAGGTGAGATTTGGGGGAGGCTAAGGCAGCTGTAACTTGAAAGACTATATCAGAAAAGAGGAAGTTACACAGAGAAAGAGCTAAACAAATCTTCGTAAGAATGCCAGCTCCTTTGGAGGCTGAAACAAGAGAATCACTTGAGCCCAGCTACGCAAATCCAGCCTGGGCAACATAGTGAGACACCATCTCTTTTAGTAAAGCACACACACACACAAAAAAAACCTTCATAAGAGTCTCATTGTGTACACTGATGAGTATTAAGCTGTGCATGTGTAGGGTGAAACTAGGAAACTCTAAGTTCACATATTCCTCAAACTGGAAGACTTTCAAGTTCCAATCACCAGAATGACAGACTTTGTAGAACTTCTGTATCTTTGCAGAACATCTATAAAGGATAGATATATATATCTTTTACACACACACACACACACACACACACACACATTAAGATAAAGATAAAATAAATACTTTTTCAGACATACAAAATGTGAGAGAATTCTTCTGTAAGAAACCTGTACTGCAAAAAAGGTGTAAAAATGTCATTTAAGTTGAAGAAAAATGATACCAGATGGAAAGCCAGATCTACAAAAAGAAATGAAGAGAACCAGAAATGGCAAATATGCAGATAAATATAAGATTTGTATTTCTTATTTTTAAATTTCTTTAAAAACACAATTAATCGGGCCGGGTGCGGTGGCTCACGCCTGTAATCCCAGCACTTTGGGAGGCCGAGGTGGGCGGATCATGAGGTCAGGAGATCGAGACCATCCTAGCAAGCATGGTGAAACCCCATCTCTACTAAAAAAATACAAAAAAAAATTAGCTGGGCGTGGTGGTGGGCGCCTATAGTCTCAGCTACCGGGGAGACTGAGGTAGGAGAATGGCATGAACCTGGGAGGCAGAGCTTGCAGTGAGCCAAGTTCGCACCACTGCACTCCAGCCTGGGCAACAGAGCAAGACTCCGTCTCCAAAAAAAAAAAAAAAAAACACACAATCACTTAACACAAAAATAATAGAAATATATTTTGGGATTAATGTATGACATCAGAAGCACAAAGCAAAAGGGGGAAATAAAAATATTCTGTTGTATGGTTCTTACATGATATGTAAAGTAGTACATTAATTTAAAATAGACTGAGATAAGTTTCAAATACATATATAGTAACTCAGAGAACAATCGCATTAAACAAAGAATAAGGAGACATAACATATAAGCTAATAGCAAAGATAAAATAGAATACTAAATAAATAAAACCCAATTAATCTAAATTAGGAAAGAAAGGTTAGAAATAAACCAAAAACAGAATTAGAAAGCAAGTACTAAAGTGAAAGCTGAAAGAAAACTATATCAGTAGTTACATTAAATGTAAATGTTCTAAGTATTCCAATTAAAACATGTATCAGAAGAATAAAAAAGAAACTTCAACTATATGCTACAAGAAACTATATGCCTATAGTAAATGAATTTTAAACATAAAGACACAGATCAAAAGTAAAAGACCTACCAGGCAAACATTAATTATTAGAATGCTGGAGTAACTACATCAATAATAGACAAAGTAGACTTTAGCAAAAGGTATTTCGCTAGAGATAAAAAGGGACATTTCATAATGGCAAAAAGCTCAATTCGCAAGGAAGATATAACCATTTTTTAAATGTGCAAAATTACAGAGCTTCAAAATACATGAAGAAAAAAAACCGGCAGGACTGAAAAAAGAAACGAATATGTACATAATGATAGTTAAAAACTGTAGTATTCCTCTCTCAGTGCTTGATAGAGCAAAAAGAATATCATCAAAGAAGTAAATGACTAGAAAAACACTATCAACCAACCTGACCTGATTGACATTTACACAAAACTACACTCAACTATAGTCAAATATACATTTTCTGCAAGTGCACATGGAACATAGCCCAGTAAAGACCATATGGTGGGCCATGTAAAAGAACTCAATAAATTTAGAAGAAATGAAAGCATTAGAGTACATTTCTGATCTGATCACAGGGGAATTAAAATAGAACTCAACAGAAAAAAAGTATCTGGAAAATCTCCAAATATTTGGAAATTAAACAGCATGCTTAAAAAAAAGAAAACCTAAGAATAAATCACCTAGGAAATTAGACAACACTTTGAACCGAGCAGCAATGAAAACAAAAATATATAAAAATTGTGGAATGCAAATAAAATAATACTTAGAGGAAATTTTATGGCTTTAAATGCTTATATTAGAAAATTTGTTAAAAGATCTAATATTAATTATCTAACCTTAAAAAGTTAGAAAAGAAGAGAAAATGAAACTCATTGTAGGTAGGAGAATGCAAATAATAAAGATAATAGAAGAAACAAATAAAATAGATTATGGACAAACACTTGAAATCAATAAAACTAAAATCTAGCTATTTCAAGAGGTGAATTGAAATAATAAATTCCAGATTAACTGATGAAGAAAAAAGAGAAGAAGCAAATTCTAATATCAGTAATAAAACTGAGATATCAGGACGACAGTGCAATAAAAATAGAAATAAATACCAAGAAGAGCTCTCAAAATTACACAAAAACCTGGAAATTAACAACTTTCTTCTGAATAACTCTTGGGAAAAAATGAAATTAAGGCAGAAATAAAAAAAATTCTTTGAAATTAATGAAAATAGAGACACAACTTATCAAAACCTTTATGATGCAGCTAAAGCAGTGTTAAGAGGAAAATTTATAGCACTAAACATCTTCATCAAGAGGTAAGAAAGATCTCAAACTAACAATCTAACATTGCAGTTAGAGGTCCTACAAAAAAATAACAATCTAACTCTAAAACTACTGGAAGAAAATTACTAAAATCAGAGAAGAACTGAATGAAATTGAGACCCAAAAGTCCATACAAAAGACCAATGAAACCAAGAGTTGGTTATTTGAAAGAATAAGATTGATATACCCTTAGCTAGATTAACAAAGAAAAAGAATATTCAAATAAGTGCAATCAGAAATGACAAAGATGGCTTTACAACCAATCCCACAGAAATACAAAAGATCCTCAGAGACTATTATGAACACCTCTATGCATGGAAATTAGAAAATCTAGAGGAAACGGATAAATTCCTGGAAATACACAACCTCCAAAGATTTAATCAGGAAGAAAGTGAAAACCTGAACAGAACAATAGCAAGTTCAGGAATTGAATCAGTAATCAAAAACCTACCAAACACAAAAAGCCCTGGACCAAATGGATTTACAGCCAAATTCTACCAGATGTACAAAAAAGAACTGATACCAATCCCACTAAAACTTTTCCAAAAAATCAAGGAGGTGTGGCTCCTCCCTAACTCATTCTACAAAGCCAACATCATCCTGATACCAAAATCTGGCAGAAATATAACAAAAAAAGAAAACTTCAGGCCAATATCCCTCATAAATATAGATATAAAAATCCTCAACAAAATACTAGCACACTGAATCCAGCAGCATATTAAAATCTTAAATGAGGCTGGGCACGGTGGCTCGTGCCTGTAATCCCAGCACTTTGGGAGGCCAAGGCATGTGGATCACTCGAGGTCAGGAGTTCGAGACCAGCCTGGCCAACATCGTGAAACCCTGTCTCTGCTAAAAATATAAAAATTAGCTGGGTGTGGTGGTGTCCACCTGTAATCCAGCTACATGGGAGGCTGAGGCAGGAGAATCACTTAAACCTAGGAGGCAGAGGTTGCAGCGAAACGAGATCATACCATTGCACTCCAGCTTGGGTGACAGAGTAAGATTACATCTCAAAAAACAAACAAACAAACAAACAAAACTGTTAAATGACCATGATCAAGTAGGCTTCATTTCTGAGATGCAAGATTGGTTCAACACACACAAATCAATATATATAATTCAGCACATAAACAGGATCAAAAACAAAAATCATATGATCATCTCAAAAGATGCAGAAAAAGCCTTCAATAATATTCCTTCATAAAAATCCTCAACAGATTAGGCATTGAAGGACCATACCTCAAAATAATGACAACCATTTCTGACAAACCCACAGCCAACATCACACTGAATGGGCAAAAGCTGGAACCATTCCTCTTGTGTACTAGAACAAGACAAGGATGCCCACTGTCACTGCTTCTATTCACCATAGTACTGGAAGTTCTAGCCAGGGCATATCAGGTAAAAGAAAGAAGTAAAAGGCATCCCAATAGTAAAAGAAGGAAGTCAAACTATCTCTCTTTGCCAAAAATATGATTCTATACATAGAAAACCCTCAAGACTCCGCCAAAAAGCTCCTGGAACTGATAAAGAAATTTGGTAAAGTCTTGGGATAGAAAATCAATGTACAAAAGTCAGTAGCATATGTATAGACCAATAACACTCTAGCTGAGAACCAAATCAAGAACACAATATGATTTACATTAGCCACAAAGAAAATGAAATACCTAGGAATTTATCTAACAAAGGAGGTGAAAGATCTCTACAATGGCAACTGCAAAACACTGCTGAAAGAAATCAGAGATAACAAAAATAAATAGAAATATATTCCATGCTCTGGAACTGGAAGAGTCAATACAGTTAAAATGGTCATACTGTGCAATGTTATCCCTATCAAAATTCCAATGTCAGTTTTCACAGAACTAGAAAAATCTATTCCAAAATTCATTTGGAACCAAAAAAGAGCCCTAATAGCCAAAGTAATCCTAAGCAAAAAGAACAAGGCCAGAGGAATCACATTGCCCGACTTCAAACTATATGCCATAGCACTGGTATAAAAACAGGCACATAGACCAGTGGAACAGAATAGACAACCCAGAAATAAACCTGCACACTCACAACCATTTGCTCTTTAACAAAATCAACAAAAATAAGTAATGGGGAAAGAACTCCATATTTATTGAACGGTGCAGGGATAACTGGCTAGCCATATGTAGAAGAAAGAAACTGGGCCTCTGCCTCTCACCATATATAAAAATTAACTGAAGATTGATTAAATATTTAAATGTAAGACCTCAAACTATAAAAATCCTAGAAGAAAACCTAGGAAATACCCTTCTCAACATAGGCTTTGACAAAGAATTTAACTTAGCCAAGTCCCCAAAAGCAATGACAAAAAAAAAAAAAAAAATTTTGACAAGCGGAACCTAGTTAAACTTAACCACTTCTGCACAGCAAAAGAAATTACCAACAGAGTAAACAGACAACCTACAGAATGGAAGAAAATATTTACAAACTATGTATCTGACAAAGGACTAATATCCAGAATCTACAAGGAACTTAAACAAATGAACAAGCAACAAACAAAAAATCCAATTAAAGTAAATGGACTAAGGACACGAACAGACACTTCTCAAAAGAAGACATACAAACAGCCAATAAACATGAAAAAATGTTCAACATCACTAATCATCAGAGAAATGTAAATGAAAACCATAGTGAGATATCATCTCACACCAGTCAAAATGGTGATTATTGAAAAGTCAAAAAAACAACAGACATTGGCGAGGTTACGGAAAAAAAAGGAAATGCTCAGACACTGTTGGTAGAAATGTAAATTAGTTCGACCACTGTGGAAAGCAGTTTGGAGATACCCAAAGAACTTAAGATATAACTACCATTTGACCCAGCAATCCCACTACTGGGTACATACCCAAAGGAAAATAACTCATCGTATCAAAAAGACACATCCATCTTTATGTTCACTGCAGTGCTATTTACAATAGTAAACTCATATAATCAACCTAAGTGCCCATCACACTGGATTGGATAAAGGAAGTGTGGTATATACACAACATAGAATACACACAACCATAAAAGAGAATGAAATCATGTCCTTTGCAGCAACATGGATAGAGCTGGAAACCATTATCCTAAGTGACCTACCACAAGAACAGAAAACCAAATAGCACATATTCTCACTTATAAGTGGGAGATAGACATTGAATACACATGAACATAAAGATGGGAACAACAGACGCTTGGGATCACTAGATGTGAGAGGGAAGAAGGGAGTGGGGCGTAAGCTGAAGAACCACCTGTTGGGTACTATGCTTACTACCTAGGTGACGAGATCACTGGGACTCCAAGCCTCAGCATCACACAATTTACACATGTAACAAACCTGCATGTGTGCCCTTTAAAGCTATAACAACAGTTGAAATTTTTGTTAAAAAAAAATGAGGTATCACTATAGATCTTACAGGCATTAAAAGATAGTAAGAGACTATATTAACAGCTTATACCAATATGTGGTGACTTAGATAAAATAGACAAATTCCCTGAAGGACACAAATTACCAAAACTCATGCAAGAAGAAATATAAAATCTGAAAACCCCTTTATATGAAAGAAATTAAACTCACAATTTAAAATAGTTCCACAAAGGAAATACCAAGTCTAGATAGTTTCACTGATGAATTTTTGCAAATATTTAGGTAAAAAAAATAAAATAAAAAAAAACCAACCAGGCAAAACTGTCTCAGAAAAATAATGAACAAGGGAATACTTCCCACAACATTTTGAGGCCAGCATTACTATGATATTACTCTGACAGCCAAAAAGACATTACAAAAAAAAAAAGTACAAACCAATATTCCTCACGAACATAAAAAATAACTCCTCAACAAATATTAGCAAATCAAGTCCGACAATATTTAAATAGGGTAATACATTATGGCTGTGTGTGTGCTATCCCAGAAATACAATGTTGTCTTATCATTCAAAAATCAAGAAATAGAATTAGCCATTTTTACACATGAAAAAATAAACCACATGATCGTCTCAATAGGTGCAGAAAAAGCATTTGACAAAACTTAACACCCATGCATGAAAAAACCTGTGATAAGTCTAGGAATAGAAGAGCATTTTCTCAAAGAGATAATGATAACAAGCATTTAAAAATCACTACCTGGCTGAGTGCAGTGACTCACGCCTGTAATCCTAGCACTTTGGGAGGCCGAGGCGGGTGGATCACGATGTCAGAAGATCGAGACCATCCTGACTAACACGGTGAAACACTGTCTCTACTAAAAAATATAAAAAATTAGCCAGGCGTGGTGGCGGGCACCTGTAGTTCCAGCTACTCAGGAGGCTGAGGCAGGAGAATGGCATAAACCTGAGAGGCAGAGCTTGCAGTGAGCCGAGATCATGCCACTGCACTCCACCCTAGGCGACAGAGTGAGACTCCATCTCAAAAAAAATAAATAAATAATAAATAAATAAATAAAAATCACTACCTACCCTTATACTTTACAGCAAAAGGCCATAAAATTTCCCCCTATGATCAGGAAATGAGCAAGAATGTCTACTTTACAACTCCCAGTCAACATTTTAATGGTGGTCCTAGCCAGTATATTAAGGAAAGAAAAAGAAATAAAGGTCATAAATCTTAGCAATAAAGTAAAACTGTATTTATCCACAGGTGATATGATCATATTCATAGACTGTCATAAGGAATATATTTTTAAACTTATTAATTTAATTAACATAATTATTAAGTAAATGTATCAATGTCAGAGGATACAAAGTCAGTTATATTTCAATCTACTATCAATCTGAATTGAAATTTTATAAAGATGTAAGTGTCAAAAACCATGAAATACTTACAGATTTAACAAAATATTCACAAGACTGCTACACGAAAAACTGCTGAGAAAATGTAAAGAATAGTTTGAGATATACACCACGTTCGTGTATTAAAAGATTAAATGTTGTAATAATGTCAGATCTCATAAAATTGATCTATAGATTTAAGGCAATCATCATCAAAATCTCATTAGGATTATTTGAAGAAATTAACAAGGTGATTCTGAAAGGTAGATAGCAATGCCAACAACTTAGAATAGTCAAAATTATTTTGAAAAAAGAACAAAGCTGGAAAATTTATACTACCTTTAAGACGTACTATGCAGCTTCACTAATAAAAACAACTTTGTAATAAGAATAGAATAGAAGCAAATGGAACAGAATAGAGATTCTAGGAAAAGATTAACACGTATCAAGTTATTACCAAGCCAAGTCAGTTGGTTTTCTATTAAGATTCCAAAGTTCCAATTTAATTCAATGGGAAGAGATAGTCTTTTGAACAAAAGGTTCTGAAAGAACTAGAGGTCTATTGGAAATTAACCTTAACCCTTATCTCACATCAAACAATTTTATTAACTCAAGATGGATCTTAGACCTGTATCTAAAAGATTAAAATTTCTGGAAGACAGGAGAAGTCTTTGCAAACTGTGGAGCAGACAATGGTTACTTAGAATATAGAAGACGCTAAACATTTAAAACAGTTAATAAATTGGGCTTCAACAAAATTTTAAACTTTTACTCTTTGAAAAACACTTGAAATCACAAGACACAGACTCGAATAAAATATGTGCAATGCCTATATCTAAACAAATATTTGTTTTTTGGTTTTAAGTTCTTGGATACAAGCGCAGAACATGCAGGTTTGTTAACATAGGTAAACTTGTGCCATGGTGGTCTGCTGCACCTATCAACCCATCTAAGCCCCACATGCATTAACTACTCATCCTGATGCTTTCCCTCCCCCAACCCCCTGACAGGCCCCAATGTGTATTGTTCCCCTCCCTGTGTCCATGTGTTCTCATCCGAACAAATATTTGCATCCAAAATATAAAAGGAACAATTACAAGTTAATAGAAAGAACACAGCAACCCAATTTTTGAAATGGGGAGAACATCTGAATAGACACTCTGAAAAAGTTGTACATGCAATAATTAAGTATAAGAAATAAGAAGAAGAAATAAAGTATAACCTAACTACATCTTAAGAAACTAGAAAAAGAAGTGCAAACTAAACATAAAGCTAGCAGTAGGAAGATTGGAGCAGAGATGAATGAAGCCAAGAATAGAAAGATAATAGAGAAAATCACCAAAGTTAGTCCTTCGAAAAGGCTAGCACAATTTACAAAACTTTAGGCTGACTACACAAAAAAGAAAGAAGATACAAATATCTAAAAATCACAATAAAAATTGGGACTTTACTACCAACCTTAAAAAACTAAAAGAATTACAAGACAATACTATGAACAATTGTACACCAACAAGTTAGATAACCTAGAAGAGATGGAAAAATTTTTAGAAACACAAAACTACCAAAATTGACCCAAGAAGAAATAAAACCCCGAACAGACCTATAGCAAGTAAAGAGATAAAATCAGTCATTAAAAGCTTTCCAACAGGCCGGACACAGTGCCTCACGCCTGTAATCTCAGCACTTTGGAAGGCTGAGGTTGGTGCATCACCTGAGGTCAGAAGTTCAAGACCAGCCTGGCTAACATGGTGAAATGCCATCTCTATTAAAATACAAAAATTAGCTGGGCATGGTGGCGCACACCTGTAATCCCAGCTACTCAGGAGGCTAAGGCAGGAGAATCGCTTGAACCCAGGAGGCGGAGGTTGTCGTGAGCCAAGATCGTGCCTTGGGCGACAAGAGCAAAACTCCGTCTCAAAAAAAAAAGCAAAACAAGGGGGTCAATTAATCAAAAGGACAAGACAATTCCTAAACATTTATAACCTAGTAACTGATCTTCAAATTCATGAGGCAGCAACTGGTTGAACCATAAAGAGAAATAGACAAATCCAAAATCAGAGTTTATTTCAAAGTCCATTTCAATTATCTATAGAAGAAAGAGAAAATCAGTAAATGCACAGAAGGTTTGAGAAACAATACGAACCAATTTGATCTAATTGACATTTATAGAGCACTCTGCCAACAAAAGAAAGATCTCACACCTTCTTTTCAACTGCACATGGAACACTTACGACATTTACCAAAACACATCATATTCTGAGCCATGAAATATGGTTCAATAAATTTAAAATATTCAAGTCATACAAAATGTGTTCTCTGACCACAAAGGAATTAGACATCAGTAACACAAAGAACTCTGGAAAATCCCCTACATATGTGAAAACTAAATAAAACACTTTTATATAATCCATGGCTCAAAGAAGAAATCAGGGAAATTAGGAAGTGTATTGAACTGAATAAAAATAAAAACATAGCATATTAAACTTTGTGGGAACTGGGGAGAGGAATTTCAGCTCTTACCTCACAACACACACACAAATTAGGTCCTAGACCTAAATCTAAAACCTAAACTACAAAACTTGTAGAAGAAATCTTAAAAGAAAATCTTTGTGATCTTGGGATACAGTAGGATTTCTTACACAGGACACAAAAAAGTATGTATCATGAAAGAAAAAAAGATTTCATCCAAATAAAAAAATTCTGCTTTTCGGAAAGACTGTATTTTAAAAAGGAAAAGGGCCATGTGTAGTGGCTCATGCCTGTAATCCCAACACTCTGGAAGGTGGAGGTGGGAGGACTGCTTAAGGCCAGAAGTTTGAGACCAGCCTGGGCAAGATAGTGAGACCCTATCTCTACAGAAAAATGAATAGAAATTAAAAGCAAAAGACAAGTCACAGACAGGGAGAAAATACTTGCTAAAAACATATTTGATAAAGGAAATATCTTGAGAATATTTAAAGGATTCTCAAAATACAATATTTTTAAAGACTAATTTTAAAATTGAACAAAAAATTTGAACAAACATTCCACCAAAGAAGATATATACATATGCTCAACTTATGATGGGGTCACATCTCAATAAACCCATCTTAAGTTGAAAATACTGTAAGCCAAAAATACGTTTAATACACTTATCCTGTGGTACATCAGAGCTTAGTCTATCCTACCTCAAATGTGCTCACAAAACTTACATTAGCCTACAGCTTGGCAAAATAATCTAACACAAAGCCTATTTTATAATAAAGTGTTGACTATCTCATGTAATTTATTGAATACCTTACCAGAATCCAATAAATGGTTGAAAATAAAAAATAGAATGGGTATATGGGTACTCAAAGTATAGTTTCTACTGAATTCCTATCACTTTTGCACCAAGTTGAAAAATTGTAGTGAAACAATTGTAAATTGGGGACATCTGTAGATGGAAAAATAGGCACATGAAAAAGAAGCTCAACATAATTGGTGACTAGGGAAATTAAGGCCACAATGAGATGCCACTACACTCCTATCAGAATGACAATAAAAAAAAATCTATCAATACTAAGTGATGGTAAGGGCATGGAGCAAATGGAATTCTATGCAGAGCTCGTGGAAATGCAAAGTGCTACAGCCACTTTGGAAAACAGTTTCTTCTAAAGCTACTCATGCAATTACCATACGAACCAATAATCCCAATCTTAGATATTTACTCAAAAGAAATAAAACATATGTCCGCTGAAAGACCTGAACATGAATATTTATAGCAGCCTATTCATAATCACTCAAACCAGGAAAAAGCCCAAATACTAATCAACTGGTGAACACAAATTATGGTATAGCCTTATAATGAAATACTACATGGAAATAAAAAGGAAGGAATTACTAAGTACACGCAACAGTATTAATAAACCAAGTGTATTGTGCTGAGTGAAAAAAAAAAGGCCACGCACAAACATTTCATACTCCAATTCCATTTACATGATTATCTAGAAAATGCAAAACTATAGAGTCATCAACCAGATGAAGTTGTCAGGGGTTGGGGCAGAGATAGGGAATTGACTATAAAGGAGGTGACAGAACTTTTTGGGGTGATGAAAATATTCTGTATTATGGTTATAGTGGTGTTTACAATACTATAAATGTCAAAAATCACTTACCTATATGTGTAAATGAGCTGAATTTTACTGCATGTAAACTGGCCTTCAATAATCCTTACTTCAGAAAAATAATAAAGGGAAGAAGAAAATATTAAAGACATGTTGGCTAAACATTTTCTAAGCTTTAAAGAAAGTCATGAATCTTCATTTTGAATATTTGGTCTGAGACAAGAATAGAATAAACAAAAACAAATATACATTAAATACATTGTGGTGAAACTATAGAAGGCAAAAGGCAGCAAGATCATCTTCAAAGTCATGGCAGCAGCAGAGAGAGGGTACAGAAGACGAGGGCCAACAAGATTACCTGTAAATGAACAACAACAGAAGCCAGAAGATAAGAAGATATGTCTTCAAAGTTTTGTGAAAAAAATAATCTTAAATCAGCCAGGCATGGTGGCGTGTGCCTGTAATCCCAGCTACTTGGGAGGCTGAGGCATGAGAATTACATGAACCCGGGAGGCAGAGGTTGCAGTGAGCCGAGATCATGCCGCTGCACTCCAGCCCGAGAGTGAGAGTCTGTCTCAAAAAAGAAAAAGATTAAAAAAAAAAAAACCCATAAATCTAGAACCTTCTATTCATTCAAATTAAGAGAGGGGAAGGATAATTTGGGAAAAATAAAGACTGAAAAAAAAATAGCACGAGCAAATACTCATGGAAAGAATTACTGAAGGCTACAGTACTTTTAGGAAATCAAATTCAGAAGGAAGCACATACAAGGAATAATAGTAAGTAGACAAGCTGGTAAACATATCAATAAAAATGATAATGTTAATAACAGCTGTTGAGGGAATAAATACAAAATGGTGGTATACTAGTTAGTAATAAAAAGGAACAAACTATTGATATACTCAACAACTTGGATGGATGTCAAGGGCATTATGCTGTGGGAAGAGAGTCAATCTCAGATGGCCACATACTGCATGATCCCATTTGTGTGACATTCATGAAATGACCCAGTGATTGAAATGGAGAATAGATAAGTTGCCAGGGGTCATGGATGATGAAACTGGGTGGGGGGTACAGGAATCTCTCTGTACTATCTTTACAACTTCCTGTGAGTCTACAATTTTAAAATAAAAGACTGAAAAAAAAGAGATTAAAGCTGAATTTGCTGGTATGAAAAAATAAACAATAACAAGATGTAATCACTAGATAACAAAAACATCCACGATGTTGGGGAGACCAGAGTTAAACCATTTTAAGGACATCATATAGTTGGAAAGAGAATAAAGGTATTAATTTGAAGTCTTCAGTCAAATATGTGCATTAAAAATTTAAGGAAGACTAAAAGAATAGAAAAAGAATACATACTTTCTAAATCAGTGGGGGAGAAGGAAAATAATAAGGAAAACTTTATTAATTGAATAGAAGTTATGAAAGAAAAATAAAAGCTTGCTAAAACATACACATTCAAAAAATCAGTAACATTCCTTTAATATTAGTATAACAAATTTTACATTTAGAAAAGTAATTCAATTCATAAATATAACAAAGGAATTGCAGTATCTATAAAATATCTAAATGAAAACTATGTGTGACATATAAAAAAACTACAAATATTTATTAAACATGTTCTGTTTACAGATATCTAGCCTTGAGAGATAAAGAAAGGATAACAAGTTCCAAATGTATTCATGAACAGCGTGTGCTTGATAAGAAAGCAAAAGTAACCACGTCGTGCTGGTCTGCAAGTGGGAGCTGGAAGAATGTTATAGCTCCTAACATGGGAAACGTTGACTAGCTGAGTGAAAGAAAGGATATCAGTCAATAAGTGCTCCACGTATGCACATGCCAGGAATAAAGTCTGTGCAATTTAATCCCTGTTTCTGATGGAATGAGCTGGGCAAGGGCTGGTGAGTTGAGGGCTCCTACTTCTTTCTGGAGTAGGGATGCAGCTCAAACAAGGTCTGGAGCCTGATTTAGGAGGGAAGGCTGGAGTGCTCAACCTTGCCTTCCTCTGCAACAAGCCTGGTGGTGGTACCCAGAGGTCAAGCCTAGTATAAATCACCACTGCTGCCGGCCGCATCTTGTGCCAATGAGAACATCCAAATCAGGGAGGGTCTTGCTGTAGGGTCACCAGAGAGAGGAAAGGTTTATACTGCCTCTATCTTCTTTATTCACTGCCCCCAGTAAGAGTCTCATCCCGTTTGAGACAGGAGTGGGAGCATCCAGTTCAACGGTTGCATCCAGATGGATTTGGAGTGATCAGAATCTTTCTCCCCACTCAGGTCTTAATTGCTCTAGTTAATTAAGACTGCAACCTCATGTGGGTAAAACTACAAATGCTCATTGAGAAAATGTGCGATAGAAGTTGAATAAATCAAACTATGCTCCTGAAGAGGGAGTTATCAATCTTCCCCAATCAATCCATAGGTTTGGTTTAATGTGATTGAAATCAAGATCCCAATAGGATGAGTTTTGAACTTCACAAAATTGTGAGAATAACTAGCATGCTTAAAGCTTACTCTGTGCCAATTATTAATATATGAGCTGTACGTATTTTAACTATTGATTCTCACTACAACCCCCTAAAGATACTTTCTTTGTACAGATGAGGACACTGAGGCATATACAAAGGTCAAGCAATCTGCCCAGGTGTTTCAGGGCTGGAAGGCATCAACTGAGGATTTAAAATCAGTAAATCCGGCTCCAGAGTCTATGATCTGAACTCCTCTACAACTTGTATTTTAAAATGAAACTGGAAAAATAAATACGACTATCAAAGAATAACACTAATGGAAGCAAACCAGCCCTAACCACTATCTCAAGATAGGACAGACAGCGTGCTACTATATGAGAAGAGATCAAGGCAGTTGGTGGAACAAAACCAATCACTAAGAAACAGAATCCATTGTGTACATCAGTTTAATTAAAGGTGTTTCTGAAATCAGAGACAGACATTTTAATAAATTTTGTTAGCACAACATGCTAAAACTGCAAGGGGAATGTAAAGATTCACTTTCAATTGTGGATTTTTCTTTTCACCATCCACAAACAGAAATCCCAGCTGGATTAAACAATTAAATAAAATTATATCATAAAAATAGAATAAATATTATTAAATGTTTATCAACTTATTAAGGGAGAAGGAAAGACTATGTAATAAATTATAAAGGGAAACAGCAACTGACTTGATAACATACAAATGTAAAACTTCCATTCACCAAATAGAAACGCGAACAAAAAAATCATAACAGATATAACTTTTTAAGTAACATAAAATGCAAGTGCCCTATTTTGCCACGTTTCTTTACATTTGAAAGAGTAGTTGATACCTTTAAAACAGAAAGGGGGCTGTGTGCAGTGGCGCACACCTGTAATCCCAGCACTTTGGGAGGCTGAGGTGGGTGGGTTGTGTGAGCCTGGGAGGCAGAGGTTGCAGTGAGCTGAGATCATATTACTGCACTCCATCCAGCCTGGGTGACAGAGCTAGATCTTGTCACAAAAAATAAAAATAAAAATAACAAAAATAAAATAAAAAGGATTTTTTTCAGAAATCAAAAAATAAAATACTAAAACCCAGTAGAAAAATTGGCATACGCAGAAAACCTACAGAAGAGACACTAAAGGTTAATAAATTCATTTTTTATTTAATGAAAGATGCAAATTAAAATAATAGGTCACCTTACACATCCCCTTATTGAAAAAGATTTCTTTTAAATAATGGTAGTTGTGATATAAACTCATGCAAACTCTCTGTAATGCAATTTAGCAAAACAGTATAGTTACATTTTGTCTGATTTTAAATTAAGTGAATTTAAAAGTGGGATAAACATATTAAGAAAATTTTACTTTATGTGCAAAATTTGAAATAATGCAAAGCTCAGTATTTTTTTTTTTTTTAAGACAGAGTCTCGCTTTGTCACCCAGGCTGGAGTGCAGTGGCAGGATCTCAGTTCACTGCAAGCTCTGCCTCCCGGGTTCACGCCATTCTCCTGCCTCAGCCTCCCGAGTAGCTGAGACTACAGGCGCCCGCCACCACGCCCAGCTAATTTTTTTCCTATTTTCAGTAGAGATGGGGTTTCATTGTGTTAGCCAGGATGGTCTCAATCTCCTGACCTCGTGATCCCCCCACCTCGGCCTCCCAAAGTGCTGGGATTACAGGCGTGAGCCACTGCACCCGGCCAAAGCTCAGTATTTTAAAAAATTGAAAAACATAGGAAACTTACAGACCTTTCTAGCCAAGTGAGTTGTAAACTGTGGAGAAGCAGCATGGCATGGTAGTTAGGGATTCGGACTCCAGGGCTAAGCTGCCTGGGTTCAAATTCCAGTTCTGCCATTTATAAGCTGTGTGACCTTGGACAAATTGCTTTCTCTCCCTGTGCCTTGGTTTCTTCATCTATGACGTGAGTGAGACTAATAATAACCATGTCATACGATGTCACAAGTATTAAAAGAGTTAATATATTTAAGTACTTAGAACACAGCCAAGCATACGCAAATATTACCCAGTATTTGTTATGGCGAGGATGAAGATGATGGTCGTGGTGATGATGATGATGATGGCTGATGCTGCCACATGAAGGCAACACGTTAGCAGAAAACAACCCACTAATCTTTGTCATTATCCTAAGACTCATGTTGCTGTTAAATGTCAGAACTTATGCAGATGATTTTGGTGGGCATTTGTTATTTTACTACAGTATAGAGTAAAAATAGATTATAGTAAAAAGTATTTTTTTAATTTAAATTGTTTGTGTATTGGCCAGGCACAGTGGCTCACACCCATAATCTCAGCAATTTGGGAGGCCAAGACGAGTGGATCATTTGAGATGAGGAGTTTGAGACCAGCCTGACCAACATGGTGAAACCCCATCTCTACTAAAAATGCAAAAAAAAATTAGCCAGGCATGGTGGTGCATGCCTGTAATCCCAGCTACTTGGGAGGCTGAGGCAGGAGAATTGCCTGAACCCAGGAGATGGAGGTTGCAGTGAAACGAGATGGTGCCACTGCACTCCAGCCTGGGAGACAGAGTGAGACTCCATCTAAAAATAAAATAAAAATTTGTGTATTATAACAATTTTTATTAAATAATAATGCTATGGCTATTGCTGAAATGGTACCCCTAAACCATTCCCTTTAAAGCAGAAGTTAGATATTACACAACATTATAAGAAGGGTCATATAAGAAGGGTCAAAAGCCATCATGCTACATTAGGCCCTTTGAAAAAAGTATCAGAATAACGCTGTAGAATATAGAATCATTAAAGCAAAATTAGACTATAGGTTAATGATTTATGCACACAAGAATACACTCTCACACACATTCTACATTTATCCCAATAAGAAAATAACTCGACAAAATAAAATAAAAATAAAAAATAAAAAAATTATAAAAAAGAAAATCAGTCTTAGATTTGCAGTCTTCAGAAGTACTTCCCTCACATAAAATGCAACTGCCTGGTAAAGGCAGATCAATAAACAAACAACAGTCAAGTCCTTTATGTACTAGCATCAAAACGTATAAAGCAATTACTATAAAAATTTCAAGGAAAAACTGACCAAAAATTACAGTAACACACTTCATATTTTATAAAGTAGGTAGACACAGACACCAATCATCTATTAGTCTTCAAAAATAGAATTTGTACAGACCACGTGATCTCACCACTCCACCACTTAGTAAAACAATAAATAGTACCTCTCAAAGCATGTAGTCAAAGCTGTATTCATCCATGCTTCCATGCTTTCATTATTAAACAAAAAAAAAAAAAACAATAAAAATAATTCCTTTACCAGGTAGTTGCAGGAGGCTGAGGTGGGAGGATCACCCGACCCTGGGAGGTCACGGCTGCAGTGAGCGGTGATCATGCCCCTGCACTCCAGCCTGGGTGACGGAATGAGACCTTGTCTCAAAAATAAATAAATAAGTAAAATTTAAAAAAGAAAAGCATTTTATAAAATACAGCATTCTTCTCGATTATTAAAAATCTCCCAATAAAATAAGTATACTTCTCTAAGAAATATCAATATTAAACAGCAAGCCAGCAAGTAATAGTACACTTTTTAAAAATACTAAAGCCATTCTCTTCATTTTATTTAAATTTGCTTTAAAGTGTTGCCTCCCAAGTAGCTAGGACTACAAGTGCACACCACCATGCTCTGCTAATTTAAAAAAAAAAAAAATTGTAGAGATGGTGGGGGCTGGGGGGAGGGGGCTCACTATGTTGCCCATGCTGGTCTCGAACTTTTGGCCTTAAGCAATCTTCCTACTTCATCCTCCCAAACTGCTGGTAGTATGGATGTGAGCCACCACTCCCAGCCACTAAAGGCATTCTCATTAAAATACACAAGACAAGGATGCCCATAATCACTTATGTTATTTCAGATTATGGTGACAGTTCTATGTACCTTTGCAATAATGCAAGAAAAGTAAGTGAGGCACCTACTGGAAAGGAGACAGACCACATACAATACAGGTGTACATCTATGAAACAAAACAATTGTCAACAACTGAAACTAATGAGAGTTTTCTAAAGTGTCTTATCATACTGGTTACTCAAAATTCAATGGCTGGTTACAGTTTGAGATTATGAAAACATTTTCCAGATGGATAGTGGTGATGTGACTGTACCTAATTCCACTAAACTGTACACTTAAAAATTGCTGAAGTGGTTACTCTTATGTTTAATGTATTTTACCACAGAAGAAAATCAATAACTTGGATTACCTGGAATAAGGCTGTAACTATACAAGCGTTCAATGATTATTTGTTAAATATATGACTAGTTCTGAAAAGTTCATGGGGAAAACATACTCATTCACAATAGGGAAGGAGGGCGGGCAGGCAGGCAGGCGACGGAAGGGAGGAGGGAGGGAAGGGAGGGAAGGAAAGACAAGGATAAGAGAGAGAGAGAGAAAGGGAGGGAGAGAGAGAGAGACATGACTCACATGAAGCTAAAAATGTTTATTAAGGGACATCAAAAACAACTTGAGTTTTTTTTTTTTAAGGCATGTCATTTTCCTGGATGAAAACATTCAATACTGCAAAGAACTAAAATTTCCCCAAATGAATCTGTGAATATAATTCAATTCCAGTCAAAATATCAGCAGGATTTCACTTTCAGAATTTGACACAATAATTGTAAGGTTCATCTGGAATAATAAATGACTGAGAACAGCCAAGAAGATTTTGAACATTAGTAACAAGGAAAGAGGAGCCACATCAGAAATGCATCAAGGGCTATTGATGCATTTCACAAGACTAGAAGACTCCCAGAAGACTAGAAGTTTGGATTCTTGCAGCGTACTCATGGTTGTTCATAGAAAACAAAGAACATTACTGCAAGCTGCCACCATTTATGTTTTTCAATGGGCAATCAAAAATTTACTTTTTTATAGAAATATCTTTTTTTTTTGAGATGGGGTCTTGCTCTGTTGCCCAGGCTGCAGTACAGTGGCGTGATCTCAGCTCACTGCAACCTCCGTCTCCCGGGTTCAAGCAATTCTCCTCCCTCAGCCTCATAAGTAGCTGGGACTACAGGTGTGAGCCACCATAGCCGGCTAATTTTTGTATTTTTAGTAGAGATGGGGTTTCACCATGTTTGCCAGGCTGGTCTGGAACTCCTGACCTCAGGTGATCCACCCACCTCAGCCTCCCAAAATGCTGAAATTATAGGTGTGAGCCACCGCTCCAGCCAGAAATATCTTAATTTCATAAATTGTGCCAGGATACATCACTATCTTTAAAACTCAGAACCCAAATCACAGAATATCAAAATATCAAGTTCTCTTAACACACTTTACACTTCACAGAGCACAGCTTTTCATTTCACTTCCAATAGTCATGTATTTTTAAAAATAAAATAGATATATTAAAAGTATGTTAAAAAAAACAAATGTTTTCATAAAAACAAGAACACATAAATCAAGAAAAATGTTTTAAAGGGTGATGGTAATGGTAACAAACCAAGAGATTAATAAACAATAGAAAGTTTAGAAACAGCACCTAGTGTATACATGACTGAAGTATATAGTAATTGTAATGTTTTAAGTTACTAGGAAAAGAATAAATTATTAAACATTTGCCATTGAGGGAACTAATCATTTGTGGGGAAAAATAGAGCTATTCCCTAAATCACAGCACACACTAAAATGAATTCCAAATGGATTAAAGAGTTTAATTTGGCTGGGCGTGGTAGCTCATGCTGGTAACCCCAGCACTTTGGGAGGCGGAGGTGGGCAGATCACTTGAGCCCAGAAGTTTGAGACCCAGCCTGGGCAACATGGTGAAACCCCATCTCTACAAAACATGCAAAAATTAGCTGGACATGGTGCTGCACACCTGTAACCCCAGCTACTCGAGAGGCTAAGGTAGGAGGATCACCAGAGCCCAGGAGATGGAGGCTGCAGTGAGCCTTGATCACGCCACTGCACTCCACACTAGGCAACACAGCAAGACGTTGTCTCAAGCAAAAGAGTTTAATTTCTTCATACATTTAACAAATATGTACCAAGTACAAAATTATTCTATTTATATTAAAATTATTATATATATTTACCAAGTACAAAATTATTAATACAAGCAAGATCACTGTGGGGCAGTGAGGACATAACCATGGAGAAAACCCCCATTTATTCCACAGTCTTGGAGTTGCAGTTTAGCTGAGGCTTAACAGGATGGTCTGATGAGTTCCAAAGAACTACAGTTAAGTATCAAGGGTCCCATCACAGCTCCTCCAGGATTAGGTAGGGTTTTGCTCTCCACCTTGCATTGCTTTTATCTGGCACACAGAGCCACCAGGTGACAACCCTTTCACTCTTCCCCTTTCCCTTGCTGATAGTACACTGGAGGTGGTTTCCTGCTCACCTTTAGGAAATATTGGATGGGGAGGTGATCAAACACCAGGATGTTTAAAACCCAGCTTCTTCAGCATTTATCAGCAGATACTGAAGACAGAGAGCCACAAGTTCACAAGAAGGTGAAAGGGTTCTTCCAGAACAAAGGGCAAAGGTAGCAATAACGGGTAATTTATCCTGCCATGCCTGATAACATTCCCCCCAACAGGGTCAGAATCAATGAGAGGAGAGAGGAGAAATTCTGCTTAAAAATAAATGAATGCATAAGTCAGTCTCTCTGTCTGCTGTCTGTCTCTCTCTCTCCCCCTCTTGTCAGTGGTTGGACTAAGCTGTTACCTGGCAGGTATGGTCTCAGGTGTGGCATGTGGCCAATAAAACTGCCTCCAATTCTGCCTTCCAATTGTTCTTACCTTAATTGACACAGCAGCCATAATGCAGACATCAAAGGTTGAATTGCACAACCAGTTATTTAATTACCTTTGTGATAATGCCAGAGAAGTCCGGGGTCAAGGAATTCATACAACAGGGGTCAGGTGAGGCTTTCCCGAGAACATCTGAGAGCTCTGAGCAAGGAGCAGGAATTAAATACACAGAGGGGCTCACATAGAGGGTGAGGGTGAACGTGTGCAGAGAAGACTTTGTGACTGGGCGTGTGGTTTGGGGAACTGGAGAATGGCTGATGAGGATGAAGTTCAGAGACTGGGTGGGAGAATGAGGTCAGAGGAGACTGCTATATGTGATGGGGGCCGTGACCATGAAGGGTCCCCTGGGTCATAGCGAGGAGGTTCATCTTTATCCTCAGAGCAATGAGAACCCACGGACAGACAAAGCCAGAAGGTGTTGTGACTACGCTCACATTTTGAAAAGATCATTCTGGCTGTAGAGTCGATTGGAAGAAGTCAAAGGCTGGAAGCAAGAAGACCAGTAAATATTCTACTGAAGTGAGATAAAAAATGATGGTATAGGGGACAAAAGCAAGAGTAGGAAAGAACCAGAGGAGTACAGAGAGGTCAAGGTTATTTCCGAGGTAAACCAACAGGAATTGGGAGTTGATCTTCCATGAGGGGGAGGAGGCAGAAGGCAGCAGTCCAGGTGACCTCAAGGTATCTGATGGTGCCACTCCACATCACAAACATGGGAAAGGGGCCAGGTTTGAGAGTAGGAGGGCAAGGACGGACATAGAGCATGAGCTTAGTTTTGAACTCATGGGTTTATTTGGAGGTGTCTATAAGATAGCCATGCGGAGATGAAGAAAAAGCGGTTGGGTATTTGGTCTTGAGCTCAAAAAAGCGTCGGGAAAGGAAATTTTAATTTAGGGACCATCAGCTCAAACTGGTCACTGAAGTCACACAAGTAGATGAGGTATCCTAGAGGGAATGGAGTGTGAAGATAAAAGAAACCAGAACCGAGACTTGAGGAACTACAAAATTTAAAGACTAAGTTGGAGAAAGATGTTTGTGCAAAGACAACCAAGGAGGAGAATCTGGAAAGGGTAGGAGTAACAGCTACGGGGTATAGAGTTTGAGAAGCCACAGCAAGAGGCAAAGGAGGTCACCTGTCCTCAGTGCTACAGAGAGACCAGGGAAGATGAAGACCAAAAAACAAGATTATAAAAGAACTATTTTTAAATAAGGAAGAATATTATTCAACCTTTGGTTGGTATATTAGCCAGCTAGGGCTGCCATAAAATATACTGCAGATTGCATGGCTGTAACAACAGAAATTTATTTTCTCACAGTTCTGGAAGCTGGTAAGTCCACGATCAAGGTTCCAGCAGGGCTGGGTTTCTGGAGAGGGCTCCCTTCCTGACTTGCAGATGGCTGCTTTGTCCCACCCTGGTCTTTCCTCTGAGTAAGCATGGAGAGACAGAGCAAGCTCTCAGGTAGCTCTTCTTGTAAGGGCACGAATCCTATGGATCAAGACCCCACACTTATGATCTGATTTAGCCTTAATTATCTCCTTATAGGCACTGTCTCCAAATGCAGTCACATTGAGGGTTGGGAATTCAATATATGAATTTCAGGGGGACACAAATGAGTCCATAGCAGATGGAAAAGTCCCTTCTAATCATGAGGGGTGAATAAAAGGTAAAAATCAAAGCAGTCCCGGTGTAGTGGCTCACGCCTGTAATCCCAGCACTTTGGGAGGTAGACACAGGCAGATCACTTGAGGCCACGAGTTCAAGAGCAGCCTGGCCATCATGGTGAAACCCCATCTTTACTAAAAATACAAAAATTAAATGGTCATCGTGGCGTGCGCCTGTAGTCCCAGCTACTCAGGAGACTGAGACAGGGGAATTGCTTGAACCTGGGAGGCAGAGGTTGCAGTGAGCAGAGATGGTCCAGCCTGGGCGATAAAGTGAGACCCTCACTCGAAAAAAAAAAAAAAAATGGGAAAACATTGAAATATGTGGCCATATAAAAATGTTAACTTTCTACGTTTTATAACTTCATAACAGAATCATAACATGTTCTGGTTTTAGTGTTCTACTGTGTAACACATATCCCCCAAACTTAGTAGCTTACAAGAATTTTATTGTGAGCACATATTCTGTGGATAATTATTTTGGACTGGGCATAACAGGATTGGCTTGTTTCTGCTCCATGACATCTGGATCTTCAGTGAGAATACTCAAAGGCTGCATATGACTTGATAGGTAGGGGCTGGAATCATGTAAAGGTGGCTTTGTTCACGTCTCGCTGGTGATGCTGCCTGTGGCTGGGATCACAGCTGGGAATGTCACAACTAGAATGCCTACACATGGTCTCTCTGTATAGTCTGGGCTCCTTACAGCATGGCCACCTCAGAATAGTCACAATTCCCATATGGCAGATTAGGGTACCACAGGAGAGTGCTCCAGCGAACAAGGCAGAAGCCGCACACATTTTCTTACCTAGGCTTAGAAATTACAAGTTGAGTCTCAGGCCTGCTCAGATTCAAATGGAGGTGACATCAACTCACATCTCTAGGGCAGAAGTGTTAAGACCATCTTTGGAAAATACAATCTGCCACGTAAGGTAAATGAAAAACATGACAATTTAAAAAGTGAAACAAATGACAAATAGGTAAATAAACCTTTTATAATATATAAAAAACCACAAAAAAATGTTGACGTCACCAATAAAAAATTAGAAAAGGACATAAACTGGCAAGCCACTCAAGAAGAAAACAAATAATTATATGTTCATTTTGGCAATTTATCCAATGAAAATAATTATGTGCACAAGGAATTAGATACATCCATATTTACTGTAGCAAGGCAATTAATAGCCAAAAATTTTTTAAAGAATTTCCAACAATAACTGATGAAATAAACTTTTTCCATCCCTACAATAGGAAGCCTATTCAGCCGTTAAAATAGAAAAAAAGTCAATGTTATAGAAAGATATTCATAGTATTTTACTGAGGGAAAAATAGCAGAATATAAAATATGATTTCATAGAAGACATATGTAGAAAAAAATAAGAATTATATAAACCAAAATATAAATGGTAACATACATTGATTTTTTTCTTTTTGCTTATTGTAATTTCAAATTTTTCTACAATAAAAGGTATTGCTTTTATTTTCACAACAAACAAAATTCTTCTAAAACATATTAATGAAATAAAATAAAAATAAGAGTTTTATCACAAATAAGTAATTCAAAACAAAATTGTTTAAGACTGCCAAAATATTATACAATGCTATTGGATAATTATGTTAATCAATTTTTATTGTTTTAATCCCAAAAACAATAAAAAAATAGGGGTGTGTGTGTGTGTGTGTGTGTGTGTGTGTGTGTGTGCATGTGCATGGCTGAGGGTGGCAGGGGATAGAAGTTCAGAGGACAGAAAGGGGTAGGTAAAGCCAGATTGATAAGACGTGCTAATTGTTGAAGCTGGGTAATGGATTCACATGAAATTATTATATTTACCTGTATGTATTTTTGAAAAATCCCATAATAATCTAAAGAAACTCTAAGAGAGCTCTGGGATGAGAGAAAAACTGATAAATATTCAAAGGAAGGAATATTTCTTTTGACAGTCGAGCCAACTTTTGAGTAAAATGTTGCTTTACAATTGAAAAAATAAAAATGAAAAACACTAGATGCAAAAAGCCTGGAAGTAAACCATACCTGTTTCAAAATAGGAACACAGTTAAGTATATTTTTGGAATTACTGTCAGCAGGCACATATTTTGCTTATGAAGACTATGAAAAAGTAAACTAATTCAACTACTCAGACTTTCTCTCCCATCCACCTAAAAGTGTCCTACAGCGATGGTTTTATGTGTCAACACTTGACTAGGCCATGGACTGCCGAGCTAGCTGGTTAAACATTATTTCTGGGTGTGTCTACAAGGGTGTATCTGGGAGAGATTAGCATGTTCCTCAATGTGGAGGCGGTATCATCCAATCTTTTGAGGGCATATATAGAACAAAATGGCAGAGGAAGGTTGAATTTGCCCTCTCATGCTGACTGCTTAGCTGGGACATCAGTCTTCTCCTGCCCTCAGCACTCCTGGTCCTCCTGCCTCCAGACTAAACTGGAAGCTACAGTGTTAGCACTGTCTCTCTCTGGCTCTCAGATCTTTGAACTACACTCTAGTTTGCCTGGATCTCCAACTCGTAGACGACAGATGGGATTTCTCATATAATTGGTTCTGTTTATCTAGAGAACCCTAACACAAATTTCTGTCTTAGATCAGGCTGCTATAACAAAATACCACAGACTAGGTGGTTTCGACAATATGAATTTTTTCTCACAGTTCTAGAGGCTGGAAGTCCAAAGTCAAGGCAGATCCAGTGTGTGGAGAGGGACCTGGTTTGCAGATGGCTGTCTTGTAGAGATCTGGTTTGCAGAGATAATAATCATCCCTGTTGTGTCTCTTCTTATAAGAGCACTAATCCCATTCATAGGGGCTCCACCCTTATGATCTAATTACCTCCCAAAAGCCCCACCTCCAAATACCATCACACTGGGGATTAGGCTTCAACATATGAATTTGGGGGGATACAAGCATTTAGTCCATACTACAAACCTTGTACTTTCATTACATCTAGTTTCATCTTTTTCTCTTCTGCTGAGTAATATCACATGGTTTCTCCCTCATATTTAAATCTTTACCTGTAAGTTTTCAGATAGTGTTTTTAAATACTTGAAAAAATAATGTTATTAAAGAAGAGTAATGTGTCCAGAATAAAATGCAGACCTGGCTACGCTGGAGAATTCTATAGAATTCTCAGAATTCTGCTTTTCTTGGCCATGACCTCATTCAAACTCAAATCTGGTATCTGGAGGTAAAAACTGATTCATTAATCTCTTTCCAAAGCTCTACTTAAATTATGTTCAAACTGTCCTATTCTCGTCAATTCAGAGGAAAAATGCAAATGACTAAAATGAAAAAATTGTTCAGCACTCAACTAATCAAAGAAATGCAAATTAAAACAAGGTAATATTTTTCATCTATCAAATTTGCAAATGTTTTTTAAATGCCAATATGAGATGTTGACAAAGGTGAGATACAACTCACATAATAGTGCTCACGGTAGCACAAACTGAAAAATGTATTCACAAAATAGAACAAGAGCCTTAAAAATAGCCATACCCCTTTGACCCCCTAAATTTTCTGCTAGAAATCTTTTGTAATAAAATAATGTGATCAAGGGTTATGTACAAGCCACCAGGTTCGGTGGCTCATACCTGTAATCCCAGCACTTCGGGAGAGTGAGGTGGGAGGATCGTTGGAGCTCAGGAGTTTGAGACCAGCCTGGGCAACATAGAGAGACCTCATCTCTACTAAAAATAAATAAAATAAAATAAAAAATTAGCCAGTCATAGGGGCACCTGCCTGTATTCCCAGCTACTTGGGAGGCTGGGGAAGGAATATCACTTAAGCCCAGGAGATGGAAGCTGCAGCGAGATCTGATCGTGCTACTGCACTCCAGCCTGGGCAACAGAGCAAGATCCTGTCTCAAAAAAAAAATCATGTATTATGCAAAAAAATTCAAAGCAGCAACATAATAACAAAAAAATTGTCAACATCCTACTGACAGTTGGGTCATGGTTTTCCAGTTCTTATCAGTAGAGTCCTACAGTTAAACACAGGGGGAACCAGCAGGGTGAGAAAGTGCTCAAGTTTTTAGGACTCTGAGCTTTTATCTATTTTATGTATTGAATTCCAGTTAAGATTCATAGCTCTTTTGTCTGTTTGTTTTGCTTTGTTTCTAGTAACTGTCAGTCTACCCTGACTAGAATGTAAGATCCATGAAGAACCTATCTATGAGTGATGTGCTCCCAGATTCTTGCTGTTTGTTTGTTTTTGGTTTTGTTTTTTTTTTTTTTTTTGAGACAGAGTCTCACCCTGTCACCTAGACTGGAGTGCAATGGTGCGATCTCGGCTCACTGCAACCTCTGCCTCCCGGGTTCAAGGGACTCTTCTGCCTCAGCTTCCCAAGTAGCTGGGATTACAGGTGCGCACCACCACGCCCAGCTAATTTTTTGTATCTCTAGTAGAGACGGGGTTTCACCATGTTGGCCAGGCTGGTCTCAAACTCCTGACCTCATGATCTGCCCACCTCTACCTCCCAAAGTGCTGGGACTACAGGCATAAGCCACCGTGCCCAGCCCAGATTCTTAAAACTAAGCACAGTGCTTGGCTCGTATGGCTTATATTAGGTATTCAATAAATAGCTGTTGTTTGCTGTAGATTTAAGTATTTTTTTCCTGATTAAAAATAAAGTTGAGCTTCATCTATTCATCCCTCCTCCCCCAACCCCTGGCAACTGCTACTTGGATCTGATCCAGTGGAGCACAGAGGATCTTGAGGGCAGTGAAATTACTCTGTGTGACACTATAATGGTGGATATATATGAGTACATGTTTGTCCAAACCCACAAAATGTACACCACAGAAAGCGAACCCTAAAGTAAACTATCAACTCTGGGTGATAACGACCTGTTGATGTAGGCTTATCAGTGGTAATAAACGAATCACTCTGGTTGAGGGGTGTTGATAGTGAGGGAAGGTATGGATTTGGGGGACAGGGGGCATGTGGGAAATCCCTGTACCTTCCACTTAGTAAACCTGAAACTGCTCTAAAAATAATAATAAAGTCTATTTTAAAAAGTTGAAAAGCATTATAATTAGGAGATTGACTAAAGACCATGAATTGGCAAATGATAGCCTGTGGGCCAAACCTGGCCACAGGCTGTTTTTGTAAATAAAGTTTTATTGGGACACAGCCACTCACACCCATTCATTTACATATCGTCTATGGTTGTCTCTGTGTTGCAACAGCAGAACTGGGTAGCTGCAACAGAAATTATGTGGCTCACAAAACTGTGAACCAGCACATCTCTTCCTACCTCTATGTTCAGGGACATCTCATTGGTAACTTGAAATCAGCAGTAGGATTATTTATACCATGGGAACTGGTAAATGCTACAAGTCAGGGCTTGATTTATTGTTTTGTTAGTTTTCTAGGCTTAAAAAAGTGAAGGTGAAAAATGTTAATTACACAGATTAAAATTAAGTGAATGTTGGGTCTGTAGGTATGATAGCATAAAAAATTAAGAAAATATTCTTCTAGTATTCAAAACTATTATCCAATTAGAAAAAGTAGTCACTCCTTATTACTGGCATACATATATTTTTGGTTGTTTCACCTTCATCTTACTAATTAACATAAAAGTAAATATCAACCAACATTTATGTTGGAATTACACTTGCTGGTCAATTGCAATAACAGGTTGGCTATAGACAAGAATTGGTTACAAATCAGCAAAGGCATCCTGCTATCAATTGGTTATACGGAATTTACAATGAAGAGTATTGCATACTTTATCATTATTTGTAAATTGTGTGTTACACATCCTTTAAATCAGCAATATTGATAGTAAACATCAAATAAATAGCATATACATACATACACTCTCCCAGGGAACTGGTTGTTAAACATTTACCAGCACACCTCTGCTGAAAAATATTTTTCAGTAGAAGGTTATCAAAATAAACGTGATTTGCAAATCTAGCCACAGCTGAAGCCATCAAAGAGGTAAAGGGACGGAGGCACAATGCAAAAATATGAAGGCAAAGTGGAAAAGTACCTCTTTCTAAGTAGGGCTAACAGGGAGTAAGCAACTGATGTTTTGTGCCCTATGTGGAGGGAAACTGTATGCTATTAATTGTTCATCTGTCACGTTCTGCCACATGCAGAGAAAGTAAGAAATTTGAGAACAAGAAGGTCAAAAGACTATCTCTATAATTAATTTAACAAGCAAATTAAGGTGCACACATTTCTAGAGGCTAAGACAGACAGAAGTGGATTCCTACAGCATTCCCCAGATTTTCTGAACCCTCTGCTATTCATCCAATAAACTGCACTCTTTCGTCCCTAATTTGATTTCCATTTAATGTGTTAAACCTGATTCCCTTGCATGTAAACAGTGCTTTATACTTTTCAAATATAATTATATTATTATCTCCCTTGATCCTCACAACAATTTTACGAAGTAGGAATGGCTAAGTTTCAAAGGGAAAAAAATTCTTAGGGAAAACTTAGGGTTTTGTGTGCTTAACCCTGGTTCTAAAGCCAAGCTCCAGAAAAACACTACTTTCAAATTGCCTGTATTTCTTTTGAATGCACTCATATCTGGTTCCTTAAACATTTCAGCACGGCTTGGTTTCTAAAGCACTTGCCCTTTATCATTCTTCCTAAGGAAGAAGACAAAATCAGCTGGTTATAATTAACAAAAGCACAACCATTCTTTTTTAAGGCCTGGCCTCTGCCTTTGTCGTGAAATCATCTGTCAGGTTAAGAGATCATCTCTTTTCTAGTCCTGGATGTTAATTTTCTTACTTAGTACAGATGCTTGTACACAGTAGGCGTGCAAGTAAGTTAGGTCGGAATGGTTTTCCCAGCCTACCTGGGGTTACATGAAAAGTATGACGCTAGAGGGAAGCTCTTCAGGACTTGTCCACGACTATACAGTTCCCAAGCAACCCTATAAAGAAGGGGAGTTCTTAGTCCCTGAGAAAATGAAGTGTTTACAGTTCCTTCGCTGAGGGAGACAAGGTGTAGGCAGAGAACAGAAAGAAGGAGAGAAAAACATGTATTGAATCTTTACTATACCTTCCAGGAACTTTCATAGGCTTTATCTACCAAATCTTCAAACAATCTGAAGAGGCTGCCATTTATCCCCATTTTACAGATGGAGATTCAGAGAGGTTAACTGTTTGATTAATAAGAAACTAGCTCCAGATGTATCTGTGTCTTCAGAGACCGTCCTTTACCTCTAAACCAGTGACTCTCAAAGTAGAGGACTCAACCAGCAGCAGCAGCAGCCGCACCTGGGAACTTCTTAGAAACGCAAATTCTCAGGGCTCACCCCAGCCCTGCTGAATCAGAAACTATAGGGGTAGGGTCCAACACTTGGTTATAACAAGCCCTCCAGGTTATTCTGATAAACACTAAAATGTGAGAGATTTCTCCCTGCTCTACTACACAGGTTGTATTAGTCAGTTTTCAGGCTGATGATAAAGACATACCCGAGACTGGGCAATTTACAAAAGAAGGAAGTTTATTGGACTTACAGTTCCACATGGCTGGGGAGGCCTCACAACCATGGCAGAAGTCAAGCATGAGCAAGCCACATCTTCTACGGAAGGCAGCAAACAAAAAGAAAGCTTGTACAACGCAACTCCCGTTTTTAAAACCATCAGATCTCGTGAGAACTATTCACTCTCACGAGAAACGGCTCAGGAAAGACCCGCCCCCATAATTCAGGCATCTCCCATTGGGTCCCTCCCATAACACGTGGGAATTATGGGAGCTACAAGATGAAATTTGGGTGGGGACACAGAGCCAAACCGTGTCACAGGTCAACAAAGGCTTTCTGTAAAGGGCCAGATAGAAAATATTTTCGGCTTTGAGGGCCAGATGGTCTGTTTTGCAACTACTCAAAGTCGCTGTTGCGCAAAAGCAGCCACCGACAATGCATAAATAAATGAGCATGACTGTGCTCCAATAAAACTTTAATGATGGACAATGAAATCAGGATGTTATATCATTTTCATGTGTCATGAAGTGTTACCTTTCTTTTGGCCTATGTCCCCCAATCATTTAAAAAAGCAAAAAGTCATTTTAATCCCAAGGGCTATACCACACCAGGCAGCAGGCTGGATTTGGCCCTCAGGCCATAGTTTGGCAAGCACGGAAACAAGACTACGCTACCTACTAAATGGAAACTTTTAAGCAGAGCAATGACGCAAAGACAGGACAATCTAATAGAAGGTAAAATGTTGTGAGTTACAAAATTGGCTATGGTCGGCTGGGCACAGTGGCTCACACCTGTAATCCCAGCACTTTGGGAGGCCGAGGCGGGTGGATCACCCGAGGTCCGGAGTTTCAGACCAGCCTGACGAACATGGAGAAACCCCATCTCTACTAAAAATACAAAATTAGACGGATGTGGTGGCGCATGCCTGTAATCCCAGCTATTTGGGAGGCTGAGGCAGGAGAATCACTTTAACCCAGGAGGCAGAGGTTGCGGTAGCACCATTGCACTCCAGCCTGCGCAGCAAGAGAAAAACTCTATCTTAAAAAAAAAAAAAAAAATTGGCTATGGTCCAATGGAGGCAGGCAGCTCATTTTGTTCTGACAATTAGAAAGGCTTACAATGAGGAGGTGACAATCTGTGTGGGCCTTGAATGATGAGTAGAAGTTCAACAGTAGAGACAATAGCTTGGGCAACAGGGTGAAGACTGGTGTATGCAGGGTACCCAGTCCAAAATGCCTGCTTCCACCCAAAATATTCCAACCTCTTGGGTTAAAAACGCTTTGGAAAATTATATTATGTAAAAAGTATGTCAATGCTCCTGTGAATACCAACCAAACTGAAGCGTCGAGAAAGGAACAAATTGCAACAACTGAAATCACAGCCTTACATGTGAAAATCATTATCGGTGATCTCGTCTCCTCTCCCTACAGACCAAGTGTTGGAGGGAAGGTGTCTTATTTCGCACAACAAATTATTTCTGGTTGCAAATCTGACTGTATGGTATATGCTCCCAAGTATCATACAATGCAAGAAATAATTCTCTTGAGATATTTCCTAGTTATACAAATTAGTTCCCTTGAGAATTGCTTGGTTTTTTTCCTAATTCCTTACATATCATCCAATTGAGTTGGTTATTTTCAAACACAAGAAATCCCCTTTAAGAGCATAAATTTCAGAGACATTGTTTTCAAGTTACACGTTTTCATTAGATTTGCTTTGATACCAGCTATTAAAAGGAAACGCAATCTGCTCTGGCAGTATTTCCCAACTTCATATAGCAGAGCAGTAAAGAGGCCAGGTTCCGCAGTCAAAGTCTCTGGGCTCAAAGCCCTGCTCTCCCACTTAAAAAGCTATTTGACCTTGACAAATTACTCATCTCAGAGCTTCTGTTTTCTTAAAAACAAAGTGGGAAAAAGTAATAGTAGCCACTTCTGGTTGTGTATGTGTTTGAAAATACAGAAAAATAGCTCAATATATTTTGTCCACCATTATTATTTCCCAGTGATCTCTTTCCTCCAAAACTAAACAAATATGCTTTTATTTTTTAAGCTAAAATTATATTCCCTTTATGCTACCACATGATACGGTGACAAGTTTGGGACAGAACCTGACAAATAAGATCGTTCTGCTCCCTCCCTCCACCACCTGGGCCCTGCAGGGATCAGAAACTGCTTACCAAGCTAGGGGAGGTAAAGGCAGAGAAACAGAGGCAAAATTGACCATACAGCAGCAGGCCCGCTGTCGGGAGCAGGGCAGAAGTTGCAGCTTTAGGAAGGTCTGGGGTTTGGATCCCTACATGGATGGGACACATCAATGACTGAAATGAGGGTTCTTTGGGATGTAAAGTGAACTGGGTACTCATATTATCTGAGACTGGCTGGAAAAGCTTCTAACCAGGGGCAAGAGAAGGACTCCTCTCGCAACGTGGGTAGGAGTGTGCAGAGGGGAGAATGAAATACAGTTGATTTGATCCCACTCTATGAGGGTCAATTACATATGTATGAGCATAGATTGCATGTCTGGAGTGGGCAGGGAGATCCATGGGAAGGACTCAGGCCTTAGAGACAAAAAGACCTGAAGCTCCACCACCCAGTAATCTGGTGGAGGGGAAGTTTTCTCAACTAAATACTGAGGACAAGGATTCGTGTGGTCATACCTAAGATGAGGGACACAGAGTTCTTTGCACCGTGCCTGTCATCCTGCAGACCAAAGAAACAACAGCTGCTCTTGGCATGAGTACCCATCTCCACTCCCATTGAGTGACCACTTGCAAAGTGACTTTCATATTCACGAACAGGCATACCAATTGCACTGAGTGCTTTGATCTGTTGAATTACAGCCCAGCACAGCCCACTAGTGTGGTCCCCCCACCCCCCAAGTGACATTGACATTGACATTGACCTTCCTTTGCTCATGACCATTCTCCCCTCAACCGACCTATTGGTCAGGAATGACAAGTTCCTAGGGCTTGGGGATGAGACGGAGAACACACCACCCCACCCCTGCTGGGTTCGACCTCCCAATTAGGTGCTCCACAACACCCACTACTTCTTTCTTAGAGCTACTCAGACTTTATTGCAATTGTCTCTTGAATTAAATGCATTCTCCATCCTGCGAATTCCTTCTGAAGATGGGCTGGATCTTTTATCCCTGGATCTTCACTGTCTAGCTTCTGGATTTCCCAAATGATTTAATGATATTATTCATTAAGATGTGAGAATAAACACCTTTTTAAAAAAACACATCAGCACACACTCTGTATAAATCAACATCTGTCATTGTAAGAGTTCCCACGGCTGGGTGCGGTGGCGCATGCCTGTAATCCCAGCACTTTGGGAGGCCAAGGTGGGCAGATCACGAGGTCAGGAGTTCGAGACCAGCCTGGCCAATGTGGTGAAACCCCCGTCTCTACTAACAATACAAAAATTAGCCAGGTGTGGTGGCACGCGCCTGTAGTCCCACCCAGCTACTCGGGAGGCTGAGGCAGAAGAATCACTTGAAACCGGGAGGTGGAGGTTGCAGTTAGCCAAGATGGCGCCACTGCACTCCAGCCTGGGTGACAAAGCAAGACCCCGTCTCAAAAAAAAAAAAAAAAAAAAGAGTTCCCACAAGGCCATCACCTCTAAGCAAATGTTTCCTCCTTGATCTCTTTTATATTTGCCCAGCAATCATCACAAAACTTCTCTGCACCCAGGCACAGAGTGTGGCTGCTAACATCCCATTATGTAAAACAAATACAGGAGGCTCCCTAGAATGCCCTAAGTCATGTCCCCCAGTGGCCAGAAACAAGCACCACCATGCCCTAGCACCTACCTCCTCTGGAAAAGATTTCAATGAAGGGAGGAATTGGTTCCACTCTTTTCTTTTCTTTTTTTTTCTTTTGAGACGGAGCCTTGCTCTGTCGCCCAGGCTGGAGTGCAATGGTGCAATCTCGGCTCACTGCAACCTCCGCCCCCCAGGTGCAAGTGATTCTCCTGTCTCAGCCTCCTGAGTAGTTGGGATTACAGGCACACCATGCCCGGCTAATTTTTGTATTTTTAGTAGAGACAGGGTTTCACCATGTTGGTCAGGATGGTCTTGAACTCCTGACCTCAGGTGATCCGCCCGCCTCGGCCTCCCAAAGTGCTAGGATTACAGGCATCAGCCACCATGCCCGGCCTGGTTCCACTCTTTAGGTGGCAAAAAACAAAGATGCAAGAGCAAGTCACACAGCCAATTAGTTTTCTTTTCCAGATCTGCCTTCAAATAAGGGTTTCATAACTTCCTTGAAAAAGATCTCTCCGCACCTTGCTATCCTGCAGAGCCCATGCATATTCGCCACCTAAAGGGAAGGACCCAAGGGCATGAGAGAGGGAAGGACCCAAGAGCATGAGAGCCTCCACATCCCTGAGAGAATCACAGCCACCCAGAGTCATGTTGCGGCCTGCCACACCCCTTGTCCCCAGCTGTGGCAAGGCAAGAATCCTGTTTCCAAAGCAACTGTGCCTTCGGGCTTACTAACACTGCAGGCAGAGTCCCACGTGTACACACACATGCAAACATGTACAGGCACACACCAGCACAGGCACCATACATGCAGACACACCTAAGACACGTGCACAGACACAGACAAGATCTCCTGTCTTGTGGAAACATACAGTCTCCTAGAAATGAGAATAATGTCTTATTTCTTATTCTGGCTGGAAGAAGTTAGCTTTCCAAGGATATATTTAGTTGGTTTCATATCTGTCATTTAATATTTCTTACAGGAGCTTGGGGGAAAATGAAAATCCAGTGCTCTGGTGTGTTGCTGTGTGCCTGTGTCTCCAGGGCTCTCTATCTGTTTGTAGATGTCTGCTGATCGCGTTAGTCCAACTTATTTCCCACATGAGCGGCAAAGGGCCGAGAGGGCTGGAATTATTTCTGGCCTGAAACGCGCGGCCCCTTTCTCCCAAGGCTCCAGTGAGTGACCTCAAATGGGCAGTCCATCACCCACGCTAGTCTTCCTCTCTCTTCTCTTTCCCATTCTTCTTTCTTCCCTAACGTTCTGCTCTTGCTGGAACCCCCTTCCAGGAAGGCCAGAAACCAGAAACCACTCCTGGTGTTAGATTCTGCCATCCGAGCGTGAGCTTGGGGTGGGCATGCAGGATGTAGGCCGAAGAGAACCATGGTGGTCCCCCAAAGTTCCCACTCGAAATGGGGCAGGCCCAGAGGCAAAAGTAGGTTCTGGAGAGCTGGGCCTGCCAGCAGGGAAACTGAGGGACAGGGGAGGTGCCACCACTCCAGGACACAGCAGAGCAGGCCAGGGTTCACCCTGAGGGTGCCTGTGCAGAATCAGAACAGGGCACCCCCTTTGGATTTGACAAAGGGAGTTGTGCTGGATGTGAGCCCCACCCACCCACTCATATCTGAGGGTTATGAACCCCATGTGCAAGAGCACAGAGGCTGTAAGGACAGGCTGGCAGCCTCGCCTACCGACCAGCGCAGCTGTGAAGCGCCAGGGCACACACAACTCTCTCTCCATGTTCTTTGCTCGTACTTTCATTCCCCAGACCAAACATTCTCTCAACCCCATGAATCAAACCAGAGGCCTTACAGCGACCTCAGTTCCCTGAGTGTGAGAAACCAAGGAACAAACGGGACCGTGGCAAGGCAGCGTGGTCAGGAGCCCAGACTCCAAATCAAGGTGCCCTGAGTTCTTGCCCCTGCCTGGCCATTCTGGGGACAGTGAGCAAATTACTCAACCTCCCGTGCCTTGCCTTCCCCATCTGTACTCAAGAGAGCATAGTTCCTACCTCACAGTACAATTATGTGGACAAATGCGGTCAAACAGCAAGCACTTAGCGCCTGCCACAGCTTAGGCCCTCAATGTTACTGTTATTCACCTGAAATGACCACAAATTGAACTAAATTTTTCAAAGTTATTGGTGCTTTGTTTTCCTGTATATAAAAGAAACGGTGTTCTTTTCCCTGTCTGCCCACCCTCGCTCACTCAGCACATGTATTTTTCTTTTCTTTTCTTTTCTTTTTTTTTTTGAGACAGGGTCTCCCTCTATTGCCCTGCTGTGGTGCAGCTCTGGTCACTGAAGCCTCAACCTCCCAGGGCTCAAGCAATCCTCCGACCTCAGCCTCCTGAGTAGCTGGGACCACAGGTGCACACCATCACACCCAGCTACCTTTTTTTTTTTTTTTTTTTGAGACGGAGTCTCACTCTGTTGCCCAGGCTGGAGTGCAGTGGCGCGATCTTGGCTCACTGCAAGCTCCACCTCCTGGGTTCACGCCATTCTCCTGCCTCAGCCTCACGAGTAGCTGGGACTACAGGCACCCACCACCACGCCCAGCTAATTTTTTTGTATTTTTAGTAGAGACGGGGTTTCAACGTGTTAGCCAGGATGGTCTCGATCTCCTGACCTCATGATCCACCCGCCTCGGCCTCCCAAAGTGCTGGGTTCACAGGCGTGAGCCACCGCACCCGGCCACACCCAGCTAACTTTTTAATTTTATTTTTTGTAGAGATGAGGGTCTCGGCATGTTGTCAGGCTGGTCTCAAACTCCTGGGCTCAGGCAATCCTCCCTCCCTGGCCTCCCAAAGTGCTGGGATTACGGGTGTCAGCCACCACATCTGGCCTAGCACATATTTTTAAGGCTTTCCTCCCACAGGAAGGCCATGGTTGGTGTCCATGAAGGGGGGCGCATAGGTGAGGTGGACCTTGCGAGGGGTTTCAGTTGGAGCTTCCCCATGGTGATATACTCATCCATTAGGACATCGAACAAAGTCTTGACTCTGCAAAGTACAGACTCTTAGAAGTAAAGGAGTGAGAAGCAATTCACTGCCACCTCATTTTTTTTTTTTACTTTAAGTTCTGGGATACATGTGCTGAACGTACAGGTTTGTCACATAGGTATACATGTGCCACGGTGGTCTGCTGCACCTATCAACCTGTCATCTAGGTTTTAAGCCCCACGCGCATTAAGTATTTGTCCTAATGCTCTCCCTCCCCTTTGCCCCCACCCTCCAACAGGCCCCTGTGTGTGATGTTCCCCTGCCTGTGTCCATGACACTGCCACCTCATTTTTAAAGGCTGCCAATGAAGAGATTTTGTACCAAGAAATGGAAAAACCAGCAAGTCAATGCCTTCCCCATTTTCCTCATGTCTGGTGCAATTGCGGCATTTGCCCATATGACAGGCACTTGGTGCACCTTAAGGCCATGTTTAATGCCAACATCAACCAATTCCCCGCTGCCTGATGTTGACATTTTGTATGCCTGATGTGTATGGCCTTTCTTCCTGAAACTTTCCTGAATTTCCAAGGCTGGGCCGGGTGTTCCTCTTCTGTGCTCCTATCTTTTCCTCCTACCTCAGTGGGTTACACTGTTTACTTATTCCTACCCTGCACTAGACTCCAAGGATACTCCAGGCTGGCAGGGCCGTTGTCTCTTTTTCAGCACTGTGCCCTTAGCACACAGTAGATTTCAATATTCTTAGAATGAATGAATGACAGTGAGAAAGAGGATGAGTCAGAGGTTTTGGAGAATTTTAGATGGCTGCACGCACTGAGTGGTGTGTCTAAGGGGGGAATCTTGGCCCTGCTCCCAGCCAGTTCTGGGCAACAAGACAAGTGGTCACTTCCACTCACAGACAAGCAAAAGTGGGCTCTGGAATTTCTGAAATGGGGTGCCCATGTTAATGGATCAAACTAATCAATGTGCAAAAGAAAAATGAACTTACAGACATTTCCAGAGTCTGTATCTACAAAGCTAAGGATGCAATGTAGTAATACAAATCCCAGCTGTTAGTGTATGGTTTGGACCAAGAAACTCTGCACACACAACTTGGCCAGAGCAGGGAGAGAAGCAGAGCAGGGAGACCAGACTGGACCCACTGCAGGCGGGCGGGAGGCCCATGTGGATTTAAGCCCGGTGCCAACATTCGTGGCTATGACTGGCTGCCGTCCAGCTCTGGGCCTCCATCTGATAGGATGGAGTTCTCAGCGGTGATGTGGCTGGAGGCTGGCTGCAGGCACGGCTGCCTCAAAGGCTCCTGGGAAGCACTAGTCTCCCAGCGGCAGTGGGAGGGGTTGGAGAGGCCAGTAAATAGGAGGAAGTTTAGACAGCATCATTCCCTTGGGCACTGGCCGCTTCTAGGTAACAAGTAAAAACTCCTAGCAGAACAGAAACTTGGCTGGGAGAGAACAAAATGTTTTTGAAGCTGCTGAGTGGACCTTTTATCTTTGAGTGCAGCCATTGCCTTCCTGTAGTCTCCGAGTGGCCACGGGCAATTTCTGTGCTGTCTTCGGAGCAACATTGTCGAGGCCGGCCACTGGACGGAACTGGAAGGAGTGTCATTCCGGGACTTCTGACAGGACAGCCTGTTTGGGACAATGTGTCAATCAACAACTGCTTGCTGAGAGCCTCGTTGCCATGTAGGCAACTGTCTAGAAAGAGGCTTCATAACAGAGTCCAGGTTCCTCCTCAGATTAGGGACTCATTTCCTCTCCCCTCTACAAGCCCAGTGTTGTCTACCTTGAAAAGACTCACAAATGGAACCGCCCTGACCCACATCTGCACCCCAGACCTAGTTGCAAAGGTCTGCAGGGATGTCTCGGACTGGACCTGGTCACATTTCTCCCATCTTGCTCCTCTGAGGAAAGAGTGCCTTTGCCCCTGTTTTAGTCAAGTTTCTTACCTACAAGTGAAAAAAAAAAAAAAAAAACCCTAATGTGAACCACCTAGGGGGGGTAAGAGGACTTTACTGTCTCATGGTGGCGGAACATAAGAAAAAGCAACCTTTTAGGGGGTATACTGTGTTGAACAGTATCCCCTGTGAGATTCTTGTCTGCCTGGAATTGGTGAATGTGACCTTATTTGGAAATAAGATCTTTGCAAATGTAACTACATTAAGATGAGGTCATACTGGATTCTGGTGGGCCCTAATCCAATGACTGGTATCCTTGGAAGGAAAGGGGTATTGGGACAAAGACACACAGGGAAGAAGGACATGTGATGGCAGAGGGAGGGATTGGAGTGACGCCTCTACAAGTCGAGGAGTGACAAGGACTGCCAGCCACCACCAGACACTGGGAGAGGCATGGAACAGGTTCCTTCCCAGAGACTTTGGAGAGAACACAGACCTGCTGATACCTTGATTTCCGACTTCTGGCCACCAGAACTGTGAAAGAACACATGCCTGCCATCTCAAGCCACCCAGTTTGGGGTTATTTGTTATGGCAGCCCCAGGACACTGATATAGTGGATGCCGTGATGGTCCCCATTTTAAAGATGAGAAAACTAAGGCACTGAAGTGATTAGTTATTTGCCCAAGGTCAGGCAACTAATAAGTGGTAGAGCTAGGATTGTTTAAAACAGCTTTATTGAGATATAATCCACATACCATACAATTCACTCATTTGAAATGCACAATTCGGCAGGGCATGGTGGCTCACGCCTGTAATCCCAGCACTTTGGGAGGCACAGGTGGGAGGATCATTTGAGGTTGGGAGTTCAAGACCAGTCTGGCCAACATGGTGAAACCACATCTCTACTAAAAATACAAAAATTAGCCATGTGTGGTGGTGGGCACCTGTAATCCCAGCTGCTCGGAAGGCTGAGGCAGGACAATCACTTGAACCTGGGAGGCGGAGGTTGCAGTAATCCCTGATTGCACCACTGCACTCCAGCCCGGGCAACAGAGCAAGATTCCATCTCAAAAAATAATAATAATAATTTTAAAAAGAACGTCCCCTAAAATACCAAGTTAACAGATGCATACGTACATTGAGAATGTAACTTGGAATGCAAGCCTAATAGATGTTTACTTTAATGTCTACAGAATGTCAACTGCATTTGAGTCATTTGCAACTCAGTGTTTTTGTACGAATTACATGTCACGTGGGATGTGGGTACTTTTAATTATGATCAATGTAAGAAGGGGCTTCACAAAGTAAGAGTGCCTAGGGCCTATGACCGGCCCTGACAGCTCAGGGCCTTTGTGCCAAGACAGAATTCTAACCAGAATCCTTTGTACAGGTTTTGCGTGCGGTGGAGTCCAAAGTCTTTACCGAACTGTGCCTTTGAGGGCTGCCTCCAGACTCCAGTGATAGCATTCACAGAGTCCAGTAGGCAGAAAGCCCAATTCCCCTTCACCTTGGAGGCCTTTCACGTCTATTGCCTGAGAAAATGTATCCTATTGGAGCACCCCAGGATGGAGCTGACTTACTGACCAGCAGCCAGCAGCCTGCAAGGGCAGAGGAGAGCAGGCAGTAGCTGGGGGCAAACACCTCTGTTGGAGGCAGCCGGTGGCACTTGGAAGTCACAGCTCCCACCCAGCCTCCTGGAGGGAGACAGTTGGGAAAGCTGCGATACTGCATTAGCCTGTCAGTCACGGGGAAGCAATTCTTCAGGTCATCAGTCAAAAGCCTCCTTGGAAATGAGAAACGAGCCTGAACACCAGGCCATTTAAAAAGATATTTATTGTGAAATGTGGAGGCAGCAGCGCCTTCCCTGAGACGCGACAGGCACTCAGCATGAATTACACCAGGTAAGTCTAGAGAAGCAGGTGGCAGGTACCTGGATATAAGTGAGGTACAACCTTGAAACATCGCTGCAAACAATGACCCCAGGAGGAAAGCAGGGGTTGCAAGCAGGGGGGTGCCCAGGGCTGTGGGAGGGGGCAAACAGGACTCCACAGCCCGGCACAGATGACAGTCCTCGGGCCCTACAGAGAGCGTCTTCAGCCTACAGAGAGGGTCTTAGGCGTGAAGAAGAATGAGCCTAAATCCATTACCATGCAAACTGAAAATAACAGCAGAAATGACTTGTTGCCTGGAATTTGCTTCAAAATTCTACACAAAAAAAAAAATTGCTGAGGGCTACATTGACAAAACGGGATTGGTAAGATATTGATAACTGCTGAAGCTGGGTGATGAATATTTAGGGATTCATGACATTATTCTTCTACTTTTGTGTATATTTGAAATTTTCAATACTGAAAATTTTCTTTGAAGAAAATAGGTCTTTTTCCCATGCTCATGGGTCTTATCTCTCTGTAAATATATATTTTGGAGATGAGCCAGCCACATTTTCTAGGCCTGATAACCTGCAAACTGCAAAATTATATTTTGAATTATACATACACACACACACACACACACACACACACACACACACACACAAACAAACACACACACACATATATGCATGTATAAGGTAAGTGTGGACATACAACTCCAGGTGTCAGACCCACTGCTGGTCTGACTCTAGGCCTGGAATCTTACCCACTCCACTAACGCACACTCACTGATGCCACAAAAATCTCCAATGTACAATTACAAGGCCAACAGAAATGGCTCCCATCTGTCAATAAGTCAAGGTCAAAGGAATCCCAGCCTGGCCTGGCTGGCTCTAGCCTCCCTTCCCATGTCTCACACCAACACCATCACTCCCTTCTTAAGTCCCTCTGGCAAGTCTAGACGCACCTGAGGCCTCCCAAAGACAGCCATGCCATGGCAGCTTCTGCGTGAAGAGCCTGTTCGGTGACGGCCCACTCTCATATAGCTGCTGCACTTGGCTACGCAGTAGGATCCATGAACTGAGTTTGGGGACCAAAAACGTGAAAGCGGGACAGAGTTTCCAAGTAGCCAATCCACTGTTATCTATTAACTGAAATTGACTATGTTTAATTTTTCTGTTTATAAAGATCATTGGGTTCCACTAGAAGCAAATCTTAAGAATTTGAGTGCCAATAGTTTTTTGTTTTTTTTGTTGTTGTTGTTTGTTTGTTTTTTGTTTTTTGTTTTTGAGATGGAGTCTCGCTCTGTTGCCTACGCTGGAGTGCAGTGGCGCGATCTGAGCTCACTGCAACCTCCACCTCCTGGGTTCAAGCAATTCTCCTGCCTCAGCCTCTTGAGTAGCTGGGACTATAGGCGCCTGCCACCACACCTGGCTTATTTTCGTATTTTCAGTAGAGACGGGGTTTCACCATATTGGCCAGGCTGGTCTTGAACTCCTGACCTTGTGATCCGCCTGCCTCGGCCTCCCAAAGTGCTGGGATTACAGGCGTGAGCCACTGCGCCCAGCCGAGTGCTAGTAGTTTTAAGGAAGCATCAGAAGGACAGTGGAAAAATTAATCAGGGAATGGAAGGTGGCCAATAAAGGGTTCTGTTACTGAGTAGGCCACTGCCATGTACAACTGGGGCTGAGTTCTACCGGGAAAGTCTTTGAGACAACATAGAACATATGTCGGAGTCTTTCCCCTAAGAGGCAAGGATGCAGCGGTAGTATCCTCCAACTGCCACTTGCCATTGGCTGAATGATGCTCCTGGCATTAGGAACTCTTCAGCATTTCTAGCTTGTCCCCTGTGCATGGGGCAGAGCAGGCCCTTTGGTGGAGAGGCACAGATACTGCAGAGATGCAATCTCTGCCTCCACATTTCAATCTTTGCAGAGTCCTCTGCAGATGCAATATCTGCAGAGGACTCTGTTGGCACGTAATAGAATAGAGACCAGAGGATCTGGGAAGGGCATCAATGCATTTGCTTCCCTGTAGAACTTTGAACCCACCTTCACCTAACCATGCTCCAGGAGAACCAGCATTCTCTATCCCTTGTGTAAATCATTCTGTTGATGCCCACTGGACCCTTCAATCTAATACAGTACTTCCTGAAATGCATGCACACGTCTACCTCCATCTCAGCTTGCCAAGAGCAAGTTGCCTTGGTTCTTCACTTTAATTGCAATAAAGCAACTATTGGTTCCATGCTGATATAGTTTGGATATTGTCCCCTCCAAATATTATGTTAAAATGTGATCCCCAATGTTAGAGGTGGAGCTTAGTAGGAGGTGTTTTGGTCACGGGGTGAAACCCTTGGGAATGAGTGAGTTCTTCTGTTAGCTCATGTGAGAGCTGGTTGTTTAAAAGAACCTGACATCTCTCTTTCTCTCTCCTGTGCCGTGTGACAGACCTGCTCCCCTTCACCTTCTGCCATGACTGTAAGTTTCTTAAGGACCTCACCAGAAGCAAATGCTGGCATTATGCTTCTTGTACACTCTGTAGAACCATGAGCCAAAATACACCTCTTTTCTTTATGTATTACCCAGCCTCAGGTATTTTTTAGAGCAATCCAAAACAGACTAAAACAGGTATTGTCAGATGCTAGGGATTCTACTACTTCTCTCACACACAACTGTGTTTATCTATGCAATGACAATGCCATTAGTTAGAGCAATGCCACTAGACTGGACTATAGGCTCTATGAGCTTTTACATCACCATTGCATGTCCACACTAGAATACAGCCTGTCACCATAGAAATAATACCGAATACATGTTTAAGGAATGGGCTAAGTAATGACAAGTAAATGCTTTGGTATATAAATCTTTGCCCACAATTATTTCTTCAAGATAGATTTGTAGAAGCAGAATTACTGAGTCATCTGTCCAAGAATTACAATATTCTGTTTATATCAATAGCAAAATATTCTGTAGACCCTTCCAAAGTAACTTGTGCTGCCATAAAAACTTTCCTTAACCCCTAAAATCATGGACCCCTGTATATATGACCTTGACTTTCAATGGGTTGTTGTAAGAAAAGGTCTTGTGGCAGGATGCGGTGGCTCACACCTGTAATCCCATCATTTTGGGAGGCCGAGGCGGATAGATCACCTGAGCTCAGGGGTTCAAGACCCGCCTAGCCAAGATGGTGAAACCCTGTTTCTACAAAAATACAAAAATTACCCAGGCATGGTGGCAGGTGCCTGTAATCCCAGCTTCTTGGAAGGCTGAGGCAGGAGAATCGCTTGAACTCAGGAAGGAGAGGTTGCAGTGAGCAGAGATCGCACCATTACACTCCAGCCTGGGTGACAGTGAGACCCTGTCTCAAAAATAAATAAATAAATAAATAAATAAATAAATAAATAAATAAATAAGAAATGGTCTTGTGCAACTGATTATAGCATTATAGCAGGGATGATGTTGAAAAAAATCATTCTATCCATTGTCCCCAAATGAAGCCCATGTAAAAAATTTTCCTGTTTCCAGTTGCCCCTATAGAAATCACATAAGTTTCTAAAACATTTGGTATTAAAATTATGCAACTAACAGTGTCTTTCTTTTTACTTTGGCTAGCAGGAAGTTTAACGTCAAATCTGAGCATGATTCCCCATACTACAGATAATTCCTCTAGGTTTGATTTTTTTTTTTTTTTTTTTTTTTTTTTTTTTTTTTTTTTTTTTTTTTTCGTGATAGGGTCTTGCTCTGTCTCCTAGGCTGGAGTGCAGTGGCATGATCATGACTCACTGCAGCCTTGACCTCCTGGGCTTAAACCACCCTCTCACCTCAGCCTTCTGAGTAGCTGGGACCACAAGCATATATCACCATGCCTGGCTAACTTGTTTTGTTTTTGTAGAGACAGGGTCTCACTATATTGCCCAGAACAGACTTGAACTCCTGGGCTCAAGAGATCCTCCCACCCCAGCCTCCCAAAGTCCTTGGATTACAGGCGTGAGCCCCCATGCCCAGCCTGGGTTGGATTTTTTTATAATTCTTTTGTACAATCTTCTGTGTTACTCTGTGTGTGGGTTTTTTGTAAGCTGATTCAAAATCCTGTGGTGTATATCCATGGCAGGATAGAAACAAAGTAAGACAAAGAGCAGTTTCTTATTCTGCTGGCAGAGAGAATCCCGCAGTGAGTTTTATAGTCAGTCCTGAGGAACCTGCCTGCTACCCCCACCCACAGGCTCCCAGCTCTCAGCTCTGGAGAGAAGGTGCACAGAGTAATACAAAATGTCATGGGCCAGGCGCGGTGGCTCATGCCTGTAATCCCAGCACTTTGGGAGGCCGAGGCGGGCAGATCACTAGAGGCCAGGAGTTCGAGACCAGCCTGGCCAACATGGTGAAACTCCATCTCTACTGAAAATACAAAAATAAATTAGCCAGGCATGGTGGTACATGCCTGTAATCCCAGCTACTCAAGAGGCTGAGGCAGGAGAATTGCTTAAACCCAGGAGGCGGAGGTTGCAGTGAGCCAAGATCACACCACTGCACTCCAGCCTGGGTGACAGAGCAAGACTCTATCTCGAAAAATAAATACATAAATAAAAAATTAGCCAGGCACGGTGGTGCATGCCTGTAGTCCCAGCTACTAGGGAGGCTGTGGCAGAAGAATCACTTGAAGCCAGGAGCTGGAGGTTGCAGTAAGCTGAGATGGCACCACTGCACTCCAGCCTGGGTAACAGAGTGCGACTCTGTCGCAAAGAAAAAAATGTCATGGACCCAGGAGTTCTCAAAGTCCTAGCCCTGGCCCTGGCCCTTTTGCTCTGTGACAAGTTATTGCTGGATCTGACTTTAGGGACTCCACCTCCCGAAACGGACAGCAAGAAGGTCCCCATATGTCCTCAAACAGCCCTTCCAGGTGCATGCACATCTGCTCAGGTTGACTTCCCAGAGCAGATGGCCAGTTAGCCTCTAACAGCTTGAGTAATTTGTGGGCATGAAAGACCATGAGTACCTGACCAGCAACAGAAATACGCTTTCTGTCTGTCCCACAGTGGAACCAGCACCCAGGTGGCCAGGGTCGGGCTCCACATATCCCTCAGCCCCTTCAGCTTTGCATGTGTCCATCGGTGACTCAGCACAGAGTTTTCCAACCTCATGTGACAAAAATACAGATTCCCAGTCTCCTCTCCTGGATTTGGATCTAGCAAGACCAGAGACGGTCCTAGAATCCTGACTGTTAACAAGCACTCCAGGCAATTCTTAAGACCAAGCACGGAGCCAAGATTGCACCACCACACTCCATCCTAGGTGACAGAGGGAGACCCTGTCTCAAAAATAAAAGACCAAACACTGAGAAACAAGGACTCAGCAGAACCGTGGATTAGGAACCTTGGGGTCTAACTACCTGGTAGCCACACAGAGCTGTTCAATTTCCATCTTGATCTAGATAAACCCACCAGTTATATACTCCCTTTTCCCTCCACCTTCCATTGTCCTTACCAACTAGGGCAGGGCTTCTCATTCCTGGCACTATTGACATTTTAGACTGGATAATTCTTTCTGGGGGTTGGGACGGCAGGTGCCCTGTGCTCTGGAGGATGTTTTGCAGCATCCCCGGCCTCGACCCACTAGAGGTCAGGAATAGCACCTCCACCCAAGTTGTGTGGGTGGCAGTCGCCTGTAATCCCAGCTACTCCGGAGGCTGAGGCAGGAAAATTGCTCGAATCCGGGCAACGGAGGTTGCAGTGACCGGAGATCGAGCCACTGCACTCCTGGGCAGGGGGATGGGGGGTGAACAAAAGCACCCCCCTGTTGAGAACAACTGAGCTATGGTGACTCTCCACCCTAGTTTTTCCAAGACTCGTGTTAGCGCTTAAAACTCTATGTCCTGGGAGACCCCCCAGTCTCAGGCATCTGAGAGTTGCTTACCCTAAAACGCGTTCCTTTTGGAGGGCTGAGGGTGACCCATGTGCCACTGACATGCCCCAAGTTCCTGTGGGTACCAAAGTCAAGATCAAGACTGCAGAAGACCTTGAATCGGGGCTGTGGGTAAGAAGTTCTTTTTTTTTTTTTTTTTTTTATGACAGTCTCACTCTGTCACCCAGGCTGGAGTGCCGTGGTGAAATCTCGGCTCACTGCAACCTCCGCCTCCCGGGTTCAAGCGATTCTCATACCTCAACCTCCCCAGTAGCTGGGATTACAGGCACCTGCCACCACACCCAGCTAATTTTTTGTATTTTAGTAGAGACAGGGTTTCACCATGTTGCCCAGGCTGGTCTTGAGCTCCTCAGCTCAGGCAATCCACTTGCCTTGACCTCCCAAAATGTTGGAATTACAGGCGTGAGCCACTGTGCCCAGGCAGGTGAGGAGTTCTCTGGGACAACCCACCGAAGGGACCCAGGAAGGGCTGAGCACTCACCCCACTAGGCTGGGAACTCCATGAGGGCCAAAGACCAAGTGTTTCCTGCCTCGATGATACCCCAGGGCCCAGCACAGAGCACAAAAAACGTGAACAATAAGTAATTGCTGCGTGGGTGCGAGACAGATGGACAGATAGATGGAAGGAAGGATGGGTCGCCAGATAAATAGGTGGATGGATGAACAGATGCATGTATGGACTCTCAGGGACTACAGTTAGTTGTTCAGGCTTGCTAAGCTTCAGCATATCAACACTCACGATGCAGATAAGAATACCTTTGTGTTAGGGCCACTGGGAGGATTAAATGAGATGCTGAATTGCTGTGTGTGGCTTCCGGATTAAAACTAATGCAGAGCCTAGCACATAACAAATACTGGCTCCCTTCTTCCTTTTCTGGGATCTAGAAGAACTGATTAAATTTAATTAAATGATTCTGAAAGATGAGGAAAGGTAGGCGAGGCCCTCACAATGCCCACAACACAGACAAGCAGGGAAGAGGAAAATTGTAAGTGCTCTTATCATTTATTTCTATCTTGTGGTCATAAGTTCAAATTGTTCCTAATTCAGATAATGGAGCCAATAAATGAGATTCCACAGTGTCCTGCCAAAATGCAGTCTGCCTTGCATGCCCCGGCCCCTGGGAGCTTTTAATAACCAAGCTTCTGTGCACTGGGCTGGTTCTGCCTGTGAGCCATTTGGGCCATCTTGCCATGTGGTTCACAACGTGTTAATCCTCCCAGCCCTCTACAGTCCAGAGGAAGACAGGAGAGCAGAAGGTGCCCCAGTCTTTACTCAGCATTTTAACCCTTGGGACTTTTCCCTTGACCCAGCCGGGGGCCCCTGAACCATGTCCTTATTAAGACCAGCAGCTGATCGTGGGCTAGAGACCTCTTTGAATCTTATTTTCTTTCTTTCTCTCTCTCTTTTCTTTTTTTGGGTTTTTTCCCCTGATTTTCTTTTCTTCCAGCTTTTTTGATGTATAAATGACAAAAACTGTATATATTAAAGGTATACAAGATGATGTTTTGATATACATAAGCATTATGAAACGATTACCTGTCAAGCTAATTAATATATCCATTACTTCACATAATTACTTTTGCGTGTGTGTGATAAGAACATTTAAGATCTACTATCTTAGCAAGTTTCAGTTATACAGCACAGTATTATCCACATTCACCATGTTGTACACTAGATCTCCAGAGCTGATTTGTCCTGCATAACTGAACTTTGTACCCTTTGACCAACCTCCTCCCCGCCCATGAAGCCTATTCTTTTGAAAAAAGACAGACAGAAGACAGATTGATAGGGACTGGTCAAACATGAATTGAAAAGTAACTTTGATGACCTTCAAATTTCAGGGCTCAAGGAGAGGAGACAAGGGAATGGCCAGATGGAGATAGTGTATCTCCTGAGGGGTTGGACAAGGGGACTTGGAGGGCTGAGATTCTTTTCCCATGCAGATATGTTGGCCATCTCCTGGGATAAGGTCCCCCATGGCCCCACCTGCCTCCTGAGCCTCCTCTCTGCCACTCTTCCAACCGCCACCCACAGCCTTCTTAGGTTCCTAGAACACCCCAAACTCCTTCCCACCTCAGGTCTTTCTGTGCCTGGCACATTCCTTTGGTGCCTACCAGAGAGCACGTGAAATATGGCACCTCTCCGGGAGCCTTTTCTGACTGCATCTGATCCCAGACAAGGAGCACCAAGTACTTTTCCATTGTAGACTTTATTGTATTATAATTTAAAATGTTTATGGAATAATGTGTTTGATGTCTGCTATGGGCTAAATTGTATACCCCCAAAATTCATATGCTGAATCTCCAACCCCCAATGTGATATTATTTGGAGATGAGGCCTTTGGGAGATAATTAGGTACATATGAGGTCATGGGTGGAGGGTATCCTCATGATAAAATTAGTGCCCTTATAAGAAGAGACAGCCGGGCGTGGTGGCTCACGCCTGTAATCCCAGCACTTTGGGAGGCCGAGGCAGGCGGATAATGAGGTCAAGAGATCGAGACCATCCTGGCTAACATGGTGAAACCCCGTCTCCACTAAAAAAATTAAAAAAATTAGCCGGGCGTGGTGGCAGTCACCTGTAGTACCAGCTACTCGGGAGGCTGAGGCAGGAGAATGGCGTGAACCTGGGAGGCAGAGCTTGCAGTGAGCCAAGATCGCGCCACTGCATTCCAGCCTGGGTGACAGAGCAAGACTCCATCTCAAAAAAAAAAAAAGAAGAGACAACACAGAATTTGCTCATTCTCAATCTCTCTCCACTATGTAAAGATACAGCAAGAAGGTGGCCATCTACAAACCAGGAAAAGAGACCTCGCCAGGAACCAAATTGGCCAGCACCTTGAGCTTGACGGTCCCAGTCTTCAGAACTGTGAGAAATAAGCTACCCAGTCTATGGTATGTTGTTTAAGCCTGAGAAGACTAAGACAATGTCTATCATCCCCAGACAGGCCATGTCTGTTATATTATTGCTCCTTTATCACTCCCAGGTCTCGCCGGAGACTGATGGCACACCTGAATCGGTTGAGTAAGTACAGGAGGGTTTAGTTACACAAAGGAGTGGGTGTAGGGGCAATAACCAGTACTTACTACCATAGGAGGGGTCAGTTAAGGAAGTCACAAGAGAGACAGCTGTAAAGAATCAGCCCCCTGAGAAAAATCCTGATTGCCAATCATGTAGTCAAAGAGAAAGAGCCAGAGCGGAAGTTGCCTGAGCCCACTTTCCTTCCTCCTTCCCATCTTCTGCTGGGAGACCTCCCCTCCCACTACTTGTCACCATTGGCCAATCCCAACCATAAGCCAGGGGGTACTGGAGCCTGATGCTTTCCATACAATTCAGCCTCTGCAGCCAGAGCAAGATGGAGACGGGTACAGAGCAAAGAGGGGTCTGAACAGGCAGATGGGGGCTATCTGGAACATCCCCCTGGTGCAGTCTGAGCACAAGTGTGCAATTATTATTTGTTAAGTTAAGTTGGTTAAATGACCCTAAACTAACTCTCTACACCTGGAGTCTGGCTACAGAGGCAGATCTTGAGGACTTTGTACACCTCCTCCTTTGCTCTAAAGGGGAACCTGCAGAAATGATTCCTATGCTCTTGTTTTGCTACCATGTAACCTTTGACAGTCAGCAACATGTTGTTCAACAACCACAAATCCTGCCACCCACTCCAAGGACATCTAGGTACTATTCCCGATTTAGACAAAGAAAGGCAACTAGTCTTGGGTCCCTGTCTCTAAGACAGGTATTCCGTGTCTGCTCTGTAGGAATATGTTCTAGAAAAGCCGACCTCTCCATGGAGAGGTCAAATTTCTCCACCTCCCCCACGCCCCATTCTCTCAACCCTTTATTTAAACACATTTCTCTATTCAAGGCATATCGGTTGAGGGCCAACCTGGGATTTAGAGTATAGTGGCCACAGAAAGGCATCACCCAGATCTCCTGCTGAAGGAACAAAGTTGGCTCATGTTCACCCTGAGGCTGTGCTTCTACCAAGCTTACTCCACCCAGTGACTGAGCACAGCACAGTACAGTGCCAACCCCTTCTTGAGGATTTGGGACTCCTCTAAGGGTAACTTTACCTCCTTATCAACCTGGAAAAAAATGTTCTTAAACGTGTGCTGTGGTCTGAGGCTCTTTCTGCCCAATTCCCCTTCCTTTTCAACTCTCCTTTCACAGGTATTGAAGGCTCATCCTGGCTCTTCCTGCTTCTCCAAGACCTGAACTGTCACCCAGAACCTGGATGTTTGACAAACTGGATAGGCTACTGCTGCCTACAGTCAGGTGTTTGCATGAGTTTGCATGCCTATCAATACAAGCAGGCTTTAATCTTTTTGTTTTTATTTGATGTGATTTGTTGGTAAAAGCAGATGGTAGGATTTGGAGTTTGGAGATGGAAAAGAGCAGGTGGATGGAGGGGTTGCCATGGTGACTGTCTGCTTGCCTAGCGTTAGAAGTCAGTTTTCAGCTTGCATGGAAGAATGGCTAATGGCCAGAAGTTGAAGGAGCTATGTACAAAAAAGACGATTTGAGAAATTGGGCATAAGCAGTCCCACATGACCAAAAGTGATGGTCAGGAAAAAGGACAGTCACACTCACAGTTGACCACAAACCACAACACACCAGCAGAAATGGCTATGCCCAGTGGGAATCATTTTCATTGAGGATTGTATCAGTCAGCTATTGCTGTGTAACAAATCACCTGAACACTCCAAAACTCAGTGGCTTAAAATAACAATCATTTATTATCATTCATATGTCTACAAGTCAGCTAGAGTTTGGCTGATATCGGTTGGGCTCTACTGAGGCACATCTGCGTCACATATCTCTCATCTTCTTCCTTGGACTACCTGTCCAGCCAAGGCATGTTCGTCTCATGATGCAGTGAAAGATGAGGGAAGAAGACCAAGTTGGTAACCTCTTAACTTCTGACACTACTTTCTATTAGAGACACTCTGATGTTTCCATGGCCCTTTTCCAATGGTCCAAGGAAGCCATGGAGATGGGCTTGGCGGCAAAGAGTATAAAGTGGACTCTGAGCCATAAAGTGGACTCTGAGCCAATTCGACTTAACACTGCCACAAACTTTCTCATTCTGCCAGTGTGGTATGATGTGAACTACATGGAATTTTGAAATCACAGAGACCCAAATTCCAATTCTGTCTCTTACCCTCATTAACTAGAGAACATGGGTGACCTATTTTAACCTCATAGAGTGGAGTTTCGATTTCCAGATCTATAAAATGGGGATTATGATACACACCTCTTGCGGTGGTTTTAACTTGGGTTGATTTGATCAGATAATGTATGTACAAATTTTTGCAAACAATAAAGACTATAAAATGATAGTTAGTTTGGTATAATTATAAGGAAAATCACCCTCTTATGAGAGTACATCTATCTAGCACATTGCTTTCTGGAAATGGCTAGTTCTATATTTACTCACTCCAAAAAAGGGAAATTGATTCTTGGGTCTTTGTTGCAATGTTACGCCCCTACAAATGTAAGGGCCAAAACCTCCCTGCGTGACTTGATGGTGAAGCCATTTCAAATGGAAGAACACAAAGCATCCTATTTTGGGGACAGTTTTTGCCACTCAGAAAACCTGTCATTAATGACCTGTCTGTCACCTGTGTCTACGGTCCTCTTTGATAAATTGCACGGGTGTTGAAACCACAGGCGAGCAAATGTTCAATGCACAATGAGATACAAAGAGACCAAGCAAGAGGCCGGGTGGGTCCCGAGCAAAGGTCTTCACTCAAAATGGTTAAGCAAAAAAGTGACTCATTGACATAAAACAGAAAAGATCAGAGCTATGGCAGACAGAGGTGTGGCCAGATTATGGAACTTGAACAATGTCACTGGCTTTTCTCTGCCTTTTTCTTCTCCTTGTGTTGGCTACAGCTCAGAAAGATTTTCCCTCACATTTTCCCAGGTTCGAGTCCTGCATAAAAAGAGAGAAATTCTCTTCCGGGTAGCTCCTGGGCAAGTCCTGGGTTTCACTCTGATTTGACCAACTTGGGTCATATGCTCATCCTTCAACCAATCATTTGGCCAGGATAGGGCAATGCTGATTAGTGCAGTTCTAGGTCTCATGCCCGTCACTGGAGGAAGAGAGACGGGGCCTCAGCCAAACACCTGGCCTGGAAATGGGGGTAAGAGTTGAAGCCCAAACAAAAATCAGAGACTCCTGCCATTCCACTATAGACAGGTGCAGGGGGTCTTTGGCACTATACCAAAATCATGTACATCCCCATAATAATCATTTGCACTTCAAAGCGACTTCCTCATCCACTAGTCCCTTTGTGCTTCACACTAACCATGGGCAGAAGGATTGTGGCTTTCCAGAGAGAGCTCCTGACTTCCGAATGTTGACACTTGTTCTTATTCTGTCTGCTTTCCCACTCCATTCTCCGCCCTTCCATGTGACACCAGAAGCCAACCCTATGGACCACATCACAGGACTCCCTTATTAAATTAGTGTCCTGTGCCTGCTGTAACAAATGACCACAAACTTAGTGGCTTAAAACAACACTGATTTATTCCTAAAGTTCTGGAGGCCAAATATCCAAAATGAGTCTTATGATTTAGCATGAACTTATGAGTCTAAAATTAACATATTAGCAGGTCTGGCCCCTTTTAGAGGTTCCTGGGGAGAATCTCCTGGGCAGAATACATTCCTTGCCTCTTCCAGCTTCTAGAGGCCACTGACAGTCCTTGGCCCTTGGCTACTTCCATTGTCACATCAGCACCTCTCATCCTTCCTCTCGTGATTTCTTCTTTCTCTTACAAGAGCCCTTGTGATTACACTGGGACCACCCAGATAATCTAGTTTAATCCCCTCATCTCAAGAACTGAATTCAATTACATTTGCAAAGCCCCTTTTACCATGTAAGGTAACACAGTCACAGGTTATGGGTATTTGGTCATTATTCTCTCTTCCAAATTACCCTTCTGTTGTTAGTTGGGTTCAACCAACAGGAAGCACATGCAGGTGACCACAGGGTAGAAGGAGAGAGATGGCCTCCTATGCTCCCTCCCTGCCAAGACAGATTTGGGTGTGGCTACTTCCTCTATGAACACACCTCTTCTCTATCTGCCCTTTAACCCCAGCTTACATGAGGTTCCTTCCAGCACCCCATTCCTTCCTCTTGCCCACCACCGTGCCCGGCCAAGAACACTTTAAAACACTGTTCCTGGCAAGGCACGGTGACTCACGCCTGTAATCCCAGCACTTTGGGAGGCCGAGGCGGGTGGATCGCATGAGGTCAGGAGCTGAAGACCAGCCTGGCCAAGATGGTGAAACTCCATCTCTACTAAAAATACAAAAATTAGCCGGGTGTGGTGGCAGCCACCTACAATCCCAGCTACTCAGGAGGAGGGTGAGGCAGAGAATTGCTTGAACCCGGGAGGCGGACGTTGCAGTGAGCCGAGATCGAGCCACTGCAGTCGAGCCTGGGCTACAGAGAGAGACTCCATCTCAAAAACAAAAAAAAGGAAGGAGGCAATGAGAGAAACATGAAAACAGAAGCAGGGTTACAGAGATGCTTTGTTGCTGACTTTGAAGGTAAAAAGAGGCCATGAGCCAAGGAAATGTGGGCAGCCTTCAAAAGCTGGGAAAAGCAAGGAAGCGTATTCTCCCCTACAGCGTCCAGCCCTGCCACGATGACCCACTTCCCATGCAAAGAATGGGACATGTCCGTTTGAGGTAGCCCTTGGATTTTCCTTTCGTCATATTCCTAGGCAAGGTACTAGTTTCAGACTCCCAAGCCAAGTGCCACAGTGCCTGTTCCATGCCATGTAATGTTTCTGCTTCCCAGGCCTACCACTTGCCAGATGCCTCCAGGCTTCTATCTTCATGACTGTCACTGCCCCACCTTCCTTTTTTTTTTTTTTTTTTTTTTTTGAGACACAGTCTCGCTCTGTCACCCAGGCTGGAGTGCAGTGGCACCATCTTAGCTCACTGCAAGCTCCGCCTCCGGGTTCACGCCATTCTCCTGCCTCAGCCTTACTAGTAGCTGGGACTACAGGCAACTGCCACCACGCCCAGCTAATTGTTTTTGTATTTTTAGTAGAGATGGGGTTTCACTGTGTTCGCCAGGATGGTCTCGATCTCCTGACCTCGTGTTCTGCTCGCCTCGGCCTCCCAAAGTGCTGGTATTACAGACGTGAGCCACGGTGCCCGGCCCCTCTTCCATTTTTTAGAACACCTGTGATTACATTGGGTACACCTGGATAATCCAGGTTACTCTCCCATCTTAAGGTTAGTAACTAGCAACCTTAATTCCATCTGCAACCTTAATTTCTCCTTGCCATGTAGGATAACATATTTGCAGGTTTGGGGGATTCGGACAGGTATCTATCTTTAGGAGGCAATACTCCAGGGTTAAAGACTTGTGATTTTCTTTGCACAGCACCCAAACAACCCCAAATTGGTAAGAACAACCCCAAATTTCCTTTGGAAGGACATCTCTTTCTAATTCTCAATCCAGGGCCTTGGAAAAGGGTAACCTCCCTACCCCACCCACCCCGCTGCCCATCTCTATGTGAGTGAGCGCATGGCGCAAGTCTAATCATTTCTGTTTCTGCCCCAAGTCCCAGGGATTGAGTGAAGCAGTTCAGTCAAATGAGAATCAGCCCAAGACCTTCTCAGGAACTAATGGACAAGAATTTCTTTCTTTCTGCCAAGCTTACTATTGGATATTAGATGAGTGTTCTAAATCCTTCACTCTCTCCTGCATGTGACCTTGCAGTGCATGCGGGTAGCTGGGGTTTGTTTCCCCACCCCAAGTGACTTATTTTGGCCATTGGGATGTAGTCAGAAATGACAGTGCATGATTCCTAGTCAAACTATTGAGAGGCATCCCATGTTTCCACTGGCATTCTTGAGTTCCCACCATGTGCCATGAGCAGAAGAGTCCATGGACAGATGCAGATGCCATGGAAATATAGAGACATATGGAGCAGACCTGATTCCAAACTGCAGCCCTAGAGCCAAGCCCAGCCAATCCCCTATCAGGAGCAGAGCTGTCTCAGCCAAGCAGCAGAACTGTGAAATAGAAAAATAAATGCTCAGCCAGGTGCGCTGGCTCACACCTGTAATCCCAGCTCTTTGGAAGGTTAAGATGGGAGGATCAGTTGAGCCCGGGAGTTTGAGACCAGCCTAGGCAACACTGTGAGACCTCATCTCTAAAAAAGAAAGAAAAAAGAAAATAAAATAAAAATCAGCGCTTCTTGTTGTAAGCCATTGAGTTTTGAGGTGTTTTGTTATGCAGCATTATTATGGTAATAGCTGATTAAGATTCTCGTCAAGCTGGTAAGATATAAACCTAGAGTTTCTGGTGGTCATCAGACCAAAATAAGAGAAGAGCCTACATGAAAAGGAAGCCAACAGAAAGAAACAAAGAGTGCTTACATTTAGATTTAAATGACATAATTTCAATAACCAAAGTAGCCCACTCCTAGATTCTACTGAGTTGATTAATTCAAAATGTTTTCAACACATTCTTTTTTGTAAAATGTATAGTAAGTCAGAAAGTGATCAGTGCTACAGAGGGACAAATAATACTGAAAAGAAGAATATGCAATTTGATGGGAGGTGTTAAAATTTTAGATTGGGTGGCCAGGGAAGGTTTCATTGAGAAGGTAACATTTTAGAAAAGACTTGAGTGGGTCATGTGGGTGTCTGCGGGAGCCTTCCAGGCAATGGGAATGGAAAATGCAAAGACCCTGAGACCTAGCCTGGCATGTCTAAACGGCAGTGATCCGGATACGGTGGCTGAAGCAGGAAGGAGAAGGAAGGCAGAGGACCAGGACATGAGGTTAGAGAGTAGGCTGGGTGCACTAATGTCTCCCCAAAATTCATGTCTGCTAGATCCTCAGAATATGACCTTATTTGGAAATAAGGTCATTGCAGATGTAATTAGTCAAGATGGGGTCATATTGCTGTGAACCCTGAATATCTGAGATAGCTCTCAGTTAATTCAGAAAGCTTATTTTGCCAAGGTTGAGGACGCACACCTGTGACACAGCCTCAGGAAGTTTTGATAACATGTGCCCAAGGTAGTCAGCACAGTTTGGTTTTATACAATTTAGGGAGACAAGAGACATCAATCAACATATGTAAGATGAACATTGGTTCAGTCTGGAAAAGCAGGACAACTCAAAGCAGGGAGGGGGCTTCCAGTTCATAGGTACATAAGAGACAAACGGCTGCATTTCTTTGAGTTTCTGATTAGCCTCTCCAAAGCAGGCCATCAGATATGCATTTATCTCAGTGAGCAAACGGGTGACTTTGAATAGAATGGGAGGCAGGTTTTCCCTGAGCAGTTCCCAGCTTGACTTTTCCCTTTAGCTTAGTGATTTGGGGGCCCCAAGAGTTTTTTCCTTTCATACTGGAGTAGGGTGGGTGCTAAGTCCAAAGACTGGTGCCCCTATAAGAAGTCTGTGTAGAGACACACACATGGAGGAGAAGGCCATGTGAGAATGCAGGCAGAGATCGGAGTGATGATGCCACAACCCAAGGAATGCCAAGGATGTCTGGCCACCATCGGAGGCATGAGATCATTCAAGGATGGCTGGCCACCATCGGAGGCATGGGATCGTTTCTCAGACTTCCAACGGGGAGCATGACATCTTGCTTTCAGACACCTAGCTTCCACAACTGGAAAAGAATAGAATTCTGTTGTTTTAAGCCATGAGTTGGTGGTCATTTGCGACATTGGTCCTGAGAAACTAACACAGAGAGGCAACGGGTGGGGGGAACATGTACTGGAGGATCTGGGGGCATAAGAGTCAGATCATCTGATTTGTATTTTAACATGATTGCCCTGAATGCTGTATAGAGATTACCTGTAGCGGGCACAGGCACTGAAGAAGCCACTACAAAAATCTAGGTGAGAGATGATGGAGACCGCTACCATTGAATTAGACTCCAGATAGATCCTGAAAGCAGAACCAACAAGACTTGCTGCCAACTGGACGTACAATATGAGAGAAAAAGAGGCAACAAGCCTGAAGCCAGCGATTTGGGCCTGAGTTACATTAACATGGAGCTGCCATTAATTGAGATGGGAAAACTGTGATGGAGCGGGTTCTGGTGTGCACAGGCGCGATTGGAAGCTCCGTTTGGGACATGCTACGTTTGACAGAGCTATTAGATATCTAAGTGGAGACGCTGCAAAGGCAGTTGGATATTCTAGAGTAGAATTCAAAAAAGAGGTCCCAGCTGGAGATATAAATTTGGAAGCTGTCAGCACATGGATGGGATTAAAACATGAAGTTAGATGAGATCATCTAGGAAGAGAGTGTGGATGGAAAAGAGAAGAGGGGCCGGGTATGGTGGCTCATGCCTGTAATCCCAGCATTTTGGGAGGCCGAGGTGGGTGGATCACTTGAGGTCAGGAGTTCGAGACCACCCTGGGCAACAGGGTGAAACCCTGTCTGTACTAAAAATACAAAAAATGAGCTGGGCGTGGTGGTACACACCTGTAATCCCAGCTACTCAGGAGGCTGAGGCGGGAGAATCACTGGAACCCAGGAGGCAGAGGTTGCAGTAAGCCAAGATCATGCCATTGCACTCCAGCCTGGGAGACAGAATGAGACTCGCCTCAAAAAAAAAAAAAAAAAAAAAAAAAAAGGAAGAAAAAGAAGAGGGCCACAAAATGGGATCTGGGGGACTTGAACCTTTAGAGAGCTCCAGAACGACAGAGATCAAGAAGACTCAGAAATGGGAGGACCAGGAGAGGAGGGTGTCCTGGAAGCCAAGAGAAGAAAGCTTGTCAAGAAGAAAGTGATGGCTGGGGGCGGTGGCTCACGCCTGTAATCCCAGCACTTTGGGAGGCCGAAGTGGGTGGATCATGAGGTCAAGAGATCAAAACCATCCTGGCCAAATGGTGAAACCCCATCTCTACTAAAAATACAAAAATCAGCTGGGCGTGGTGGCACGCGCCTGTAGTCCCAGCTCCTCAGGAGGCTGAGGCAGGAGAATCGCTTGAACCCGCGAGACGGAGGTTGCAGTGAGCCAAGATCACGCCATTGCACTCCAGCCTGGGTGACAGAGCCAGACTCCATCTCAAAAAAAAAAAAGAAGAAAGTGATAAACTGTGCCAAACGCTACTGACAGCACATGCCAGATAGAGACTGAGAAAGGACCATTGGATTTAGTCACAAGGAGGTCACTGTAAACCTGGAGAAGTGAAGTTTCAGTGGAGTAGAGGTATAAAAACCTGGTGAGGGGCGGTTCAAGAATAAGTGGGGCGAGAGAAATTCGAGGCAGCAAGGATGGACAGGTCTTCCCGGAATTCCCTGAACCCATAACGTTTTAATTTTTTCTTAAGTTACTGTGAATTGACTTTCTGTTGCTCATAACAAGAACAAAAGTCTGGGCTAATAGAGGAGGGAGGCAGGAGGCAAAGGAAGGTATTGAGTACCTACTGTGTTCCAGGAACTTCATATACATTATCTCATTTAATTTTAACTTAACTATAATAAACTTGTACCGCAGGTATTATTTATCCCCATATTACAAATAAGAAAACTGAGGCTCAGGGAAATTAACTACTTGTGTATTCAAACTTGCATTCACACCCAGATTGGACTCCAGATCCTACAGCACAGCTATTAGGGGACAACAAATATTGAAGAGAGCAGAAGGCCACTGAGGCCCTGTTTTTGCAACGATATATACAAGTGGTTCTCAACCTTCAGAACTACCCAGAGGGCTTGTCAAACCACAGGTTGCTGGGACCCCTGATTCAGCACTGAGTAGGAGAGGGGAGAGAATCTGCATCTCTAACAGGTTTCCAGGTAAGGCTGCAGGTCCGAGGGCCATACTTTAAGAACCACAGATCATCTATGACATCGCTCTCCCTTGCTCAGGCCCAGGGTCCCTGAAGACCCCACTGAGAACTAAAATCTCTCAGTTCAGTTTATTTCCAAGCTACTAGAGGGAACCCGGCAGCATCATATCAGAATCTCTTGGTCTCTTCTTTTGAATCCCTCCTGAGAACTGACTCTGGGCAGTCAGATAGCAGACACTTAATTTTTTATTTTTTATTTCCACAGGTTATTGGGGAACAGATGGTATTTGGTTACATGAGGAAGTTCTTTAGTAGTGATTTCTGAGATTTTTTTTTTTTTTTGAGACGGAGTTTTTGCTCTTCTTGCCCAGACTGGAGTGCGGTGGAGCGATCTTGGCTCACTGCAACCTCTGCCTCCCAGGTTCAAGCAATTCTCCAGCCTCAGCCTCCTGAGTAGCTGGGATTACAGGCATGCACCACCATGCCTGGCTAATATTTTTGTATTTTTAGTAGAAATGGGATTTCACCATGTTGGCGAGGTTGGTCTCAAACTCCTGACCTCAGGTGATCCACATGCCTTGGCCTCCCAAAGTGCTGGGATTACAGGCATGAGCTACCACGCCTGGCCAATTTCTGAGATTTTGATGCACCCATCACCCAAGCAATACACACTGAACTCAATTTGTAGTCTTTTATCCCTCATCACCTTTCCACCCTTCCCCCCGAGTCTCCAAAGTCCATTGTATCATTCTTATGTCTTTGTATCCTCATAGTTTAGTTTCCACTTATAAGTGATAACCTACGATGTTTGATTTTCCATTCCTGAGTTACTTCACTTAGAATAATGATCTCCAATCCCATCCAGGTGGTTGTGAATGCCATTAATTGATTCCTTTTTATGGCTGAGTAGTATTCCATCGTATATATATATATACCACAGTTTCTTTATCCACTCACTGATTGATGGGCATTTGGGCTGGTTCCACATTTCTGCAATTGTGAATTGGAGACAACAGGCACTTAGTTTAAAATGTCTTGTGTGACTCCCATATTTATCATCATATCGCATAGAATTATTTATCATCATGATTACAAATATGAGATGTGGTTGGCAGAAACAGTTTCTCTGGGAAATCTGATCAGCATGGAGTTTAGGGAGATTGTGCTTCCCAGTTCCCACAGACTGGGCTGCTACAGACAAGACTTCCCAAAATGCACCCCCACATCTTCTGGTTTGCAGCCTCTGTAGCCTGGCATGGAGAACAACCAATCAGTGCTTCACCCAAAACTTACAAAGGAACCCTCCGGCTGAACAGCCTACATTCCTTTGCACTTTCTGCCTATACCAAATGTCTCGTCCCTGGAATTGTATTACTGTTCCTCTTTGATCCTGCCTGTCCTCGCCCAGCCATGGAGGAGCGCTGGGCCTCTTTGAGGTGTTTGCATCAATAGGAGAGAATGCAGAGCTCAAGAGTGCATTGGGCTGGGTGCGGTGGCTCATGCCTGTAATCCCAGCAGCTTGGGAGGCCAAAGTGAGTGGATCATCTGAAGTCAGGAGTTAGAGACCAGCCTGGCCAACATGGTGAAACCCCGTATCTATTGAAAACACAAAAATTAGGCAGGCGTGGTGGCACACACCTGTAATCCCAGCTACCAGGGAGGCTGAGGCAGGAGAACCACTTGAACGCGGGAGGTGGAGGTTGCAGTGAGCTGAGATTGTGCCACTGCACTCCAGCCTGGGTGACAGAGCAAGATGCCATCAAAAGAAAAAAAAAAAAAAAAGAGCACACTGTGCATTGATTTGAGTGTCAGCTTCATTTTAACTCTATTTCAAACTCAGCCAGGAAGTAGCTGTGTGCCGTTAGGCAAGTTAATTGACCTCTCTGAGCCTGTGTTTCTTCTTCTATAAAACAGAGACAATAAGAAATATCTTACAGGTTGTTGGTATTGATTATCAAAACTGTTATATGCCCAGAATGAAAGATGGTAATTGACAGAGTTGTTTATTCGTTCATGTAACAAATATTCATTGAGGTCCTACTATGATCCAGGCACTGTCCCAGGATCTGGGGATGCAGCAGTGAAGAAAGCAGACACAAATTCCTACCCTCCTAGAGCATGACGTCTGGTGGGAACAGTCAGACAATTAGCAAAAAATCATTTTGTTTTTGTTTTTTTGAGACAGAGTCTTGCTCTGTTGCCCAGGCCTCAGCCTCGTAAGCAGTTGCAAGTACAAGCACTGCCATGCCCGGCTAATTTTTGTATTTTTGGTAGAGACAGGGTTTCTGCAGGTTGGCCACACTGGTCTCAAACTCCTGACCTCAAATGATCCACCCGCCTTGGCCTCCCCAAGTGCTGAGATAACAGGCCCGGCCAATGAACACATTATTTTAAAAGGAGCTAAGTTCTTTGGAGGGGTCTGGAGCCTACCATGGCAGGGAGCTTGCAATTTTAAACAGGTTGGTCAGAGAAGGCCTTGTGGAGAAGATGTTCTTTCAGTAAAGACTTGAAGGAGAGAAGGAGGTGAGCCGTGAAAACCCCTAGGTCAAGAGCAGTTGGGGACAGAAAGTGCAAAGGCCCTAATGGTGGGGCCTTCTGCATGGCTTTGAAGATCAGCAGAGACCACAGGGCCAGAGCAGAGCGAGTGAAAGAAAGATAATTAGCTGTGGGGTCACAGCATAATTATACGGGCTTTATTCATGGAAGTTATAAGCCAAAAGTAAGTCACAGTTGCCCTAAGTCAATTCACCTGGTGGCAGCCAGGGGAATGTGACCAAAAAGTCACTTTCTTAATATTTGCAACATTTTCCACTCAGCTCTTTGCAAGCTTATTTGTGTGATGACATCTTTCCCTAGTTGCCAACCGTAATACAAAGAAACCTTCACAAATACCAATAAAACCCAGACTCCCTGAGGGTGGAAATGAATCTCAATGAATGTCAAGGGAAAGGGCAGCTGGATCTCTAAACTCTGGTTCCCAGAGGTGTCTTCCTTTTGAGATCTGTGACAGCCACCAGCACGCTAGCCGCGAGGGGGCGTTGCTTCCCACCTAACACCCAGCCTTGACGGGCAGGGACCTCTCTTTAATGCCCTAGCACGGTTGGGTCAGGGTGAAGCATGAAATCAAGGCTGCAGATACTAGGAGAGAGCAGAAGGGAACGAAGCCCAGGGACCTTTAGGAGATGTGGTCAACTGGGGCTCCAGGCCAGCCCCAGAATCAGCTTTCAGCTGGCCTGTGTGAACTGGGCACCTTGTAACACTTATTTGTTCATGTAACACATCTCTGCTGGGTGAATATCATGTGTCAGGCACCGTGCTTTGCAATAGGCATGTATCTGGAATAAAATTGGCATACATCTTATACTTCAAAAAGAAATCAGGCCGGGCACAGCAGCTCACATCTGTAGTCCCAGCACTTTGGGAGACCAAGGTGGGCAGATCACCTGAGGTCAGGAGTTCGAGACCAGCCTGGTCAAAATGGTGAAACCCCGTCTCTACTAAAAATACAAAAATTAGCTGGGTGTGGTGGTGCGCACCTGTAATCCCAGCTACTTGGGAGGCTGAGACAGGAGAATCACATGAACCCAACAGGAGGAGGTTGCAGTAAGCTGAGATCGATCGCACCAGTACCCTCCAGCCTGGGCAACAGAGCAAGACTCCATCTCAAAAAAGAAAAAGAATTCTGCCCCACAGAATCCATCATTTAAAAATCCTTGTTTGACAGCACGAAAATTTGGGGAATGTGGTAGGCAGCACTAGGTAAGTAGAACACGCGGCTGTGTCGAGAATGCATTGGCTAAGGGCAGGAGCAGTTTCCTAAACATTTCAATTCCTGGAAGTCGAGATCCAAAAGAACAAGACCAAGAGATTTAAAAAAAAAAAAAAAAAAAAAAAAAAAAACCAGGGTGCTCTTTCTTTCCTATCTCCGATAAAACTTCCAGCATGCTTTTCCCATCTAAGGACCCAACTCACACCCAGATACCTGGGCTGGGGGAGAACGTCTTCCTTCTTCAGGCAGGAGCGGGCTGGGTGGGAACTCATGTCTATGAACCCTCTAGGATGAATAGAACCCAGCAGTCATGCGAATGGCCATGCACGGCACACAGGGGAGGCATCTCCTTCCTTCCACTCTGGAGCACTTGTGGCCTGTCTGTCCAAGGACGTGTCCACCTTAATTTCATATTTGTAACAAGTATTTGTCAAAATGCATTCATTTTTCCATGATATGTAGCATTTAGTTTCTTCAGAGTGTTTTTGCTTCCTTTTAAATGTCATTTATTATTTTGCTGACTTTTAGCCCTTGGGAGACTTTTTTTTTAGCCATTTCATTCACATACATCTACCTTAATTGGCTAAAAATCCTTGAAATGCTGAGATATAGCTAAGGAAAAATACATCCAGAAGAGAGAGCTGCCACTGACCTTCGAAGAACAGCCCCCAGGGTTCAGTGTTTCATCTTTGTGATGCAAAATGCAAAATTCATTCTTTGTGGCCATAAAACGAATAAGACATTTTTTCTTACATTATTATAAAATAAATACATGCTGATTGCATAAGTTATAGAAAATACATAAGCCAAAAGGAGGAGGGGGAGAAGGGGGAAAAGAGGAGGTAGAGAAAGGAAACGAAAAAATTAGAATTACCCATTACCTCATTAGCCAGAAAGTCATCATTTCTCACTAATACACCCTGGTAACCTATCAGGTTTTAATATGCCCATTTCACGCCAAGCCAAACTCTCTCTCTTGTTTTTGTTCACTCATTCATTTTATAAACATTTATTGACCACCTACTATGTGCCAGACTCTACACTAGGTACTGAAGCTACAACAGTGAAGAGGTAATCCCAACACAGACTGACACCTGCAGGAGGGAGGCTCCCTACCCTGACAGCTTTTTTTTTTTTTTTTTTTTTTATTATTATTATTATTATTATTTTTTTTTTTTTTTTGAGACGGAGTCTCGCTCTGTCGCCCAGGCCGGACTGCGGACTGCAGTGGCGCAATCTCGGCTCACTGCAAGCTCCGCTTCCCGGGTTCACGCCCTTCTCCTGCCTCAGCCTCCCGAGTAGCTGGGACTACAGGCGCCCGCCACCGCGCCCGGCTAATTTTTTGTATTTTTAGTAGAGATGGGGTTTCACCTTGTTAGCCAGGATGGTCTCGATCTCCTGACCTCATGATCCACCCGCCTCGGCCTCCCAAAGTGCTGGGATTACAGGCGTGAGCCACCGCGCCCGGCCTTTTTTTTTTTTTTTTTTGGAGACGGAGTCTCACTCTGTGGCCCAGGCTGGAGTGCAATGGCATGATGTCAGCTCACTGCAACTTCTGCCTCCCGGGTTCAAGCGATTCTCCTGCCTCAGCCTCTCAAGTAGCTGGGACCACAGGTGCGCGCCACCATGCCTGGCCAATTTTTGTATTTTTAGTAGAGACAGGGTTTCGCCATGTTGGCCAGGCTGGTCTCGAACTCCTGACCTCAGTTGATCCACCAGCCTCAGCCTCCTAAAGTGCTGGGATTACAGGCGTGAGCCACCTCTCCCGGCCCCCTGACAGCTTTGGGGACCAAGCAGTGCTGTCTACCCAGACTTAAAAAAATGGGTAGGAATTAGCCAGGCAATGGGAAAAGGTTGGGGGATGGGTTGGAGGGACAGTGCAGAGAGTGGCCCATGTGTTGTGGCCCAGGCAGTGGGAACAAGGTGGGGGGACAGGTTAGAGGGACAGTGCAGAGAGCGGCCCACGTGTTGGAGGAGGTGAATGAAGGAGGTTCATCCTGGCTGGAGCCTGGGTCACCAGGAAGGGAAATATAGAGCTGGGATAACTCACCCACGTGAGGTCATGAAGTGTCTTTATCCTAAGAGAATGTGGGCCGTCAGTGGCTGTGGAATGATGGGATTTGAGAAGGGGTGATAATGAAGGCAGGGAGACAAATGCAATCCCTGTGCCTGGCTACAGATGCCAGAGGTGGGTGGAGAGGAGGAGAGAAGGGATGCCTCGGAGAGGCACTCAGGAGGCAGGACCAGCAGGACGCAATCACGGAATGCATGTGGAGGTGAGGAAGGGGCAGTGTTGAAGGAGATGCATGATTCTCAACACAAACAATGGTGGTGTTAGCCACTAAGAGAGGGGACCCCAGAGAATGTCATAAGTTCAATATTTGACATATTGAGGTCCAGGTTTCTGTGGGACATCCAGCGGGAGGTGATCAGTGGGGAGGTGAATGCAGATGGTGCTTCTGTCATTAGTGACTGGTTTCCAGGTTCCCTGCAAAGTGTGTGTCCCTGTCCAAAATCTCCATGCTAGTAATCAGCTGTTTCTCTGCTTGGGTACTGGGTTTTGGATTCTGAGTCTTACCTAATTCTGAAGCAAATGGTTACAAAGAGAAAAAGCTAAACAACTTGTTGTTTTATCTACATGGTATCAAGAATTTTAAAAAATCACCTAAAACTAAAACTAAATTGTGGATTCACACCGGCATGTGGGCTTGAGCCGGCTCCTCCCGCAGCATCTGCCAACACATAAGGCCTTCCCTCCACTCCTTATTCCAGGAACCCAAACTATCGCGGGGCCCACTTCAGCAGCTCTGCATTCCGATGGGGCTCAGGAAGTCACACTGCCCAGTTAGTGTCCTCAGGTTAGGCTGAGAATACCAAATCCATGAGGACAACCCCATACTCCATAGCTAGCTTAAGACTTGGCTGCCAATGCGGGACACCAGACACCTTAACAAGGAAGATATGAAGGCCAAAGATATGAAAAGAGGCTGTCAGGGTGTATTAGTCCGTTTTCACACAGCTGATAAAGACATACTCAAGACTGAGTAATTTATAAAGGAAAAGAGGTTTAATGGACTCACAGTTCCATGTGGCTGGGGAGGCTACACAATCATGGCAGAAGGTGAAAGGCACGTCTTACATGGCAGCAGACAAGAGAGAATGAGAGCCAAGCAAAAGGTGCTTCCCCTTATAAAACCATCAGATCTCGTGAGACTTATTCACTACCATGAGAACAGTATGGGAGAAACCGCCCCCATGAGTCAATTATCTCCCACTGGGTCCCTCCCACAACACATGGGAATTATGGGAGCTGCAATTCAAGATGAGATTTGGGTGGGGACACAGCCAAACCATATCATCACGGGGCTCACAAAATACATTCAGGAGACTTGACTGTGTTTTATTCAAATAATAGCTCAGTTAGTGACACCTTCTTGTGCCAAGAACTTGTCTTACGTCTGTTCATCTGATTCTCCCTGTCCCTCCCATGAGCCCCATGTTGGGAGAGGACCCCCATCAGGCTGCGCCCAGCTTTTCTAAACCTTGACAGTCTATGTGAACCATACGCAGATGCTCCACACCTGCTGGGTTATCTCCACACCAGGTATTTGGAATTTCCAAACCCCCTTAGCTCAGGGTTGTTTGTGTTCACTTTTCCTCCAGATCTTTGGCATCTTGAGTGCTGCAGCCGAAAGCTTTTCAGGTGGCTCCATTGCCCTCAGCTCAAGGTCTTTTCCTAACTCAAATCCTGCCGCACTATGAGGGGGACATGGTCTGCTTCCTGATTTTATTTATGTGATGCATGCCTTTGTAGTTCAGAAAAATTAACCAAAACATTTTCAGTTCCTTAGTTTGTCAGTCCATCCATTCATCTGCTCATCCACCTATCCATCTATGCAGCTAATAAACATTTACCAAGCACACACTCTGAGAGTACTGTGTTAATAAAAACAGATATGGCCCCTGCCCTCATGGAGGTTATAGTCTAGTGGTGACGACAAGCATTAATGAAAACACCACACAAGGCTGGGTGCAGTGGCTCATGCCTGTAAACCCAGTGCTTTGGGAGGCCGAGGCGGATGGATCCCTTGAGGTCAGGAGTTAGCGACCAGCCTGGCCAATATGGTGAAATCCAGTCTCTACTAAAAATACAAAAAAACTAGCCAGGCATGGTGGTGGACGCCTGTAATCCCAGCTATTCGGGAGGTTGAGGCAGGAGAATTGCTTGAACCTGGGAGGCAGAGGTTGCAGTGAGCCAAGATTGTGCCACTGCACTCCAGCCTGAGCAACAAGAGTGAAACTCCATCTCAAAAAAAAAAAAAACAAACCCAAAAACCCACACAAATGAATATATAATTATAAACTGAGATAGGTGCTTGCAAGAAATGGTATTTGTTCTGTGAAGCAGGAAATAAAAATATCTTGACATAGACCAGGTGATCAGGGAAGGCTTTACTGAATAAATATCTGACTGAAGAAGGCTAAGACCGCCCTTGGAGCCCAATCTTCTATTCAGGACCATCCTCTACAGAGGGAACCTGGTATGCTAAGCCACAGCTCAGGAGAGCTGCAGCTGAATGGAAACTAAGCCAGGTAATGGAGTCTCTAGTCTTCATAGGCAGGGGATGCAGAATGACACATTTCTTTCCTCCCAAGAAGCACCCAGGTAAGGTAGGCTGGCACCTCCTTTCCCCGGTGGCAAATCCTGTGCAAGATAGAGAGTGAGCTCAGAGGAACCTGCTTCTTCTTGAGAGCCTATGATTTTCCACAGATTAACAATTTATAGATGTGGAGGTCTGATGTCCCTAATATTAATCAAAAATAGGTCTATTTTTTTTGGAAGACATGGGAAGTTTATTTTTAAAAGGGGGACAAATTATCAGAATAGCAAAAATAAAAGAGTGGGGAAAATGGATTTTTCTGTGTCTGTGTCTATTATTGAAGCAGCACAGAAATGAACTCAAGGGAAGAAAACTTGAATTCTGCCTTCTTCTCCATTCTCTACCAGCGATCTCACTTAATCTCAAGAGCTGCAAATGGCCCCACATTTACATAAACACTTCTCCATTGTTACCAATGGAGAAGTTAACAACGGCCTAAGGCCGGGCGCAGTGGCTCACGCCTTTAATCCCAGCACCTTGGAAGGCCAAGGCAGGTGGATCACAAGGTCAGGAGATCGAGACCATCCTGGCTAACACGGTGAAACCCCGTCTCTATTAAAAATATAAAAAAATTAGCCAGGCATGGTGGCGGGCGCCTGTAGACCCAGCTACTCAGGAGACTGAGGCAGAATGGCGTGAACCCAGGAGGCGGAGGTTGCAAGTGAGCCGAGATGGCGCCAGAGATGGAAAACAGAGCGAGACCCTGTCTCAAAAAAAAAAAGTCCTAATGGCCTTAGGACACCTCTAGTCCTCTAGTCTTAGAGCTCCCGTCCTTCTCATTAGAAGCCTAGTCTAACTGATTTGGAAAAGCTGGGTACTTGGATCACCGTGTTGAAGTTGGTGCCTAGGTTTTTTAGGCAAGATTCCAAGTCATGTTCAATTATTTATTCATTCAGTAAGTACCTGTAAGTGTCAACGATGTTACAGGCACTGTTCTAAGTACTAGGGGTACAGACCGGGCACAGTGGTTCACTCCGTAATCCCAGCACTTTGGGAAGCCGAGGCAGTCGGATCACCTGAGGTCAGGAGTTAGAGACCAGCCTGGGCAACATGATGAAACCCTGACTCTACTAAAAATATCAAAAAATTAGCCGGGCGTGGCCAGGCGCGGTGGCTCACGCCTGTAATCCCAGCACTTTGAGAGGCCAAGGTGAGCGGATCACCTGAGGTCAGGAGTTTGAGACCAGCCTGATCAACATGGAGAAACCCCATCTCTACTAAAAATTCAAAATTAGCTGAGCGTGGTGGCGCATGCCTGTAATCCCAGCTACTAGGGAGACTGAGGCAGGAGAATCGCTTGAACCCGGGAGGCGGAGGTTGCAGTGGGCCGAGACGGCGCCACTGCACTCCACCCTGGACGACAGAAAAAGACTTCATCGCCAAAAGAAATAATAATAAAATAATTAAAATAAAATAAAATTCAACAATTCTTTCCACTTCACTATACTGTAGTTTTTTTTGTATTGAATTCAAACAAAATTAAATTAATATGAATACTTTTAATGAAAAAGCATCTATTTGTGGTCTCATTTTTATAAAATATTTATATCCTTTAACTCTATGTATACATAAAAATATATCTGAGTAGCGTGCATCCCGTGTTAACTAAAGCTATTTCTCAGTAGTGGGATTTTTCTCTTTTTTTTCCACATGTAAACTTTTCTACGTCCTTTGATTTCTTTGAAACAAGCACGGTATCTCTTTAAAAAGACAACAGATTGGTTGTATTATTAACTACTGCTACCAGAAGTGAATGGGCCAAGATGTTAAGAGGAGAGGAAAGGAGAAGAAGGAGGGGAGGGTGTCAGACCGACGGAGTTGGGGGGAGCAGGAGGCGAGAAAGGGGAGAGGAGCGAGAGAGAGAAGAGGGGGGCTCAAATGACGGAGAGAGCGAAAGAGAGGGCAGGAGGCGAGTAGGAGATGAGCCAGAGGAGAGGAGGACACTGCAGACCCGGGGGGAGGGCAAGGGCGCCGACCGCAGGCCGGGGAGGCTGCAGGAGACTGGGGGCCAGGGGAGCGGGGGAGTCGGCAGCGCCGCCTGGGACAGAGCTTGCCGCACGCTGACCTACTTTCTGGGGCCGATGTGTTTGCAGCCAGAGGTACCGCGGAGCCAAGCCCGGAGCCTCGGGGAGCCGCCAGCGAGCGCAGACTGGGAGGGAGCCGGCCGGGCTCCCCGCCACCCCTTCCTCCGCGCGCCAAGACCTGTCAGTTTCACCCAGCCCGGCTTCCCTGGAAAGGCGGGATCCCTCTGCAGATTTCCAGGCTCTTGGAAGAGGACCGGCGCGTCTATTAAACCCGAGTCGCTCCACGGGCTCTCCGCCCAGAGCACAAGCTGCCTTCCCCCGGGAACTGGACCTCGGCAGCGGCCTGCGCAGAGCCGGGCTCCGGGGCCCTGGCCGCTCTCGGGAAGGCCCCGCGGGTTCCCACCAGGCCAGAGGGAGAACCACCAGGAGGCCGCGCGCGCGCACACGCCGGGCGCCCTCCTCGTGCCGAGGTGGAAAGAGCCTGCGACAGGCAGGCCCAGGTTGTCATTTAGGCTCCGCCACTTTCCGCTCGTGTCCTTGGGCAAGTTACTTGACGCTTCCGAGCCCTATTTTTTTTCTCATTTTTAAGATGGAGAAAATGCCATCCACATCTCAGGGTCAAGGTGAGGATTATAAATAAAATAACGTGTGTGAAAGTGCCTGGCATAGCAGCCGGCACGTGGTGTGTGCTCAATAAAAATGTTAGTTCATCCACTCGGGAGGAAGCTGCTTTGCCGGCGCGTCATGACGGATCCAGGAGCCGGCCAACCGTGCTCTATGATCGTGACCGGGCTATGGCCATCGGTGAACGCTGGTCATAAGCGATTTGTGTCATCGTAGTGCCTGACGCCGGGAGACAAGCTTGGGGAAATGCCTTTTTTCTGAAACATTTCCTATGAAATAGTTTGGCCCCACGCCCACTAACTAAAGAATGAGGCTGGCAGGGCGTGGTGGCTCATGCCTGTAGTCCCAACACTTTGGGAGGCCGAGGCGGGCAGATCAGCTGAGGTCGAGAGTTCTAGAACAGCCTGACCAACATGGAGAAACCCCGTCTCTACTAAAAATACAAAATTAGCCGGGCGTGATGGCGCATGCCTGTAATCCCAACTACTTACTCTTGAGGCTGAGGCTGACGCAGGAGAATCGCTTGAACCCGGGAGGCGGAGGTTGCCGTGAACCAAGATTGTGCCATTGCACTCCAGCATGGGCAACAAGAGTGAAACTCCGTCTCAAAAATTAATTAATTAATTTAATAAAAATAAAAAGAAGGACGCTGTGGATTACTGGTGTAAATAAAAGTAATAAACACTTCAAAAGCGATTGCTATGATACAAACAGAGAGTGCCAGAGCTTTAGGTGAAATCACTCATGCAGCCTCTGGGCAGTGCTAGGGGCAGGTGCACTCACCATGCGGACAACTGAGGCTGAAATAAACGGTAAAGTAACAAGTGGATATTTGTCATTTTGGTGTCACTTGACACGTACTTCCTCTTCATAGGGTGAATATATTTATTTCTTCTGGAGAAATTCCTTGTCCCCACTGTGCCATCTTAGGTAGCTGAAAATCAGAGTTTCTTGCTCTCCCTGAGTCAAGAGTGGGCCCATGATCCCACAGGCCAAAGGGACCTTCTCTTCCTCAGGACTTGGAATCTTGAGGGGAACATGCAAGGACAGAATAAAACAATAACAATAATAATAACAATCATGGGGCATTTTCTTGCTAGTGGTGACACCCTGTCTAGGGTATCATTGCTTGCACACCACCACCCACAGCCTACAAGCCTCATGGGCCCCTCCAGACCCACCACCTCCAGACTCAGGAACCCAGATGAGGTCAGGACAGCTTCCATTTAATGTTCCAAGGGCACTAACATGTGAACTGTCATCTTCCCCTCAGCTCCAAACCTGCGCCTCTCCCAGCTAGTGCAGGCCACCACCGTTCATCCAGTTTCCCAGTGGAGAAAGCTGGGAATCATCCTAGACCCTTCTTTCCTCATCCCCATCCATCTGGTCCCCAGGTCTGTCCATTTTACCCCCTAAAGAGCTCGCAAGTCCATTCCTTCTTCACCTGCCTCAGGTCAACGCATCCCTTTTCTCCTGGAAGGTGGCACTAGCTTCTCAGATGCCTCCTGCCTCTAGGGCTTTCCCCTCCAAACCCATCTTCCACATTGTAGTCAGGGTGATCTTTCTAAATGCCTACCTAGTTATGGCAGGGGCTTAAAACTCTTTAGTACCCTGCCAATTGCCCCTGAATGAAGTCCAGACTCCACATCATGATAACAAGCTTTGCATTCCTTTCCACTCTGCCCCCATTCTTTGCATCTCCCAGCACTCCTACGCAAGCACCCTCCTCTAGCTACGTGAAATCTTTCACTGTTTCCTAGACACTCCTTGCCTTTTTTGCTCCTCTAAGCCTTTGCACTTGCTATTTCCTCCACTTAGAAGGACGCTTACCCTCACCTCTACCTAGAAAACTCCTCCTCATGCTTCAAGAATGAGCTCAAATATCCCCCGTTGAGAGAAGCATCATCTGACTCCCACAGGCAAAATGTAGCAGTCCTTTTGAGTTCCCTACTATACCTGCTCCCCATCCCTGCCGCAGCACAGACTTTACTGCACTGCCTTTACCCAATGACTTATGTCTCCATCTGTCCCCTCCACCCACTACACCAACTCCAGCAGAGTAAGAACTCATTCAGTGATCACTAAGGAAGAATGGCTAAGTACATTCTGGTTGGAGATGGGGAAAGGAGATGGTCTTAGGTTTGCTTTTCCCCAAGCAGATCATGGGAAACTGGTTTGAAATGAACTTCTTCACATTTCTGAGAGTGAATAAGGTATAAGCCTGGAACTGCTAGGTGCAGGTTTGGAGCTGAGGGGAAGATGACAGTTCATCTGTTAGTGCCCTTGGAACATTAAATGGAAGCTGTCCTGCTTCCTGTCCCCATGAGGAAAACACTGCCTGAGAATGGAGCCAAAACAAAGGAAGACGGTGTTAGGAGCTTGAGTGAGAACAAGTTCTGATGGCATCTGAGCCCACAGAGGTGGCTGTTCCTGAAGTCAGTCATGACTCTTGAACTTTTTAGTTGTAAGCCATTCCCTGTTTTTGCCTAAGCCATTTTGTTTTTGTTTTGTTCTGTTTTGTATGGGGTTTTTTTGGTGTTTTGTTTTTTGAGACGGAGTCTCACCGTGTTGCCCAGGCTGGAGTGCAATGGCGCATCTCGGTTCACTGCAACCTCCGCCTCCTGGGTTCAAGCAATTCTCCTGCCTCAGCCTCCCGAGCAGCTGGAATTACAGGCACCCGCCACCACGCCCAGCCAATTTTTATATTTTTGGTAGAGACTGGGTTTCACCATGTTGCCCAGGCTGGTCTCGAACTCCTGACCTTAGGTGATCTGCCCAACTCGGCCTCCCAAAGTGCTGGGATTACAGGCGTGAGCCACCACACCAGGCTCTGCCTATGCCATTTTGAATGCAGACTTTCCATCTATTGCGAGCAAGAGAATCTTCATGCTGCTAAAGCATGTTGAAATAAGAATATCCTTTTGAGAGAAAAACTTTAAAACTCATATGTCCTGAATCAAAATAGAAGTATGAGATCAACTTGAGGCAGAATAGCCCTTTGGAAGGCAAGACTGGATTGCAAAGACTTATTGAGAGCATATCTCATGCCAAGACTCTAAGTTACCTGACATAGAATGTGTCCAACAGAAGAAAGGCTGGTCAGACATGAGTGCCTGCACAAAAGAGGGTCATGGAGAAAGAGTTGGCAAGGCCCACGAAAGCACCAGCCAGGTTAACTGTTAAGTGAACACAGGTATAGAGTCTCCACCTGGCGCCCCAGGGCTGGCTTCCTGGAGCTTTATGAACCTCCTAAAATTGTATGTGTAATTAATTCTGCATTTTTTTTTTGAGATGAAGTCTTGCTCTGTCACCCAGGCTGGAGTACAGTGGCACGATCTCAGCTCACTGCAACCTCTGCCTCCTGGGTTCAAGTGATTCTCCTGCCTCACCCTCCTGAGTAGCTGGGATTACAGTCATGTGCCACCACACCCGGCTAATTTTTGTATTTTTAGTAGAGATGGGGTTTCAGCACGCTGGGCAGGCTGGTCTTGAACCCCTGACCTCAAGTGATCCACCCGCCTCTGCCTCCTAAAGTGCTGGAATTACAGGCACGAGCCAGCACGCCCGACCTCTGCATCTTTCTGAGGAGAATGTCTATAACTTCATTCAGATTCTCAAAGTGGTTCATTACACCTAGTAGGTTAAGAATTGCTAATGTCACAAGTGAAATTGTTTCAGGCATCCTAGCTGAGACAGTCTCTTAAAACCACCCAAATTCTTGCATATATCTCAGTCTCATTGCCACCCTCTGACAATCTGGGTTCCCAGGTGGCTCACCACCAGGAAGAGAATACAGGGAGCTACTGATGGGAGCACTTGGGTCCACCTGAGAGCTGTGGTTCTCATTGCAAAGTCAGATGCTGGGAGACAGGCGTGGGGAAATGCCTCCTTTCTGAAGCATTTCCCATGAAATAGTTTGGCCCCATGCCCACTAACTAAAGAACTATGCTGTGGATTACTGGTGTAAATGAAAATAATAAACGCTTGAAAAGTGATTGCTTGGGCAGGCCTGGGTTCAAGTATAACTAATCTTGGGGAATAATAACTAGGATTTGTTTAAGCCTACACTCCAGACGTTTTCATACGTTACCTAATCTCATCATCATAAACCTGAGAGAGAGAAATTATCATCTCCATTTCTACATGAGGAAATCAAGGTATATTAAGATGAAGACATTTTCTCAGGGTCACACAGTTGCCTGCTTTCCAAACCCATGCATTTTTCATGTTACCACCAACTACCGCAAGCCACGTCTAAGTTTTAGTGATCACGCACTGGTCTTTGTGGTAACCTTGAGTACCGTGCTGCTCTCTTGATGTTTCTACCAACAGACTCTGACTCTACCCTTCACAACAGGGTGTGTGAGCCCAGGCACGACTGGCTGGGATACCCTCCTGAACGCAGGGATTGACTTAGGGATGGCAATATGACCCAAGTCAGGCCCATCAGAGTTCTCCCCTGTGTTGCTGTGAACAGAGACAGCACAGAAAGCCCTCTGCCTCTGTGGCCTTGGAGGAAGCTCCTCTACAGGAGGAGGGAATAAAGTCCATGAGAAACCAGAAGAGGTGACAGCTGGGCAGCAGAAGCGCCAACAGCACCAGGCCTCCAGCTCCTTTCTAGAAGTTTCCATTCTAGAGCTTCCATTCTGTGAACTTCCCACACAACATCCTGGACAGTGAGAGTCCATCCATGGGCGGGAGTGAGAGAACGATAAACATCGTCGCTGCCATTTGTTACATTTATTCTTCAAATCTAAACTCTAAGGCAGTTAGAAAATAACTAACTACCTCAGAGTTATTATTAGTAGTTATTAGAGGAATAACTAACTACCTTAGGGATACTCTAACTACCTTAGGTATTCTTTGCCAAAATGAGGTAGGTGTTCATTGCCAAAAGGTAGGTATTCTTTGCCAAAATGAGAATAAGGAACAAAATGGTAGAGAAATTGCCCAAGGTCAAACAGAGGTGAGTGGCAGAGAACTCAGGAGGTAGGGCTCCAACTCAGCCTCCATCAACATGAGAAAATGCACGTCAATATTTGGATCCTGTCAGTGAAAGCAGGGTGAAGTTATGCCTCAGTTTAAGGAGGGAGCTGGAAGCAGTTTTGATGCCTCCACTGAGGCATGTTTGCCCCAGGAGATGTAGGGTCTCCTCCTGGCTTACGTAAAGAACCAGTGTGTTAGTCAGTATTCTGTTGTAACCCAGACTCCAAAACTCTCCGTGGTTTACAGCAGAGGTTTAATTCTTGCACTCAAGTCTGCAGCTCAGCTGCCTCTGCTTAGCTCTGCTCCCATCTTCTCACTCCAGGACTCAGGCTGAAAGAGCAGCATCATCTGGGAACTGTGGAGCTTACAGCAGAAAGCAGTAAGGCAAGAGGCCAAGCCAAACTATGCAATCTCATTGAAAGCTTCTGCTCAGACAGCATAAATCATGTCCGCTCACATTCCATTGGAAGAAGCGAGTCACAAGGCCAAACCTGCCAACATACTCCCCTTACTGGATTGCTCCTGGAAGTCACGTGGCAAACGGTGTTGGACGTGTAATACCCTCAGACAGAGGCAGAAGATAGTTGCAAACAATAACATAATCGGTCGTACCAAGAAACAAGTGCTGGAACAATGGGACTTAAGGATAAATCTGCCTTTCACAGCAGGGAGCCCCCCAGTGGGGCGAATGGAAGAGAATATAAAGTTCCCAGGCTCTTGAATTGAACAAAGACGGAGTCTCAGCTGCAGACAGGCCAAATTCCAGTGGCAAAAACAATGTCCTGAGAGCCAGAGCTTCCAACATCTGGAGCCCAAACAGGGACCTAACAAAAGATCAGAATACAATGACCCCGGGGGATGCCTGACGAGTGTATCGTAAGAATAATCATTGTCTCTGGGCATTGGGTTATGAGTAATATCCTCTTCTGTTTTCTACTGAGTGATTGTGCTACTTTTTAATTAGAAAAAGAAGCATTTTAGAAAAGTATATGTGTCCTCCCTGGAGCCGAAAACAGCATGGGGCAGCAGAAGTGACTGCTTTTCCATGCCAAACCTCACACTGATGAGAAAGATTTGCATGTCCGATGACGCACCAAAGGTGTGTAATTTCAATCCCCTGGGGCAAATGGTCCTGCCATCTACTGTAACGACTGATAAATGGGAAGGCAATAATAAGCATAATCTTTTTTTCTCAGGTGTTTTCTTTTTGGCAGGGGTGGATGGGGGTGAATCAGTGAACAAAGTAGACTTAACTTCTAAAATCTAAACGTCCCTGGGGTTTTCCACTTGCAGATTCTGTCTGAGGTTGAAGACAAAGAAAGGCCACTATGAGTTCAGTATCCAGAAGGTCCTGGATTTCTTTCCGGCTCACAAGAAGGGAAATTAGGGAACATGGGCTTAAACATGTCTTCACTGGCATTGAATCTGTGAGAAGTCAGCCCCACGGTTTTGGTAATACTAAGTTAAATACTAGTTTAAAATGAGTTTGAGCCTATTTGAACCCAATTTGATGTGATATGCACAGGGACTTAGGCCCCAGGCTTTGTGTTTTGTTGTTGTTGTTGTTGTTTGTTGTTTGTTTTTTTTTTGAGACGGAGTCTCACTCTGCCACCCAGGCTGGAGTGCAGTGGTGCGATCTTGACTCACGGCAACCTCCACCTCCTGGGTTCAAGCGACTCTCCTGCCTCAGCCTCCTGAGTAGCTGGGATTACAGGAGCCTGCCACCAAGCTAGTTTTTGTATTTTTAGTAGGGATGGGGTTTCACTGTGTTGGCCAGGCTGGTCTCAAAGTCCTGAACTCAAGTGAACTGCCTGCCTCGGCCTCCCAAAGTGCTGGGATTACAGGCGTAAGCCACCGCGCCCAGCCGGCCCCTGGCTTTGGACCTTGGCCCTGTTGTTGAACAGCTCTGCAACTGTGGACAAGGAACTTAATTTCTCTGTGCTTCAATTTTGTTCTTGAAAAAGGGGATAATGATAGTATCTACCTCACTGGGATGTGTTTTAGGATTAAATATATACAAATAAAGCTCCTAGCACAGGACTTGTCATATAGTGAACAAACAACAAATTTTGTTATAAACACTAATGTAATGAGGATCAAAATCATTAGTATTTGGGTGTTTGTAGCTTTTCCCTTTCCTCTCCTATTAAAAGCCAGTATTACTTGGTCAGCAAATCCTCCTCAGCCCCTTCTCCCACACTGTCCTCTGCTTTGGGGTCTTATTGGGAAATGTGGTGAATGAGTGGGAGAACCAGACCGAGGGGGTGGATCACCTGAGGTCAGGAGTTTGAGACCAGCCTGACCAACGTGGTGAAAATTCATCTCTACTAAAAATACAAAAATTAGCCAGGTCCAGTGTCAGGTGCCTGTAATCCCAGCTACTTGGGAGGCTGAGGCAGAAGAATTGCTAGAACCCAGAAGGCAAAGGTTGCAGTGAGCCGAGATTGCACTACTGCACTCTAGCCTGGGCCACAGAGCAAGACTCCGTCTCAAAAAATAAATAAATAAATAAATAAATAAATAAATAAATAAATAAATAAAAAGGAAAGAAAAGGAAAGAGTGCAGAACAAGAAACAGGATGAGAGATCTTGGAGCCATCACCTAGTGTGAGAGGTGGTGACTGAGATAAATCAGGGAAGGAGACTGAATTAGTGATCTACTGCTGCCCGATAAATTACCCCAAACTTCGCAGCTAAAAAGAAATCAACATTATTACATCTCACTGTTTTTATGGGTCAGCTATTTGGGAGAGGCTCAGCTGTGTTATTCTGTCTCAAGGTCACTCATCAGATTGCAGTTTAGATGTCAGCTAGGCCTGAAGTCATCTGAAAGCTCAAAAGATTGGAAGACCATCTTTCAGGATGGCTCACTCATGAGGCTATTGGCAAGAGGCCTCAGATTCTAACCACAATGGCTCTGCACAGGGCTGTGTGAGTGCCTTCAATGACATGACAGATGGCTTCCCCGACCCGAGAGAGAACACGGAAGAAGCTGCAAGGCCTTTTATGACCTAGTCTTGGAAATCACACATTATCACTTCCACAACATTCTGTTCATTAGAAGACAGTCACTAAGCCCATTCTACACTGAAGGGGAAGGAAAATAGCTTCCATCTTTTGAAAGGAGGAGTGTCAGAATATTTGAAGACATTTAAAACCAAGACAGGGATTGCAGGGAGTGTTTCTGTGGATTGCTAATTTGATTCCCTTGAGTATTATTGGGGGACTGCATATGAGGCTTGCAATTAATTTTCATTTTGGCTACATAATTGTCATTGCTGTTGTTGCTTTAATATGGCCTGGTCCCTAGATTGGTCTATATTGTGCCCATGGATATTTCTGGGTAACATTAATAATAAGTTTTATTTTAGAATGATGTATAGAAGGAAAGCTTTCAGGTAATTGATCATCTCTAATAATCACTGGAAACGTAGAACAAGGAAGAAAATGATTGAATATTTTCTCCTGTAAGCAAAGGCTGCCAAGATTTTTGGTGATGCTCATTTACCATACAGTAAGTTGTCATGTAATAAACACTGTGAATAGCTTCATGAAAACTTCAACTTTAGGCAAAACAGCATGTAATAAAACCAATTTTACCATAGGCTAACTGATATAAACAAGAGTTAAGTTCCTACAGCATATTTCTGGTCACAAAAACATCACCAAACTTCTCAATAAAGACCCAAAACACTTCAAATATTAAATATTGCAATAACTGTGAGCTATATGTACATTTAAAAAACATTAATAAAAACTTTTTGATGAGTTAGTCAGTGACAGTGATTGTAGTGGTGGTGGGTTAAATCAAGGAATGAATGTTTGTAAAATGAAAATTGTGGGAGTACCTCCTACTACCATGCAGTTCAAAAACAAACAATAACGAATATGGCAGGCTCATTGAGCGCCTTCATATTGCAACATTTATGGTAGTGCATTTGTATGATGATTGTAAACTTCTTTATTTATGCTTGCTTTTTTCATTCTTTATATCTTTTTAGTGTCAGCCTGTGCCTTAATATGTAAAATACATCTCTTGTAGACAGCATATAGTTGAGTCTTACAACAATCTCTTCTTTTTGTTTGTTTTGAGACGGAGTCTTGCTCTGTTGCCCAGGCTGCAGTGCAGTGGCACAATCTCGGCTCACCCTGCAACCTCTGCCTCCTAGGTTCAAGTGATTCTCCTGCCTCAGCCTCCCAAGTAGCTGGGACTACAGGCATGCACCACCATGCCCAGCTAATTTTTGTATTTTTAGTAGACATGGGGATTCACCATGTTGGCCAGGATGGTCCCAATCTCTTGATCTCATGATCCACCTGCCTTGGCCTCCCAAATTGCTGGGGTTACAGGCGTGAGCCACCACGCCTGGCCCAACCTCTTCTTTTTATAGAGTGTTTAGTCTACTTACATTTAATATAATCGCTGATATGAATGGTGATATACTTCAGATATTTGTCCCCAACCAAGTCTCATGTTGAATTGTAATCCCCAATGCTGGAGATGAGGCCTGGTGGGAGGTGTTTGGATCATGGGGGTGGATCCCTCATGGCTTGGTGCTGTCTTCATGATAGTGAGGTCTCGCAAGATCTGGCTGTTTAAACGTGTGTAACACCTCCCTTTCTCTCTTTTCCTCCTGCTTTTGCCATGTGATGTGCCTGCTCCCCTTTTGCCTTCTGCCATGATCAGAAGCTTTCTGAGGGCTCCCCAGAAGCAGATGCCACTATGCTTCCTGGACAGCCTGCAGAACTGTGAGCCAATTAAACATTTTTAATATAAATTACATAGTCTCAGGTATTTCTCTATAACAACGCAAGAATGGCCTAATAAAAATGGGTTTAGGCTGGGTGCGGTGGCTCATGCCTGTAATCCCAGCTCTTTGGGACGCCCAGGCAGGCGGATCACCTGAAGTCAGGAGTTCAAGACCAGCCAGGCCAACATGGTGAAACCCCATCTCTACTAAAAATACAAAAATTAGCTGGGCATGGACGCACATGCCTGTAATCCCAGCTACTCAGGAGGCTGAGGCAGGGGAATCGCTTGAATCCGGGAGGTGGAGGTTGCAGTGAGCTGATATCATGCCACTGCACTCCAGCCTGGACGAAAGAGCGAGACTCAGTCTCAAAAAAAAAAAAAAAAAAGAAAGATTGGATTTAGGTATTCCAATCTGATATCTGTTTTCCATTTGACTCTTCTGTTTCCTTTCCTTTATTGCTCTTTACCTGATTTCTTTTGGGTTAACTGAATTTTTTTTAGTGTTCCATTTTATTTTCTATATTAGCTTCTTACCTATATCTCTTTGAAGATTGTGGGTTTTCGTTGTTGTTTTACAGTGATTGATCTAGGGCTAACAATATAAACTTTTACTTATCAAAAGCTATTTATAATTAATGCTGTACCATTTCCCACTTCATACATAGACAACAATGTAATTCAACTTATCCACTCTCCCTCATTCTTTGTACAACTGTTGCCACATCACTTACCTCTGCATAGAGTGTAAACCCCATATTGCAGTGTTGTTATTGTACTTTAAAAAGTCAATTGTCTTTCAGAACATTACCACAAAGGAAAACATAACACCGTATATTTACCCACTTATTTACCATTCAGTTGCTCTTCATTCTTTCCTATAGATCCAGATTTCTCTCTAGAATCATTTCTCTTATGCCTGAATGATATCTTTTAGCATTTCTTGTAACTCAGGTCTGCTAGTAGTGAATCCTCTCAACCACCTTTTTAGAAAGATATGTCCGCTGGATATAAAATTCTGGGTTGAGAGTTGTTTCAGCTCTTTAAAGGTATTATTTTTTTGTCTTCTGATCTCATAGTTTCTGATGAAAATTCCGCAGTCATTCTAATCCTTGTTCCCCAGTAATGTACCTTTTTGCTCCGGCTGCTGTCAAGATTTTTCTCTGCATTTCTGATTGTCAGCAGTTTGACTACAGATGAGCCTAGGTGTAGTTCTCTTCGTATGCATCCTGCTTGGGGTTCATTGCTACTAACACCTGTAAGTTGATGCTTTTCATCAAATTAGGATGAAAGATTTAAGCCATTATTTATTTAAATGTTTTATTTGCCCTAATCTCACTCTTGTCTCCTTCCGGGACTCTATATACATACAGTTATACATTACACATGAATATATTTATATATTTTTACATATTACATTTATTTACATATTTATATATAAGACTATTTGATATTTTCCCACATATCCCTAAGGCTCAGTTTGTTTTCAAAAATCTTTGGCTGGGCACAGTGGCTCATGCCTGTAATCCCAGCACTTTGAGAGGCCAAGGCAGGTGGATTACCTGAGGTCAGGAGTTCAAGACCAGCCTGGCCAACATGGAGAAACCCTGTCTCTACTAAAAATACAAAAATTAGCTGGGCACGGTGGTGAGCACTTGTAATACCAGCTACTCGGGAAGCTAAGGCAGGAGAATTGCTTGAACCCAGGAGGCGGAGGTTGCAGTGAGCTGAGAGTGTGCCACTGCACTATGGCCTGTCGAGCCTGGGCAACCAAGTGAGACTCTATCTCAAAAACAAAACAAAACAAAACAAAACCTGGCACAGTGGCTTATGCCTGTAATCCCAGCACTTTGCGAGGCCGAGGCGGGTGGATCACGGGGTCAGGAGATCAAGACCGTCCTGGCTAACACAGTGAAACCCCACCTCTACTAAAAATACAAAAACTTAGCCAAGCGTGGTGGCACGCGCCTGTAGTCCCAGCTACTTGGGAGGCTGAGGCAGGAGAATCACTTGAACCCAGGAGGCAGAGGTTGCAGTGAGACAAGATCGTGCCACTGCACTCCAGCCTGGGTGACCGAGCGAGACTCCGTTTCAAAACAAACAAACAAACAAGCAAACAAAAAAATTGTATCTCTCTGTTCTTTAGATGGGATAATTTGTACTATTCTGCCTTCAAATTCCCCGACCTTGTCCTCTGCCATCTTGAATCTGCTGTTAAATACCTCCAGGTATTATTCATTTTTTACTTGTCACTTCTAGCATTTGCATTTTTTTTGCAGTCTCTATGTCTTTGTTAAGATTACCTCTTTTTACTTTTTTAATTCATTGAACATATTATAATTGCTGCATTTAAGCTTTTATTTTCTAAGTGCAACGCTGGGACCATCTTGGGCTTAGTTTTATTGCCTTTTTTCTTGCCTAAAAATCAAACTTTTTTGTTTCTTTGTATGTCTAGTATTTCTTGTTTGAAAAATGGGCATTGTGATGAACACATAGTAGGCTATGTATTGTATGTATTACCATACACGTATCTGAATTTTCTTATTTTCTCCTGAAAGGTATTGATTCTGCACTTCATTTACGGGCTGGTCATCTTGAACTTATATAGGTTTATGAGTGGTTACTATGGATCTCTGGAAAGCCCAGTGTTTCCCAGGCCCCTCTTACTTGAGGACTCAACTTCTAAACTCTGCCCTCACTGCTAATCTTATCAGGAGTTTATTCAGGTTTTGTTAGGTAAGGTACAAAGTAGGTCTTACTTTAGGGCAGTGGTTCTCAACGGAAGCAATTCTGCACCTAGAGGACATGTGGCGATGTCTTTTTAGTTGCCGCACGTTGGTGGGGGAGTGCTACTGGCATCTGATGAGTGGAGCCACGGATGCTGCTAAATATCCTACGATGCAAAGGATGCCCCCACTCAAAAAAGAAATCTCTTGTCCAAAATGCAATACTACCTGGGAGAAGACTCTGCTCCTTAGATGTGGCCTTTCTGGCACCTCAGCTGGGTACCAGGGGGATTAATCAGCCGTTAATGATCTCTCTCCACTCTGGCAGAGCTGAAAATCCACCATGCCCCAGCACTGCTCGTCCTTAGCACTGCCTACCTTCTGGTACCTATATTCCACTCTCACCCCTGAAGCAGCCACTCTCTGATGAGCCTCAGGTGGTCTTGTGTGCACACGTGTCTCTCAGGCACAGACTCAGAGAATCTCCACACACAGCTCCCTCTGGATAGCTCCCTCCTCTCCAATCTCCCGCCTCACAGATTCTAACCTCTTCTGTTCCCCTGAACGCTGATCTCTTCCTCCTTCAGTCAGTAGGATCACTGTCCTTTGCTCAAATTCCAGTTCTTTATTCTACAGTTGGAATAATGTCCCTAGCCAGGAAGCTGGACAATTTTGGGAATCATGAGTTTCTCTTCTCTCAAGGACCAAAGTCTTGCTATATTTACTATCCACTGTCAGGGATGGTGGAAATAAAAAGCTGCCCTACGTATTTTGGCCAGGCCAAGTTGTTTGCATGAAGGATAATCCATATCAGTGACTCCATCATGGCTAGAAACTGAACTCATTTATTTATACTGGCCTTTCCATTTCAAGTCAAAACCTCGTAGAAACTAGTGAATCTGAAAGAATTGTGATAACACACTCATACTGCAGGCGTTTCCAACCTGTCACTCACTGAAGACATTTCTAGTTCAGATTCTAACTTGACAGAAATGTCCTAAGCCTCTACCATGGGGAAAGTACTCTCACAGAGGATAAATCAGTTTATCCTCCTAACAACCCTGAGAGGTATGCACTGTCATCTCCATTTTATAAAATAAAATTTCTACAACGTGGGGGAGATAAAATTCATTCAGGATGCATGCATTGCTTCCCCAAAATCATATGGAAGTATGTCAAAAGGGTCTATCTGATTCCAGGTTCAAAGTCCTTTACTTCCTTTCCAATGTTCACAGCTGTCCTTTTGGGATCTCTCTACTACCTCTCAGAGGAGATGAAATGGCCTTAAAACATAACTACTTTTTCCCGTCTCACGCTCATCTGCTCTCTGCTAATTTTATTCATATTTTCCTTTTCTGGAACCCCCGTATTTGATGCTGAGCCTCTTTGTCCACATTTGTCCTGGGACATATTTGAGGCTGAACATGGCCTCTCTCCCAGGGAGCAAGGAACTCACACTACCAAGAACATGTTGTCCAACATTTATATTGCACAATCATAGTTCCTCTATTAAAATCTTAAAAAAAATTTATCTCTCAAGTGTTAACTAATCTGTTATCCAATTCGGGTAAAGGAAGGCAATGTTTTCCATGGAGCACCAGTAAATACTGATCTATTTTTTCCTATTTTTATGAATCAGGAACCACTTTTTAAGTTGAAAATAAGATCACGTTATCTGTTTGCACTATAAAATCAAAACAAAGAACAAGTACATTGTAGTTGGTTAAATGATGATGCCCTATACAGATATGTCCATATCCTAATCCCCAGAACTTGTGAATGTGACTTTATTTGGGAAACTGACCTTTGCAAGTGTAATTAAGTTATGGATTTTGAGATAAGATCATCCTGGATTACCCAGCTGGGGTTACATCCAATGATAAGTATCCTTATAAGAGATAGCAGTGGAGAGACACAAAGACACAAGAAGACCATGTAAAGATAGAGGCAGAGATCAGAGTGATGACAACAGCCTCCAGAAGATGGAAAAGTCAAGGAACGAATGGAATTCCCCCTAGAGTCTTTGGAGGGAGCACATCCTGCCAATCCCTTGATTTCAGATTTCTGGCCTCCGGAACTGTGAGAAAGTACATTTCTGTTGGTTTAACCACATTTGTGGTACTTTTGTTATAGCAGACACAAGTTAATACAATGGAAACTAAGACGCGTGTTCTCAGAAAAAGATAAGCTGACACACTAATCACGTTGGACTCTTCACAATTGTTTCCATTAAGGTTGGTTTCTTTGTGTTCATGGGTTTCCTTAAAGGCTAACTCTTGCTAGTACTGATAGAACCAGCCAACCAAGCAGGTGCAAATGTTTAAGTAAAAATAGAGAAAAACTTAAAATTGAGTAAATTAAGAAACAATTTTCCTGCTGATTAGGAAATGATTGCTGTACGCTTCCATAGCAACCTATGTGGTGCAAGTCTTGCACACAATGGAAAACGCAAACCAAGGTAGCGTTAGCCTCAAGAACAATGCCCGACTCACATTCTGAAAGAGCAACAGCCTCAGAACCAGGGTGATAGAGTTGACATGGATTTAATCGTCTCTCTACTCTACCATTTACATTGTCAGTTACTTTTTCAGGCTGTTCCTCTACTGGAGGAAGGCTGCCATGGGCAAGCAGGGCAACATGCTTCCTCTCATATTCAGCAAGCAGACAGACAGGGAGAGAGCATGGTGGGAACCAACCACAGGCAAGAATGATGGGTCATCCTTCTTTCTAATCAGGCCCTGCATGTCACACATTTTCATTGATGCATTCCACGTATGAATGTACTACAATGTATTTATTCATTCTCCTGTTCATAAACATTTTTGTTGATTTTTTCTTTCATACTACAAAAAAAAGCTGTCGTAGACACTTTTGACTGTGTATCTGTAGGAGTTTCTTTCGGGTATGTAAATAGGAGTGGCATGATTGAGTCATAACTTTTGTTGTTCTCAACAGAGGTTGTACCAACCTCCACAAACCACGTATGAGAGTTCTGCCCCTCTACATCCTTGCCAGTGCATACTGGGTCCAACTTTAAAATTTGTTAATCTTGTACATTTTCTTTCAACCATCTGCCACTCTAAACTAGTCTCTAAACTCCACATGGGTAAGGATTTTATTTCATTCACTCCCAAACCCTAGACAATGCTTAGCACTTGGCAGATTTCACCAGGGAGAACAGTGAAACAATAGATTTTCGAGGGCAGGGCCCCAGCCTCTCTGCTCTTGTCTGTGTCACTCCTTTGTTATGTTGTTAACAATAAGAATGGAGGGAGGGTATACTCTGTTCACTGGGAAAATCTTGCTATTAGCTGAATCGGCACACACACGGATTCTAGAGGACAGGGAAAAGATGTCTTTGCTTTTGCCCTTAAGTTGCCTATCAGTCTTAGTGGCGAGACCTCCTCCCTCTCCTTCATCAGCCACAGTGCTCTGGGTCATTCACCCCTTCCATTCTCCCTCCCAACCAAGGTCTTCCTCAGCCTCTGCCTCGGGGTGGGAGTGGTTCAGGTCCATGTAGTTTACCTTTTGATAGAGCTGGGGTAGGGGTGAGCAGGGAAGGGAGTGAAGGAAGAGATTGTGGAAGGCAGCCTCAGTGGGGAACAGCTAAACACATTAACTTTCTACTGCTGAGATCAGCCACTCTCAGTGCAGGACCCTGATAAATGGATTTGGTTTTCCTTCTCCTTTTTCAAATATCTGCTTCTGCCATCCTTAGTATGGGCCAAATTCCTAGAAATAAAGACAAGTGGGTACCACACCCAAGACAGAATTGGTTGGGGACTCCATCCAAACTTGCCACTTCCCAGCAGTGGTTCTCAACCAGGGGCAGCAGCGCCCCCTGGAGGCACCTGGAAAGGTATGGTGACATCGTTGCGGTCACCCTGCTTGAGAAGTTGGTGGGTCAGGGCCAGGCTCGATGAACAGCCTGCAATAGGCAGGATACACCTGCACAACATGGCACTGTCTAGGCGAAAAGGCTGGCAGTGCACTCACTGCATATGCTGAGGCTTCTGGGAGGCCAGGGGCGTAGCCTGATATATTCACAGTGTTTCCCCGACATAAGCCCAGGCCCAGCAGAGAGAGGGAGCTCAAGGAAAACTCCTTGAGTGAGAGTGCATGAGTGAAGACAGCACTTCATGGCACCAGCTCACAGAACTCAAGGGCATGAGCCCTTTCAAGTGCATGAGCACACTGAAACCCAGGGTGTTAGCTCATCAGTAGTAAAAAGCAGACTAGGAATCTGAAGAAGAAATATCCCCCTGTGAGAAAGTAAATGAAATTTTCTTTAGATGTGGGGAGATTTTCTCTATTCCCGGGAAGCTATCGAGTTCCATCTCATCTCTCATTTAGAAATACGAGGGAGTTTGAAGAGACATAGTCACAGTAAAAAGAAAAAAAAATACATAAGGCTGGGCACGGTGGCTCATGCCTGTAATCTCAGCACTTTGGGAGGCTGAGGCAGGCAGATCACTTGAGGTTAGGAGTTTGAGACCAGCCTGGCCAACGTGGTGAAACTCTGTCTCTACTAAAAATGGGAAAATTAGTCAAGCGTGGTAGCACACGCCTGTAATCCCAGCTACTGAGGGGGCTGAGGCAGCAAAATTGCTTGACCCAGGAGATGGAGGTTGCAGTGAGCCGAGATCACACCACTGTACTCCAGCCTGGGCGACAGAGCAAGACTCCATCTCAAAAAAAAAAAAAAATATATATATATATATATATAATATATAATAAGATATATAATAATATATAAGATATATATATTATATAATATATATTATATAATATATATTATATATATTATATATAAGATATATAATATATAATATATATTATATATAAGATATATAATATATAATATATATTATATATAAGATATATAATATATATTATATATGACATATGATATATATTATATATACACACACATTTTATATATACATATATACATATTTTTAATATATACATATATACCTATTTTTGTATATCTGTATAGATATATGTATCTTTTTACATATATGTATATATATACACACACACTGGAGTGCAGTGAGCCGAGATCAATGCCCAGATGTTGCAAAAAAGTCAAAACCTTAGTATGCAAGTTAATCCCTCTCTATTGATGGTGACCATGACCAAACATAGCAGAGCGGAATTTGCCAGGGGAGTTAGTTACATAGGCTTTCAAAAGAAAGTGAGGGGAGCACCCAAGCCCATCTCATTCGGGAGGGTAGGCAAGTGACTGAGGGCTGGGCTCCAGATCAAGGGCACTGGTTCATACCTCAGTTCTGACAGCTAGTAACTCAGTGGGTTTGGGTAAGTGGCCAAGCTTCTCCAAGCCTCAGTTTCCTTACCTATCAAATGGGGACAATGATACTTACCAAACAAGGCAACATGATTAAAAGAGATGACATAAGTAAAGCACAGTGCTTGGCAGTGAATTGTTATTATTATCATTATTAATTCTTGGAAAAGCCACCCCAGACGAATGACCAGTAATAAAGCTACTGACCACCTCGGGGAACAGAACAGACACTCTGCCATTTAACCCAAGGACATGAGCAGACTGAAAGAATGTCGTATTCTTAAGACACATAAATGAAGTAATTTTATTCTGCCTTTAAGTCATTTTGTTCCCTGGTTGAATAAGACGGTGTTGTGACTCACACTTTAAATTATAATTGTGTTTCTATATCCCTCTAGTTATAAATATTTCATTTTTAGGCTTCTTTAGGAAAAATGAAGGTCTTCCAGCTAACTTTATTCCTCATTCAAACTTTACAAATACATATTCCCCCCACCCTCTCCCCCAACCCCACCAACTCCAGGCCTTTGCAGGTGTTTTGCTTTACCAGGAAGTAGATTTGTGTTTTATTCAAATAACTCTGAATATCGATACTAATGAAAACACTTGGCATCTGTTTTCTGTTGAAATGTGAATGCTTCAGAGCAATATTTACAAAACCCACTTCCCAACCACTGCTCTCAGATTTGATTAAATAACAGTAAAACATGACATTCCAAAGCAGAGTCACAATCTGTTCTTGAGCTGTGTCAGGGCCAAGCCTCTATATTTTCTAATTTGTGAAACATCACTTACCCAGCTGATAGAACAAATGTTCTCTCCTCTCACTCAGATGCAATACAGTTTGCGTTTTCCTAACTGAAGTCCCAAAGTTCCTTCCACACGTTTTAGGAATTGGAGGTAATATGGGGAATAATTCAAATATTGGTAGAGTGTGCAGTGGGGCACATTTGTGAGTTGACCAACCTTTTAGTAAGATGAGCTGCCGTAAACAAATCAAGGTAATTCATGGTAGAAGCAGGGAAGGGAGCAATCTCAAAATTTTTATCAAACTTGGGTCTCCATTCAGAACAGAGAAAATTCTCTCTGGAGATCCTGGCAGACAGGTAGCAACTTCTACACATCCCATGACATAGCCACAGCATTTTATCTAAAGGAAGTCCACTATTAATAAATATTACTAGGTGTAGTTAGCTGAATAATGGCACCCCAAAATATCATGTCCAAATCCCTGGAATTCATACATGCTACCTTATGTGAAAAATGGATCTTAGCAGATGTAATTAAATTAAGGATCTTCTTTTCTTTGAGGTGGGGTTTCACACTGTTGCCCAGGCTGGAGTGCAGTGGCAATTATAGCTCACTGCAGCCTTGAACTCCTGGGATAAAGCGATCCTCCCGCCTCAGCCTCCTGAGTAGCTGGGACTACAGGTACATGCCACCACACCTGGCTGATTTTTGCATTTTTTTTAGAGATGGGGTCTTACTATGTTGCCCAGGCTGGTCTCAAACTCCTAGCTTCAGGCAATCTTCCCACCTCAGCCTCCCAAGTAGCTGGGATTAGAGGAATTGGCTACCGTGCCCAGCCTAAATAAGGATCTTGAGATGAAGAGATAACCTTTAATTATCTAGCAGGGGCCCTAAATGCAATCACAAATGTCCTTATCAGAAAGAGGCAGAGGGAGACTAAACACAGAAGAGGAGAATGTCACATGACCACTGAAGGAGAGATCACAGTGATGCAGCTACAAGCCAAAGAATGCCAGCAGCCACCAGCAGCTGGAAGAGTGAAGGAATGGATTCTTCCCTAGAGCCTCCAGTGGAGGGTGGCTCTGCTAAAACCCTGGTTTCAGCCTAACGAAACTGGTTTCAGACTTCTGGCCTCCAGAATTGAAAGAGAATAAAATTCTGTTGTTTTAAGCCAATCACATTTGTAGTAATCTGTTGCAGATGGATTAAAAGACAAATCACAATGGAGTCAAGGGTTTAGCAATTAAAAAATTAATCCAATTTTACAGATGAAAAAACTAAACAGAGAAGAGGCCAAATGGAATGAAAAATCCATACACACAGCAGGAGACAGAGCAAAGGCCTGGACTCAGGACACTTCTGGGTCTCACAGCCCTTTCTTAGGAAGAGAAGTCAAGCCTTTGGCCAGATTGGGTGCCCTTCTAACCATCTCGGGAAGTTTCTAGCACTGACCAATACTGTCCAACATAATGGCCACTAGCCACATGTGACCTTTAAATTAATTGAGTTAAATTAGAAATTTAGTCCCTCATTTGCACAAACCACATTTTAAGAGCCCAACCCCCATGCATGGCATATGACCACAACATTGCACAGCACAGATCTATAAACATTAACATCATTGTAGGAAGTGCTGCTACTGGACAATGCTGGACCAGACACCTGGAAAACCCAGCAGATTTCTCCCCAGACTTATCAACTCCATGTCTGCTTTCTTCATAATATATACCAACACCTAGTACACTGGTCAGGATGCCTTGGGAATCCAGTAAAGACATATGAAGGCACCAGGGACTGTGTACGGCTTTCCTCATGCCATGAAGGTCACTGCAATATGGGCCAAGGACCATAGCCAGTGAAACTTCCTTGGCTGAGCCCAGGAGCAGCACAGGGAGGCTGAGAACAAGATAGAGGAGACTAACACTCTTCTTAGACCCTCCCTAGACCCAACTCATGCCTCAGGAGAGTCCAAGGAGCTCCCAAAGCCACCTAGCATTCAGAGCACCCATCAGAGGCCACTCCTGGCCTGTTCTGATGGGATGTCCTCGTGGGATCCCAAGAGAAGTCTGATACGCTCTATTACACACTCTCTAGAAAATATCGGTTAATATTTGTATGGCCTTTTATACTCCAAAACCAATACTATGGTCTCCTTTGATGCATATAACTGGTGAAGCACAGATCTCCATTTTACAGATGAGAAAATGGAGGTTTAAAGAGGTGAGGTGAGGTGAGTTACCAAAGGTATATGGGGAAGCCAAGATCCAGTGAAAAATTCCAACTCTAAAATTTACTTTTATATACATTTTTCTCAAGTGTCTATGGAACATTATCCAGGATAGATCACATGTTAGGCCACAAAACAAGTCTTAATCAAGGAACACTGAAATCATATCAAGTATCTTTTCTGATCACAATGAGATGAAACTAAAAGCAGTAACAGGAAAAATCACAGACAATTTACAAGTATATGAAAGCTAAATAATATGTTCCTGCATGACTATTGGGTCCAAGAAAAAATTAAAGAAGAAAATATAAAAATATATTGAGACAAAGGAAAATGGAAACACAACATATCCAAACTTATGAGATGCAGCAAAAGCAGTACTAAGAGAGACTGTATACCAATAAATACCTGTATCAAAAAAAAGGAAAGATCTCAAATAAACAACCTAATGTTATACCTCAAGGCACTAGAAAAAGAAGAACTAAGCTCAAAGTTAGCAAAAAAAAAAAAAAAAAAAAAAAGGAAATAATAAAGACCAGAGCAGAAATAAATTAAATAGAAACTAGAAAAACAATAGAAAAGATCAACAAAACTTAGCTAGACTAAAAAAAAAAAAAGAGAATATGGCTGACTAGACACAGTCAGGTGGAACAGCTGTCACCAAGGGACCAAGACGATGGGCGCACTCCTAACAGACCTTCAAAGGGAAGGCACCAAGAGTGGACAGAGGAAGGCTGGGCTGATGGGGAAGGAAACTGGGAACGCTGCACAGGACTACCGTGCACCAGGACTCATTCCTGGCCCCCAATGACTCTAGGGGAACAGGTTAGTTCACTTGGCCAGGAGCAACCCCATTCTTACCACGGCCCTCTGGAATCCCAGCAAGAGGTGACCCCTAGACCACCACAGACACTGTAGTTGGCAAGGAGAGCTGCTTAGAGAAGTGGCAGGGGCAGCAAGCCAGCTGACATGGAGCCCAGAGCGCTTGGTAAAGGAGCGTGTGTAGCACAGCACAGCCAGGGATGGCCATCCCTGGCTGACTTGCTCCCATTGGAGACTTTAGCCCCAGGGATACTGTCAGACCTGAACTCTACAGGGTAGTCTTCTCCATCAGATGGGACTGGTCTGACCTGAGCACCCCTTGGTCTGCTGGTCTCTCCCAGAAATCCAGCCTGACCGTGCCTGCTTGCAGGGCAGCCTCAGGTGCCCTGGGGCCTGTATCATAGCTTTAGCGCTGGCAAACCATGCCTGACCTGTAGAGAGCTCCAGTGGGAGGGCCCCCACAGCCACACACCAGCCTGACACTCCCTCCCCACATGGCAGCTTCCCCCTGGACCACGGCAACCCCTCACATTGCTTTACTGGTGCATGTGTGTGAACGGTTTTGCTTTTCTTGCCCTGCCAATGTAGATGTATATATGTTCTTTGCCCTGCCACTGCTACACTGCGAGTGCAGTCCACCCGCCCCTTCCCCCTACCAACTGCCATTGCAATTGAAGCCTTAGTGGGCACAGAGACAGCCAGGCCTGTCCTCACCAGCACCCTGCTCTGGATCCAACACTGTCACGGGAGTCAAACTAGGCATGAAGAACAGCAGAACCTCCCCCACTCTGAGCAACCATTCCTGCCTATGGAGAACACACAAAGGCCTGTGCCTGCTAGCACCTGTGCAAACATCACCACCAGCATGACCACAAGCATAGTCACCAGCAGGGACCTCTTGACACCCCCAGCCATGTTGCCTCTGCCACTGTGGTGAACGCCTGCACAGGGGCAGGCATGCTGGTACCCGCTATCACCCTGCCACAGCCAACTAGAGAGCACCCCACTACGCTGCTGCTGCTGCTGCTGCTGCTGTTGGCACGTACAAGCAAGGACAGATCCCCCTGTCACTGTATTATGAAACACTTTGGCTGACACCAACTATCAAAGTGTAGTGACCAGTGGTCTGCGAGCACCTCAGCCCCGCCAGTGCAGTGGATTTCTAACCGTGAAGAGACAGAGAACAAAGTCAAGGCCAATACAAGTTCCCCAGAATTAGAACACACAGTCTAGGAGTTGGGAGCTGAGCCCTAATTCCCTAAAATCTTCTAAAATAAAGCCAGTCTGCTGAATCCACGTTACACCACAAACCCTCAAGGTCATCAGATAGGATAAAAGAGGAAAAAAAAAACCATCAGCAAGTTCAAAGATTGAAGGAACATAAAATGATGAGAAAGAACCAGCACAAGAACCCTGACAACTCAAAAAGCCAGAGTGCCTTCCTTCCTCCAAACAACCACATCACCTCTCCAACAAGGGTTGTGAACCAGGCTGAGATGGCTGAAATGATAGAAATATAATTCAGAATATGGATAGAAACAAAGATCACTGAGATACAGGAGTACATTGAAACTCAATTCAAAGAAGCTAAGAATCACAATAAAACAATGTAGGAGCTGACAGACAAAACAACCAGCTTAGGAAAGAATGTAACTGACCTGACAGAGCTGAAAAACACACTACAATAAATTCATAATACAATCACAAGTATAATAGCAGAATAGACCAAGTGGAAGGAAGAATCTCAGAGCTTGAAGACTAGATTTGTGAAACAAGGCAGTCAGATAAGATTAAAGAAAAAAGAATGAAAAGGAACAAACAAAACCTCCAAGAAATGTGGGATTATATAAAGAGACCAAATCTATAACTCATTGGTGTCCCTGAAAGAGATGGGGAGAGTGTAGGCAACTTGGAAAACATATTTCAGGATATCATCCATGAGAACTTCTCCAATCCAACTAGAGAGGCCAACATTTAAATTCAGGAAATGTAGAAAACCCCAGTAAGATACTTCACAAGAAGATCATCACATAATCATCAGATTCTCCTTGGCCAAAATGAAAGAAAAAATGTTAAGACAGATAGAGAGAAAGGTCAGGTCACCTATGAAGGGAAGCCCATCAGACTAACAGCAGACCTCTCAGCAGAAACCCCACAAGTCAGACGAGATTGGAGGCCAATATTCAACAATCTTAAAGAAAAGAAATTCTAACCCAGAATTTCATATCTGGCCAAACTAAGCATCATAAGCGAAGGAGAAATAAGTTTCTTTTCAGACAAGCAAATGCTGAGGGAATTCATTACCACCAGACCTGCCTTACAAGAGCTCTGAAAGGAAGCACTAAATATGAAAAGGAGAGAACATTACCAGCTACTACAAAAACACACTTAAGTACACAGACCAGTGACACTATAAACCAACCACATAAACAAGTCTGCACAAAAACCAGCTAACATCATGATGACAGGATCAAATCCACACATATCAGCATTAACCTTGAATATAAATGTCTCATTTAAAAGGCACAGAGTGGATAAAGAACAAAGAGCCATTGGTATGCTGTCTTCAGGAGACTTATCTCATAGGCAATGACACGCATAGGCTCAAAATAAAGGGATGAAGAAAAATCTACCCAAGTAACTGGAAAACAGAAAAAAGCAGGGGTTGCAATCTGAATTTCAGACAAAACAGACTTTAAACTAACAAAGATCAAAGAAGACAAGGGCATTACATAATGAAAAGGGTTCAATTCAACAAGAGGACCTAACTATCCAAAATATATATGCACCCAGGACAGGAGCACCCAGATTCATAAAGCAAGTTCTTAGAGACCTTCAAAAAGACTTAGGCTCCTACACAGTAATAGTGGGAGACTTTAACATCCCATTGACAATATTAGACAGATCATCAAGGCATAAAATTAACAAAAATATTCAGGACCTGAACTCAGTACTGGATCAAATGGACCTAACAGACATCTACACAACTCTCCATCCAAAAACAATAGAATATACATTCTTCTCATTGCCATATGGTACATACTTTAAAATCAATTACATAATTTCCCATAAAACACTCTTCAGGAAATGCAAAAGAACTGAAGTCATAACAACCAGTCTCTTGGACCACAGATTTCTAATTTCTAATCAAATTAGAAATCAAGATTAAGAAATTCACCCAAAAACATAAAATTACATGAAAATTTAATAACCTGCTCCTGAATCACTTTTGGATAAATAATGAAACCAAGCCAGAAATCAAGAAGTTCTTTGAAACTAATGAGAACAAAGATACAACATACTAGAATCATTGGGACACAGCCAAGGCAGTGTTAAGAGGGAAATGTATAGCACTAAATGCCCACATCAAAAAGTTAGAAAGATCTCAGTTTAACCAAACATTACAACTAAAAGAACTAGAGAACCAAGAGAAAACCAACCCCAAAGCTGCTAGACAAGAAATAACCAAAATCAGAGCTGAAATGAAGGAGCCTGAGACACAAAAAAGCATTCAAAAGATCAACAAGTCCGAGAGTTAGGGTGGTTTTTTTTTTTGAAAAAAAATAAAATAGACCACTATGAGATTAATAAGGAAGAAAAGAGAGAAGGTCCAAATAAACACAATTAGAAACAACAAAGGAAAATTACCCCTGACTCCACAGAAATACAAAAAACCATCAAAGAATATTATGAACATCTCTATGCATACAAACTAGAAAAATCTAGAAGAAATGGATAAATTCCTGAAAACATACACCCACCCAAGACTGAGCCAGAAAGAAACTGAATCCCTGAACAGACCAATAACAAGCTCTGAAATTGAATCAGTAATAAATAGCCTACCAACCAAAAAAAGCTCAGGACCAGATGGATTCACATCTGAATTCTACCAGATGTACAAAGCAGAGCTAGTACCATTTCTGCTGAAACTATTCTTAAAAATTGAGGAAAAGGGACTCCTCCCTAACTCATTCTATGAGGCCACCATCACCCTGATATCAAAACCTGGCAAAGACATAACAAAAAAAAGAAAACTTCAAGCCAATATCCTTGATGAAGACTGATGCAAAAATCTTCAAGAAAATAGTGGCAAACCAAATTCAGCAGCACATCAAAAAGCTATCTGCCACAATCAAGTATGCTTTACCCCTGGAATGCAAGGTTGGTTCAACATACACAAATCAATAAGTGTGATTCATTGCATAAACAGAACTAAAGACAAAAACCACATGATTACTTCAACAGATGTAGAAAAGGTTTTCAATGAAATTCAACATCCCTTCATGTTAAAAACTCTCAATAAACTAGGTAATGAAGGAACATACCTCAAAACAGTAAGAGCCATCTACAACAAATCCACAGCTGACATCATACTGAACAGGCAAAAGCTGGAAGCATTCCCCTTAAAAACCAGTACAAGACAAGGATGCCCTCTCTTACCACTCCTATTCAACATAGATTGGAAGTCCTGGCCAGAGCAATCAGGCAAGAGAAAGAAAGAAAGGGCATCTAAATAGGAAGAAAGGAAGTCAAATTATCGCTGTTTACAGATGACAAGATTCTGTATCTAGAAAACCCCATAGTCTTGGCCCAAAAGCTCCGTAAGCTGATAAACAACTTCATTAAACTCTCAGGATATAAAATCAATGTACAAAAGGGATGTTGTTGGTGTATGGCATTTCCTATACACCAACAACAGTCAAGTCAAGAGATAAATCAGGAATACAATCCCATTCACAACTGCCACAAAAAGTATAAAATACCTAGGAATACAGCTAACCAGGCAGGTGAAAGATCTCTAAAAGGAGAGCTACAAAACACTGCTCAAAGAAATCAGAGATGACACAAACAAATGGGAAAACATTCCATGCTCATGGCTAGGAATAATCAATATCATTAAAATGGCCATATCACTCAAAGTAATTTATAGATTCAATGCTATTCTTATTCAACTACCAGTGACATTCTTTAGAGAACTAGAAAAAGGTATTTTAAAATTCATATGGAACCAAAAGAGGACCCAAATAGCCAAGGCAATCCTAAGCAAAAAGAACAAAGCTGGAGGCATCATGCTACCTGACTTCAAGCTATACTACAGGGCTACAGTAACCAAAACAGCATGGTTCAAAAATAGACACATAGACCAATGGAAAAGAATAAAGAACACAGAAATAAGCCTGCACAACTACAGCTATCAGACACTGGGGCCTATCAAGGGATGGAGGATGGGAGGAGGGAGAAGATCAGGAAAAATAAGGAATAGGTACTAGGCTTAATACCTGAGTATTGAAATAATCTGTATAACAAACCCCCGTAACACAAATTTACCTATATAAATACATGCACATGTACCCCTGAACTTAAAAAACACAAGAAGAATAAAACATGAGAGAAATGCGGAAACAATGTTCCTCAACACAATAAAAGCCATATATGATAAGCCCACAGCAAACATCATGGTCAAAAGTGAAAAGCTGAAGACTTTTCCTCTAGAATCAAGAACAAGACAAGGAGGTTCACTCTCAAAACTTCTGTTCAACACAGTACTGGAAGCCCTAGCCACAGCAATTACACAAGCGAAAGAAATAAAGCATACAAATAGGAAAGGATGACAAGAGATGGTCTCTGTGGACAACATGCTGTTATATATGGAATATCCTAAAGACTCCCTGAAAAAACCGCTAGAACAGATAAATTCAGTAAAGTTGCAGGATACAAAATCAACTTAACAAAAATCAGTCGTGTTTCTATACACCAACAACAAATCGTCTGAAAACAATCCCATTTACAATAGCATAAACACAGGAATACATTTAACCAAGGAAGTGAAAGATCTGTGTACTGAAAACTATAAAACATTGATGAAAGAAATTGAAAATAACACAAATAAATGAAAAGATACCCCTATTCATGGATTGGAATAAATTAATATTGTTAAGATGTCCATATTACCCACAGTGATCTACGGATTCAGTGCAATCTCTATCAAACTTTCAAAGCCATTCTCAACAGGAATAGAAAAAACCATCCTAAAATTCATAAAGAACCACAGAAGACCCTGAATAGCCAAAGCATTATCAACCAAAAAGAATGAAACTGGAGGTATCACACTACTGGATTTCAAAAGATATCACAAAGCTACAGCAATCAAAACAGCATGGTACAGACATAAAAACAGACACATCAACCAATGGAATAGGACAGAGAGATGAGAAATAAACCCAAACACCAAAAGCCAATTAATTTTTGACAAACGTGTCAAGAATACACAATGAGAAAAAGACAGTCTCATCAATAAACGGTGTTGGGAAAATTGCATATCCACATACAGAAGAATGAAAATGAACCCATGTTTCACCCCTTATACAAGAACCAACTCAAAATGGATTAAATACTTGAATGTAAGACCTGAAACTGTAAAACTACTAAGAAAAAACAGGGAGAGAGTTCCAGGACATTGATCTAGGCAAAGATTTCTTAGATACGACCTTAAAAACACAAGGAACAAAATCAAAAATAGATAAATGAGATTGCATCAAACTAGAAAACTTCTGCACAGCAAAGAGAACAATAGAATGAAGAGGCAACCTACAAATTGGGATAAAATACTTGCAAATCATACATTGAATCAGAAACTAGTATCCAAAATGTACAAGGAATTCACACTACTCAATAACAACAAAACAAATAACTCTCTTAAAAAATAGGCAGACTGGACGCAGTGGTACACATCTGTAGTTCCAGCTACTCAGGAGACTGAGGCAAGAGGATCACTTGACAATAGAAGTTCAAGGCTGTAGTGTGCTATAATCATGCCTGTGAATAGCCATTGCACTCCATCCTGGGCAACATACCAAGACCCCATCTCTAAAAAAAAGTAAAATGAAAAATTTTACATGGGCAAAGGACTTGAATAGACATTTCTCAGAAGAAGACATACAAATGTTCAACAGATACATTTTTTAAATGCTAAACATTTCTGATCATCAGAGAAATGTGAATTAAAACCACAATGAGAAATCACCTTACAACTGTTAGAATGCCTGTTATCAAAAAGATGAACAATACCAAGTGTTGGTGAGAATGTGGAGGAAGGGGAATCCTTATACACTCTTGGTGGTGTTGGAAATTTGTATAACCATTTTGGAAAACAGTACGGAGGTTCCTCAAAAATTAAAAATAGAATTACCATACATTACAGCAATCCCACTATTGGTATATATCTAAAGGAATTGAAATCAATATGTCAAAGAGATGTCTGCACTGTCATGCTCACTGCAGCATTATTCACAAGAGCCAAGATACAGAAACAACCTAAGTGTCTATCAATGGATACATTGACTTTAAGTGTGGTAAATACAAACAATGGAATACTATTCAGCCTTAGAAAAAGAAACAGAAAATTCTGTCATTTGTGAAGTATCAGTGATCCTACAGGGCATTATGTTAAGTGAAATAAGTCAGGCCCAGGGAGACAAATACCATATTATCTCACCTACACGTAAAATCTAAAAAAGTTGAACTCACAGAAGTAGAGAGTAGAATAGTGGTTACCAGAGGCTGAGGGTGGGAGTAGGTGGAAAGTGAAAAGGACAATGTTGGGCAAATGGATACAAGGTTACAGTTGCATAGAAGGAATACGTTTTGGTGTTCTACTGCACAGCAAGGGAACTACAGTTAATAACGGATATTTCAAAATAGCTAAAAAAGAGGATTTTAAATGTTCTCACCCAGGGCCAGGTGCAGTGGCTCATGCCTGTAATCCCAGCATTTTGGGAGGCAAAGACAGGCAGATCACTTGAGCTCAGGAGTTCAAGACTGGCCCGGGCAAGATAGTGAAACCCTGCCTCTCCAAAAAAACACAAAAATTAACCAAGTGTGGTGGCATGTGTCCATAATCCCAGCTACTCAGGACGCTGAGGCAGGAAGATCGCTTGAGCCTGGGAGGCAGAGGTCACAATGAGCCAAGATTGTGCCACTGTACTCCAACCTGGGCAACAGAGCCAAACTCTGTCTCCAAAAAAGTAAAATAAAAAAAAATAAATAAAAAATAAATGTTGTCACCACAAAGATATGGTAAATATTTGAGGTGACATAGGCTAATTACCTTAATGTGATCATTCCATAATGTATACATGTGTCAAAACATTATATACCCCATAAATATATATAATTGTCAAAAATAAAACTTAAAGAAATTAAAAAGTAAAATTTGCGTTCTACACCACCACTTGTTCTTCCATCTTCCTTTAAGATATACAGACATGCCCCAAGTCTTCTTGCAGGTATAGCTGGGGCTTCCTCATCTTTGTAGTCAGGTGGCATCTAGCAGTGCCTGTCTCAACCAGTCCATAGCCAGGTTTTCAAATCTCACACTCTTTCCTTGGGAGAGGCTGAGAAGATCAATGGAGTCCAAACAGAAATGAGACAAATATTTGGAATTGCACTTCTGAGTTCTTAACTCCAGAAATGCAGGAATTTTGTGCGAATTTACTTCATTGATTCCTTATACTGAAACACAAGGCTGTGTTATCTCTATTGAGAAAAGGCTGTAAAGGCAGACAAAAGGCATTTGTGTCCATACGGCCATGTGCTTTAGCTTCTACTTTTCTCACACACAGACACCAGCTAGGACTCCATGGACACTCATGGTATTCCAAACGTATGATAACTTAAACCACATCATATGTCAAAAGGCTTAATTTAATCATCATTTCAACTCTATGAAGTAAATACTATCATGATTCCCATTTCACAGATGAAGAAACTGAGGTTTGAGGAGTTTAAGTAAATTTGCCCTCCATCACAACTCATAGGTGACAAGAGTTGGAATTTGAATATAGGTCTGTCTGATTTCAAACTTCTAACCATGGCAGTATTCTGCCTCTCAAGAAAGATTAAAATAGTTTAGATTCATAGAAACTTCTCATAGAAAATGCAGCCCTGGGGAGAAGCCTTCAAAATAGTGCTAAGTTTCTCTGTGGGCCTATATTTCTTATTTTGACCATATTCCTATTCCACTCTTGGCATCTCCACTGCCAACATTTGTCTTTCTTTTGAAAGGATGCCCTTTATTTAACAGAAAAACCCAGAACTCTTCAGAATCAAAAAGGCCAAAATAGGCCGGGCGCGGTGGCTCACGCCTGTAATCCCAGCACTTTGGGAGGCCGAGGCGGGCGGATCACGAGGTCAGGAGATCGAGACCATCCCGGCTAAAACGGTGAAACCCCGTCTCTACTAAAAATACAAAAAATCAGCCGGGCGTAGTGGCGGGCGCCTGTAGTCCCAGCTACTTGGGAGGCTGAGGCAGGAGAATGGCGTGAACCCGGGAGCCGGAGCTTGCAGTGAGCCGAGATCCCGCCACTGCACTCCACCCTGGGCGACAGAGCGAGACTCCGTCTCAAAAAAAAAAAAAAAAAAGACCAAAATAAATGTTAAGCATTTAAAAAAAACTGACGTTCTGAGTCCTTTTCTCAGAGAAGCACATATTCTGACAAGTTATATTCTAGATGAAATTGCTTCTTGACTCTAAGCATCTAGGACTCTTTAAAAAAATTATTATAAAAATGTTCAAGCATTCATTAGAGACAAATGTAAAAAAAAAACTTTATGAATCTATCATCCAGTTTCAACAGTTACCAACACATAGCCAATCTTGTTTCATTAATCCCCCTGCACCCACTCTGTTTGCTGGTAATTTAAAGTAAATCCCACACATCTATCATTTTCCCTGTAAATACTTCAAGGCATCTTTAACTAGTAAGGATTTTTTTAAAACATAATCACAATGCCATTACTATGCTTAACAAAATGACAGCAATTTCTTAACATCATCTGAAACCCAATCATACTCAAATTTCTCCAACTGTCTCAAAGATGTCTTTTTTCAGTTGGTTCGTTCCCATCAGAATCCACACAAGATTCACACATTGCATTTGGTTATGTTCTTAAATCTCTTAATCTAAAGCATACATTGAATCCCTCTCCCTCTTCTTTTTTATGCTACTTATTTGCTAAGACAATTGAGTCATTTGTCCTATAGAATATCACACACGTTTTGGATTTCTGTGGTAACGTGTTTCTCTAGCCTTCAGAAAGTGAAAGTTAATTCTAGAAGTTTGATTAGTTTCAAAAATAATATGGTAGTCATTTCATTTAAAAAAATAAGAGGAGGCATGCAATATGTAGCAGTCTTTGAATGATTTAATAATTTTAAGATTTATCACTGAGTTCAGGGTTCACTGGTGTGATTCATCCAATTTTATACCTTCCTACTATCCACTTTCTCTTCCACCTAATGGTTTCAAACACCCACTGATAATTTTAAACATCACTCACCCATTATTGTATTAGGAGCTGAAAATGATGCTTTGTAACTTGTTTTTTGTTTTTTTTTTAGCCAGGGTCTCACTCTGTCACCCAGATTGGAGTGCAGTAGTGCGATCTTGGCTCACTGCAACCTCCGCCTCCCAGGTTCAAGTGATTCTCACACCTCAGCCTACCTAGTAGCTAGGACTACAGGTGCTCACCACCACACTCAGCTAATTTTTGTATTTTTAGTAGAGACGGGGTTTCACCATGTTGGCCAGGCTGAGAACTTTATTTTTATTATTCAGCATAAGAAGGTATAAAGTACTGATCATGTCGCGATCTGGATGAACCTTGAAAATATTATGCTTGGTGAAAGAAGCCAATCACAAAAGAGCACATATTTAACTAAAGCTTCCGTTTATATAATATGTCTGGAAGATAGGCAAATCCATAGAGACAGAAAACATATTAGTATTTGCCTAGGGCTGTGAAGGCGAAAGAGAATGGGGTGTGATTGCTAAGGAGTACAGGGCTTCTTTTGGCGTGAATGAAAAAAAAAAAAAAAAAAAACATATATATATATATATATATATATATATATATATATATATATGTTTTTTTTTTTTTTTTTTTTTTTTGAGACGGAGTCTCGCTCTGTCGGCCAGGCTGGAGTGCAGTGGCGCGATTTCTGCTCACTGCAAGCTCTGCCTCCCGGGTTCACACGATTCTCCTGCCTCAGCCTCCTGAGTAGCTGGGACTACAGGCGCCTGCCACCATGCCTGGCTAATTTTTTTGTATTTTTAGTAGAGACGGGGTTTCACCGTGTTAGCCAGGATGATCTTGATCTCCTGACCTTGTATATTTTAAACTTGGGTTGTGGTGATGTTTGGACAATTTTGTGAATATAATAAAAACCATTTATTCAATGATTGAGTTTCATGGTATATGAATTATATCTCAAGAAATATGTTAAAAAGAACTTTATGGGCTGGGCGCAGTGGCTCGCGCCTGTAATCCCAGCGCTTTGGGAGGCCGAGGTGGGTGGATCATTTGAGGTCAGGAGTTCGAGACCAGCCTGGCCAACATGGTGAAAACCGTCTCTACTAAAAATACAAAAAAATTATCTGGGCAGTAGTGGCATGCACCTGTAATCCCAGCTACTTGGTGGGGCTGAAGCAGGAGAATCGCTTGAGCTTGGGAAGTGGAGGTTGCAGTGAGCCAAGATCATGCCACGGCACTCCAGTCCGGGCAACAGAGACCCTGTCTCAAAATAAATAAATAAATAAATAACTTTCTCTCAGTCATCCATTTGGTTATGGTTATTTTCAATAGTTTATGCCAGAAAGTTTGGACAAATATTTTGTTTTCCTTTCACAGTAATGAGTTGGATACCCTAACAACCTTCAGTGATGTTAACGCCTTTCAAAGCATTTTTATGAACTCATGGATATTTACGTATTCAATGCGTATAAATCTATTGCATTCACTATTCTTTTCGATGTAAGCATTGTTTCACCTGTGGCCACTGGGCACTCCTTCAAGGTAGCTCCTGGGTCTTATTGACAGGACCCCAGCAGTCTTTGATGCTTCCCCTGCTTTCTGGCATAAGATAGCTCAGGTTCAACATGACATTTACTGCCCAAGAGCTGGAATCAGCCACTTCTCCAAAGAGACCTGGTTTTTAGTGGGCAATGGTATTAGGAAGCATAATCTGAGTGCTAAGGATGCTAATTGCTACTGAGGTGTCATTGCTTCAAAGACCTTTTCAGTGGACAGAATTAGGAAATACTTCTTAAAAAAAATAATGAATTCAAAGTACTATTTCCAATTCAAATTTAATGCATGTTTTGACTTGAATTTTACACTTGTATCTTGTTTTGGTCTTAGGTTGAAAATCTTGGTTTCTACTGACACTAACATCATAACTTTAAAACGTGATATTTTATAATACCAATTTCAAAACAATATTATTTTTATTATAAAGTTTTACTTTTTTTGCAGTTCTCCTTATCTTCAGGATGTATCACCTTCTGGAGATGTAAAGTCAAAATATTGTATTTGAACAACACTTATAATCATTTCCTTTCTGTGGTTATAAAATCAACTTGACATGTACTCGAGTTATTTGTTTCAGCTTGTTTTCAAGTTTTAGGAATTTCTTCTTTTCTTTATATAATCACCATATAGTCATACATACAGACACACGAAATCTTCATTCCTTTGTATAGATTCATGGTATACCTTTGTGTAAATGCATCATTGTTTATTTAACTACTGTCCTATTCGTAGACATATAGAGCCCGTCTTATTTTAATTACATCCAACAATGTACCTATCAAGTGATCTACAGAAAAAGAAAATGTAAATTTTAAAGTCCTTTGGGCTACTTCAACACTTTATTTATTCTTTATTCACTAAAAATTCATTCATTCAGTGAAAAAGCATTTATTGAATACCAATTATGTGTTAACCACTGTCCTAAGAGCTGCAGATACAGGAATAATGTGGTGTCTGCCCAGAGAGGTGTCAGCCCAGAGAGCTTTCAGTCTACACATAACCTGAATTCCATGTATCATGAACTTGCTCATAAATTATCTGCTAGCTTAACTAAAATTTTAGCAGATAAAGCCATCACAGCAACTTGAACTATCCCTAGAGAATTTTCCTTTAATTGTATCTGCTTTGAAAAGATATCCTCGTTTTTTGTTTTGTTTTGTTTTGTTTTTTGAGACGGAGCTCGCCGTGTCGCCCAGGCTGGAGTGCAGTGGCACGATCTCGGCTCACTGCAAGCTCCGCCTCCCGGGTTCACGCCATTCTCCCGCCTCAGCCTCCCAAGTAGCTGGGACTACAGGCGCCCACTACCACGCCCGGATAATTTTTTGTATTTTTAGTAGAGACGGGGTTTCACCGTGTTAGCCAGGATGGTCTCGATCTCCTGACCTCGTGATCCGCCCGCCTCGGCCTCCCAAAGTGCTGGGTTTACAGGCGTGAGCCACCTCGCCCAGCCTTCCTCGTACTTTTCAATATTTGTAGCAAGTCCAATCATTAGCTCAATAATCCAATCATAGCATTTTAGGAAATATGGATGCTCTGTAAGCAAATACTCCAGTGAAAAATAGCCAGGTCTAAATTTCTGTATGCAGAATTGCAGAATGCTTTACTTTCTTAGCCCTCTACTCGCCAGAGTTGAGGAAAAAGTAAATGCCCTGAGAATTTCGTAACAGCTTTGCCCTTAAGATTTTGCTGTCATATTCAATGACAACATACCATATTAACGCTTCCTATTTTTTTTTCAAATCACATTCTCAACATAATATATCACCAATAAGAACTTTTCTCAAAAACTTAAATACAAAAGTTATTTGAGGAAACTGCTTAAAAATTAAATGCAGAAAAAAGAGTAAGCTAGAAGTGATGACAAGAGTGGATGAAGGTCATTAACCCTAAAGAAGTAGGCATTTTATGGAAGGCAGTTACATCAGAAAGAGTCTAAGTCAATGCTTCTCCAATTTTTATATGCATGCAAATCATCTGGGGATTTCATTAAAATGCAGATTCTCAGTTAGTAGGTCAGGGTGGGGTCTAAAACTCTCCATTTCTTTTTTTTATTTTTATTTTTGTAGAGACAGGGTCTTACTATGTTGCCCAAGCTGGTCTTGAACTCCCTGGCCTCAAGCAATTCTCCCACCTCGGCCTTCGAAAGTACTGGGATTACAGGCGCAAGCCACCCCACACGGCTGAGATTCTGCGTTGCTAACAAACTTTCCCGGGTTACGCTAAAGCTGCTGGCCCACGGACCACAGTCTAATGGCCCAAATGCAGATGAAGATGAAGGTCTCTGAACAGAAGATGCTCTTATAACTCCTCTCTTTGCCATGCCCTCCCCAACTCCCATCCTCCCCCCATCTTCTAGGAATGAGTTAGTTCTCTAACTGTTGAAAATATAATCATTCCTAGGGGGCAGTCTTTCCAAGGTAAAATTTTATGTACAGGATATCTGTTTCTGGTAAAATAGCTCATTAGGTAATCTGAAAACACTCCTGCTAAAAAGCTATCTACAAATACTAGATAGCATATATCAAATATAGTTTTTAAAGGTGTAGTTGAGCTCACAAGAAAGGAAAGAAAATCCTTGGGGGTTGAAATCAGAGAGAACTGTAAACCAGAAAGTAAGTGCATCAGCACATGCTATGCAGCCTAGACCAGTTCCAGGTACCAGGAAGTGAGGTTTTCATAAACACAATGGAAAAAGATGGAAGATACTGAGTCTCTACGAGGAATGGTGTGAGAAACAAGAATATCACATAAAGCCAGGAGATGGTAATCCTCTAAGAAAACATTAACTAGAAAACATAACACTTGCCAGCATAGGGAGGTAAGAGTAAGGCCAGTGTGACTCACCTTGGGCTCTGAGCAGAAAAAATATGTTTCCCATTGGTAAGTTAAGTGTGTGTGTCAGAAAGTTACTGGTGGGAAATTCTGGAAAGATAGTTGTGACTGTGGAAGCAACTATCTTTTTTATGATATAAAAAGGGCAGGAGGAGAGACAGTATTTACAACAAAATTAGGTTAAAATGTAACCCTCATATCCCAAAATACAAATGAGTGAGGTGAGGACAGAGCATCAAGAGCCAGAGGAGTCCTGGGAGGTCTCAGCATCGATGTGGAAAGCAGCACAGGGAGGCACAAGGTACCTGAACCAACTAAGGACCGAAGAACCCAAAACAACAGATATTCACTGCAAAGCCCGGAGGGCCAATTTGAGAACAGCAATTGGTACTGGGAAGGTTCTTGCCCACTTCAGTAAATGGGGCCCACAGGAAGGTCTGAAGGGGCTGGAACAATTTAGCATTAATGAACTCTCAAAACTGATCCCGTAGGGTTCCCTCCCAGGACAAGACTCCAAAGTGAGGAGGAACTGCAGGGAGCAGAAAAAAAATTGAACAGGATAGGGACAACAGAAGTGATGAAGAGAGCCAGGCACGGTGGTTCAGGCCTGTAATCCCAGCACTTCAGGAGGCCGAGGCAGGTGGATCACTTGAGGTCGGGAGTTCAAGACCAGCCTGGGCAACATGGTGAAACCCCGTCTCTACTAAAAGGACAAAAAAATTAGCCGGGCATCATGGTGCATGCCTGTAATCCCAGCTACTTGGGAGGCTGAGGCACAAGAATCACTTGAACCCAGGCAGCAAGGTTGCAGGGAGCCAAGATCACACCACTGCACCCCAGCCTGGGTGACACAGCAAGACTCCGTCTCAATTAGAAAAGAAAAAAACCCATGGAATATTGTTCCCATGAGAACTTCCTTAGGAATCTGCTGGAAAATGAGGCTCAGACAACCAAAATGACTAGGGAGATATTAACACAAGACTAGCGGTGAGCATTAAGTATGTCTTTATTGTTTATATAATGAAGATTAAAAGGACAGTGTAGTAAGCAATGACAGACAGGTATTTAAATAACTTACCTGACCATTGGGAGGGATGAAGAAACTTCAGAGCCACATTGCAATTAAAAAGCTGTCTAGCAAAAAAGAGAAAACTGCGGCTACAGTTGCAGGCTCTATAACCCCACCATTTCTGCTCTGATCCATACCAGAAAATGGATGCTTCATGGACCGTCTCTCTCTCAATTTAAGTCAATTCCAAATCCAAATCTCACCGATTAATGGACATTAATTCCTATCTGGAATCCTAACTGTAAAGGAATTGGAGAAAATGCAGTATTTAGCTTTTGAGTTTCACAAATATGGGAAGGCACACTAGAAGGAGGTGCAGTAGAGGTTGAGCAAGTCTATCTACAATTACCAAAAGGAACTTCCTTAGGGAGGAACAGACATCTTCCAAAAACCTACTACAAATTTGCTACTTGTCAGTGAAATGTAAGGATTTAACATCAGTCACAAGAGAAGTCTGATGTATCTATTAAACATTATACTGAATGTTCTAAGTACAATAAAATAAGGAAGTATAAACATTGGAAAGAAACAAATGATTCATTACTGTTACTATTCAAAAGTGATGTGACTGTCTACATAGAAAAATCTAAAATAATCTATAGGCCCCAGAATTATTAAGAAAGTTTGGCAAGCCTTCTGAATGTAAGATAAATATACAGAAGTCAATTACACTCCAATGTATCAGTAATAGGAAATTAGAATAAATTGGATGCAGGGGCTCATGCCTATAATCCCTGCTTTATAAAAAAATTTTAAGAGATATTAGAATAAGTAATTTTAAAAATACCCCTTAGACACAAATCTAGCAAAAGATGTATAAGAACACTATTTTAAAAATCATAAAATTTTCCAGCCTGGACATGGTGAAACCCTATCTCTACTAAAAAATACAAAAATTAGCAGGGCATGGTGGCACATGCCTGTAGTCCCAGCCACTCAGGAGGCTAAGGCACGAGAATTGCTTGAAGCCAGGAGGTGGAAGTTGCAGCGAGCTGAGATCATACCACTGCACTCCAGCCTGGGTGACAGGGTGAGACTCTGTCTCAAAAAACAACAACAAAAATACAAATCATAAAATCTTAAAAACATTTGGGGTGTAATTTAGCAACTTCTAGTAAGTTTGAAAATGCATACCTTACAGCCCAATAATTAAAATCCTAGGTTTATACCTAAAAACACTCTCCCAGATTGGACAAGAAGGTAAGTAAGAACGTTCATTGAAGTTTACAATAGCAAAGACTGGATATCTAAGTGACCATCTACGGGGAAATACATAAACCGTGGTATAGGCCTACAACAAAATGCTATATAGCAGGCAAAACAAATAAACAAGAACCTCATTTATCAACATAGTATTTTTTTTTTAAAAAAAAAAGGTACGCTACCAAAGGCTACACACATCATGACGCCTCCTAAGTAAAATGACTAAACATGCAAAATAAAATATGGCTATGGATACTGACATACATACATTTTATATATATATATATATATATGTATGAAATCATGCATATATATATATGTATGAAATCATGCATGAGAATGAAATATATCAAAGTCAGGGTAGTAGTTACCACCAATAAAGAAATAAGTGGAACGGGCTTGGGGTGACAAACACAGGAGGCTTTACCCACTTTTGTATTATTATTTTTTTAAACCTGTATTTTTTAAAAGTATGACTTAGATAGCAGCTATGTGAGTGTTCGTATTAGTCTGTATAGTTTTCTGTAAACCTGAAACATTTTGTCATAAAAAAGAATAGCATTAATACCACAAAAAAGGTCCTTTACAGGATTTGGGCAATCTTCCCTTTTGCTCACTTCAGACGTGGTATACACTCAGCCAGTTTCTTTTCTCTAAGTGAGAGAAACTCAGCCACCTGTCTCTGCTCTCCCCTCCCTACTGTCAGTCTTGTTCTCCATCTCCTGTCCTCCCATGTGACCAGCTGCCGGTGAGATCAGACTAGAGCTTAGAGGACAGAAATGGCCCCACAGGCCTCTAGCCCAGGCCACCTGCTCCATCTGATACCAGAGGCAGGAGACTGGTAACAATAAAGCATCCCTTTGCTTTCCCTTCACCACTTTCTGCTATGTACTTATCTCCTTCAGTGACCTCTCTAGAGGAGGCAGGGATGTCTATGGATTAAGGTAGATTCTGGTATAGCTGGTTCCCTGAATATGATATCATTTAAGGGGCACAAATTTCAATATCAGGGTTTCAATATCAGGGTGTAGTGAAAGGAGCAACTCCCTTGGGACAGTGAGGATTTTTTGTTTTTCGTTTTTTTTGTTTTTTTCTAAGAACAGAATGATTTGTATGTCTACCAGGCAGATCAATGGCATAATTTGGTTCAGCCCAAGCCCTTTCTATAGAAAACTAATTGTGCTTTGAGCTAAAAACTCCATGGAGATTAATCTGATCTTAAACTTCATTTATAAAAGGTGAGAAACAGCTCAACTTTCTAGCCTCACTCTTAAGTAAAATTGTGTAGTGCTTCCTAAAATAAACCATTAATTCACTGTCACCAGAGCATCAAGGTTCACAACATTCTGCAAAACTAGATTTCTCAGGAAAACCTTGGCCTAAGTTCTTCAGCTTCCAAGAGATGGTCTCTTATGACCCAAAAGTTTACTTATCGTCTGCAAGTCCACAGTAAGGAAATCTCTTCCTTCACTTGGTATCCTGCACAGACCCTACAATGCCTTCCTGTTGCCCTTAGCAGGAAAGCCAGACTCCCTAAGAGGACACAGATGGTCCTTCGTGATGTGAACCGTCACTAGAACCACATCCATCTTATTCCATGGTATCACCTGCACCCAGCACAATGCCAGAAGCTTCATAAAGGCAAGAAGACATGGAACCTCTGCACCTCCCAACCCCACTCTCCCTCCAGCTTCTTCGGCTTCCACTGCATATGGGAATTCAAAATATTTGGAAATCCTCAGGAAAAAGTGCGCTTGCTCTAGACAGGAGAAACAGATTTCACTCTGATCTACAGCAGGCTGGGGAAAGTCAGCAAGGCTGATGAGATGTAAAGCATGGAATAAGATGCAGCCACCCCTGGGACTGGCTTCCTCTATGGAAAGGCAGGATGTACAGGGAGCCAGAGAATGGGGCCGGCTTGGGATGAGTTCTAGAGGCCTGGCCCTTCCTTCTGCCTCATATTAAGCCCCTCACCCCTTTACCCCCTGCCCCATCAGCTGGGGCCCCACTCAAACGGTATCAGCCCTAGTGATTTGGTGCCTTCTACCAAACTACGGAGGAAGTGTTTCCAATACCCCAATTTGGGTGCACTTGAGAGAAAAACAATATTGAGGGGGCCCTTACTTTGTGCCAGATAATCTATCACATACATCTCAACCAATCCTCACAATAACTCTATGTGACAGGTACTGTCACTGGGTTGAACTGGTTTAACCATAACTATTCACCGAATAACCAGAAAGATCTTTATAAAATATAAATAAATGAAATCATAACCACTCCCTAAAACTTTCTAATGGTTTTCCATTATGCTCCAAATAACATGCAAGTTCCCTGAGGTGATGTCCAAGGCCTGTGTGTTCTGGCCCTGCCCACCTGTGTCCTCAGCTCATGCCACCCTCCCCCTTGCTCACTGTGCTCCAGTTCACTAGCATTTTATTTGTCAAACTCCCTTCCTAGAGGAAGCTGGAAAGGTAGATCATTGCCATAGCCTTCAGTGTGTACTTTACTCTACAGGGATCAGCAACAGCTGCAACACAAGAGAGTAAGACCTAAAAACAGTAGGTGGTTTGAATATCCCATAAAAACGTACTCATATATTACTTATAAAATTTTTAAGAATGAACTTCCAAAGTTTCATCCTGCTCTTATGGTCAGCTACTGACATTGGCCTACAGGGCCTTAGCTGGCATCTGCATGCTGACATCTCCCAATTTTGTTCTAATCCAGGTGACTCTAACAAGCTGCAGACCTAAATACCCAGCAGCAACCCGGAAGCCCTCTCCCGCTGGATCCTCCACACACACTTCACCTCCCCAGTACTCCCTCCCAAGCAGGCACAAATCAAATGCCTGAGACATCCTAGACACTTCCTTAAACCCTACACCTAGTCAGTCATGCTGACTCAATGCTTGAATCGTCACTCCTCCTAATCCCCAAAGCCACATCTTTCATCCAGGCCCTCATTTCTCACTCAAGTTAGCACAAAAACCTAATTGCTCTCCTTGGGCGTTATCTTCCTTCCCCTCCAATTTATCCCCCAAACTATAACCAAAAAAACTTACTAAAATACAAATTGAAATATATCAGCCTTCCAACTAACTCCTCTACCCAAATCCCTAATCACCATATTAAAACCTGCAACTGGTCATCACAGCACTGAAAATAAAATTCCAACAGATTTCAAAGCTGTCTATGATCTTCCTCCACTCTAAGCTCCCATATTCTAGTCATGCTAAATGCCTTAAAGTGCGCCTCAGAATGTATCCCATTTTCACTCATTTGTCAAAGGTCATCTTTGCTAAATAGCTTTCTTGGAATAGCTCCTTCTTCATGAAGACTGAACATGAAAGTCCTCTGTCTTCTATGACATCTACCTAATCATGGCACTTTGATGATTACAGGTGACTAAAAGTCAACTTTTCAGTTAACTACAAGATTCTAAAGGCAAAATGTCTCATTTCTGTATTTCTACTGCCTGACACTAGGGGGACTGAATAAATATTCATACACTTTGTCTTGGAAGGTACTTCAGAATTAATTCTGGTTCTTTCCCCATCCTTTCACTGAATGTCTGTTATGCTCTGTAATCGACGTACTGAGCGAAAGTCCAGCTTCTTGAATACCTCCTGTGATGGGGAAGTCACTTATTAAACACCAACACCAACAAGGCCTCATGCTGGATATTATACACAGAACTCCACTAGAAGGAGCTCACAGCTGAGTCTGTTCCCTGACACCTGACAAGATCAAGCCCCTGCTGTGACTGCAGCTGGAAGCTGCTGACTTCCAGATTGTCACAGGTCTCAGAAACACTTGGCAGAAGGAACACTGGTGAAATGACTGCTAGAATTGGGCACGGGAAGAACAGTCCTATACTCAGCAGAGAGGAGACACACTGGCCTAAGGTTAATGTCCAGGAGTTAACTGGCACCTCGAGTGGACACATTCAACCAAATGGGAAAGCAAAGTCTGCTAAGACTCAATTCCTAACCAGATGAAATTTTATCAATGTTAAGTGTAAATATTTAATCTTTTAGTCTGGGCACAGTGGCTCACGCTTGTAATCCCAACACTTTGGGAGGCTGAAGTGGGCGGATCACCTAAGCTCAGGAATTTGAGATCAGCCTGGCCAACATGGCAAAACTCTGTCTCTACCAAAAATACAAAAACCAGCCAGGCATGGTAGCCTGCGCCTGTAGCCCCAGCTACTAGAGAGGCTGAGGCTGGAGAATCACTTGAATCCGGGAGGTGGAGGTTACAGTAAGCTGAGATCGCACCACTGCACTCCAGCCTGGGCAGCAAAGTAACACTATGTCTCAAAAAAAAAATTTTTTTTAATCATTTAGAAAATCACTCTTTAAAAACAATAAAGTTGCAACATTTTCAAATAGTTAACACTGCTGGGATTTCCCCAGAATTCTTCAACATCATGTTGTCAAAAAGAAAAAGCCTAATGGCAACATTTTCCTCTAATGCCAAAAGAATCTAAGAGAAAGGAGAAAAAAATTATTTAAATTATTTTATTGAAGGAGATAAGTTACTCAGATATTAACTGGTTGTAGGCAAAGGGAATAAACATGGTGAAGTCAGGTTTGCTGGTAAAGGGGAGACAGTACTAAACGCCCTGCCCAACAAATACTCAGAATCCAGGGTTTTCATATTTCTCCATGGTTCAATCTCTCACAGGTCACTTTCCATTCAAAGGATTATGGAGACCAAATAAGACAGGATTCTTTCAGGTATCAACCCAGAGTCTTTAGGTCTTCTCTCAGCCAAGGCATCGAGTGAAAATACAATTTATTTTTCGGATTCCTCTGGAGGATTAAAAAGTTTCTTTCGCATTGCAATGCCATGCTCCCTGCTCTTGGTCCTGTTTTCTACGTACTGAAAAATAAAAGAAGGGGGGGAGAAAAGAAACAGCAGATTATGTCACTATTTATAGCAGTTTACTATTTAGAAATATTTGCAAAATATAAATGTCCTTTGAGGTTAACAGGGTTTAAATTTTTTAAACATGTTCTTACTGACAAAATTCTTATCTTTTATTTAACCAAATCTGAGATTGGAAATAGTTACCTTAGAGAGTATCTCATATCTAGCACAATTTCATTCAATACAGTACAGCATCTACATGCTAATAGATGCACAAATGTTTGCTCAATCAATTTCCTCCCAAAATTTGAATTAAATAAGTACTGAAGATGGGCAAATTCTGTCCATGTTCTCCAGGGGCTTGCAGTCTAACTAGTCCTCTAACTTCTGCTGAGTACCTCTAGTGGAGAGGCTCACTTCCTTGAGAGGTAGCCTGTCTAACTGTTGGGACAATTCTACTCATTCCCAAGTTTTTCATTTTAAACCAAAAGTGCTTCCCTGTAAACTCCTTGAGAGGTAGCCTGTCTAACTGTTGGACAATTCTACTCGTTCCAAAGTTTTTCATTTTAAACCAAAAGTGCTGCCTTGTCAACTACCACCTTTTATTTCTTCTTGTCTGCTATAATTTTCAAACATTTAATTACAGATAACCCACTTACTACCTTTTGCGCTGAACATTGCTAGTTTCCACAACTGCTGCACAGAACACAGCCTCCATCTTTTAATATCTAACCTATAAAATGACTTTTATTTCATAAAGCACTTTAACATTAATGCCCCTTACCAAAAAAAAAAATCACAACCAAAATTGAATACAGTGCTCCAGTCACAATGACAGACATAGACTACAGTGGGCCTACATCTTAGACCAGCTCACATTGTATTTCTTTAGACATTATCAAGAGTAACTAGCTCTTAGCAACCATATTATCCTATTGACTCATATGGAAATACATAGCTCAACTTCCCAAGGTTTCTTCATCACGAACAGTTAACAAACCTGATACTCCTCAAATCCTATGTTTCTTAATCAGCTACATATAAACACAGTTTTCACCTCAAGAGGTTTTCAGCCTAGTATTCTGATCTGGCCAGCAGGTTACAACAGGAGACACAAAGCCTGGCACTTAGATTTTCTTAAATAGTTAACCTACATTTAAAGCAGAGGACCTTAAAAGTGTTTTTATATGTATATATGTACATGCTTATAATACATACACCAATCCAACACACTTTAAAGGTGGATGAGTGTGTTTTCCCCTGGGCAGAAGGGGAAAAGGGTAAAAGTAAATTCAAACAGAAAAAACTGAAAACATGTGAACAGTTAAACATCAGAATCTTTTAGGAGCCACAGATCTGGAGAGCGAGGCCACAGAAATTAAAGATTAGTGATACCGAGCTCATCAGGGACAAACCCCGCCACCCAAGAGAGAGTAATGAGGGGATTCATGACTTTGAGTTACTTCACTCTTCTGGACCAGTAACTTCAAATATAAGGAGGTGGGCTAGATAATCTTTAAGAAGTTTTCTAGGTCAAAAGTTTTGACTGAAGGATTCTAACATATCTTCTGGAATGGTAGTTTTCAAACTTTTTATTACTTCCTTGTCAAAAGGCTACTTCAGGCCGGGTGCGGTGACTCATGCTTATAATCCCAGCACTTTGGGAGGCTGAGGCGAGCAGATCACCTGAGGTCAGGAGTTAGGGACCAGCCTGGCCAACATGGTGAAACCCCGTCTCTACTGAAAATACAAAAATTAGCAGGGCATGGTGGCATGCACCTGTAATTCCAGCTATTCAGGAGGCTGAGGCAGGAGAATCACTTGAATCCAGAAGGAGGAGGTTGCAGTGAGCCGAGATCGCACCACAGCACTCCAGCCTGGGTGACAAGAGTGAGACTTCGTCTCAAAAAAAAAGCTACTTTAAATTACACATGAAGCACCAGGTCCCTTCAAAGTCATTCATTTTATCTATCATACATTAAATTTACTCATAAAATTGTTGGGGAAAAAATCAATAAAACGTATTCTAGAACAAGGAAGGATACCTGCTCTGAGAAAAAGCTTTCATATCTACCTTTAATCACGTCTACTGGATTGCCCCCAGCAATCAGGTTGAGAAGGGTCTTAAGGGAAACTCTTCAGAAGATAATACTTTGTAGCAGGCCAATAAAATAAGTTACAAAGCAAATTAAAATATAGTCTACATTAAAATATGCTAAGACATCTCCAAAGGAAGTCCAGATGGTCCCTGAATAAAAGGGGAGAAAAGGATGAATATGAAGTTACTCACAAAACTCAATCAAACAATACAGACAGAATGAAAGGCCAATTAACCCCAAACCAAACAAAACAATTAAGAGGGACAAAAGAGAATGCCACAAAAGTACTATTAGTGTTTCTTTTCAAGAAGAAGAACAAAAGGCCAGGTGCAGTGGCTCACACCTGTAATCCAAAACTTTGGGAGGCCAAGATGGGAGAACTCCTTGAGCCCAGGAGTCTGAGACCACCCTGGGCAACACAACAAGACTCCATCTCTCTAAAAAAAAGAAAAAAAAAAAGAATAAAAGGAGTGACACAGCGGAGTCCCAACAAGAAATGGCCATACCCTTTTTCTACTTAAAAGCTTCATGGAGGCTGGGCGCAGTGGCTCACGCCTGTAACCCCAGCACTTTAGGAGGCCAAGGCGGGCGGATAACAAGCTCAGAAGATCAAGACCATCCTAGCTAACACGGTGAAGCCCCGTCTCTACTAAAAATACAAAAAATTAGCTGGGCGTGGTGGTGGGCACCTGTAGTCCCAGTTACTCAGGAGGCTGAGGCAGGAGAATGGCGTGAACCCGGGAGGAGGAGCTTGCAGTGGGCTGAGATTGCGCCACTGCACTCCAGCCTGGGTGACAGAGTGAGACTCTGGCAAAAAAAATAAAAAAATAAAAAAGCTTCATGGAATGAAGTAATCAGATGACATATGAAGCAAACAGTAGCAGGAAAGCATCTGAAGCAAGCATTAAGAGTAGAGAAGAAATACATGAGTGCAGACTCAGAGATTAGTGATGGGCAAGCAGACAGAAAAACATCTACAAATTAGAGAATAAACATCTACAAATTAGAGAATAAAGTAACATAACTACACAGAGGACTTAGAAAAGAATTCAAAGAGAAAACATGAGATGTATAGGAAAACAAACTCAGACAAAATAAGAAAAATATCTCCAACGGTCTACCAAAAAGTCACTAACAGATCTCAGGCCAGCTGAGAAGACAATTTCATATGAAGATCTAATTGACAAAGCAGTGGCAAAATTTCTGAACTATACAGGAAAAAAATTTAAAAACATGAAAAAAACCTATGTTATACAGCTGAAAGTATGTAAAAAACAAATAGCCATACTGAATAAAATAATATGAGCTATATTTTTCCATAAGCTATTTATTTTATTTATTTTTTATTTTATTTTTTTTTAATTTATTTAGAGACAGAGTCTCTCACTCTGTCACCCAGGCTAGAATGCAGTAATGTGATCTGGGCTCACCGCAACCTCCGTCTCCCAGGCTCAAGTTATTCTCCTGCCTCAGCCTCCCGAGTAGCTGGAACTACAGGCGCCCGCCACCATGCCTGGCTAATTTTTTTGTACTTTCAGTAGAGCTGGGTTTCACCATGTTGGCTAGGCTGGTCTCAAACTCCTGACCTCAGGTGATCCGCCTGTCTTGGCCTCTCAGAATGCTGGGATTATAGGCGTGGGCCACCACACCCGGCCAATATTATTTTTTAGAGATAGGGTCTCACTCTGTCACCCAGACTGAAGCACTGTGGCGACCTAGATAGCTCACTGCAGCCATGAACTCCTGGGCTCAAGCGATCCTCCCGCCTCAGCCTCCCAAGTAGCTGGGACCACAGGTCTGTGCCACCACACTTGGCTAAATTTTAAGAGATTTCTTTGAGACAGGGTCTCACTATGTTGCCCAAGTTGGCCTCAAAGCTTTCACCTCAAAGGATCCTCCTGCCTCAGCCTCCCGAATAGCTGGGATTACAGATGCCAGCTCACAAGTTTACTATTAAAGAAACATCACCCTAGGTGTATTTTTCATGTAAACTGGCTTTTTCATATAAAGGACAAACATTTTTAGTAAATAATTTAAAAACACTAATAAGGCTGGGAATGGTGACTCATGTCTGTAGTCCCAGCACTTTGGGAGGCCAAGGTGGGAGGACTCACCCTAGGTGTATTTTTCATGTAAACTGGCTTTTTCATATAAAGGACAAACATTTTTAGTAAATAATTTAAAAACACTAATAAGGCTGGGAATGGTGACTCATGTCTGTAGTCCCAGCACTTTGGGAGGCCAAGGTGGGAGGACTCACCCTAGGTGTATTTTTCATGTAAACTGGCTTTTTCATATAAAGGACAAACATTTTTAGTAAATAATTTAAAAACACTAATAAGGCTGGGAATGGTGACTCATGTCTGTAGTCCCAGCACTTTGGGAGGCCAAGGTGGGAGGACTGCTTGAGGTTAGCAGTTTGAGACCAGCCTGGCCAAAACAGTGAGACTCTCATCTCTACAAAAAAATGTGTAAAACCTTAACCAGGCATGGTGGTACGCACCTGTCGTCCTAGCTACTCAGGAGGCTGAGGTGGGAGGATCACTTGAGTTTGAGGCTTCCGTGAGTTACGATCACCCTACTGCACTCCAGCTTAGGTGACAGAGCAAGAACCTGTCTCAAAAGAAAAAAGAAAAAAAGAAACAAACTATTACTCTTCACTGAGTACTCCAAAAAGTTCTTCAAACAGTAAAGGTGAATGTCACAATTTAAAGGGAATCCAGGAAGGGAAAAACAGCCTAAGCAGAAAACAAAATCAAAAGAAAGATGTTGGACAACTTCAAATATTATATTTAAATCTTTCAATATGAGGCAAAAAAAAAAAAAAGTTCAAAAATAACAAAAATGATATCTGAAAGGCAAAATTTTAGCCATCATATATTTTTAAAAGTTCTGGACACAAAAAATCTGATGTATGAAACAGAAATTGAATCAAATTTCTTTTCAAAGGTTTAAAATGCACTCTGCTTATTTGGCAGTGCCTGGAAAAAGACAATGAACTGTGTACTGTGGCTATTTGCCCAAGTCCAAGTTGTGCCCTAAAATCAAGTTCAGGAGATGACAGTGTTCCAAAACAAGTCAAATTAGATCCCTGTGGCTTACACAAACCATAACTACAAAGAAATTCAAAATGTTAAAGCTGAAAACAGCCTAATTCTAGCCTCCTCAATTTATATATAGAAATTGAGGCCCTGAGAGTTTTAGTTACCTACCAATCAGCTAATAGGTGACTGATATAAGTCTTTCTGCCGGCCAGAGATACAACTTCCTAAACCATTAAATTCATCCAGATGACCTACAGTAATCATCATAAGGAAGTTGTTTTCCTCATTTGTGTTCATGGCCAAAAAGCCATGTTCTAAAACTGTCCCCAGAAAAGCTTTCATTTCTTCCCCTAAACAGAGGAAGTTCATACATGTAAAGTCAATTTTCTGTTACACTAAAATGTGGGAAAAATTCAATAATGGCAGTAATACACAATATTCAAAAATGTTCTGTTCTATTGTTCAACCATATCCATCCTTTGACACTTTTCTTACCTCATTCTTCAGGCATTTTCTCAACTCCCGATCAACATCATTACAATAACCAAAAAATTTCAGAATGTTGTGCTAAAAGGAAGAAAAGGAGTAAAATATTTCATCCCATAATATGCCAAGGTTTGGGGCACATAAAATTTAAATACTGCCACAGACATGAGTTTACAGTGTCACTTTGTTAATAAACAAGTAATAGTTAAATCACATGTATAAAACACAGTTGGCCCTTGAACAACATGGATTTGAACTGCATGAGTCCACTTATACCTGGATTTTCTTTCAATAAATATATTGAAAACATTTTTGAACATTTGGAACAATTAAAAAAAACCTCACAGATGAACTACCATAGCCTAGAAATATCAAAAAAATTTAAGAGAAAGATACGGCATAAATGTGTAAAACATGTAAATACTGGCCGGGCACGGTAGCTCACAACTGTAAATTCCAGCACTTTGGGAGGCCAAGACGGGTGGGTGGATCACGAGGTCAGGCGTCAAGATCGGCCTGGCCAAAATGGTGAAACCTCATCTCTACTAAAAGTACACAAAAAATTAGCCAGGCGTGGTGGTGGGCGCCTGTAATCTCAGCTACTTGGGAGGCTGAGGCAGGAGAACTGCTTAAACCCAGGAGGCGGAGGATGTAGTGAGTCGAGATCGCGCCCCTGCACTACTCCAGCCTGGGCGACGGAGTGAAACTCCGTCTCAGGAAAAAAAAAAAAAAAAAAAAAAAAAGTGAATACTAGTCTATTTTGTCATTTACTACCATAAAACATATACAAATTTTAAAAAGATAAAATTTATCAAAACTAACACACACACAGAACATAAATAGCATCATTCAAATTTGAGAGAATTGTAAGCAAACATAAAGATATATCAAATCACAACTACATAAAATTAACTGCGGTATATACTGTACTGCCGTAATAATTCTGAAGTCACCTCCTATTGCTATTACACTGGGCTCAGACACTACAATTATCCACTTATAACACCCTGTGATACCAATAACATACACAGTAAGCAAGTCATGTTTACTGTAATAACCATAAAACTTGAATAACACCATGGGACCCATACGAAGTGCCACTAGTAATGCTGGAAGTGCTCCCAAGAAGCAGAGAAAAGTAATGACATTACAGGAAAAAGTTGAACTACTTGAAATGTACTGTAGATTGAGGTCTGCAGCTGTGGTTACCTACCATTTCGGACTGACATACATCATCTTGTAAACAGATGATGTAAACTTACAATATCAATAAATACAATACCATACCATAAATGTATTTTCTCTTCCTTATTTTTTCTCTAGCCTACTTTATTGCATGAATACAATATATAATACATATAACATACAAAACATGTGTTAATCACCTATTTATGCTATCAGTAAGGCTTTCAGACAACAGGAAACTCTCAGACAAGTTTTTGGGGAGTCAAAAAGTTATATGTGGACTTTCAACTGCATGGGGGTCAGTGCCCCGAACTTCCAAGCTGTTCAAGGATCAACTATACAAATGAACAAATTATCCTGGTTCTTCTTACAAAGAAGGAATAAATGTTCTGCAAGTAGAAACAAAGATTTAAAGACTTTTTCTTAATGATAGGGAAGCCTACTTACTAACTCACCAAAACCTCACAAAGACAGTATAAAAGTTTTATCATAACCTAACACCCTTTTCTTAAGGGAAATGTTAAAATCACAGCACAATCCATTCTCTATTACAGGGAGTGGTGTCAAGCTGCAGCATGGCCACACTGCCATGGGCAGAGTAACTTCACTACCAAACACTGTCCTGTAAAAGAGTTATCTAATAAATGCTTAGTGCCAGAGCCCTTTTCTCATTTGCCCCCATTCAAAATGTCACCAAAATACATCAAATAAGTAACACAGATGCGCGCAGTGGCTCACGCCTATAATCTCAGCACTTTGGGAGGCCAAGGTGGGCGGATCACCTCAGGTCAGGAGCTTGAGACCAGCCTGACCGACATGGAGAAATCCCATCTCTACTAAAAATACAAAATTAGCCAGGCATGGTGGCATATGCCTGTAATCCCAACTACTCTGGAGGCTGAGGCAGGAGAACTGCTTGAACCTGGGAGGTGGAGGTTGCGGTGAGCTGAGATCGCACCATTGCACTCCAGCCTGGGCAACAAGAGCGAAACTCCATCTCAAAAAAAAAAAGAAAAAAAAACCCACTATCATTAGATGCCCTATAAAGGTCATATAAATAAGCCACTAATTTACAATATAAGGAAATCTGCCTGAAGTTCAGTCTGATTTAAAAAATAAAATAACATCTCCTAGTTGTTTCTAGTCCTATGAGTATTATCGTGGCAAAAAGTATGCGTGCTCTAAAGCAGGTTAAGCTGAAGCCTGAAGTTAAGAACCTGAATTTCAGTAGGAACATAATTAGTGTGTTTGCACTTCACGATTTTCAAGGGTGGGTCAGACAGCATGGTGATCTGTTTTATAATGACAGGTCATAAATGCTGAACTTGGTAGTTGTAATAATAAGCACATCTTTTCCTTTTCGTTCTAATTAAGGCTTTCATGGAAACCAGACAACACATAATTAATAAGCTATGCCTCATGCTATTTCTTTTTTTCCTGCTTCACCACCATTTTAAACGTACGTTTCAATTCCACACTGAATAAGTGGTCAGTTTTTCCAGAAAGCATTTAACATAGACTAAAGTCTCCTATTTGTTACCTAATGACCTTTCCAGAATAAATTTTTTAATTAAAAAAACTTTTTGTACTTAATTTTTATTTTACTTTTTTCTTTCCTCTATCATTCCCAAAGAATAAATATTTCCTGTGTATTTTACTATACTACTACTTCCTTGACAACAAATAAACATGACAATGCATTTTCATGCCTTCAAGTCAAGTAGACTTTTCAAATGTGAGGCAATATTACATAGTTGACATTTATTCATATCATTCCACATATGTACATCTTAATTCAAAAATCCATGACAAAAACTAATTTATATGCTTCCTTTTACCTCAATATTAACTAAGGTAAAATGAGAATTATACTCTTGTGATGTTACATGAAAAATATTAGACCCAAGTGCCCCAGAGAAATTGGTAGAAGAAATGCCCACAGGCTACAATTTTCTTATACTTACATGGACTGAGTCTCTAGTGCCTGGTGTCAATTTCTTGAGAACCAAACCAACCGAGTAACTGATTGAATAAGTGAATCAACAGATATCTGCGAACCTTTTACATAAAGAACAATGTCCCAGGTACCAGGGACACAGAAGTGAGCAAGGTGGATCTGGGTCCTACTCTCACAGTACATAGTCAGAGGGAAAGAGGCAAATAAGAAGTCACTGCCATAAAGCAGTGGTTCTCAAAGTGCAGTCCAGAGACACCGAGGGGTTCCTGAGACCTTTTCAGGGAAGGTACAAGGTCAAAACTATCTTCTCAATAATACAAAAACATTTGTTTTGTTCATTTTCATCCTCCCACAAGGGTATAGCGGAGTTTTCCCGGGGCTACATGAAGTCTAACATCACAACAGATTGAATGTAGAGGCAGACATGAGAATTCAGGTATATTTTATTAATTCAGACATTTAAAAAATGAAAAGCAATGCAATTCTTTTCGCTTTTTTCTGGTTTGAAAAATAAGATTTTCGTGAAAAATAACTATGCTAACATGTCATCTTAACATGTAAAATTATAATTTATCATTGTAATTTTAAAATAATTTTTTCTTCATTTCTCAGCCTTCATTTCTAATCCAATAAATATTGTAGATATCACCCACATAAACAATAGCTCCCTAGAATCCTAAATAATGTTAAAAGAGTGCAAAAGAGTCCTGAGACCAAAAAGTGTGAGAACTGCCACGAAGGAGAAAAGCTGTTATGTATGATGCTACTCAAACAGAGTGACTGCACCAGGAGAATCTAGGCCAGGAAAGGGAAAAGGAAACGACCAACTAAGCTGAAGAAAACCTGAAGGATGATAAGACCTGGTTTAGCAAACAGTAAGTGGAGCCAGGAGGAATGCACTAAGCTCAGCAAAGGAAAAATCAAGGCTTGGAAGACAGAAATATCATTCTCCCATATACCTGCAAAAAAAAAAAAAAAAACCACAGGAATGAAGGGGAAGGAGCTGTGGGAGAGTGGTGAAGACTAACAGCTACTCAAGGATGAGTTTCATTAAGGACTTGAAACACAAGGCAAGACATTTATAACGCATTGTATAGGCAAAAGGATCTATTAAAAAGGTGACAATGAGCCAGGTGCGGTGGCTCATGCCTGTAATTCCAGCACTTTGGGAGGCCCAGGCGGGCGGATCACCTGAGGTCAGGAGTTTGAGGCCAGCCTGGGCTAACATGGTGAAACCCCATCTCTACTAAAAATACAAAAATTAGCCAGGCATAATGGCCTGGTACCTGTAATCCCAGCTACTCGTGAGGCTGAGGCAGGAGAATCGCTTGAACCGGAGAGACGGAAGTTGTAGTGAGCCAAGATCATGCCACTACACTCCAGCCTGGGCGACAGAGAGAAACTCTGCCTCAAAACTAACTAAATAAATAAATAAAATGCAGATTCCTAACAGCTACAGTGAGCTGAGATTGTACCACTGCACTCCAGCCTGGGCGACAGAGTGAAACTCCGTCTCAAAAGAAAAAAAAAAAGGTAACAATGATTAAACTTATTTTTGAAAGATCACTCTAAATCCAGGGTGGAAAATTGATTTAAACAAAAAAGAAAACAAAACCGCCAGGAGACCAGATAGAAGTCCTTTACAGGTGGCCCCAATAAAAGTGTTGCCATGGACTATGGCAGTGGCACTGGCAAAGGAGAACAATGGTTCAAGAGAGATTCGGCAGAGAACACACAGCCCTGGTAAGGACTCACAGGAAGAGGTGAGGCAGATGGAGGAATTAAAGATGACACTGGCTTTCAGCCAAGAATGACAGTGGAAGTTTTAAAAAGAGATAAGATAAATTTGTATCTGGACATGTTGAGTTTATTGGTGGAACAGTTAAGTCCACTATCTAGCTGAGATAAACCTGGAACTCAGAGAAAATCTGAGCCAGAGATACAGATTTGGGAGTTACTGAAACCAGGAAAGCGAATGATTTTTTGCAGGAAGGTGTAGCCTAGGGTATCCTGAAGAGTGGCCAAAAAAACTTAAGGAAAACCAGGGAAGAGAAAGTTATGGTAGAAGCCTGTGGAAGAGTGTTTTGAGAGGGAATCAATTGCTGCTGGGAGAAAAGTGAGGTAACTACTGAAAACATCCACCAAATTTGCCAGTAGTGCAGTCATTAGTGATCTTGAAAGTTTTGGGACCCTAGTGAGGGTAGAAGCCAACCTGAAAGAAGAAAGCAGTATTCTTTCAATAGCTCTGAAAGGGACGCTAACACAAGATACCAGAAGGCTGGGATTATGGGAAGGAATCTTATGTATTTATTTTCTCACGATGGAAAAAAAGTGGGCATTTCAAAATGCTAATAAGAAGAAGAGAAAAAGGGAAAATACAAAAATTTTTAAATGGTGGAAAAACCCAGTACTTAGTGAGTTTATCTCTGGATGGTTGAACAAAAGGTAATTTTTGTTTGCTTTATACTTTCCTACTTTTTTAACACTATCTAAAATGATATGTATTATTTACATATTACTTTTATAAATCAGAAAAAATACACAAGGATTTCCAAGTAGCTTTGACGAAATAAGCTGTTCTAAATTCTGTATTTTACCTTCAGATGCAAAGAATATCTAAGTCTTGCTGACAAATTTAGGCAAAATAGGCCAGTAGATCAGAAGCCACCCACAGACACCTGAAAGCTGTGGAAATAACACTTGCCTGCAAAGATCACAGCAGAACTATAAAAGCACGGAAAGAATGATAAAAGCACAGCAAGGTAGGCTATTTGGAGATAAAACACTCATGCACTTCAAGCAGGTTGGAGAGCACTGCAGCATTCCAGCACAGACAGGGGTATTCAGGAAGACTAATCAACAAAAAAGACTAAAACAGAATTACACAAACTCAGGGCTAGAAGACATCTTAGGTAATATAATTCACTCGATTTATTAATTAAATAACTGGGATCAGGCCAGGCACAGTGGCTCATGCCTGTAATCCCAGCACTTTGGGAGGCCAAGGTAGGAGGACAGCTTGAAGCCAGGAGTTTGAGATGAGCCTGGGCAACACAGGAGAGCCTGTCTCTAGGAGGAAAAAAAAAAAAAATTGAATTAGCCAGGCATGATGGCACACACCTGTACTCCCATCTGCTCAGGAGGATGAGGCAGAAGGATCACTTGAGCCCAGGAGTTCAAGGCTGCTGTGAACTTTGATTGTGCCACCGCACTCGAGCCTGGGTGACAGAGTGAGACATCCTCCCGATAAACTTTTAATTAACTTTTCCCCCCCAGATATAGACCTGCAGAATTATGGTTGTTTTAAGTCACTAAGTGGTGGTGGTGTTGCTGTTGAGAGACATGGTCTCACTCCGTTGCCCAGGCTGAAGTGCCGGAGTGACATCATAGCTCACTATACACTCAAACTCCTGGGCTCAATTTAACACTTAAAAAGTGCAAGTCTTCAGAAAGATCAGTTAGGTAAAGTATTTCTTGATGACAGCAGATGTCTTTAAAAACATTTGTCAATTTCAAACTTGAAGAAAAGTTCCAAGAACAGTACAAAGAATTTCCAAATAGTAACATTTCACCAAATTTGCTTTATCCTTCTAGCTCTTACATATACACCCGAGCTTTTCTTCTGAACCGAGTAAGTTGCAGATATGATGCACGTTTCCTAAAAAAAACAAGGACTTAAATTTAAGTCTCCATACGATTACCAAAATTAGGAAATTAACATTAACACTAGTATCTAATTTATAGACCTTATTCAAATTTCACCAATTTGCCTAATAATATCATTCATGCAAAAGGCAAAAAAAGTTGGGTGGGTTTTTTTTCCCGATCCAGGATTGCCATTGCATTTAGTTGTCACGTCTTTTTAGTCTTTTTTTTTTCCAACTCTAAACAATATTTTTCTTATCTTTAATCTTTATTTGAAACAGCTTGTCTCTTTTTTCTTTCATTACCTTAACATTTTAAAGAGTACAGGCCAGTTATTTTGCAAAATGCTCCCCCACGTGGGTTTGTCTGGTGTTTCTTCACAACTCGATTCAGGTCGTGACTTTTTGGCAGGAATACCCTAGAAGTGATGTTGTGTCTTCAGTGTATCACATCAAGAGGCACATGGCAATTTGTCCCATTATTGATGTTAACTTTTATTACCTAGGTAAGAAGCTACCTGCCAAGTTTCTACACCGTATTCGTTTTTCCTCTCTAATTATTATGGGGACACACTTTGAGACCATTTAACTATCCAATTATTTCCTCAAACTTTTCACCCACTAGTATGAGGATCTATTAATGATTACTGACTAAATCAATTACTACTACAACAGTTAACAAAAAGTGATTTTCTAATTCTAGCACTCCTCTTATATTTTAGTTGGCATTCTACTGTAAGGGAAACTTTCCCTTCTCATCCATTTATATATTTATATGAGTTTGGACTCATGGATCCTTATTCAATTGATTATATTATTTTCATTACTTTGATGCTCTGCCCCATTTTTGGCCAGTGGGAATCCCTTCAAGCTAGCCCCTGTCCTTTTAACAGTCCCTATCATTCTTTGATAAATGTCATACTTTCTGGTACAAGATGTTGCAGGTTCTTCTTGTTCTTTCCCAGCCCTAGCCCTACAATCAGTCATTTCTCCAAGGATCCCTGTTTCTGTTTACGGAAGAGCGGTATTTAAAAAACAAAATCTGGGCGTTACGTATGCTCATTGCTACAGGAAAACATATATTGAATATATACATGAAACAAACATAGACACACATTATCTATTCTACATCTTATATATATTGAAAACCATGAGTTCACACTGATACCTCTAATTCCAATCCAACATCACAGGATACATCCTAGTCTTTCCACTTCTATATTTATGACAGTAAGAAACCTGTCTCTTTTCGTCTACAATATGTTTACTTATTTGCTCAGTCTTGGAATACACAGAATACATAGAAGCCAGTGTCAGAACTGCCAATCCACACTGCTGCAAAATCCATACTACTAACAACAGCTCTACTTTGTCTTTAGCCTACGTTCAAATTACTTGGGTTAGTTCATTTTTTTCTTTAGTGTAATTAGATGACTCATTTCAAGTAAGTTTGTTTGGTTTTGCTTGTATTCCATTTTTGAGTTTTCTTCCCAACTCTGCTCATCCTTTTTTTCATTCCCTCCCCTTTTTTTGAGTATATGAAACATTAACAAAGTTCAAACAGCATGAATTATACAAAACATATAATTTTTTTCTGTTGTTTTTTGAGACACAGTCTCACTCTGTCACCCAGGCTAGCGTCCAGTGACACAGTCTCAGCTCACTGCAACCTCTGTCTCCCAGGTTCAAGTGATTCTCCTGCCTCAGCCTCCTGAGTAGCTGGGATTACAGGGGTCCGCCACCACGCACAGCTAATTTTTTATTTTTGGTAGAGATGAAGTTTTGTGATGTTGGCCAGGCTGGTCTCAAACTCCTGGACTCAAGTGATCTGCCCGCCATGGCCTCCCAAAGTGCTGGGATTACAGGCATGAGCCACCGCCACCGGCCAAAAGATTTTGTAAAAGTGTCACTCCTCCACTCTCTCTGCTTTGCTCCTACCAACCTCTCAGAACGTAATCAATCTCATTAGCTTCTGGTTATCTTGTTTCTTTTTGCACAAATGAAGAGATACAAATATGTTTTGCTATCTTCTCCTCCTTTTTTATACAAACGCTAGGATACTATAAATACTGTTTTGTCCTTTGACTTCTTCACGAAATATATCCTGGAAGTCATTACATGTTGGTTCAAAGAAATTTTTTTTTCTTCTTTTCAGAGGCAGGGTCTTACTCTGTCACCCAGGCTGGAATGCAGTGGCACAATCATGACTTACTGCAGCCTTGACCTCCCAGGCTCAAGTGATCCTCCCACCTCAACCTCAGCCTCCTGAGGAGCTGGGACTACAGGCATGTGTCATCTAGTGACATAATTTTTTTTAATTTTTTCTAGAAACAGGTGTCTCACTATGTTGCCCATGTAGGTCTTGAACTCCTGGGCTCAAGCAATCCTCCCGCCTCAGACTCCCAAAGTGCTGGGATTACAGGACTGAGCCACCAAGCCTGGCTTTTTTTTTTTTTTTTAACAGCTGCACTGCCAACTGAAAGACTCTCAGTGGCCAAAGCTGGAACAATTTGAGCAACAAAACAAAGTAGTATTGGATTATAACCCAAGGTATAAAGTAAATATACATGAGTCCATACTGACATAAGTAAATAAATGGGGGAGAACAGGCAACTCTCCAGAACAGAATTCCACAAGATTATGTAGATACTCCACCACCTTGGAGGAACAGGGTAACTTCCCAGTCCTTACGTGTAGGCTGCACACAGTGACTTCCTTCCAAAGAGTTATGAAAAGGGAGAAAAAGAGTAACTTCAAAGCAGAGAAACCTAGCCACGTGCAATAGCTCACATCTGTAATACCAGCACTTTGGTAGGCTAAGGCAGACAGATTGCTTGAGCCCAGGAGTTCAAGACCAGCCTGAGCAACATGGCGAAAACCCGTTCTCTACAAATATACAAATACAAAAAATTATTCGAGCATGGTGACGTGGCCTGTAGTCCCAGCTACTCGGGAGGGTGAGATGAGAGGATCACCCAGGCCCAGGAGGTTGAAGCTGCAGTAAGCCAAAATGACACTACTGCACTCCAGCCTGGAAGACATAGTGGACCCTGTCTCCAAAAAAAAAAAAGGTACAGAAACCTAACACGTATCTCAGCCAGGTGATCAACGTCAACATTAACAGTGATAAATTATGTTGTAGTATGCAGCCTTGATGAAAATGTACTTTACCTCTGTGGTCTTCATCCGAAAACACATGATCCCAATCCAATTATGAGGAAAACAAGACAAATTCAAACAGAGGAGCATTCTACCAAATACCTGGCCATTATGCCTCAAACCTTTTCGGGTCATCAAAAACAAAGAAAATGTCACAGATAACAGGAGCCTAAAGAGTGACAAGAACTAAGTGTAATGTGTATCCTGGACGGAATCCTGTAACAGAGAAAAGACATTAGGTAAACACTAACCTGAAGCAATCTGAGTAAGCATGGACTTTAAATAACGATCATGTATCAATATTGGTTTATTAACTGTAACAAACACCTTATCAATGTAAGATGTTAATAATAAGGGACACTAGATGTGAGGTATATGGGAACTCCCTGTACTGCATTCACAATTTCTCTGTAAATCTAAAACTGTTCTAAAAAAACAAAGTCTATTTAAAAATAAAAATTACAAAACAGCTGTATAGTGCTCCATTGTGTGGATGCACCATAGGTCGTTCAACTACTTTACGTTGGGAAAGTGTGTTCCCAACATTTTCCAAGTGCAAACAACACTGCAGTAAATAACTCTATGCATACATTTTTTCATACTGTTAGAGTTATACTTTTAAGATAAATTCCTATAAGTGGGACTGATGGATTAAAAAGCAAATATACGGCAGTTTTGCTACAAGGCAGCAAATTCCTCTCTATAAAGATTATAACAATTTGCAGTCCCATCAGAAATGTATGAGGGTATACAGTGTTGCCAACAGAATGCGCTGTCACACTGTTTAATTTGGCCCCCCTGCAGATAAGTAATGGTATGTTCAGTATATTTAATTTGTATTTCTCTAATTATTGAGGTTGAACATCTTCTCATGTTTAAAGGCCATCTTTTCTTTTTTTTTTAAATTGTCTCTCATGCTTTTGCTCATTTTTCTCTCTGATTTTTGGCCTCTTATTCCCCCTCCTTTTTTTTTTTTTTTTTGTGTAAAGACAGGGTCTCACTTTGTCACACAGGCTGATGTGTTGTACTGCAGCCTCAAACAACTGGGTAAGTGATCCTACTACCTCAACCTTCCAAGTAGCTAGGACTACAGGCATGTGCCATGCCCGGCCACTTTTATTTTTATTTTTTGTAGAGACAGGATCTTGCTATGTTGCCCAAGCTGGTCTGGAACTCCAGGCCTCAAACGATCCTTTATCAATCTTTGATTTTATTGTCTCTGGAATTCAGGGTCCTTACTTAGGCACACTTTCCCCACACCTAGGTTATATAAGAATTTATCCAGGTTTCTTAGTGTTTGTATCGTTTCATTTTTGACATTTAGATGTCTGCCCCATTAGTTGATTCATATGTATGGTATTCTAACTTTTTCCAAACAGCTATGTAATTGTCCCCATGCTATTTACTTAAAAATCTATTTTCCAGACTTCTGCTTCTAGCCATGAAAGAACAAACTGAATATATAAAACAACTATTTTCAGATATTGGGACAACAGACTACAGGACTGTGATAACTGAAAGAAAAAAACAAAACAAAGTGAACCCTACATTCACCTAGCTTTCTACCCACAGACAATTTCCAAACCATGTAGCAGAGAACAGAACTCAAGAGGAGAATGGTAGTTTCACCGAGCAGAGGAGGCAAACGTCAGAGGAATTCGGGCAGGCTGGGGCAGCCGGAATTTGTGAGGTAGAGATAAGCAGCAAAAGAACTCCAGAAATCTACATGGAGCTGCCTTGAGTCACTGACTGAGTATTCACTACACATGTATTGGGTGACTTTCACAATGCCATAGTCACTACGAAGAACAATTACAGCAGCTACAAGCTGAAAAACGCAGAGCTCACACAGGGCTGGGAGTCAATGGAGTCCTTATAAGCCAAAGTAGAGATCTCATTGAATATGCAAGTCAATCAGTAAAGAATCCTAATTTAGTAATTGGGCTAAGCTAACTCTAGAGTAAAGACTATGCCAGCTATGCCCTAAAAATATGTAAAAACACGAACTGCCTGCTGATACAAAAGATAAAATCCAAGTCATCAACAATGTTCAGCCTCAAAAAACAAAAAACCAGTAAACAAGTTTTTTGTAGAAAATGACAAGCTGATTCTAAAATTAATATGGAAATGAAAGTACTTAGAATAGCCAAAACAACTTTGAAAAAAGAACAAAATTGGAGGATTTATACTATATGACTGAGACTTACTACAAGGCAACAGTAATTAAGACAGCATGGTACTGGTGTTAAGAAGAGACATATAAATCAGTGAAACAGACTAGAGAGCCCAGAAATAGACCCACTCACATATGGTAAATTGATTTTTGACAAAGGGACCATGGTAAATCAGCAGGGATAGAACAGTCTCTTCAACATATGGTGTTGAGACAACTGGCTACCCACAGGCAAAGAAAATCAACTTCAACTCACACCTCATACTATACACAAAAATTAACTTGAAATCTCAGATAAGAATACACAAATATCAAAAGAAAAAAATGAAATTAACTTGAAACGAATCATAGACCAATGTAAAGCTAATACGATAGAACTAAAAGAAAATACAGGAGTATCTTTGTGACCACAGAATACACAAAGATCCTTAAGACACAAAAAGCACAAACCATGAAAGAAAAAAAAAAGACTTCATCAAATGTACAAGCTACTCTTTGAAACACATCCTAAAGGAAGTAAAAAAAAAAAAGCCACAGAGAAAATATTCACAATACACTTATCAAAGGATTTGTATCCCAAATGATAAAAAGAATGCTTATAACTCAGTCATAAAACAATCCAATTTTAAAATACAGGCAAAAAATTTTATATGAATGGCCAAAGAAGCACATGAAAAGCATGTCAAAATCATTAGTCATCAGGGAAATACAATTTAAAACCAAAAGGAGATACTACTACATATCCACACAATGGCTGAACTTAAAAAGTTTATAATATTAGGCAGTGGTGATGGACAGTGGTAGGAATGTAGAGTAGTATAAAATGGAAAACAGTTTGGTGGCCTTTTATGAAGGTACATATACACTTAACACATGACCTAGTCATTCCATTCCTAGGTATTTACCCAAGAGAAATAAAATGATGTTTACACAAAGACTTGCACATGATGGCTGGGTGCGGTGGCTCATGCCTGTAATCCCAGCACTTTGGGGGGCCATGGCAGGTGGATCACCTGAGATCAGGAGTTCGAGACCAGCCTGACCAACATAATGAAACCCCGTCTCTACTAAATATACAAAAATGAGCCAGGTGTGGTGACACACACCTGTAATCCCAGCTCCTCAAGAGGCTGAGGCAGGAGAATTGCTTGAACCTGGGAGGCAGAGGTTGCAGTGAGCCAAGATTGGGCCCCTGCACTCCAGCCTGGGTGACAGAGCGAGACTCTGTCTCAAAAACAAATGACTTGTGCATGAATGTTCATAGCAGCTTTATCCAAAATAGCACAGCTGCAAACTGTTTATTTGCCTAAATGTCCATTAATAGGTAAATAAACTGTGGCATATCCATACAATGAACTACTACTCAGAAATAAAAATAAATGAACTAATGACATGTGCAACAGCATGTTATGACCCTCAAAAACATATCATGGTGCAAAATATAGGAATATACAATGTAGGCCAGGTGCAGTGGCTCATGCCTGTAATCCCAGCACTTTGGGAGGCCGAGGCGGGAGGATCACCTGAGGTCAGGAGTTCGAGACCAGCCTGCCCAACATGGTGAAACTCCGTCTCTACTAAAGATAAAAAAAATTAGCCAGGCCTGGTGGCGCACGCCTGTAATCCCAGCTACTAGGCAAACTGAGACAGGAGAAACACTTGAACCTGGGAGGCGGAGGTTGCAGTGAGCCAAGATCGCGCCACTACACTCTAGGTTGGGTGACAGAGTGAGACTCCATCTCAAAAACAAAAAGAATATACGATGTAGTGTAAATTTCTAACAAATTCTAGAACTGCAAAATTCATCTATATCAACAAAAAGTAGTGCAGTGGTTACCTGGGCAAGACGTAAGTTAAGGGTTGGGGACTCACTGCAAAGGGGCACAGGAAACTGATAGAAATGTTTTAGATCTTGACTGTGATGGTGGTTGCATGGGTATCTATATATGACAAAACTCATCAAACTGTATACTTAAAATAGATGCATTTCCTTACATGTAAATTACACCTCAATAAAGTTAATTTTTTAAAATCCATCTTTAGTTCCAGTGATTCAAGAAGCCACCTTTATTATAAGAAATCCATTTGAAAGAAAAAAAAAACAACAACGTTTAAATAGATTTCAATTTAAAAACAGTCATGGACCAAAAAGCAATATACAAATATAAACATAAAACAAAGATTACTTAAAAGCAAGGGTTGAAAAACTCTGCCCCTTAATTTGATTAACCATGGAAATAAATATGATGCGATAATATCCTTATTTATGTCTAGTATTACAAAAAGCACAACATAAATCTAAAGGGCTATACTGGCAAAATCCTCAATAACAAGACTGAAATGTTATTCCACAGAGTCTCTTTCTCTCCGCTGTGCCTCTCTGTTGCCAGACCCTCTCCCCTTTTCTGTCTCTGACTATAACTGACCATATACAAATTGAAATATTCTACTTTAACACAAATAATTAGTTCTTGTTCTTTAAACAGTGAATATTTTATATAGTTTTTACTTTAAAAATCAAAACGTTATGTTTTATTGATGTAGTCTGGCTCATTTGATCTATATGTATAGTGAAATAGCCCAAAAAATATTGTCATCAACAACATTCTTTGAACCAGTAAAAATATCTGACTTCACATTTTATAAGCACTACTTACCACCTTACTTTTGGTCTATAAATTTTACTCATTTAAGTGATACTTTATATTATTATAATTTGATATATCTACAGTTTGTAGACATCATGAGAAAAACTATGCAAAGCTAAAGAAAAAACAAATGCTTCTTGTAACAACGGTGTCATATATCAAACATATAAGGAAAAGCTAAATATTCAACAGCTATAAAAATGTCAGCTTGATTTAATGTATTCCAAATATGGATGGGCTCCTTTTCTATTTTGGTTTTAACCATGTAATTTTACTTCCATTCCACTAACAACTAAACACATCAGATTAAGCCAATCATAAATCTAGTTAATGTCTAATTATATAACACGTTTCTATTACCATTAAACACAGAATGGTAGCCATCAAAGAGCAGATACTTTTAGAATAATTCCATTATAATCAGAAGTGTCAGCGCTGAATATAACTGTTCTAGTGCCCTATAATTAGGAAAGAGAAAGCATTTTATTGTAAGAACATGGATTCCAACTGTTACATACCAGTTCAGACGTTCCCTAACAAACTACCATGTCTGATTTTTACTAATCATAAAAGGAGGTAGTTTGTGTAAAAAAAAGAAAAAAATCGCACATATCAACTGCTAATCTTGACTAAACTCAGACTCCTTACTAAGACATTATCGTTTCCTTCTATCAACGGAGATAACATTTTACATCAGTGGGTTATAACTAAGTTTCATTTTGGCTGTACAGTCGTTTTTCTGAACTCTTACATTTTTGTGACATTCCTTAAGCAAGTTAATCAAGACGTTGCATTCTTCAGTGTGCAAGTGTGGAGATAAGTCAGGATGCATCTTTAGGAGATGAGGATGGATCACAGCAGTGCAACCTGTGGATACAAGAGTGTCTTGAATATGCATAAACACATTTGTTACGCCACCTAAAAGTATCTTCATAAGAACCTCTAGTGACCTTTATCAGAGAAGTATGTTAACCATTAACCAGCTGTGTGACCTCAGGCAAATTATTAAACTTGAGACAAAGCTTTCTAATTCAATGATTTAAGATATTCAGCAAGTTATCAGTAGTATTTAGAGAACCTACAGGTTCAGGAGAAAAGCAGGAAGCCTCAAGAGACCCAATCCCGGAAATAAGCACTAAAGCAGAAACAGCTTGCTTATATTAATAAGCCTGACTTCAAATATTTTCGCCACATTCTCGAAATTAACAACTCATTTTGTTCAGATGAAATTCTACCAATTAAGAGAATTGGCTTATTATTTTAAAATGTATATTATTCTGAGGGTTAAAGGGTCATTAGTCTCATATTAGTGTGAATATAGATTGCTTTTTTCTTAATAGCTGGCTGAAAAAAAAACTAAACAATGAAATGAAACCAGAAGTTGTGAAAAAAAATTTCAAATTTAACAGATATAGCCATAAAACTAATTATTACACTGAAAACATGAAGCTGAAATCCCTGAACTTAAGTTTAATTGGATCATCCACAAGGTGGAAAATTAGCAGCCAAGGTCAAAGGAAAAACATCATGGGCAGCTGTTCTTTTTTTTTTTTTTTTTTTGTAGTCAGGGGTCTTGCTATGTTGCCCAGGCTGGTTTCAAACTCCTGTCCTCAAGTGATCCTCAGCCTCCCAAAGTGTTGGGACAGGCATGAGCTACCGTGCCCCACCTGGGCTTAACCTACTCTAACTCAGAAATGATTACCAAAAGAAAGAACCGATTACCTGCTTTAATTTTTTTTAAAGTTCCAAATAGAAAACAGGAACCAACCCATATCCATTAGGATGGCTACTGCTGAAAAAAAAACAGAAAATAACAAACGCTAAAGAGGATGTGGAGAAACTGAAACTCCTGCGCACTGTGGGCGGGCATGTAAACTGGGATAGCCACTGTGGAAACTGGTATAGCAGTTCCTCAAAAAATTAAAAATGAAATTACCATATGATCCAACAATTCCACTTCCGGCTATATTTTCATAAGAATTAAATGCAGGGTTTTGAAGAGATATTTGAACACCCATGTTCACGGCATATTATTCACAATAATTAAAACATGGAAGCAACCCAAGAGTCCAACAGACAATGGATCAGCACAATGTGGTATATACATACAATGGAATACTATTCAGCCTTAAAATGGAAGGAAATTCTGGCATATGCTACAACATGGATGAAATGTGAGGACATTCTGAATGAAATAAGCCAGTCAAAAAACATATATATAGGGTTCAACATACGCAAATCAATAAATGTGATTCTCCACACAAACAGAATTAAACACAAAAACCATGTGATTATCTCAATAGATGCGAAAAAGCCTTTGATAAAATCCAACATCCCTTCATGATAAAAACCCTCAACAAACTAGGCACTGAAGAACATACCTCAAAATAAGAGCCATCTATGACAAACTCACAGCCAACATCATACTGAACAGGCAAAAGATGGAAGCATTTCCCTTGAGGACCGGAACAAGGGAACAGGATGCCCGCTCTCACCACTCCTATTCAACACAGTACTTATTTCCTAGCCAAAGCAATCAGTCAAGAGAAATAAAAGGCATCCGAATAAGAAAAGAAGTCAAACTGTCTCTCTTCACTGACGATATGATTCTATACCCAGAAAACCCTAAAGACTCTGCCAAATGACTTGAGTAGTTTCAGGATACAAGATCAACATAGAAAAATCAGTAGCACGTCTATACACTATAAGGTTCAACCTGAAAGCCAAATCAAGAATACAATCCCATTTTCAATTGCCACCAAAAAAATAAAATACCCAGGAATACATCCAACCAAGGAGGTAAAAGATCTCTACAGGAAGAACTACAAAACACTGCTGAAAGAAATCACAGATGACACAAACAAATAGAAAAACATTCCGTGCTCATGGATTGGGAGAATCAATATCACTGAAATGGCCATATTGCCCAAAGCAATCTACATATTCAACACTACTCCTATCAAACTACCAATGGCATTTTTTCACACAATTAGAAAAAACTATCCAAAAATTCATATGGAACCAAAAAGGGGCTCAAATAGCCAAAAGAATCCTAAGCAAAAAGAACAAAAACCAAACGTATCACATTACCCTACTTCAGACTATAAGGCTACAATAACCAAATCAGCAAGCTTCTCCTACAAAAACACACACATGGACCAATGGAACATAACAGCCCAGAAATAAAGCCACACACTTTTGATCTTTGACAAAGTCAACAAAAATAAGCAATGGCAAAAGGACTTCCCATTCAATAAATGGTGCTGGGATAGTTGGCTAGCTATATGCAGAAGAATAAAAGTGGACCCCTACCTTTCATCATATACAAAAATTAACTCTAGATAGATTACAGATTTACACAGAATGCCTCAAACTATAAGAATCCTAGAAGAAAACCCAGGAAACACCATTCTGGACATTCACCTTCGGAAGAGAATTAGGACTAAGTACTCAAACACAATTACAACAAAAACTGAAACCTAATTAAAGATCTCAAAACAGCAAAAGAAACTATGAATAGAATAAAGACAACCTACAGAATAGGACAAAATATTCACAAACTATGCATCCAACAAAGGTCTAATATCCAGAATCTATAAAGAAATTAATTCAACAAGTAAAAAATAAATAATCCCATTAAAAAGTGGGCAAAAGGCTGGGCACGGTAGCTCACACCTGTAATCCCAGCGCTTTGGGAGGCCAAGGCAGGCAGATCACAAGGTCAGGAGTTCGAGACCAGCCTGGCCAATATGGTGAAACCCCATCTCTACTAAAGATGCAAAAATTAGCCGGGTGTGGTGGCGGGCGCCTGTAGTCCCAGCTACTCGAGAGGCTGAGGAAGGAGAATCGCTTGAACCCAGGAGGCGGAGGTTGCAGTGAGCCAAGATGGCGCCACTGCACTCCAGCCTAGGTAACAGAGTGAGACTCCGTCTCGAAAAAACAAAACAAATAAACAAATTTTAAAAAAAAGTGGGCAAAAGACATCAACAGCCACTTCTCAAAAGATATACAAGTGGCCAAAAAACATGAAAAAATGCTCAACATCACTAATCATCAGAGAAATGCAAATCAAAACCACAATGAGATATCACCTCACATCAGTGAGAATGGCTATTACTAAAAAGTCAAAAAAACACAGATGCTGGGGGAGGTTGTGAGAAAAGAGAATGCTTATACACTGTTGTGGGAATGTCAATTAGTTCACCCACTGTGGAAAGCAGTCTGGAGAGTTCTCAAAGAGCTTAAAACAGCTACCACTAGATCCAGCAATCCCATTACTGGGTATATAGCCAAAAGAAAATAAACCGTTTTACAAAAAGAAAAACATGCACTCATAAGTTCTTTGTAGCTCTATTCACAATAGCAAAGATATGGAATCAACCTAAGTGTCTATCAGTAATGGATTGGATAAAGAAAATATGTACATATACACCATGGAATACTAAACAGCCATAAAAAAGGACGAAATTATGTCCTTTGCAGCAACATGGATGCAGCTGGAAGCCATTATCCTAAGTGAATTAACGCAGCAACAGAAAGCCAAATATGGCATATTCTCACTTATAAGTGGGAGCTAAACACTGGATACTCACAGACATAAAGATGGCAACAAAAGACATTGGGGACTAATAGACGGTAGAAGGAGGGTAAGGGCTGAAAAACCATTAGGTACTATGCTCACTTACCTGCATGATGGGATCAACAGTACCCCAAACCTCAGTGTCATCCAATGTACCCATGTAAGAAACCTGCACATTACTTATATCCAAAATCTGAAATAAAATTTGAAATTATATATTTTTTAAAAGGCAAATACTTTAACATTCCACTTATACGAGGCACCTAAAGTAGTCAAAATCAAAGAGACGGAAAGTGGAATGGTGGTTACCAGAGGGAGGTGGAAGGGCAGGAGGAGATGAATGGGGAGTTACTGTTTAACAAGCAGTTTTACAAGATAAAAAGTATTATGGAGATGGACGGTGGTGATGGTTGCACAACATTATTAATGTATCTGATACCACTGAACTGTGCATTTAAATGGTTAAGATGGTAAATTTTATGTTACGTGCATTTCACCATGCGAATTTTATGGTATGTAAATTATACCTCAAGCTGTTAAAAAAAAACCTGTGAGAAATTCAAACTGCCCATCCACCTCCCACTCAACAGAAACAAAAAACTGTCTGAACAAATAATTCCAAAGGATTATAGCATAGCTACTATTTCAATTGCAACTTATAAAAATGCAGTAGGTCCCTGTACTATTCAGTAACTACTAAACACACACACACACACACACACACCACAGCTGAAGACCACAAATAAAGCCATTGCACCTAGTTAAGTATTCATTTGAAACGAAAAAAGAAAATGCAGCCAAGTTTAAATTTTGTTTGCCTGCCACTGACTCCAAGATCCTTCCAATGATATCAATTTTTGCCTTAGAAAAATTAAGTTTCATACAGTTCAGCAATTTAAGTTATCCAATATCGTACCAATATTCTGCACCTACATTTATGTGAAGTGTTAGTTTTCTGGTTTCTGCCTTATTTTTTCCTAAAGAAAACATACACTGGTATAGGCCAGATGCGGTGGCTCACACCTGTAATCCCAGCACTTTGGGAGGCTGAGGCAGGTGGATCACCTGAAGTCAAGAGTTCAAGACCAACCTGGCCAACATGCCGAAACCCCATCTCTACTAAAAATTCAAAAAATTAGCTGGGCGTGTTGGTGGGCGCCTGTAATCCCAGCTACTTGGGAGGCCGAAGCAGGAGAATCACTTGAACCTGGGAGGCAAGGTTGCAGTGAGCCAAGATGGCACCACTGACCTCCAGCTTGGGTAACAGCGCAAGTCTCCATCTCAAAAACAACAATAACAGAAAACAGACACTGGTTTAATCACTAGAAAATGTCTCTAACATTTTCTAAATGTATTTGACAAAATATTTTTGCACATTTCTATCAACCGGCACTCAAATGTGTGCCTTTACAATTCAGAAACAAGCTTATGATGTACTGAAATGATTTCTTTAATTGACAAATACCTGAGAAGACACTTGACTGAGACAATATTAATAGATGCAAAGATGTATATAAGCCTAAGTACATAAAATGGTACATATTTTCCTCCCTCTATAACAAGTTTACCTCAAATACATATGCTATTGTCAATCAGGGTAGGGTACCAATAAAACGTCTTCCCTTCTAATTCACATTATTTAGTTTTACTTTGAATTGACAAATAATAATTGTATATATTTATAAGGCCCTTCTACTTTCTTAGCCTAGATGACTATGTCAAAGAATAAAATGGTTTAATTTCATTTCCTTTTCCTATTCTTGGTAAGAAGCTACTACTTAACCTAAAGCTCTAAACACTCACCTTATCCCTTATCCAACAGATTCCTTGCTTTCCCCATCACTCCCTTCTTTCTTCTACCACATATTTTTAGCTAGATATGTTCTTCCTCCCCTTGCCCTCTACCTACCCGTCACCTATGCTCACTTCCATCCACTTTGTGTCACTTGGCTTTGCCTAAATGTTGGTGCATACACAGATGTACTGCTGTATTCTGGGGTGTAATATGTAAGGTACAACTGTAAAAATGGCAATGTTCTCTCAGAACACATGTAATTAAGTGCTGATGTCTTCCAGCACTCACCTTTAAAAGACTATTCTAGTAACACAATTTAACTCAAAATATATTTAACAAACTGAAGAAACGCTAAATACGTATTCCATATTCTTATTCTTAAAATTTCTTCAAAGTCATAAGAAGATATCAACGTTATTAGTTTAGAAAATAATTTGTTGAACACTTGCCAAGTGCTAAGCACAAGTCTTACAATGCAATAACCTTATGAAACGGGTAGCCTTTTAAATTCAGTTGAACCATGAGAAACTGTCTTTTTATAGGTCAAAATATGCACTGCCCACATTTTCATAGAGAAACTAAGCCCCAGGTCACACAGTAGTTAGCTGCAAAGTCACAACCCAACATAATCTCTAACCATGACAGATTTTTAATCCATGTTCAAAATAGGAAAGACAGGCATTCACAGCAGTTTGTGAATGAAATACATTCAGATGGAAAAACTATTTCCCAAAGAGCTTCTGATTGACTACAAGTTCAAAAGGTAGTCATTCTAGGCCCAAGTTCCAAAGCAGCCAACGTAATACTATCCTGTAAGTGTGGAAATAGTGAGTCTGTCAAGACACAAAAAAAGAGAAGAGTATTGTATTTGTCACTAGTCAGCTACTCACAAGTTACATCATTTTGGTTACTAATCTGAGACCTAAGTCTCTCTTCCATAAAATGGAATTTGCTCTTGACCTATATATCTCAGTGATGGCATGGGTTTAAAATAACTTATGTGAGGCTGGAAGCTGTGGCTCACGCCTGTAATCTCAGAACTTTGGCAGGCCGAGGTGGGCAGATCACTTGAGGTCAGGAGTTCGAGACCAGCCTAGCCAACATGGTGAAACCCAGTCTCTACTAAAAATACAAAAATTCGCTGGGCGTGGTGGTGGGGGCCTGTAATCCAGCTACTTGGGAGGCTGAGGCAGGGGAATCGCTTCAGCCCTGGAGGCAGAGGTTGCAGTGAGCTGAGATGGCACCACCTGCACTCTAGCCTGGTCGAAAGAGTGAGACTCCATCTCAAAAAATAATAATTATGAACATCAGCAGCATGGTGGAAACGAAAGTGAAAGGAACATAAGACCTCGTTCTTGGATGTTTCCAGTGAAATAGAGAGGGATAAATTCCATTCAAACTGTTATTATTTGAATAGAATAATATTTAATTCCAGTGCAGACCCCAAGCCAGGCTGCTCCTGGGAGCGACCCCAGGGACTGCCTGGGGAGGAAGGCTTAACTACTCTGACTTCCATCAGTTTGTCAGTCTCATCTTTACAATGGCATTTAAGAAAACATCAAAAAGGTAAACTTGTCACGATTCCACCACCTCCCTCCTCAATCCAGCCCCATCCACTGTGTATGCACACAATGATACCAAAACAGTCCACTGAAATTCCTTAAAATTTTCAGCTGTCAAATGTGTTTTGATAGCTAGCTAAGGGGCCCATAAGGGCAATTTTAACTTTTCCTGGGGAGTAAGCTGGGAGGGTAGAAGCGGTAGGGTACTCTTAGTGAAGATATAAAAATTATAGCTTTCTTTTACTCACTCCTTCAATCTTTGTCTACTGACTCTGAGGTACAATTTTCCTCAAGAGTAGTCTAAGACAGATTTCAACCACCAGGTGGCACAATTTTAGAAAATAAACCAAGAGCCAGCGCTGTATTAACTCTAGTATAAAGAAAACGGGTAAGCATTCTAATAACTCACTTCAGCAAATCTATAATCACAAGGAAGAACCCTGTATTTTAATGCCAGTTGGCTTTTCTTTAGAAAGATTTTCCTATTGTGCGGCTGCACAGGAAATTTACACTACAGTTGTAATTTCTAATGCTACTGCAAAATAAGCAAAAAACAAGGCCAGAAAAGTCTGTTGTGCAGAGTCTGAAGAAACTGTTCTCCAGAAAAAAAAACTGTAAACACTCCGCTTTCTAAAATATATCTTTTTAGGCTAGGCGCGGTGGCTCACGCCTGTAATCCCACCACTTCGGGAGGCCGAGGCAGGCAGATCACTTGAGGTCAGGACAAGCCTGGCCAACATGGTGAATCCCCGTCTCTACTAAAAATACAAAAATTAGCCAGGCGTGGCCTGTAACCCTAGCTACTCAGGAGGTTGAGGCACGAGAATCACTAGAACTCGGGAGGTGGAGGTTGCAGTGAGCCGAGATCGCGCCACTGCACTCCAGCCTGGGCGACAAAACAAGACGCCGTCTCAAAATAAAATTTAAATATATATATATATAAATAAATAACATAAAACATTTTTAAGGCCTACATTTCGGCCCTGGTATTAAAGAATTATTTTTCAACTTTTCAAGCTATGAGCCATACTGCAGCAGAGGTCGCAGACACGGTCGGGGACGGCCTCCCCTGCCCACTTCCACTTATCACAGGACCAGTTCTAAACCGATACCACTAAGAAAGCGACTGGCGCTGGCACTGTAGACCCCATGCCAGGCTGCTTCTGGGAGGGACCCGGGGGTGCTGCCTAGGGAGAAGGGCTTAACTACTCTGACTTCCACCGAAGAGTTTCTCAGAGAATGCGCCCTCGCAGCTTTCCCTGAATAAACATTACCAGGACTTACAAGGTGCCTAGCACTCTGCCAGAATCATGTGAATTTCAGAGGAAAATACTCGTTCACACATCTCAAGGAACGCACAGGCTCGTGAGGGAGCATTCTTGCCAATGCACATGGTAAATGCCCAATCGATGTTCGCGGAATGTCAGAAACTGACAACTAGTTCAGGCCTCAACGCAGTAGGAAAAGGATGAAAAAGAAACTCATTTTAAATCAACTAAACAAGTGCAAAAGCCATACATATAAAGGAGAGGAGATACGAATGGCATCACAACATAATTCCTTTGCCATCGAAAACTTCCATGCCTTTGAGGTTTTAAATGAAGACTTCCAAAACTGATTTACTTAAGACTCTACGTAAAACGCCTGATCTTTAAACGCAAGAAAAGCAAGATGAATGTATTACTTTCCTGGAAAAAAAAAGCATTAAAGGAGAAAAAAGAGTAAAGTGTACTGATGGGGCTCTTGGTGGGTTCTCACATCACAGGGCACTGCAGCTGAGACTTGCTTGAACGGCCCCCGTTTTCTACCCGCAAATTCTCAATTGCTAGATAAACAACAATAACAACACTTTATTGGGCGCTCATCGTGTCAAACCCTGTGTTGAGGGCTCCATTCCTCAAGGTCCATTTTACCGGCGAGGAAGCCCCGGCTCCGGGAGGGGAGGAGCGCGCCCAAGGTCACCAGCCAGTTGAGTGAGTGGCGGGCGGATCCCAACCCCGAGCGACGCCCACGGCCTGTCTCGGCCACCAGCGTGTTCCAGCGAGCGCCCAGCCACCTCGCTCGCAGCCTCCCCAGCGCAGCAGCCCGGCTGTGGGCCTGCGGCAGCCGGGTCTTCCTGGTCCCCACCTCCTGGGGCCGACGGGCGGCAGGAAGGGGCTCGGCGGGACGCGCCATCAGGGACCTGAGGAGGAACAACGGAACGCGTTCGGAACGGCCTGGACTCCCGAGACTCACCCGACTCGTGGCCACACCGGGAGAACTGAAGCGGCAGTAGCCGGCGGAGACGCCCGACCCGAAGGCCGGCTGCTAGGGAGCAGACAGCTGAACCGCTTGCCAGACGCCGAAACCCAGTGACGCCCTCCACCGCTCCACCGTGCTCCCGGCTCCTCGCCCCCGCCGCCCGCGGGCCCCAAGGCGCATGCGCCGCCTGTCCTGGAGGGGCCCATTTCCGTCCGTCGTGGGGGGAGGCACAGTGAGTCCACTGGGGCACGGCAGCGTCTAAGCCACAAGCCGAGCACATAAGCCAGGTCCTAACGGAGCCTATGTGTAAGTCCACTACTGGTGCAAGGTTGCACACTTCTAAGAAGAGCGGCGTGGGGGGCTCGGCGACCTTCGCTTCAGTCGCTCCCCCGTGCAGTCCCCTGTGCCCAAGACACAGCCTGATGCTTGTGCTCCGGTGGGCGGAGCTTGGAGGCGGCGGGAACTGCAATTGGTGGCTTTGAAGGCGCGGCGAGCGGGAACAGCTCTTGAGGAGTGAGACTGCAGGAGATGTGGGCCGGTAAGAGAGCCCCGGGCGGCACTGGATCGGGCCCCGGAGGGTGTGGGGCCTTGAGGAAGCCAGATCCCAGGCCTCGGGGGTGGCTTTTTCGCAATTGTCGCACGTTGTGAGGCGCAGGATTGGCGCTGGGTCTCGGGCTCGGGGCGAGGAACTACGGTTCGGGCCGAGGTGAGGGGGCGGTGGCGCTGTGCCGGCTGTGACGTCACCTCGCCCGCGGTGGGGCGGGTGGAGCCTTTCGTAGGCTCGCGACTGCGTCAGGGGAGGGCCGTGTGGTCATGTGACCAGGGGCTCCGCTCTACGATCCTGGGGTTGCTTCCTTTCCCAGAGTTGGGGTTTTGCTTTTCTGTCACCTCGGCTTCCGTCGTTTTTTGTCCCTGTACCCTCTTGCGTTGCTCCTCGCATTGCCTGTTGGAGCGCAGCAGAGGTGTGTGGCTACGGGAACGTTACTTAAAATGGATCTTTTTGATCATGCGTTCCACAGATCTTGAGCATCTACTGTATGTCAGACACTAAAACGCTAGGAAGTATAAAGAAAGTTTTAAAATGGGGCCAGGCGCGGTAGTTTACGCCTGTAATCCCAACACTTTGGGAGACCGACGTGGGCGGATCACCTTAGGTCAGGAGTTCGAGACCAGCCTGGCCAACATGGTGAAACCCCGTCTCTACTAAAAATACAAAAATTAACCGGACGTGGTATCGGGTGCCTGTAATCCCAGCTATTTGGGAGGCTGAGGCAGGAGAAGCGCATGAACCCGGGAGGCGGAGGTTGCAGTGACCCGAGATCGCGCCACTGCACTGCACCCTGGGCGACAAAGCGAGACTGTGTCTCCGAAACAACAAAAAAAGGAAAGTTTAAAAATGGTCACGGGGTAAACGTTTACTAAAGGGATTTCCGTCTTAATTGGTGAGACTGAGGGCGCTCTACCAAATTTCTTTAGACTGGCGTTCTGCAAACTTTACCCGGAATAAATCATCTGACGTACTTTTTAAAAGATGCTAAATCTCAAGCCCTCCGTGCGCCCTCCTCACAGTTTAATTTGATAGGGCCCAGGAATCTTCATTTTAACGGGTAGCCTCGTCTGTGGGTTTTTTTGTTTGTTTTTTGTTTTTTTGAGACGGAGTCTTGCTTTGTCGCCCATGTTGGAGGGCAGTGGCACGTTCTCGGCTCACTGCAACCTCCTCCTCCCGGATTCAGGCTGTTCTCTTGCCTCAGCCTCCCGAGTAGCTGGGACTAGAGGTGTGCGTCACGACACCCGGCTAATTTTTGTATTTCTAGTAGAGACGGAGTTTCACCATGTTGGCCTGGGTGGTCTTGAACGACTGACCTCAAGTGATACACCACGCCCGGCGCGCTCCCGGCCCCTCGCCCGTGTTCTTAATGGGAGAGGTGTTGATTTGATGTTTCACTGACTGTTGAACCCCAAACCACCCAGGTTGTCTCCTCAGGCATTCATTCCACAAGTATTTATCAAAGACACATTAGACTGTTCTTGGCCTGATTAGACTTACTGACTATAGTGAGGCAGTTCTGGTCTAGGAGTATAGCTGTGAATAAAAACATCGTCCTGCCCTGGAGCTCAATTTTAGAAACAAGAAAAGTTAAAAAGATAATTTCAGATAGTTCTGTAAAGACAATTAGCAGTGGATGGCCTGGTGCAGAGGCTCACGCCTGTAATCCCAGTACTTTGGGAGGCCGAGGCGGGAGGATCACTTGAGCTTGGGAGTTCAAGACCAGCCTGACCAACATGGTGAAACCCCATCTTTACTAAAAGTAGAAAAATTAGTTGGGTGTCATGGTGCACACCTGTAATCCCAGATACTCGGGAGGCTGAGGCAGGAGAATCATTTGAATCTGGGAGGCAGAGGCTGCAGGAGGCTGCAGTGAGCAGAAATCCCACTACTACACTCTAATGTGGGTGACCCAGCAAGATTCCGTCTAAAAAAAAGGAAAAAAACAATTAGCAGTGGAGAGTGGGGAAGTAACTTTTGGTTGGGTGGTCAGGATAAGTCTGAGGAGAAACCATCTAAGCTAACACCAGAATTGCAAGAAGTCACTGGAGAGAACATGTGCAGGAAGAACCTTCTAGGCAGTTGTAACTGCAGGCACAATGGTCCTTCTCTAGAGATTATTTAAGAGACTAGTGTAGTTGGAGCTCAGAAAACCAAGGAGAGGGAAGCAGGGGCCACGCAACACGGGGCCTTGTAGACCATGGTGAAGGCTTTAGATGGTCCAGTAACTACACAAAGAAACAAATCCGACTCCTGTTTCATGATCCTGATTCTGTTCCTACGACCTTAATTCAGTTATTTTTCTATTTCTAAATGACTCCTAATCCTTCCTCTTTATCTTTGTCTTACTATCATTTTCAGTATATTGTTAAAATACAGTCAACTATTTCTTTTCAGAAGTGGACAAGGATAATTTTTCAGTGTTCAACAAATAAGTCACAGCCAGGACTCTTGTAGGAAGATACTTCTTTGTCCCTGGAATTCCCACAGTTGTGAAGGAAACAGATGACTGACAGGCTTGTCTTAAACACAGATGCCAAGGTCTGTGTGTGCCTTCCTAGAAGACACACTGTTAAGGGACATTAAAGTATGCGGGTGGTACCCTGCATTGTATAAAAATCATGTTTGCAGACCACGCGCGGTGGCTCACACCTGTAATCCCAGCACTTCAGGAGGCCGAGGAGGGCAGATCACTTGAGGTCAGGAGTTCGAGACCAGCCTGGGCAACATGGTGAAACCATGTCTCTACTAAAGATACAAAAATTAGCCAGGCGTGGTGGTGCACGCCTGCAGTCCTAGCTACCTGGGAGGCTGAGGCAGGAGAATCACTTGAACCAGGCAGGGGAGGTTGCAGTGAGCCGAGGTTGCACCACTGCACTCCAGCCCGGGCGACAGAGTGAGACTCTATCTCAAATGAAAAAAATAAATAAATATCATGTTTGCTTGCTTTTTTGTTCTGTATTTGAAGAGAGAGAGAGAGATGCTCACTGGTGTCCCCAAATAAAGTAGCAGACGTGAGATCAGCTGTCACCATTGGCTCACAACTTCTGCCAAAGGAAAATGATAAAAGAGCTCAGAATCTTCCTTCCTTATTCCTGCAGCCGCTAGGTCATTCTTCTGGAGATTATATCCCTTGCCTATTGATAAGGGAGGCACACCAGATTTGGGGCTCAGGACCTTATAGACAATTAAGGAATCTCACCCTCAGGCATGGGCAGGAGAAGTGAGGGAGGAAAGAGCTCTTTGTTCACAGGCGGTGCATTAAAGGACTAAGAGACAGCAATCCACTGCACCACTAGCTCTTAGCATGTCCTGTGGAGTCACAGATCCAGCTGTTTATTCGGTATCTCCATTTGGACTCTCATCTTTATCTTAATATTAACAGATTCAGAACAGAATTACAGAATTCTTGAGCTTTCTCCTGCCTCTCTCGCAGTCTTGGCCGTCTCAGCTAATAGTAACTTTGTCTTTTAGTTCCCTGGTAAAAACCTTGGTTTCATCTTTGGTTCTTTTCTTGATCTAACACCCCACATGTAATCCATCTGGAAACCCCGTGAGTTCCCTCTTAAAAGTGTATCCAGAACCTGACCTCTTCCCCTGCCTCACTAACCTCCAACCTCTGCCCTCGCCTCCTTACACTGCGTTCTCAGTACAGTAGCGAGATTGATCCTGGTAGAAAAGCTAAACAAGAGCATGTCCTGCCTGTGCTCAGCACCTTGCAGAGTGAAAACAGCAGTGATCCCCGCAGTGCCTTTCAAGGCCCTCCATGATGACTGACCTCACCTCCTTCTCTATGCCTCCTTCCTGTCTCTGCTGTCCCCTGACTGGAGGCCACCCTTCCCTGTTCCTCGAAGGCCCCAAGCAGGCTCTTGCCTCAGGACTTTTGCACATGCTGTTCCTTCTGCCTGGAAAGCTCTTCCACCACATGACTCCTTCTCCTACAAGGATTGCCCCCAAGTCATGTTCTCTATGATGCCTACTCTCTCCAGCACTCCCACGCTCAACTCAGCCTGCCAAAATTATTCCATTTTCTCCGGCACTCCTCACTTTTAACATAGTTTGTGATTTCCCTGTTGTTTCTCTCTCCCCACTAGAATGGATGTGCCATACTGGAACAGATGTTTGTCTTTTTGGCCAAAGACATATGTATCCCCAGTGCCTAGAAAAGGGCCTGGCATGCACAGATCCTCAGTAAGGGGTTACATGAATCAGTAAATGAATGAATGATTTATATATCATCACCATCAAAACATCAAAATACTCTAGCCAGAAAAGGAGAGATAGCACTAATTTTTAAACTCTAAAACATTTAAATATACATTAAGGAGAAAATAATTAAATGCTCATGCTAAAACACTGCAAAATAGCTGAAAAAGTGTAAACATTTAGGTGTTGGACCTACAAATCAAAATCCCAGCTAAATATGATGCCGATGGCCAGGCGCAGTAGCTCACGCCTGTAATCCCAGCACTTTGGCAGGTTGAGGCGGGTGGATTGCTTGAGCCTAAGAGTTCAAGACCAACGTGGGCAATCTAGTGAGACCCTGTCTCTATTTTTCATATGTGTATGTGTATGTGTAAATAAAGACAGACAAGTATTGTATTTGGTTAATACTTTGTTGTGCTGTTTTTGTTTTGTAAAAGTGCCAAAGAGATGGATGAGACTGTTGCTGAGTTCATCAAGAGGACCATCTTGAAAATCCCCATGAATGAACTGACAACAATCCTGAAGGCCTGGGATTTTTTGTCTGAAAATCAACTGCAGACTGTAAATTTCCGACAGAGAAAGGAATCTGTAGTTCAGCACTTGATCCATCTGTGTGAGGTAACAGTGTTAAAAATGATGAGCCTTGAACAGAGTGCTACCCCCTTGGGTTTTTCTTTCTTCTATTCCTTACTCCAAAAGAGATGTAAGGTAGCTGCTAAACTACTAGTGAAGTGATGAGGGCTATATACAACTGCAGTGGAAAAAAACCTAATTTTTAATTGACCTTTTCATCTTAAAAGAATGCTTAAAAATCAATAAGATGGAAAAAGTAAATATAGTAGAAAAAACAGTACAAATTAAAATAACGAGCAGTATTTTTCGCAGTATTTTTTTAAACCTATCAAATTATCAAGGATGAAAAGACAACAACACCCAGATGTATTGGCAAACTTGTAAGGAAAGAGACTCTGTCTTTCATGTGTATTTATCTCTTTAATTGCTTATTGTTTTAAAATGTTTTCAGACTATCAGAAAAGTTGCAAATTTAGTTCAAATAATTTTCTTATTCCAATATACCCGTCTCTCCTTCACTTTTATTTATTTATTTTTTATTTATTTTTGAGACAGAGTCTTGCTCTGTCATCCATGCTGGAGTGCAGTGGCACAAACTCAGCTTACTGCAACCTCTGCCTCCCAGGTTCTAGCGATTCTAGTGCCTCAGCCTGCTGAGTAGCTGCGACTACAGGCACGCACCACCACACTGGCTAATTTTTGTATTTTCAGTAGAGACGAGGTTTTGCCATGTTGGCCAGGTTGGTGTCAAACTCCTGACCTCAGGTGATCTGCTCACTTTGGCCTCCCAAAGTGCTGGGATTACAGGTGTGAGCCACCATGCCTGGCCTCCTTTGCTTTTAAATAAATATACTTTTTGACCTAGCAATTCTACTTACAGAAATTTATGATGAGAAAATAATAAAAAATAGGAGGTATGTATAAATATTGATAAATATTTAGTTATATAAATGAAGATGCATTGTAGCATTGTTTTAAAAACAAAACACGTTCACATAAAGACGTGTGTACTAATGTTCACAGCAACATTATTCATAAAAGCCACAAACTGGAAACAACCCAAATGTCCATCAGCAGGTAAACAGATGAACAGATTGTGATGTTTCCATACAGTGGATATACTCAGCAGTAAAAAGGAATGAAGTATTCATAGATGCTAACATATGGATGGATATCAAAATAATTGTGCTGAGTAAAAGCCAGACCAAAAAAATGAGTACACACTTATGTTAACATTCATATAAACCTCTAGAAAATGCAAACAAATCTGTAATGACAGAAAGCAGATCAGCGTTTGCCTTAGGACTAAGGCTTGGGAGGTAGAGACATGGGAACCAAGAAGAGTGGAAGGAAGTGGGCGGTGATAAGAAAGGGACACAAGACTGGACTCAGTGGCTCCTGCCTGGAATCCCAGCACTTTGGAAGGCCAAGGCAGGCAGATCATTTGGGTTAGGAGACCAGCCTGGCCAACATGGTGAAACCCCTTCCCTACTAAAAATACAAAAATCAGCTAGGCATGGTGGTGCACACCTGTAATCCCAACTCCTTGGGAGGCTGAGGCAGGAGTATCACTTGAAACTGGGAGACAAAGGTTGCAGTGAGCTAAGATTGCGCGTTTGCACTCCTGCTTGGGCAATAGAGCAAGACTCTGTCTCCAAAAAAAAAAAGAGACACGAGAAAATCTGGGAGGCAGTGCTGGTGGATATTGTCACTGTCTTGATTGTGGTAGTGGTTTTGTGTGTATATTCATAAGTCAAAATGTATCAAATTGTATACTTTAAAAATATACAGTTTAATGGATGATAATTATACTTCAATAAAGTTAATTTTTAAAAAATCAAAAAGTTAAAAGTGATAAATGAGGAATAAATTGTGAGAGAAGGTTGTGGACTAAGACATGAATCAGAAAGAATGTCCATTGGTTAACAGGAGAAGAGATTGGAGATGGGTTGTCAGTAAAGTACTGAGAATGTGCTAATAGTCTGTTCTAACCAATCCTAAAATGTGTTTTAAACGGGATAGAACCAAACCTATAACCACAGTTACTAAATAATTTGTTTTCTCTTTTAGGAAAAGCGTGCAAGTATCAGTGATGCTGCCCTGTTAGACATCATTTGTAAGTGTCAGTGATTTGTATTTATACTTAACCAATCAGTTTATTAGAGGCAATTTTGTTTCTTTCTTTGTGAGACAGGGTCTCCCTCTGTCGCCCAGGCTGGAGTGCAGTAACGCCATCTCAGCTCACCGCGACCTCTGCCTCCTGGATTCAAGTGATTCTCCAACCTCAGCCTCCCGAGTAGCTGGGACTATAGCAGTGCACCACCATGTATGGCTAATTTTTTGTATTTTTTGCCACAAGGTTTTGCCGTGTTGCCCAGGCTGGTCTCCAGCTCCTGGGCTAAAGTGTTCCTCCTACCAAAGTGCTGGGATTATAGGTGTGAACCGCTGTACTTGTCCCAGAAGCAATTTTGTATATAACGCCTCAGAGTCTAGAGTTCAGGAGACCTTGTTTCAAATCCCAGTATGTCACTCAGCCGTATGTTCTTTGACAAGTTGCATCACCTTTCTGAGCCTCAGACTTCAAGCAGAGATAATAGTACATTATCTACTTCACGGTATTCTTGTTAGGATTAAATGAGGTAGTGCCCGAGAAGCTGTTAGCATGGTAACTGGCACATCAGAAACACAAAGTAAATGTTTGGCTTTGTATTACTCAGGTTGCCAACTTACAACAGCTCAACTTAAAAATTTTCAACTAGTATGAAAGCAGCAGACATTCAACAGAAACCATACTTTGAGTTCCTATACAACCATTCTTTTCTCACTTTCAGTACAGCATTTAGTAAGTTACATGAGGTATGCAACAGTTTATGATAGAAGACTCTGTTGGATGATTTTGCTCAACTGTAGGCTAATGTAAGTGCTCTGAGCACACATAAGGTAGGCTGGGCTAAGCTAAGATATATGAAGGTTAGGTGAATTATTTTCACCTCAAGGTGGATTTATCAGGCATAGCCCCATCATAAGTCAAGAAGCATCTGTATTATTATTAAAGGATTTGAAAATATCTTTCTGAAAATTTGTTCCTATTACAGTGTAGCTTCTCACCTCTCCTCCCTTCCATTTCATTGATTTTTGTCTAGCTTTCCTGTCTGTACTTTTTCAAGATGTCTGTTTTTTTTATCAGAAGGCAGCATAATATAGGGGCTGAGAACACAGGCCCTGGGGCCAGACCTCTTGGGTTCATTTCATGGCTCCGTTACTGCCTCCCTGTGAGCCCTGGAGGAAGTTGGTTAACATCTCTGTGGCATACCGACATCTCTGGTATTATCATTTGACCAATCTGTATAATAGTGATAATATCACATAAGGTTATGGTGAGGATTAAATAAGAGTACATGTTAAATACTTAAAGCCTGGTATTAACTAATTGCAATCATTATGTATTAGCTGTTTTCTGTAAGTGTAACAAAAATTATCTTTATTAATACTTTGCTCCAACTCATGGCATGCTCCAATTCAGCTATTGCTGAATTTGGAGCATCTGCCTCTGATTTAGTTTGTCTCATTTTCAGTGGTTGGATTCTCTCAAGCATAAAAGGTGGATCCACACCATTCCCATTTCTCATACATTGATTCAAAAATTCATTAAGCACCTGGCTGGACGCAGTGGCTCACACCTGTAATCCCAGCACTTTGGGAGACCAAGGCAGGTGGATCACCTGAGGTCAGGAGTTGGAGACCAGCCTGGCCACTATGGTGAAACCCCATCTCTACTAAAAATACAAAAAATTAGCCGGGCATGATGGCAGGTACCTGTAATCTGCTATTCGGGAGGCTGAGGCAGGAGAATCATTTGAACCCAGGAGACAGAGATTGCAGTCAGCCAAGATCACACCACTGCACTCCAGCCTGGCGACACCGTGAGACTCTGTCTCAAAAAAAAAAAGGAAAAAGAAAAGAAAACCTGGTCTGAAGTCCAGAGGCACAGACAGAGGTCAGTGCAGAGACAATTTTAAGCCAGAAGGATGAAGGGATATGGTTGAACTTGCTAACTTCCTAGGTCCATTTCTACTCCAAGACACTCCAAGTTTGTAACTCCTGAAAGGTGTTTTCTGTCATATACTTATTCATTCATTCGTTCATCAAACATATACTGAAGCCTGGTGTGGTGGTGTGGGACACTTGGGAGGCTGAGGCAGGAGGATTGCTTGAGCCCGCGAGTTCAAGTCTAGCCCAGTTAACATAGTGAGACCCTGTCTCTTAGAAAAACAAAACAAATATTGAGTGCTTGCTTTATGCCACGCAGTTAAGTTTAGACCTGGGACTACAACAGTGAACAGGTCCCTCATTTCCATCAGAGTCTAACTGGAAAGACAGGCAGTGTACAAATGAACATCTAAATAAATAATGTGGCTGGGCACGATGGCTCACGCCTGTAATCCCAGCACTTTGGGAGGCCAAGGTAGGTGGATCACCCGAGGTCAGGAGTTCGACACTAACCTGGCCAACATGGTGAAACCTCATGTCTACTAAAAATACAAAAAATTAGCCAGGCGTTGTGGCAGGCATGTGTAATTCCAGTACTCGGGAGGCTGAAGCAGGAGAATCGGTTGAACCCGGGAGGCACAGGTTGCAGTGAGCTGAGATTGCACTATTGCACTCCAGCCTGGGCAACAAGGGTGAAACTCCATCTCAAAAAATAATAATAATAAATACACACATACATACATACATACATAATGTGACATCAGGTAGTGATGAGTCCTCCGACAGGAACTGGGAACTAACGCAGGGTGTTTGGGGTAGGGTGATCCGGGCGGGGACTACTCTGAGTAGAGAGCAGAATGAGGTGGGGAGTAGGGTGTGTAAGGAGCTAGGAGAAGAGGCTCCAGGCAGAGGAACAGCTGGCTCAAATGTGGGTCCTGTGGGGCACAGCATTCCCTGTCGTGCCAGATTAATGTGGCATTCTGTGGAATGGAATAAATGGAATGTGGAAATGGAATAAATGGGCTAACATAGAATAAATACCAAAACTCAACTGTATTATCTAAGTCAGTTGAATTAAGTAATTATGATTTGCTTTATTTATATGAAGTACTTTAATCCATATAAAGTTTATATTTTGAATACAAATCTGTATAACTCAATTTGTGAATTACTGTTACTTTCCCCAGTTTTAAAGTATAGAAATATCTATAAGCATATTACTTCAAAGTTCTATGATATGCTAGTAATAAAGCTTTCTTCCCTCTCTCAGATATGCAATTTCATCAGCACCAGAAAGTTTGGGAAGTTTTTCAGATGAGTAAAGGACCAGGTAATATTTTCTGTTTACAATTGAATATTTGATAGTTTGGCTTGGACTCAGGAAGCAGAGGTTACAGCGAGCTGAGATTGCACCACTGCACTCCAGCCTGGGTAACAGAGCAAGACTCTATATCCAAAAAAAAAAAATAGCAGTATGTTCCTCATTTCTTTCAAAATGAGGTGATTATTTATTACTCACTTTTGGAAAATGAGAAACATACTTCTTGGTGCCATGTCAGAAGTACTAGCACCATTTGTGTGATTTGATCATTATTACTCTGGAATTATACAAAATGCTTAGTTTCATGGTACTTTACGAATGTATTTACTGAAGACATTGTAGCTCCCTTGATTTTTCTTTATTTTTTTTTCACTTTGGCAGGTGAAGATGTTGACCTTTTTGATATGAAACAATTTAAAAATTCGTTCAAGAAAATTCTTCAGAGAGCATTAAAAAATGTAAGAATAAAATTCATCTTTTACATAAAATTCAATGTCATGACGTCTGTGCACTTAAAATTTGCTACTATCATAGTTTTTTTTTAATTTGTAAGAAATTCAGTTAGTAATAGTTCATACGGTTCTACTCCATATCAGAAACACACTGTAAATATTATGAAAACTTCCCTTTCCTCTCTCCTGTCCATTCAGGGCCTGAGGCTTCTTTTTCCAGAGGAGCTCAGTCCAACAGAGCTTTCTGCAGTGATGGAAATGCTCTGTATTGGCACTGTTCAGTTCAGCCACATGTAGCTGCTGAGCACTTGCGGCTAGTGTGACTGAGCAGCTGAATTTTTAATCTTTTTTTTTTTTTCTTTCCTTGAGACAGAGTCTTACTCTGTTGCCCAGGCTGGAGTGCAGTGGCGAGATCTCGGCTCACTGCAACTGCCTCCTGGGTTCAAGCAATTCTTCTGCCTCTGCCTCCCGAGTAGCTGGGACTACAAGCACGCACCACCATGCCCAGCTAATTTTTGTATTTTTAGTAGTGATGGGGTTTCTCCATGTTGACCAGGCTGGTCTCGAACTCCTAACCTCAGATGATCTGCCTGCCTCGGCCTCCCAAAGTGCTGGGATTACAGGTGTGAGCCACCGCACCCAGCCTGAATTTTTAATCTTTTTAAACTTCAATGATTTTTTACATTAAATAGCCACATGTAGCTAGTAGTTCCAGTAATAGTCAGTGCAAACCTGAAGCACCCTTGATTTTACAGATGTTTTTGCTTTTTTAATGTAAAACAAAGAAGCTATTCAGAATAAGACAATCTTCCATTCAAGGCAGTAGAGGCCCACTGAGCATGTGACTGGGTCCAAGCTCTATGATGCTCACTCAGGAAAGTCAGACAGCTGTGTGCCGCCATACCCTGGACTGGGGAGACTTTCTTGTCTCCTGCACTGAGGGAATTTGGAAAAGCTGCTAAAGAATGAGCAGAATTTGCTAGTGCCACTGTAACAACCCACTTTTCCTAGAACAAGATCTCAGAGGGAGGAAACAGAGACGTGGGCAAGCTGAGTGCATCTCACTCAAGTCCCTCCTTTCTAGGCTCAGAGCTTTAAAGGGAAGCTGAATCAGAGGGGAGCTGATAATCCAGGAGCAGCCTATTAAATTCCAGACCAATTGGCAACCATATTTAAAAGTTTGGAAAGGCCTGTATTTTATCCATGAAGTGGATTCAAGGTAGTACCTCTGGTCTTGCCATGTAACATTCTTTTAGAGGAGTTTTTAGCTTCTGAGCTAAATGCATAAGAGCATTAGGAATAGTATATTTTCAAGCCCATTATTACATAGAAATCTTCTTTAAGCCCATTATGACATAGAAATCTTCTTTTTCTTCTTCTTTTTGTTTTGTTTTTGTTTTTTTTTGGAAACGTGGTCTCACTCTGTTGCCCAGGCTGGAATGCACTGACATGATCTCGGCTCACTATAGTCTAGACCTCCCAGGCTCAAGCCATCCTCCCACCTCAGCCTCTTGAGTAGCTGGGACTATAGGCACATGTCACCGTGCCTGGCTTTTTTTTTTTTTTCCGGTAGATACTGAGTTTCACTATGTTGTCCAGGTTGGTCTCAAAACTCCTGGGCTCAAGCGATCCTCCTACCTCAGCCTCCCAAAGTGCTAGGATTACAGGCATAAGCCACAACACCCAGCCTAATTACATAGAAATCTTACTGTTAAAGTTTATAGCGTGTGCTAGGTCTGGGTTAGATGCTAAGAAGGCTTCATTATAAAACAAGTATCTCATTTGTAAGGCTGCCTTACCTCATAAATTCTTACGTAAGGAGGAACAGTTTTCAGGACAAGCCCAAGAAATTATTGAAAAAACAATCACCTCTACAAAAAAAAACTTTTTTAAAAAAATTAGCCAGGCATGATGGCACGTGCCTGTGGTCTCAGCTACTAGGGAGGCTGAGATGGGATTGCTTGAGCCCAGGAAGTTGAGGCTGCCGTGAGCAGGCTATGATCATGCCACAGCACTCCAGCCTGAGCAACTGAGCAAGACCTAGTCTCAAAAAAAAAAAAAGAACTGAAAAGGATTTTTTTTTTTTAAAATCACAAAATGTTTTCCCAAAGATTCTCAAAATACTCATGAAAAGCAGAAAAGACTGCCAGGTCTCAACCTGCATACAAGAGTATAGGGACATCATTGTTCACCCCTAATAAGCACCTGGAGTTGGTGCCACAGTGAAATTTTAATTAGGAAATTAAGCCTTTTTTTTTTTTCTTTAATAAGGTGACAGTCAGCTTCAGAGAAACTGAGGAGAATGCAGTCTGGATTCGAATTGCCTGGGGAACACAGTACACAAAGCCAAACCAGTACAAACCTACCTACGTGGTGTACTACTCCCAGACTCCGTACGCCTTCACGTCCTCCTCCATGCTGAGGCGCAATACACCGCTTCTGGGTCAGGTATGGAAAAAATTATTACAAGCTATAATATTTTATTATCCTATCTCAAAGGTCTATATAGATTTTAACTGTTGAATAAGTATTTGATAGAGAATACTAGGCCAGGTGCAGTGGCATGTACCTGTGGTCCCAGCTACTTGGGAGGCTGAAGTGGGAGGATTGCTCGTGCCCACGAGTCCAAGGCTGCCGTGAGCTGCGATCACAAGACAAAGCAACACCCCACCTCTAAAAAAACAAAAAAAAGATATAGAATACCACATGTAATTCTTGTTCTCCTAAAATAAGAAACAGAGTGTTGTTATCTGCAGATGGGAACATGGCATAAGATATTAGATTGGAGCTATATTTTATTGTTTTTTGATCTAGAAATAATGCATACTTAATATAAAAAAATGCAACCGATACAGAAGTCTCTAAAGATAAAAAGTCTTCAAAGCTTCATACCCCTTTTCCCTATTCCGTTCGTTCAAAATAACTACTGTCAAAGTTTGCTATTTCCTTTGACAAGATGGTTATTAGAAAAGCCAGGGTAGGCCAGGCGCGGTGCTCATGTCTGTAATCCCAATACTTTGGGAGGCCGAGGCAGGTGGATCACCTGAAGTCAGGAGTTTGAGACCAGCCTGGCCAACATGGTAAAACCCTGTCTCTACTAAAAATACAAAAAAATTAGCCAGGCGTGGTGGTGGGCACCTGTAATCCCAGTTACTTGGGAGGCTGAGGCAGGAGAATTGCTTGAACCCGGGAGGCAGAGGTTGCAGTGAGCCCATATCGCACCATTGCACTCCAGCCTGGGCAACGAGAAAGAAACTCCGTCTTAAAAAAAAAAAAAAATTAACATAACATTTCCACGTGGTTACAAATGAATATACCTCATTACTTTTTCATAATTGTATAATTTGCTTATTAATGAACATTATTTTCATTTGTAACCATTTCTCCCACATTCCATACACAAGGAGACTGCTTTCACATAAGATGTAGCCTCTGTTCCGAGCCTGCTTCTCTTTATGGTTCTGCCTTTAATATCACAGGCTTCCTAGCATCTTTCCCCAAAGTTAGTTCTCCCTAAATTGGCCTGGCACTTGCTGCTACCACTGTTAGCATTCACAACCTCAGTGGCACCTTCAATTGGTTCCAGAGCTGCCACATCAGCTGGTTGTAGGCGAGCAGCTCCACCATCCTGGCTGCATCATGTCCTGTCACTCCACAGCAGAGTGGGGTGGAGGTGCGGTGTGGAGTACCAAGGACTCCACTGTTGTGACCAGGCGAGCCCTAGGTAGTAAATGACTACTTGCTTGTCATTTAAGTTTTTTGGTGGTTTATTGAAATGGCAAAGACTGCTACTCACTTCTATTTCCTTAAAACACTTCTTTACATTTGGGGTCTCCTGCTCCATGATACATAGTGGTCTTTCATCCACTTATAGCCAGGTGAGTACACCTTGCCACAGGTAGTTTAAACATTACCCCAAAGGCTAATGTTCTTTTTTTTTTTTTGAGACAGGGTCTCACTCTGTCACCCAGGGTGGGGTGCAGTGGGGCGATCTTGGCTCACTGCACCCTCCACCCCCAAGGTTCAAGCGATTCTCCTGCCTCAGCCTCCCAAGTAGCTGGGACTACAAGCACTCACCACTATGCCTGGCTAACTTATTTTTCTATTTTTAGTGGAGGTGGGGTTTCACCATGTTGCCCAGGCTGGTCTCAAACTCCCGACTTCAAGTGATCCACCTGCCTTGGCCTGCCAAAGCGCTGGGATTACAGCCGTGAGCCACTGCGCGGACTAATGTTCATTTCTATTGTGTATCTTAAGGCAAACTTGTCTGTTCTCTAGATCAGGTTAAACATCTTATCCTATCATAGTAATTCTGTTTCAGTCTTCTTTTCCCCTAATGACAGGAAACTCTTATGAGCTGTATTCAATACACACTTATTTCTTCAGTATTTGCCAAAAAGCATACATATCTGCGTTTTTGTATGGCAATATCATTATGGTATTAGATGACTGATATTCAAAAACAGTAACATTTTGAGTATTTATTGTTTATTCCAAAGTCTGAACTTGATTTATTAGTAACTCCTAACTTTAAACAGGATCGCTTTTCTAAGAAATGATACAAAAGACTGCATTTATCAGAGTATTAATGCCATTAACCACTTTGTTTTTGAAGCTCAGTAACAGGCTATCAGATGTTTTTCTAGACTTCTTTTTACACTTACGGGGAAACTATTCCCTAATTGCAGCTCTTACATTTTACTTTGACAAGTATTATAAACACAGAGGCAGTAATCCTAGTAATAGTCTTGCAAATTTTCATTTCAAGGCGCTGACAATTGCTAGCAAACACCATCAGATTGTGAAAATGGACCTGAGAAGTCGGTATCTGGACTCTCTTAAGGCTATTGTTTTTAAACAGTATAATCAGGTGAGCCAATCAGTGACTCTCTTTAAAGGTAAATCTTTATTTTCTCTTTGACACAGGAGTTAGAAGCTACTGGGAAAATCTACCTCCGACAAGAGGAGATCATTTTAGATATTACCGAAATGAAGAAAGCTTGCAATTAGTGAACATGAAAGGAAAATAAAAATTCCTCACAGTCATCTTTTTATAATTGTATTGTGTTTTATACCACTCATTAGTCACTGGAGTCTGTGTTGTAGATCTCAGCTTCCAAATCACCTGATCACACTAGAATTTGTTTTCTCTTTAGAGAAACTTCACATTATCTTTTGAAGCTAAATATATTATTCTATGAAACAACAGAGAAGTAGAATTAACTTTTTGTCCCATCACTCAAGCAGGTTATACAGGCACTGGAATTAAAGGGAAAAGCAGTGGTTTTTTAAATCCCAAAGTTCATTTGTTAAAATAATTTGAATGTAATGTTCCCCTCTAATGACAAATACAGATCTGTCCTTACAGATGCAGGGGTGTTTTTTCAAACTATGCATGGCAGATGTCTGCATATGTGTTGACACTCCTGTGAGTGGATTGTTAATGCTCTGTGTATATCTTTGAGCCACTAGAGATGTTATACTTCTGTATTTTCATCTGTTCTAAGCAGAAAGAAGTGACAGCTCTCTGCAAGCAGTCCCTCTTTAAGGAAAAACTAACATTAAGAAGTTATATCATGAGGCCAGGCACAGTGGTTCACGCCTATGATCCCAGCACTTTAGGAGGCCAAGGTGGGAGGAATGCTTGAGCCCAGGAGTTTGAGATGAGCCTGGGCAGCATAGGGAGACCACATCTCTACAAAACAAAAAATAAATAATATATATTTTTTAAACTTAGATCATGATTTTCTTCTCTAGCCATCCCCTCCTACCTACTACCCTCTCACCAAATTGATATAAACTGTTCTGCTATAATACGACAGTAGTGGCCAGGCACCATGGCTCATGCCTGTAACCCTAGCTCTTTGGGAGGCCAAGAAGGGCAAATCCCTTGAGCCCAGGAGTTCAAGACCAGCTTGGGCAATATGGCGAAAACCCGTCTCTACAAAAAATACAACAAATAACCAGGCATGCCGGGCGCGGTGGCTCACACCTGTAATCCCAGCACTTTGGGAGTCCGAGGCGGGCGGATCACAAAGTCAGGAGATCAAGACCATCCTTGCTAACACGGCGAAACCTTGTCTCTACTAAAAATACAAAAAAATTAGCCAGGCATGGTGGCGGGTGCCTGTAGTCCCAGCTACTTGGGAGGCTGAGGCAGGAGAATGGCATGAAACCGGGAGGCAGAGCTTGCAGTGAGTGGAGATAGTGCCACTGCACTCCAGCCTGGGCGACAGAGTGAGACTCTGTCTCAAAAAAAAAAGTAGCCAGGTGTGGTGCCGCATGCCTATAGTCCCAGCTACCTGGGAGGCTGAGTTAGGAGGATCTCCAAAGCCCAGGGAGACTGAGGCTGCAGTGAGCCATGATCATGCCACTCACTCCAGCCCGAGCAACAGACTGAGATATTGTCTAAAAAAAAAAAAAAGACAGTGGCATTCTTACGAAAATCCACGTTGTCAAGCACAGAACTATAAAAACAATGGATTCAGTGGGTGAAGGTAGGAGAAGGGGTTCAAGAGATTCAGACTTACAGTAGGAAAGTTATTTTTCCAATCTCAGTAAGTTTTTTAGGGTTATGAAGATTGAGCACTGACGACGCTGAAATACCACAGTGCAAATGCTTCCGTAGATTCCCTGGGCTCTGCACTCACCAGATCCATTTCTATGATAAAGCACAGAGCTCCTCAAACAGAACAGTCGAGTTGCAGGCTCAGCAGCCTCCTTGTCAGTGTCCTGCTCAACTCAGCCAACTCAGCCAGGATATGGCTTTGGATCTTTCTGTTGGAAAAAAATAAACATTTGACATACTTTAATATACTAAAAAAAAAATTAATATCTGTACTTCAAGATGTCAAGATTAGTAAAATATTCACTTTTTTTTCCCTAGACCTTTGAAACTCACAACTCTACGACACCTCTACAGGAAAGAAGCCTTGGACTAGATATAAATAGTACGTGTGTGTTAATATGAAACTGAATTTTGGAAATGCATCATTCCCTTATAGATTTCTTTCACTTGGTAAAACGTGTATAGTAGGATCCTAATTTAAAACTTTTATTGTTTTCAGAAAAATTGAAAAGTAAATATCTGTTGAAGGAGGAAAGCTAATCTACCATAGTTCTCCTTTAGAATTTACTAGAATAACAATAAACAACAAAACAATAATTACAAAAACAAAAGTTAGCTAATAGTTGTTGAGCATTTCTTGTGTGCCAGGCACCACACTAAGATGTTTATATGTATTCTTTCCTTAATCTTCACAGTAGTCCTGTGAATAAGCGCCATTCATCAGGAAACTGGGTTTCAGGGAGGTATGGTAACTCTCTAGGCAAAGTCACACAGCTAAGGAGTGGCAAAACTGGGAGTAAAATCCAGGTACGTCTGGATCTGGAGCCCATGCTCTTAATGCGCTGGATAAACTTCTAGAACAATGAGAATCATGACTGTATTGCTACTCACAGATGTCTGAAGTCTCTCACTAGAAAACCCAAGAGAAAAGAGTACAGAACTACTAAAGTAAATTTACAAAAGTGGTGGGGTAAAATAAAAATTCATAAAAAAATGAAAACTTTCCTATCTCTTAGTAGAGATTTGGCAATGAAATGAAACAGTGCCACTGTTATAAACTAAACACTTTTATGATTTTCCAGTGTCATAGGAACTGCTGTTGATCTCATCTTAGGTAAAGAAATCAGGATATAAAATTGTGTGTATCTTACGATTCCAGTTTTAAAAATACATAGGTGAGGCTAGGAACAATGTTATGCATCTGTGGTCCCGGCTACTTGGGAGGTTGAGGAGGGAAGATCACGAGCCCAAGAGATCCAGTCCAGACTGGGCAACATAGTGAGACCCTGTCTCTCTTTTTTTTTTTTTTTTTTTTTTTTTTTTTAAGACAGAGTCTCACTCTATTTCCTAGGCTGGAATGCAGTAGCATGATTTCAGCTCACTGCAACCTCTGCTTCCCAGGTTCAAGCGATTCTCTTTCCTCAGCCTCCCAACTATCTGGGACTACAGGCGCCTGCCACCACACCTGGCTAATTTTTGTATTTTTAGTAGACATGGGATTTCACTATGTTGGCCAGGCTGGTCTGGAACTTCTGACCTCAAGTGATCCTCCCGCCTCAGCCTCCTGAAGTGCTGGGATTACAGGTGTGAGCCACCGTGCCCAGCCGAGACCCCATCTCTTAAAAAAAATACATATATAGGCTGGGTGCCATGGAGATATATATATATATATATGTGTGTGTGTGTGTGTGTGTATATATATGTGTGTGTATATATATATGTATATATATGTGTGTATATATATATGTATATATATATGTGTATATATATGTGTATATATATGTGTGTGTATATATATGTATATATATGTGTGTGTATATATATATACACATATATGCATCTTTATTTTTATTCACTGTAAAAAGAGCTAGGCAAAAATATACTAAAATGCTAACAGTGCTTATCTCTGGGTGGTAGAATTATGATTTTTATTTTCTCTTTTATCAACCTGTACTTCACTACCCTAAGAAACTTCCCTACACTAAGAAATTATTACAGCCAAGAGAAGAAGCAGTAAATATTATTTTAAAATTATACAAACAATTCGAAGGGTTAGGAATGAAAGGAGGATAATTTAAGGATGAAATATATTCCTAACGGCTGTTTTATTTGAAATCTTCCACCCATAGTGGATTCAAGGATCATTCATGAAAACATAGTAGAAAAAGAGAGAGTCCAACGAATAACTCAAGAAACATTTGGAGATTATCCTCAACCACAACTAGAATTTGCACAATATAAGGTAAGATGTCGTAATAAATATTAAGTACAAGATATCAACATTGTTTAAAAAGAACAAAAACCTTAAGTGGAAAACAGATCTAAGAAACTGTTCCTTTTTCACTTGTCACTTAAATTTCATGTAATAAATTTATGAATTAAATAGACCTCTTTATTGTATTTATAAGTTCCTCTGTTAGCAAAAGAGACCTTTAGAAATTATGAATCTGGGCTGGGCGTGATGGCTCACTGCAACCTCTGCCTCCCAGGTTCAAGCAATTCTCCTGCCTCAGCCTCCCGAGTAGCTGGGATTACAGGCACCTGCCACCTCACCTGGCTAATTTTTTTTTTTGGAGTTTTAGTAGAGACGGGGTTTCATCGTGTTGGCCAGACTGGTCTCGAACGGCTGGCCTCAGGTGATCCACCTTGCCTCGGCCTCCCAAGGTGTTGGGATTACAGACGTGAGCCACTGCGCCCAGCCATAAGTTGATAATTATTTTACCTGGGTGATGTGCACATGGGGCTCATACCGTGCTCCTTACTTTTGTATATGTTTAAAATCTTCCATAATTAGAAGTTAAAAAGATATCTCAGTTGGGCACAGTGGCTCACACCTATAATCCCAGCACTTTGGGAGGCTGAGGCGGGCGGATCCCTTGAACCCAGGAGACTGAGACCAGCCTGGGCGACACAGCAAAACCCTGTGTCTACAAAAATTCAAAAATACAAGGTGTGGTGGCATGTGGCTGTGGTCCCAGCTACTTGCACTGAAGCGGGAGAATGGCTTGAGCCAGGGAGGTCGAGGCTGCAATGAGCCATGTTCGTACCACTCCAACTTGGGCAACAAAGTAAGACTCTGTCTCAAAAAAGAAACAAAGAAAGAAATCTCAGTGTGACTCAAAAAAAATGTGGTATTTTTACATTGAAGTTACAGATTGCAAAAGATAGCACTAATTTTCCATTAAGAATGCAAACTGTAAAGGGCACCTGAGGGTGGAACTGACAGTCAGTATCTCCCATGTAGCAGGCACTGTGCATGCTGGCATTTTGCCTTGGATGTTGTTTGATACACCAGTTGCCCTCTATGTTTTGTTTTGTTTTTTTCTGAGATGCAGTTTCACTCTGTTGCCCAGGCTGGAGTGCAGTGGCACCATCTTGGCTCACTGCAGCCTCCGCCTCCTGGGTTCAAGCAATTCTCATGCCTTGGCCTCCTGGGTAGCTGGAATTACAGGTGCCCACCACCATACCCAGCTAATTATTGTATTTTTAGTTAAGACGGGGTTTCACCATGTTGGCCAGGCTGGTCTCAAACTCCTAACCTCAAGTGATCCACTCGCCTTGGCTTCCCAAAGTGCTGAGATTACAGGCATGAGCCACTTTGCCCGACCTGCCCTCTATGTTTGCAGTTAGCAGATTAAATGGTCCCCACCCCTGTTAATTCCTGTATTTCTTAATGGCAAGAATTAATGAAACGTATCATTATGATTTCATTATATTTTACCATTCGTATTTATACAATATGTTTAATAGTCATTTATAAATGTTTGTTGACAGCTTGAAACGAAATTCAAAAGTGGTTTAAATGGGAGCATCTTGGCTGAGAGGGAAGAACCCCTCCGATGCCTAATAAAGTTCTCTAGCCCACATCTTCTGGAAGCATTGAAATCCTTAGCACCAGCGGGTGAGTGGTCAGCTTACTCTATAAGCTAGAAAAATTAACAACATGCCTCCATTCCATCCTTATAATCTGCTAATTACTTCTGAGCTCACCCATCACCCTAGTCTGCTAGCCCATCCTGCTCTCTCTTGCATCTTCTGCTTCTGTACTTAATAGGGAGGAGGGGCATCTATGATCCACCCTCTAATCTCAGCCATTTTTAAACTGACTCAAATCCATCCTCCTGTGATGACTTTTAATTTTCTTTTTCCCTTTTTTTTTTTTTTAATTTCAGGTATTGCAGATGCTCCACTTTCTCCACTGCTCACTTGCATACCCAACAAGAGAATGAATTATTTTAAAATTAGAGATAAATAAGACGTGCGTGGTTTCTTAAGCACAGCTCCTCCTTCTTGATATTGCACATGCACTTCAGTTCATGGCTAGCTGTATAGCTTCCGTCTGTAAACTTGTATTTTCAAGAATCCTTGGTATTGAATTTTTAGAAATGCTCACATAATTGTTGGGACTGATTCATTCCTCCACGATATGCCTCCTCTCTCTGATATCCTGCTAACTGTAGCCGTTGTGGCATTTGAGATGACAGGACATATATATATATGGCCCCACACTTGACCTTGAGTGCCTGAATGCTCTGAAATCAAGCATATGGCACAGCGCTCAAGACTTTTGGGTTTGTGTCCTTTTTTCTATGGCTGTCTCTTCTCAATTCTGGAGAGGTCTGGTTCCAGTGGCTGGTTTCCAGGGATTGATTCTTAAGCTCTGGATCACAGAGAGAAGCAACAAGGAACTATACTCAACTCAAAACTTTTTAGGAGAATCATGAAATTGGTCTATTCAAAGGATGGAGTTGAGTCCATTCTGTTATTGTTGCAAGAGGTTGCATATTTGGTGAGTCAGTTATATAAAATAGTGTTCTTATTGTAAATATGATACTTCTCATAATCTATTTTATCATGTGTATAACATTCAAACTGACAAATATATTGACTTATGAATAAAGGTGTCAAAAAACTGGCACATCAGTTAATTTTGATCAAAGTACTTCAGTGATCATCACTAAATACCCTATCTTTTTAAAAATTTTTTCCTTTCTAATTTTTTATTTCTTTATTTATTTATTGAGACAGGGTCTCACTGTGTCACCCAAGCTGGAGTGCAGTGGCATGATCATGGCTCACTGCAGCCTGGACCTCCCAGGCTCAAGTGATCCTTCCACCTCAGCCTCCCGAATAGCTGGGATTACAGACGCGCTCCATCCTGCCCAGCTAATTTTTTTTTTGTTTGTTTTTTGTTTTTTGAGACAAGTCTCCTTCTATCGCCCAGGCTGGAGTGCAATGGCACAATCTTGGCTCCCTGCAACCTCTGCCTCCTGGGTTGAAGAGATTCTCCTGCCTCAGCCTCTGAGTAGCTGGGACTACAGGCCTGCACCACCATGCCCAGCTAATTTTTGTATTTTTAGTAGAGACAGGGTTTCTCCATGTTGCCCAGGCTGATCTCAAACTCCTGGGCTCAAGCAATCTGCCCATTTTAGCCTCCTAAAATGCTGGGATTATAGGAGTGTATTAGTCTATTCTCATGCTGCTAATAAAGATACCTAAGACTGGGTAATTCACAAAGGAAAGAGGCTTAACTGACGCACATTTCCACGTGGCCAGGGAGGCCTCACAATCATGGTGGAAGGCAAATGAGAAGCAAAGTCATGTCTTACATGGCGGCAGGCAAGAGAGCTTGTGCAGGGAAACTCCCATTTATAAAACCACCAGAGCTCATGAAACTTATTCACTACCATGAGAATAGTATGGGGGAAATCGTTCCCATGACTCAAGTATCTCCACCTGGCCCTGCCCTTGTCACATGGGGGTTATTACAATTCAAGGTGACACTTGTGTGGAGACACAGCCAAACCATATCACAGGCATGAGCTACCACGCCCGCCAGCATGTCTTTTTTAAACATTTTAAAATCTATTCTTTATCTTGTTTCAGAGAGGATTTGGAGTTACAGAAACACATTAGACTGGGCATGGTGGCTCACACTTGTAATCCCAGCACTTCAGGAGGTTTCTCCTAGTGTACTCTCACACTTCTGATACCAGATATGTGGGGGAGGGGGTTTCCCCCACACATTAAGCAAGTGTGAAACATGATATAGAAAAATGACTTCACTCTGGGCCGGGTGTAGTGGCTCACGCCTGTAATCCTAGCACTTTGGGAAGCCGAGGTGGGCAGATCACCCGAGGTCAGGAGTTCGAGACCAGCCTAGCCAACATGGCAAAACCTTGTCTCTACTAAAAATAGAAAAATTAGTTGGGGGTAGTGGCAGCCGCCTGTAATCCCAGCTATTCGAGAGGCTGAGGCAGGAGAACTGGTTGAACCGGGGAGGCAGAGGTTGCAGTGAGCCAAGATCATGCCACTGCACTCTAGCCTGGGTGACAGAGTGAAACTCTGCCTCAAAAAATAAAATAAAGGCCAGGCATGGTGGCTCACGCCTATAATCCCAGCACTTTCAGAGGCCAAGGCAGGTGGGTCACAAGGTCAAGAGTTTGAGACTAGCCTTAGCAACATGGTGAAGGTGAACCCCGACTCTACTAAAAATACAAAAATTAGCTGGGCCTGGTGGTGTGCACCTGTAATCCCAGCTACTTAGGAGGCTGAGGCAGGAGAATCGCTTGAACCCGGGAGACATAGGTTGCAGTGAGCCGAGACTGCACCACTGCACTCCAGCCTAGGTGACAGAGTGAGACTCCATCTTAAAAAATAAATAAATAAAATAAAATAAATGACATCACTTTGGTTCAGAGCTCTAAAATGGAGGGAGGAAGCCATTCTAAAAAGGACTCCCTACATGACCTGCAACTTGAAAAAAAATTAAAAGCTCCAAAAAAAAAACAATACAGGAGCTTACCTTGAACCTTTGAATTGGGCCAAATTGCGATGACCACTGCATCCTGGAAAATTTTATTTCACCAGCACTACAACTCCTCAACAGCACCAACCAATAAACTATGGATTTTTGTACTAAGCCAGTTGCCTCTTTCAAAACAACTTGTCAACTTGTCTAATCACCCTCAGCTTTTTTTAAAAACCCCTCCTCTACCCTCTCTCTTCAGAACACAAGTGGCTTCTAGCTGAATCTGTCTCCCAAATTGCAATTCCTAAGACCTCAATAAAAACACCTTGTCTTGCTGCTTTGCAGTGTGGTCTTTTGCCCCTTGGATGACATTAAATGGTGTCAGAATTGAGTGGGACAAAAAAGCAACTCCCTTCTTTGTTCTGGTGCGGCCACGGATTCGAGCACAGTTCCTGCAGGAGGAACCCCTTGTGTTCCACACCTCTCCCATGGCCACGGATTCTGTTTACGAGTTGTCTCATTCCTTAACCCCCTACCTTGGTTGAGGTTCTTTATCCAACGTCCTTGGTTGCCAGCTGTCCAGTAGCTGGGATTACAGGCACGTGCCACCATGCCCAGCTAATTTTTGTATTTTTAGTAGAGACAGGGTTTCACCATGTTGGTCAGACTGGTCTCAAACTCCTGACCTCAAGTGATCCTGCCGCCTCGGCCTCCCAAAGTGCTGGGATTACAGGTGTGAGCCTCAGTGCCCAGCCAAAATTCTATTTAACTTGATTTTTCTCTTCATGGCCAACTCACTGTTTCATTTGTGAAACTACTAGGGAAATTTCAGACTAGGGAATATTGAGGCACAGAAAATGATGGTACTTTGGCATGCTGGATGCTTTTGAAAATGGAAAGGCCTGAGAAATACACTTGAGAGTCAAGGTCCCTCCAACCTTGTCTTATTCTTGCCTCAACCAAGGGCAGAGAGGAACTCCCTCTGGAATTTCCTTGTCTGACTAAGAAAGCTTCTTACTAAAAGAAACACAGTTGCCTTCTATTCTGTCCTTCAAATCTCATTATCTATCAAAAAATGAAGACTGAGGAATAGAGCCACATATGGATGGACCTTTTCATAAGGCCTGCCCCTCAGGCTCATTCAGATTCCAAAGAGAATCATTTACAAGTTAATTTCTGTCTCCCTGGTCCATTTACTCTCCCTTATAATAATTTACTGCTCCTCAGAAGAATTACACACGTTCCCCATCTCCTTACTCTCCTATGAAAAAGGGTATATAAGCGTCCACACCCCATTGGGGGTTGGGGAATCATCACTCTGATGCCTCCCCTCCCCACCAGGCACGTTAATAAAACTTGTATGTCTTTTCTCCTATTAATCCGTCTTTTATCAGTTGATTTTCAGTGTTTTTTTTTTTTTAGCACTTGTTTGCAGGATCCAAAAGCTGCTCTGCTATTCTGGAAGCCACAGTCAAGGGACCCAGGACCCGAGCAGCTGGCAGAAGGACTTGTACCTTCTGTTTGTCCCATTGTATCCAAGATGTTAAAATCATGATGTCACAACATTTAGACATTTAAATGGTTAATCAAATGTATGTCTCTCCTGATATACAGCTAACTGCTATAGACTAATGCAGGCCTCCTTGTTAAAATGGACCCTTTGTTACTCAAATTTGACCAATCTTGGAAGCTTGGATGTGCACTGACTTGACAACCACTTTTTGTGGGACATAACACTCTAGACACAGGTGCTTCTAGCTCTAAGGGGAACAGATAACTAATCTGTGGCCAACCAACCAATGATTAATCAGCTATGCTGCCTCGGATCTTGATCAAAAAAGGAAAATGTGAAAAGTGATACACAAAATGGCATCACTTTGGTTCAGAGCTCTAAAATGGAGTTGGGAAGCCATTCTAAGAAGGACTGCCTGCACAATCTGCAACTTGCAAAACACAAAAACAAAAAATATGAACTTGCCTTGAAGCTTTGAACTGGGCCAAAACTGCAATAACCACTACATCCTGGAAAACTGAATTTCACCAGTGCTACAACTCCTGAACAGCGGCAACCAATCAACTATGGATTCATGTACTAAGCCAGCCACCTCCACCAATGATAATTCTTTCAAAACAATTTGTGTATTAACCCTCTGCTTTCTTTTAAAAACATCTACTTCTCTCCCTCTTTTCAGAACCCCATTTGGCTTCTAGGTGAATCTGTGTCTCCCAAATTGTAATTTCTAAGACCCCAATCAAAATGCCTTGTTTGGCTGGACGTGGTAACTTGCATCTATAATCCCAGCACTTTCGGAGGCCGAGGCAGGTGGATCACTTGACCCCAAGCTGGCCAAAATGGCGAGACCCTGTCTCTTTTCTTTTTTTTTTTTTTAATTAAAAAAAAATGCCTTGTCTTACTGCTTTGCAGTGTGGTCTTTCACCTCTTCTTTTTTTTTTTTTTTTTTTTGAGACAGTCTTGCTCTGTCACCAGGCTGGAGTACAGTGGTGCGATCTTGGCTCACCACAACCTCCGTCTCCTGGGTTCAAGCGATTCTCCTGCCTCAGCCTCCTGAGTAGCTGGGATTACAGGCGTGCGCACCACACCCGGCTAATTTTTGTATTTTTAGTAGAGACAGAGTTTCACCATGTTGGCCAGGATGGTCTCGATCTCTTGACCTCGTGATCCGCCCTGCCTCGGCCACCCAAAGTGCTGGGATTACAGGCGTGAGCCACCATGCCTGGCCCTTTCACCTCTTCTTGGTTGACATAAGCAATCAGTTCTACAGCAGATACCAGCTGGGTATGCTCCAGTTCAATTCCAACACTAACTACCTGGCGATATCATCAGACCCCATAGGTTAAGGGCTCAGTCCCACAAAACTGCCACCCACTTCTGAGGCCAGTTGCCAGCCCCAGGTTGTTTCACCTGCGCTTCTGACTAACCAGCTATAAATTGCATTTCCCACAACCCTCTCTTCATGTTCAATTAATTTGCTAGGGCAGCTCACAGAACTCAGGAAGACACATAGACTGACTTCTTACAAGGGATGTTACAAAGGATTCAGATGAAAAGATGCATAGGGCAAGAGCTTCCACGCATGCCCTCTTTGAGTGCGCCTCCCTCCAGGAAACTCCATGCATTCAGCTATCTGGAAGTTCTCCAAACCCATTTCTTTTGGGATTTTATGGAGGCTTCATTACCTAGGAATGATTGATCAGCTTAAGCTTCAGCCCCTGTCTCCTCCCCAGAGGTTGAGGGGGAGGGCTGAAAGTCTCAAGCCTCTAATCCTACCTTGGTCTTTCCAGTGACCAGTCCCATCCTAAAGCTACCTAGGGACTGTGAGTCATCAGTCAACTAATTAGCATACAAAAAAACACCAATTTGCTGATTCCAAGGATTTTAGGAATTGCATGCCAGGACAAAGACCAAATATATACTTCACATTATCACAGTTATCTTGCAAGGCAAAGGGACTTGGCAGTTGGAGAAATTATCCTGGATGATTTGAATGGGCCCAATGTCATCACAGGGGGCCTCAAGAATAGAAGAATCAGAGGGATCACTACTGAAGAAATCAGAGTGATGTGATGTGACGAAGACTCAACTCACCGTTACTGATTCTGGAGATGGAGGAAGGGTCCGCAAGCCAAGGAATGTAGGCAACCTCTAGAAGCTGGGAAAGGCAAGTGAACAGATTCTCCCCTGGAGCCTTGGGAAGGAATACAGCCCTGCTGACACCTTGATCTTAGCCCAGCAGTCTCATTTCTTTTGACCTCCAGAGCTGGAAGATAATAAATTTGTGTTAAGGCAGTAAGTTTGTGGTAATTTATTAATAGCAAGAGAAAACGAATATAGCTGCTAGTATGTAAAAGGTGGAAATTTTCACATAAAACTCTAGCCATACCAAAGATGAGTAGCAGCTGCCCCCTTTTAATAAAGGATGTGTTTCCAATTTCACTGCAGTCCTCACCCCTCCCTTTTGTCTACCCCAGCCTCCTATGTCCATTTACATGAACTACCCAGTCTAAGTATTAAGTTTTGTAATCGTATACTGAACTGCAGTGTCTCCCAAACAGTAATCCTAATTTCAGCAGCTAAAATAGAAGCAAGCAAATCCAGCCTTCTTAAAATGATTAATCCTATCAATAATAACAATCTTTTCATTTGTATAGTGTGGTCTAGGTCAAGTTACTTAATTTATATAAGCCTAAATGTCCTTCTCTGCACAAGGTGGGGCAAGTTACAGTACATACCCGCTACAGTCGTTTTGAAGACAAAATGAGACACAGCATGAAAAGTGCATCCACCAGACCCACCTGGTACCCAGTAAGGCCTAGGTAATAAACAACGGCGGAAATCAGTGTACTTCTGCCTCACCTGCCACTAGACATTTGGGTTGTTTCTAATCTTTGGGAAGTAAACGCATTGCTCAACGTATTGCTTTTTCTTTTATGTGACTACTGCCTGAAGTCACTTTCCTAGGAAGAATGGATCGATTAGAGAGGCGGGGCAATACCTTTTACCTGCTGGCAGGTGAAATTTCGCCTCCTGGCGGCGTCACCTAAAGTCCTCTCCCTCCAAGGCGCGCCCTCCGCGGCCGGCAGGGGGCGCCGCGGCCGCCTGGGCCCGCCGGATGCTAACAAGCCTGGCGGCCTCGCCCCCTGCCGGAAGTGGCTGCGGCGGGGGCGGGGCCTACGAACTGGGCCGGGCGGCCGTGCGGGAGCCATGGCGGCCTCGGAGGCGGCGGCGGCGGCGGGGTCCGCGGCTCTGGCGGCGGGTGCCCGGGCCGTCCCGGCGGCCACGACAGGAGCCGCCGCCGCCGCCTCGGGCCCGTGGGTGCCCCCGGGACCCCGACTGAGGGGCAGCCGGCCGCGGCCCGCGGGGGCGACGCAGCAGCCCGCTGTCCCCGCGCCGCCGGCGGGGGAGCTGATCCAGCCGTCGGTGAGCGAGCTGTCCCGGGCCGTGCGGACCAACATCCTGTGCACCGTGCGCGGCTGCGGCAAGATCCTGCCCAACAGCCCCGCGCTCAACATGCACCTAGTCAAGAGCCACCGCCTGCAGGTGAGCCCGACGCGGCCGGCGGCCCGGGGGGCCGGGCCTGGCTCCAACAAAGCGCCCGGCGCCGGCGCGCGAAGCCGGCCTCGGGGGGACGAGCGCCCTGCGCGCTGCCGCTGCCGCTGCCCCACCGGCCTCTGCCCTCCCCGGCCGGAGGCGGCTCTCGAACCCTCGCGGCAGGCGCCGCAGGTGCGGCCTCTGGGGGGGAGGAGGAGCTGGGAGCCCCGGGTCCGCCGTACGCGCCAGTTCCCTGGTTCCCTGGCTCCCTGGCCCCGAGTGTCGTGCCGGACGCCGGCCCAGGCTTTTTACACTTTTTTGCCTGTGAGTTCTTAACGGCGTTTTGGCGAGGGACGCATCGTCTCCATTATATTAATGAGAAACAGATTATGCAACCTAGATGATGCGGGGCTTTAAACCGGGGCCTCTGGTTCTAAAGCCCTGTGCTTGCCACGACACCCACAATGCCGCCCTTGGGTCCTGCCCAGTGGACTGTATGTGCCACAATAACTAGAAGAGAGGGTTTTAAATGTTCTCACCACCAAGAGACAATACGTTTGAGGTCGAGGACATGTTAAACACTCTGACTTGATCACTATGCAATGTATATGTCCATCCATGCTGCACACCGCACCCCATCAGTAGGAATAATTACTGTGTGTCGATTATGAATAAAAAAATGTTTTAAAGGAGCGGTAGGTTTGCCTCTAAACACCATCAGTCAGTTTCACGGTGTTGGTAAGATCAGCTCAGGACTGAGACCTAAGGGAAATTGCCCCTGTGGCTCTTCTTTAAGAGGGGGACACAGTAAATACACCATGACAATAGTCTCAACAACCCTCCACGTTATGCAAAACAGGGCAGTCATTTTCAACCTTGGGACACATCTGTGACAAGCTTATTAAAAATCCAGATGTCCAGCCCCACCCCGGACCTGTTAAGTCACAATCTCTCAGTCATTACAATGGCAAGTTTCCTTCCACCACTCTAGGCCAGCAGTGACATAATTCAAAAGCGCAAGTCATTGAAAGCAGTTCTGCGAATATGTAGCTTTTGATGATCAGGAGTAAATTTAGAGTACCCAGAATATTGCATGTTCTGTCTGCCCATAGTCAGGCTTCTGATAAGAATTTCACAGCAGAAAACTCTGAGGTTGTAGTCTCTAGTAGGACAGATGTGTCGCCAATGAAGAGTGATCTGCTCTTACCACCATCTAAACCGGGATGCAACAACGTTCTCAATTGAAGATCAGGGAGCCAGTCAGGAAATGTACCTGAGGTATGCTGAGGAAGACCGTGCAGGTGGGGCCGAATTGTTGGACTGAAAAGCTCTGGGTTTCTTTCAGCACTCAAGTGTAACTCTGGGAATGGCTTTCAACCTGTTGTTTTGTTTTCATACTAAATTTTAACTAAATCCTTTTCTTCCCTATTGTTTTTGTGTTTTTTTGTTTGTTTTTGAGACAGAGTCTCACTCCATCACCCAGGCTGGAGCGCAGTGGCGCCATCTCAGCTCACTGTAACCTCTGCCTCCGGGGTTCAAGCAGTTCTCCTGCCTCAGCCTCCCTAGTAGCTGGGATTACAGGCACCTGCCACCACACCCTGCTAATTTTTTTTTGTATTTTTAGTAAAGACAGGTTGCACCATGATGGCCAGCTTGGTCTCGAACTCCTGACCCTCAGGTGATCCACCCACCTCAGCCTCTTAAAGTGCTGGGATTCCAGGTGTGAGCCACCGCGACCGACCTAAATCCTTTATTTAATCATAACTTAGGTGGATGAACTATTTCTTAATAGTTTCTGTTGTTCCTTTCTGTGGAGTTGTTGTTAGGAGCTCTAGCTCTTTAAAGACCCTGGTAAACATCTGTTGAACATAAAGATACCATTTGCCTTTCAGGACTGGTTAGTATACAGTAGGTTTGTTTCTAATTATGTTGGGTTTTTTTTGTTTTGTTTGAGACAGAGTCTCACTCTGTCGCCCAGGCTGGAGTGCAGTGGCGCCATCTTGGATCACTGCAACCTCTGCCTCCCAGGTTCAAGCGAGTCTCCTGCCTCAGCCTCCCTAGTAGCTGGGATTACAGGTGCATACCACCACGCCCAGCTAATTTTTGTATTTTTAGTAGAGGTGGGGTTTCACCATGTTGGCCAGGCTGGTCTCGAACTCCTGACCTCAAGTGATCCACCCGCCTCAGCCTCCTAAAGGGCTGGGATTACAGGTGTGAGCCACTGTGCCCAGCCAGGGCAAACTTTTTTTTAGCAGGAATTATACCTCACCAGATCCATCATTTTTTTCTTGACAAGCAGACTGACTTTCCTGTCTTGTCCTGGCTTTCTAACCGCAGTGCCCAGTGGCCCCTGAGCAGCTCCTGTCTTGGTGTCTTCCTTTAATGAAGGTTGTCTGTGTGATGCAATAGCCATCTATATGATGGTGCCCAGTATGGAGATCTGTACCTTGTCTGGTTACTACATAGAAGGCTTTTCAGGGTCTTGCTCTGTTAACCCAGGTTGCTGTCAGGCTCTTGAGCTCAAGTGATCCTCCTGCTTTAGCCTCCCCAGTAGCTGAGACTATAGGCTCCTGCCACCATGCCCTGCCTCAAACATTGTTCTTTTTGTTTGTTTGTTTGAGACAGTCTCACTCTGTCGCCCAGACTGGAGTGCAGTGGCATGATCTCGGCTCACTGCAACTTCCGCTTCTCGGGTTCAAGCAGTTCTCTTGCCTCAGCCTCCCGAGTAGTTGGGACTACAGGCATGCTCCACCACGCCCGACTAATTTTTGTTTTATTAGTAGAAACAGGGTTTCGCCATGTTGGTCGGGCTGGTCTTGAACTCCTGACCTCAAGTGATCCGCCCGCTTCAGCCTCCCAAAGTACTGGGATTACAAGAGTGAGCCACTGCGCCAGGCCTCAAACATCAATGTTGATACCTGTTTTCAAAGTACTGGAAGAAGGTAGGGGTAAGGACAAGGAACCGGGAGGAAGGCTGGCTGGGAAGCTATCTTAGGTTTTAAGAGCTGTGTTGACCAGAGACTCCATCCACTTTCTGCCCTGAGTATCTTATTGGCAGGTTTTCTTATAGTCAGTGGAAATTTTCGGTCTTAGTTACAGCTGCTTGCATAATTTCTTTCATTGTTTATATATTTTCTAGATTATATTTTCTTCCCCTCCCCACTAGTTGCTGTTGGTTCTTATTTTATTCTAATCTTTCTTCCCAAAACACCCCACCCCCAACCAAATCTTCCCTTCTTAACATAAATGATGAGCAACGAGGATGGGTGAGAATGAGGAATTGGATTGCAAACTGTAGAGTATGTGCCGCCTTCTGGTTTGATGTGGGTGCCTAAGGTATATGGCCATATTCCATATCCTGTAAGGAAATCCAGAAATCTAGCCCAGCCTTGTGTATGGTGGGATTCATGGAGAAATGAAAGCCATGAGGATTCAGGGGCAGGAAGAGCAGAAGTAAATGTACATTTTTTTATTCCTAGAGATTCTTTTGTTCCTTGTGTGTGAAAGCAGTGGAGGGGACAGGCAGGCACTTAAAGAACCTCTTATCAAGCAACATTTATATTGTAAAACATGGCTTAGAGGATTTTGTGTTATTTTTAGTCCAGAGGTTTGTTTTTAATGATTTGCCAGAAATTTTTTAAGGAAAGGAAAGGTTCCAAGTTACTCTATAGACTATACTGTACAAAGATTTCTAATTTTAAATTTAGAATAAGATGACAAAGCAAACCGTTTCCTTCTTGGATGCTTTCTCGGAAGGCAGTCAGGTGGTGCTAGAGTAGCTAGACAGACAGTTTTTCCTAGTTTTTGCTACAGTTCTTACAATCGTTTCTTTTCACCCTCTACTCTTCAACTGTGTCTTACTTTTCCTCTTGTATATTTTCTTTCTGTCTTGTTACTGGATTGTTTCCTCTCATAGGTTCTCTTTTCAGTTATGCGCACAAAAGATACAGTACAAAAAGTCCAGTGCATTTTATTCTTGAAAGTATATAGAACTTCAGAATGAAAACACCACTTTCTCACTGCACTTCCATTTTATCGTGCCATTGCCATTTCTCATCTGAGCCATCCTACCCTTGAGCTTATTCTCTGAGGACAGAAATGGGAAGAAGGCCCCAGAAGCAGTGGGTGGGGGTGGGAGGAGGCTGCTGTGCTGGTGAGTGGTGGGGTGTTGGCTCTCAGAAAACAGGAGCATGGACAGTGTCAGCTTGTTGCCATGACAGTGAGGTTATTAACATCCACTTAGACTGTCTTCAGTGGTCTCTTACCCAGGCATGATAGTTTTGGCTTAGATGGCTACCTGAAGAGATTCAGTATAATGCTACCAGTTTTTATTGAACATTTATTCTGTTCAAAACATTCCCAAAGGCAACAGAAGATACAAATAAATCTCTGCCCATGTAAAGGTGTGGGGGGCATTAGAAGGCGTTCTCTTCGGTGTAATGAAGTAATGAGAGAAGAAAAAGTAGTTTGAAGCTATGGAGTAAGGGACTTTGAGTATCCCAGGCTCAAAAAGTTGGGACTTGAACAGTACGGGGGTGCTGCTGAAAACGTTTGAGGGAGGTAATGACATGATCGAAGCTATACTTGAGAAAGGTGAATCTGATAAAGTATGAGTGAAAAAGAGACTGAAGGTCTAGAAATTAGATTGAGGCTAATGACAAAATCCACATAAATAGGAGGACTTGAACGAAGGGGCACTTAGAAGAGGACAGGAGATAGTAAAAGGCATTCAATGATGAGAGCACACACTACAGGGGAGCATGAGGGAGGTTGGAAAAGATAATGAAAGGATTACCGAGCTTCACTGACGATGTGTTTGAAATGAGCAGGAATCTTGTAGTGATCCTAATCCGTGGTTTTCTGGAGCATTTCACAGCCTAGGAACATACAAGGGGGGCATCTCCCTGGAATGTAAATTGACTAAGAGGAATTCAGTAATGGTCAAATGAATGCAGAATTTTAGAGTCTTGCTTAGTATTCTCACCACATTTCGTTTAATCTACTCATACTCTTTTTCTCTTACTGCTGACACTAGATGGAAAAACTCTTAATTAAAAGTATTTCACAAAATGTGCTCGTTTTCAGTCATTCCGTTTCCACTCCAGCCTGTTGTGTTGTTTTTTTGAAATAATAATTTAAAGTAATTTTCCTTTTGCAGGATGGCATAGTCAATCCAACAATAAGAAAAGATTTGAAAACTGGACCGAAATTCTACTGCTGTCCAATTGAAGGCTGCCCCAGAGGCCCTGAGAGACCGTTTTCTCAGTTTTCTCTCGTAAAACAGGTACTCTCTACTCTGAGGATGAGATACAGATGCTAAAAACCTATTGTGCATTCTGATTACTTAGCAGACATAACTACAGAATTGAGTAGACAGCTGCTTGTGAGGGGAGATGCCTGCGTGTCTCCCAGTTGGTATAAACCTGAGTATGCTGTTACACAAGTGGAGGGAAAAGCGGCACGGTCTGGAGGGAATATGTCTAGAACTGAGTTAAAATACAGAGAGAGAGAGTAAACCAGTTCAGCAAAGAATGAGAAAATGTTTGCTCGCAGATCTCCTGTGTGAGTCTGCATACCTCCAAGGGCCCAGCGCAAAGGCACAAAGGAACTGTTCTCCCAGGGGAATAAGAACCTGCAGAATCCAGGAAAAGAAGAGTTTTGGAAGCCGCAATCTTAAGAGGAGGGAGGGCCCCAGTGACTGGGACAAGAGGTGATTCAGAACTGGAAGAGATTGGCATCTGAAATGTTCCCCTGAGGGTCTGCTGGAGGGCGTCCTGAGAAGAGCATTGTAAAGACATTTTTTTCCTGCCTGCAGCACTTACAGATCAGAGTGTAAATGCTGGAGACCATAGATGTTTCCAAAACAATCTCCTCACTTTTCACAAAGCAAAAGCAACAAGAAGAGGCATATATATAATTAACTGCGATGTTCCTGCTTTTACATTCTTTTGACTTGGACTGCTGTATTTTATGTTATTTATATTAATAGTGTAAAATCATTATTAATTTGGGTGTATGATGGTTTCTGAAATGTTTTGACCAGTTGCTGTTTTTCACCTTAGTCCCTTCTGCGTTCCTCCTAGCACTTTATGAAAATGCATGCTGAGAAGAAGCACAAATGTAGTAAGTGCAGCAATTCGTACGGTACAGAATGGGACCTGAAAAGACATGCAGAGGACTGTGGCAAGACCTTCCGGTGCACATGCGGCTGTCCCTACGCCAGTAGAACAGCACTGCAGTCTCACATCTACCGAACTGGGCACGAGATACCTGCAGAACACAGGTGAAGGGAAAGAAATGATGGCACAGAAGTCAGTAGCTATGGGAAGCATTTCAGATGAAACATCCTGGAGAGCCAGTGGTGTGGGGAGGAAAAAGGAATCTTAGAAAATGTGTGACGTGGAAGAAGGAAGCTTTTGAAAATGGAAGCAGGTCTTGCAAATGACACATGTCTGGGCCTGAAATCTTGACCCAATTGTTCCCCCTATTTTTTTCTGCCAGCCCTCTTTGAGAGTCCCTTGTTATTTCCATTTGAAAATCTCAGCTTCCAGAATTTTCTATCAGAGGGAACCAAACTGCCAACAAATAAGTTTTATCATGAAACTGTACTTCATTTAAAGGTCAAATTTTCATTTAGTGTGATAGCTTCCTGCCTTAGAAATGATAAAACTTGCATTATGTAAGTCTTTTAGCTTCTTTTGGCTTAAAGATCTGAGTTGAGTTCTAGTACTTAGAGCTTAACAAAAGGTATGTTTCCTCCTTCTCTGTTTGCATGTTTCTCAAAGTTCACCTGCTATAATAGGACCAACTCCCAGAGTTGCGAAAGAATGGATTTATCTTGTCTGGGTTGAACATGACCTCTGCTATAGATGGGGGAAATGGCATTTGTAAGTGAGGATAGAGTGTCATGGTCGAAGAAAGTTGTATTTTAAGGTTTTCTTTTTGCTCTGTCATTGTTTTCAGGGACCCACCTAGTAAGAAAAGGAAAATGGAAAACTGTGCACAAAACCAGAAGTTATCCAACAAGACCATTGAATCATTGAACAACCAACCAATCCCTAGACCAGACACTCAAGAACTAGAAGCTTCAGAAATAAAGCTAGAACCATCTTTTGAAGACTCTTGTGGCTCTAACACTGACAAGCAGACTCTTACAACACCACCGAGATATCCTCAGAAGTTGCTTTTACCAAAGCCCAAAGTGGCTTTGGTTAAACTACCCGTGATGCAGTTTTCTGTCATGCCTGTCTTTGTGCCTACAGCCGACTCCTCAGCCCAGCCTGTGGTGTTAGGTGTTGATCAGGGCTCTGCCACAGGGGCTGTGCACTTAATGCCCTTGTCAGTAGGAACCCTGATCCTCGGCCTAGATTCAGAGGCTTGCTCTCTTAAGGAGAGCCTACCTCTTTTCAAAATTGCTAATCCTATTGCTGGTGAGCCAATAAGTACTGGTGTTCAAGTGAACTTTGGTAAAAGTCCATCTAATCCTTTACAAGAACTAGGGAACACGTGTCAAAAGAATAGCATTTCTTCAATCAACGTGCAGACAGATCTGTCTTATGCCTCACAAAACTTTATACCTTCTGCACAGTGGGCCACTGCTGATTCCTCTGTGTCGTCTTGTTCTCAAACTGATTTGTCGTTTGATTCTCAAGTGTCTCTTCCCATTAGTGTTCACACTCAGACATTTTTGCCCAGCTCTAAGGTAACTTCATCTATAGCTGCTCAGACTGATGCATTTATGGACACCTGTTTCCAGTCAGGTGGGGTCTCCAGAGAAACTCAAACCAGTGGGATAGAAAGTCCAACGGATGACCATGTACAGATGGACCAAGCTGGAATGTGCGGAGACATTTTTGAGAGTGTTCATTCATCATATAATGTTGCTACAGGTAACATTATAAGCAACAGTTTAGTAGCAGAGACAGTAACTCATAGTTTGTTACCTCAGAATGAGCCTAAGACTTTAAATCAAGATATTGAGAAATCTGCACCAATTATAAATTTCAGTGCACAGAATAGTATGCTTCCTTCACAGAACATGACAGATAATCAGACCCAAACCATAGATTTATTAAGTGATTTGGAAAACATCTTGTCAAGTAATCTGCCTGCTCAGACATTGGATCATCGTAGTCTTTTGTCTGACACAAATCCTGGACCTGACACCCAGCTCCCATCTGGCCCAGCCCAGAACCCCGGAATCGATTTTGATATCGAAGAGTTCTTTTCGGCCTCAAATATCCAGACTCAAACTGAAGAGAGTGAACTTAGCACCATGACCACCGAGCCAGTCTTGGAGTCACTGGACATAGAGACTCAAACGGACTTCTTACTCGCAGATACCTCTGCTCAGTCCTATGGGTGTAGGGGAAATTCTAACTTCTTAGGCCTTGAGATGTTTGACACACAGACACAGACAGACTTAAACTTTTTCTTAGACAGTAGCCCTCATCTGCCTCTGGGAAGTATTCTGAAACACTCCAGCTTTTCCGTGAGTACTGATTCATCTGACACAGAGACCCAAACTGAAGGAGTCTCCACTGCTAAAAATATACCTGCTCTAGAAAGCAAAGTTCAGTTGAACAGTACAGAAACACAGACCATGAGTTCTGGGTTTGAAACCCTGGGGAGCTTGTTCTTCACCAGCAACGAAACTCAGACAGCAATGGATGACTTTCTTCTGGCTGATCTGGCCTGGAACACGATGGAGTCTCAGTTCAGCTCTGTAGAAACCCAGACTTCTGCGGAACCACACACAGTCTCCAACTTCTAAAACTAACGGTGGAGTCCATGTGTGAAATGGCATCTACCATTTCCTCTGGATTAAAACTACGGACTGGGGACAACAGTATTAATTCGATTGAATGTGGCTGATGATGCAGTTGCTTAGCTTCTTTGTGTTTCTTTGCCTTTTGTACTTGTAAACAGAAATTTGCGTATAAATGTGAGTGTATTATAAAGTTTGAGATGTTGATCTAAATTGTTTTTGTGTTGCCTACATTTGCCTTTTCACAGCTAGTCTTTTCATGTTAAAAAAAAAAATGTATTTCATATCTATAAAACCTATATAGCCATTTAGCTGAAGCCCAGCTTACCAGGTTCAAGGGTACAAACTTCTCAAATCTTCAAAACATTTTAGTCAAAGTGTAATATACTTAAACTGCACCTAAAATATCTTTGGCACTGCTTGTTAGAAATTCCTGATTCCTGTTACTAATCACTAAAGAAACCGGATGCTGCCACCGTAGGATTTAAGCAGTAGTGCTTCCATGCTCTTAAGACTCCTGCTGCCTGGACCTTCGTCAGCTTTGACACCTCTTTTCTGATTTAAAGACACCAAGGAAAACTACAACTGTCTTTAGCTTTGAAGCAGTTTTCATGTAATCATTGCCACCTCTTCGCTACATGAACTACTATTGATACCAGCATACAAGTGTACAGCACTTTACACACAAGAGGTTTATTGATGTAAAATTATCGGCTAGGGAAGCAGCAGCGGGCCAGGTGTGGTGGCTTACCCCTGTAATCCCAGCACTTTGGGAGGCCAAAGCAGGACGATCACTTGAGCCCAGGAGTTCAACACCAGCTTGGGCAACGTAAGAAGACCGTGTCTCTGGAATTTTTTTTTTTTTTTAATTAGCCAGGCACAGTGGCATGCGCCTGTGATCCCAGCTACTTGGAAGGCTGAGGTGAGAGGATCACTCGAGGAGATTGGGGCTGCCATGAGCCATGGTCTTGGCACTGTACTCCAACCTGGGTAACAGGGCAAGACCCTATCTCAAAAAAAAAAAAAGTCGCCAGCAACAAGCACGTAGTGTAGTGTTCCTGCTAAATGAGCGTAGGTTATCCAAACCTTGGGAACAGGGAGTTATGGAAACATGCCTATGACTTCATCTTGGGGTGTGTCCTATGAAGATCCTTTCTGGTCTCCACAGTAGGCCAGAGTTGGGGGCTCTGGAGCTGTTTCCCCAAGTGCATCCACAAGCTGGATCTGAGTTTTGTCACTCTAAAATTAAACAAGAAAAAAAGTGGGAAAAGGGCATCCCCCATTAGGTTTCAATACTTTGCACTTCTACTAAGCTTGATAGGGCAGGAGTGCAATCTACAATTATTTTAAAGTGAATTTCCTTCCATTCACCATTCTTTATCTTTTCTTTGAATAAGAAAAAGTATCTAGCAAGGATATTACTTGTGCCTTGAGGCTAGCAATTATAGGATAGATTCATCTAAAATATGGTATTCTGCATTTTGGTTTTTTTTCTTAAGTGAATAATACCAGTCTTCAAAGAAAACAAGGTGAAGACCTATTGCTTCAATAATCAAGAATGCTTTGTGTGTTTTGAGGTAGGAGCATGATCAAGTATGCTTTGGGGATTTTCTGTATTTAGGAGATCCTGGATTCTTAATTGTTGGCTAAGTTCCAGTCAAGTAGGAATCAGTGCAGCCTGTAAGTTCTCCACATTGACACACACACACACACACACACACACACACGACATGCTCCTTTCTGTGGCACATGCCTGTATTACTGAAAGCTAAATCCTCAAAACCTAGTAAGGGGACTAATGATTCATTAAAGTAAATTGATGGTTTTGCTACTAATTCCTATCCCATACATTTGACACAAAAGAAGTGTTGGTAATGGATAAATAACATATCCCGGGCAGATGAGCTCAACCTAGTAGGTAAGAGTTTGGTTTGGTCACAGTTGCCTATGAGTGTGGGTTTCAAAAGAAACATAAAGCCTTAACTTAGAATTTCATTATGTTTTAGAATCATCACTGCCTTAATATTCAAGCATCTATTTAAGTCCTAATAAAGGAGAAATGCATGTTTATGGCTTTTTTGTAAATATAAATGCAGTGATCTATGGCTTAAAAAATTTGTTTCTGTGACAATGTTTGTAAATCTAGCCAATAGAGTCATTTACAGAAGAAAAATGAGCATGTAATAATACAAGAACTGTTTCCCCCTCAAAACCTGAACCTGAATTATTTGTAAAAACTGAAATTTAATGATTAAAGAGAAGCCAGAATTGTACCCTTTTTTGTGAATTCTTGAACGTACTCATAAATATGACTTATTGTATTGCCTTAAGTTTTCACTCATTGTCTTTTGAAAGCCATATGATAAAATGATTTTATTTAATAATACCCAGTTATTTTCATTGTTTTTTCTTTTGTTCATGAAAATATGCTAACAGACAATTTTCCTAGAAAAGACACTCCAGGTAATACCAGCCAGATGGCTGACTAGAGGTCCCTAATGCTTGTTGCCCCCACAGAAAAGGACCAAAACAACAAATAGAATACATTTTGACTAGAGTATCTAAAAGAAAATGAGGCCTGGCATGGTGGCTCGTGCCTGTAATCCCAGCACTTTGGGAGGCTGAGGCGGGTGGATCACCTGAGGTCAGAAGTTCGAGACTGGCCTGGCCAACATGGTGAAACCCCATCTCTACTAAAAATGCAATAATTAGCTGGGCGTGATGGTGCATGCCTGTAATCCTAGCTACTCAGGAGGCTGAGGCAGGAGAATCGCTTGAACCTGGGAGGCAGAGGTTGCAGTGAGCCAAGCCTGCACCACTGTACTCCACCCTGGATGGCAAAGTGAGACTCTGTCTCAAAAAAAAAAAAAAAAAAAGAAAAAATGCTGGAGTATATCAGGGGAGTGGTAGAGAACCTGTGGCACACAGAGACTCAGGACGGCCAGAGAGAGAAGGGAGTGAAATACCCTGCTCTGCCACCCCGTCTCCCCAGTCAGGATGAGCTCAGAACCAAGATGGATTTCTGCCTGGGGGAAAAGGAAGGCAGAAGGTCGCCAGCAGGTCCCATTACCACCACAGACACCTGTAGTCTTTTCTGCTGGAGAATCCTGCAGTTCTCTCAAGCCCTGAGCCCAGTTTAGAAAGCATCCTCGAATTCACATGACTGCATTACTGCAGAGAAAAAGCCGACATTGTGACCCAAGCTACTACAGCATGGCACCATTTTCAACCTGGACCCACTGCTCTAGGGGACAGTAACCACTGCATCTCTCCATTCCTGAGGTTCTGCTATCACTACACCATCTCACACACAGCAGTGCAGCATCCCCCAGCTGAGGGGCTACAGCTCCCTACTCCTTGGGAACAAGCTGCCCAAGAGCTGCTCCATCTTAACCATCCTCGCGGCAGCACAGTCCTGAACTCAACTACTCAGAACCTAGGCCTAGCAGAACAGCCATGACCCTAGCACCCAGGCCCATGCAGTGCCCTGCCTCCAAAGGAACAGGAAGTGTTGCTCAGTGGGGAAGCCAAGCTCAAGCCAGTGGACCAGCCCTGCATCCCCTCAGCATGTAAAAAGCCGATACTCCATCCACAAAGGAGCCATACTCAACCCAGGATGCCAGCCACACAGTCTACTGCAGCCTAGGCCACTGAGGCACTTGCAGGCATTGCTGACATTGATTACAGCTGAAGAACCTGCATGAAGACCACACTACTACTGTACCCATACAGAACCAAAGCCAGTGTGCCTTACTCAACTGATACTTAGGCCCCATCTGCACATTAAAGCCTTTCCCTATGAAAGCCACTGCATAGAACTGGAAAAGGCAGCTGATCCATCAGCTGCAAAGAAATCAACATAGGAACACAAGAAACATGAAAAAGCAAACAAATATGACACCACCAAAGAAACATGATAATTCTCCAATAACTGACCCCAAAGTTAGATAGAAATTTATGAATTTCTTGAAAAGAAATTCAAAATAATGATCTTGAGGAAGCTCAGCAAGACACAAGAGAATACAGATAAGCAAAATAATTCTTGATCTGAATGAGAAATTCAAGAGAGACAGATATTTTTAAAAAAGAACAGAAATCTGATCTGAAGAATTTAATGAATGAAATAAAAAATACAATTGAGGGCTTCAACAGCAGACTAGATCAAGCAGAAAAAAAAAAATTTTCCATTTTTTTTTTGAGACAGAGTCTCCCTCTGTCACCGAGGCTGGAGTGCAGTGGTGCCATCTTGCTGCACTGCAACTTCCACCTCCTGGGTTCAAGCGGTTCTCGTGCCTCAGCCTCCTGAGTATCTTGGATTACAGGTGTTTGCCACCACGCCTGGCTAATTTTTGTATTTTTAGTAGAGAGGAGGTTTCATCATGTTGGCTAGTCTGGTCCTGAACTCCTGACCTCAGGTGATCTGCCTGCCTCAGCCTCCCAAAGTGCTGGGATTACAGGTGTGAGCCACCGCACCCAGCCAGAAAATAAAAAGAATTTCTGAATTTGAAGACAGCTCTTTTGAAATAACACATTCAAAGGGAATAAAGAGAGAATGAAAAAGAGTGAAGAAAGTTGACAGGACTTATGGGGACATCATTAAGAGAACAGATACTCACATTATGAGATTTTCGGAGGGAGATGGAGAAAGGCACAGAAAGCTTATTTAATGAAATAATAGCTGAAAACTTCCAAAGTCCTGGAAGAGATATATGGACATCCAGATCCATGGCACTCAAAGAATCCCAAATAGATTCAACCCAAAGAGGTCCTCTCAGAGGCACATTGTAATCAAACTGTAAAAATTCAAAGACACAGAGTTTTAAAAACAGCAAGAGAAAAGCATCAAATCATATATAAGGGAATCTCCATTACACTATCAACAGATTTCTCAGAAGAAACCTTGAAGCCCAGGAAAGAATGGGATGATATAGTCAATGTTCTGAAAGAAAAAAAAACAAAAACAAAAACTGCCACCCAAGAATGTTATACCCTGAATGAAAGTGAAATAAAGTATATTTCAGACAACAAAAGCTGAAGGAATTCATCACCACTAGACTGGCCTTACAAGAAATGCTATGGAAGTACTTCAACCAAAAGCAAAAGGATGATAATTACTTTCATCATTTTGTGTGTCATATGAAAACATATGACAGTATAAAACTCACTGGTAGAGGTAAACTCATAATCAAATTCAGAATACACCATTACTCTAATGGTGGCATATGTCTTTCAGATCTCCGCTATGAATAACTACAGGTATAATACACTGTTAAGGAATACACAAAATGATGTAACTTAAGACAAAATTTTAAATTGTGGAGGAAGGACAAAAATTTTTTGTGTGAGTATCTGTGCGGGACCAAAGTTGTTATCAGCTTTAAAAAGTCTATTATAAGATTTTTCATGTAAGTACCTTAGTAACCACAGAAAGAAAAATTACCTCAAATACACAAATGAGAAAGAGAAAGGAATCAAAGTTTAGCACTGCAGAAAACCACCTAAACAACAAAAGAGGAAGAGAAGAACAAAGGATATATAAACCAGAAAATAATTTTTAAAATAGCAGGAGTAAGTCTTTGCCTATCAATAATAACCTTGGGCCGGGCATGGTGGCTCACACCTCTAATCCCAGCACTTTGGGAGGCCAAGGTGGGTGGATCACAAGGTCAAGAGATCAAGACCATCCTGGCCAACATGGTGAAACCCCGTCTCTACTAAAAATACAAAAATTAGCCAGGCGTGGTGGCACGTGCCTGTAATCTCAGCTACTCAGGAGGCTGAGGCAGGAGAATTGCTTGAACCTGGGAGGTGGAGGTTGCAGTGAGCCAGGATTGTGCCACCGCACTCCAGCCTGGCAACAGAGCGAGACTCCTCCTCAAAAAAAAAAAAAAATAATAATAATAATATAATAATAACAACCTTGAATGTAAATAGATTAAATTCTCCAGTTAAAGATATAGAGTGGCTGAATGGATTTAGAAAATAAAACCTGCAACACCATCCAACTATATGCTGCCTGCAAGAGACTCGCTTAACATGCAAGGTCACACAAAAACTAATGTGGAGGGATGGAGAAAGTTATCCCATGCAAATGGAAACCAAAGGAGAACACGAGTAGCTATACTTGTATCAGATAACACAGACTTTAAGTCAAAACTGCAAAAAGAGAGAAAGTCATTATATAACAATTAATATAACAATTGTAAATATATATGCAACCAACACCAGAACACCCAAATATATAAAGCAAATATTATTAGATCTATAGGGAGAAATAGACTGTAATACAACAATAATAGGGGATTTCAGCACTTCACCTTTGGTAATGGACCAATCATCCAGAAAATCAACAACAAAACATTAAACTGCACAATAGACCAATTGGACCTAACAGACATTGACAGAATATTCCTCCAAAACACTGCAGAATACACATTTTTCTCAGTAACACATGAAACACTTTCCAGGACAGATCACATGTTAGCCCACAAAATAAATCTTAACAAATTTACAATTAAACTCATTTCGAGTTTTTTGTTTCTTTTAACCACAATGGCTATTACTAAAATGTCAAAAAATAACAGATGTTGGCAACTTTGCACAGAAAAGGGAACGCTTATACACTGTTATGGGGAATGGAAATTAGTTCAGCCCCTGTGGGAAGCAGTTTGGAGATTTCTCAATGAACTGAAAATAGAATTCAACCTAGCAATCCCATTAGTGGGCCTACCAAAGGAAAACATATCGTTCTACCAAAAAGACAGATGCACTCATATGTTTATCGCAGCACAATTCACAATAGCAAAGACATGGAATCAACCTAGGTGCCCATCAATGGTGGAATGGATTTCTTTTTTTGTTTTGTTTTGTTTTTGAGATGAGTCTCACTCCATCACCCAGGCTGGAGTGCAGCAATCTCCGCCTCCTGGGTTCAAGTGATTCTCCTGCCTCAACCCCCCAAGTAGCTAGAATTACAGGCGTCTACCACCATGCTTGGCTAATGTTTGTATTTTTAGTAGAGACAGGGTTTCACCATGTTGGCCAGGCTGGTCTTGAACTCCTGACCTCAAACGATCCACCCACCTCGGCTGCCCAAAGGACTGGAATTACAGGCATGAGTCACCGTGCCCAGCCTGTATTTCTAAAATGTGGTACATATACACGATGGAATACTATGCAACCATAAAAAAGAACAAAATCATATCCTTTGCAGCAGCATGGATGCAGCTGGATGCCATTACCCTAAGCAAATTAACACAAAAACGGAAAACCAAATACCGCATGTTCTTATTTGTAAGTGGGAGCTAAACACTGGGTACATGCAGACATAAAGATGAGAACAGACACTGGGAACTCTAAAAGTGGGGAGGTGGGAAGGGGAATAAGGGTTGAAAAACTACCCATTGGGTACTGTGTTCACTATATGAGTGATGAGATCAGTAGAAGTCCAAACCTCAGCATCACACAATATAACCATGTAACAAACATGCAAATGTAGCCCCCACACCCCAAGTCTAAAATGTTTACTAGACTGTGAGTTCTAAATTAAAAAAAAAAAAAGAAAATTAAAAGAAAATAATTTTTAAAAAGAAAGAGAAGGGTTATATCACTTTGGGGGGCTTAGGGACGCAGCCTTTGGGGTACCACACAGTTTTATTTTCCTTGTCTCTCACAGTGTATCTATGTGTGTTGTCCTCCAAAGCATGTTTAAATGGCATTAATTAGATTTGACAACTAGGAGGGGACAACATATATGCCTTCATACTCTCAACTTTTAAAAGGCTCTAATTTGTTAAATGACATGAATTTTATGTATGTATGCATGTACTTATTTTTGAGATGGAGTCTCGCTCTGTCGCCCAGGCTGGAGTGCAGTGGTGCAATCTCAGCTCACTGCAACCTCCACGTTCTGGGTTCAAGCAATTCTCCTGCCTCAGCCTCCCGAGTAGCTGGGACTGCAGGCACGCACCACCACGCCCAGCTAATTTTTTGTATTTTTAGTAGAGACGGGGTTTTACCATGTTTGCCAGGCTGGTCTTGAACTCCTGGCCTCAGGTGATCCACCCACGTCGGCCTCCCAAAGTGCTGGGATTACAGATGTGAGCCACTGCGTCTAGCCATGAATTTTAATCTAGTTTGTTTAGCAAGGTGTTAGCCAGTAAAATGTTTTAAGGCCAAGAAGATGACTACATTGTTTTTCAATGTTTAAATCCAAAGGATTCTCTCAGTTGTTGGAACGGTATTTATTAGCAGATACATTGATATTTTAGTTTACATATCCAGAGACGCAGGCTAGAAAACAAACAGGGACGGCTCTCAGGTTGTCGGTGTTCTTGACGTTCACAGGGGCACTGCATTTAAAAATCAGCTTGCTTGAAAGGAGCAAGGCCCAAGCTATATGAATCAGTAAAAGCAGCACTGGCTATGCCATAGCTGGAACACTATCAATATTCAGTTTCTTCAACAAACTCCAGAAAAAACACTAAATGTTTTACTGCCTTACTAATAAATAACAAAACAAAAACTCATAAATATTAGTAAGACAATTTTATTTATTGCTTTACTAATTAATAACAAAATAAAAACTTTGTTCTAACTCCACGCATTCCAAAATAGTATAGTTTGACCTATCAGAGACCACAGCCATGGCCCCTCCACTAACTTTTCATACTTTACTTGGAAGCAAGTTACTATTACAGAACATTAGGCTGCAAAAAAGAAACAACAAAAAATTTAAACAAGTCATACTCTTTTTAACATCAGTGAAATAGTCCAATGTATCTGAAAATGAAAATAAATTGTTTTGAAATTATCTCCACGGTGACTTTGTTATTTTCAAAAGTACATATATTATATTACCTCTGCATATAACCTCTTTTTGGGGGCCGGGTTGGGGAGACCTAAAAGAGCGAGCCGATGACCATGGCAGGTGTAAATAAGACCTTGCTCCAAACGTGGCGTCTTCTTACTGCTTCTGCTTGCAGCGTTTGACTCTCTGCTTTCTGGTGATCCGCCGCTTTTCCATGTCCTGGGTGAAATATTTGCTTTTATGATTACATCTCAACCGTGTTGCTGCTTAGGACTGAATGTGAAACTGATCCCTCTCCTACTTTATCTTCTTTTTCCTGTGCTGTAACGAGAAATTTAATGACTTCAGAAAATGTAGAGCCCATGCTGCAATGAAAATGTGGCAGAAGTCAATGCATCTGAATTATGACAAAAGGATATTCAACCATGAAGACTGCCCTCAATAACTTTTTCCTTGGTAGATGAAACTAGTCTCTAAAAACCAACAAGCAAACAACAACAACAACAACAAAAAAAAACAACAAAAATAAAAAACTTTTTTCTTTTTAAAACGTGAGCCCACCGAAATTAAGATTTTAATTTTGGGAAGTCAACCAAACTTTGGCAAATTATGCTTTAGGAATTATTTACTCTATATTGTCTTATTTCAGCTCATGGAAATAATTTTGGTTTTGTTATATTTTAGAGTTAATACTATTAATGAATTGCAAGCTGGTATCAATTTTTCTGCACCTTTTTTGGTAACGTGATATATATATATGTATATACATGTTGGCCAGGCTGGACCCGAACTCCTGACCTCAAGCAATCCACCCATCTTGGCGTCCCAAAGTGCTGGGATTACAGGTATGAGCCACTGCACCCGGCCACATGTGATATATCTTATTATTTTTTGAGACAGTGTCTCACTCTACTGCCCAGGCTGGTATGCAGTGGCGTGATCTCGGCTCACTGCAAACTCCACCTCCAGGGTTCAAGACCTTCTTATGCCTCCGCCGCCTGAGTAGCTGGGATTACAGGCACGCACCACCACGCCCCCTAATTTTTCTATTTTTAGTAGAGGCAGGGTTTTGCCATGTTGGCCAGGCTGGTCTCGAACTCCTGACCTCAAGTGATTCACCCACCTCGGGCTCCCAATGTGCTGGGATTACAGGTGTGAGCCACCGTGCCTGGCCAACAGGTCGTATATTTTTAAATCACTGAAGTCACTATTCTGTTACAAGATATGTGCTTAACTAGTAAGAACTCTTCAGAGTTAAAGTTCTCTAAATAACTACCATAATGCCAAGTATTCCTCTGACATCCTACTTTCCTGAAATTTAGAGAAGTCAGTCATGAGGATTTCGTTGAACAGCCAAAGAAATTAAAATAGACTCATGAATAGTAATAAGGCCAGTGGTATTTATCCCAAATTCCATATCGGATTTATCTTCAGAGGACATGCAGATTGGAACAAATGAAATCACTAACAGTTCTTTCACATTTAGAGGTTTAGTGATCATGGTTATTCTTGGGCAGATAAAAAGGAAAAAAAAATAAAGGCTTAGTGAACTGTCATAACCCTGTGTGGTGCTGAAAATAAAAAACTATATTACATTTTCAAGCTAGCTCTCCTCAAGTTTTAATAAGTGGTAAAACTAGTTGGGCATGGGGGCTCATGCCTGTCATCCCAGCACTTTGGGAGGCCAAGGCAGGCGGATCACTTGAGTCCAAGAGTTCGAGACCAACCTGGGCAACATGGCAAAACCCGTCTCTTCAAAAAAAAAAAAAAATTAGCTGAGCATGGTGGTGTGTGCCTGTACAGCCAGCTACTAGGGAGGCTATGGTAGGAGGATCGCTTAAACCCTGCAGGCTAAGGCTGCAGTGAGCTGTGATGGTACCACTGCACTCCAGCCTGGGTAACAGGTGAAACTCTGCCTCAAAAAATAAAATAAGTAGAGAAACTTCTTTTTTTATTATTGTTTTGAGACGGACTGTCGCTCTGTCACCCAAGCTGGAGTGCAGTGTTGGAATCTCAGCTCACTGCAACCTCTGCCTCCCCGGGTTCAAGCGACTCTCCTGCCTAATCCCAAGTAGCTGGGATTATAGGCATGTGCCACCATAACTGGCTAATTTTTGTATTTTTAGTAGAGACGGGGTTTCGCCATATTGGCCAGGCTGATCTCGAACTCCTGACCTCAAGTGATCCACCCACCTCAGCCTCCCAAAGTCCTGGGATTACAGGCACGAGCCACAATGCCCAGCCAACTGTTTCATTTTAAAAGATACATGGGGAGGAAGATTTGTAGTTTAAGCTAAACGGGAGAGAAAAGCCACTTTGATATATACATATGAAGCACAGATTGCCAGTGCTTGCTAAGGTGTATCCCACAAAGTATTGGCTGCCTTTTCATATTTACGCCTGTTCAGCCCAAGCAGTGAGTGTGGAAAAGTGAGTATTAAACATCAGAGAATTCTGAATAATGGCAGTAAATGTAAATACACTAATTTAACATCTTCGACTTATCTCGAAAACCTTGCCAAACCAGTAATGCACATTCTCCTGAAGATGGGAAGAGAGAATGCCCACAACTCTTCCTGTCACTGACTGAATGGGCCCTCCTGTTACTCTGAGAGACTCTTCTCAGAGAAAAGCAGACTTCGCAGGGTGCGGTGGCTCACACCTGTAATCCTAGCACTTTGGGAGGCTGAGATGGGTGGATCACTTGAGGTCAGGAGTTCAAGACCAGCCTAGCCAACCTGGTGAAACCCCATCTTTACTAAAAATACAAAAATTGGCTGGGCATGGTGGCAGGCACCTGTAATCCCAGCTACTCGGGAGGCTGAGGCAGGAGAATCACTTGAATCCGGGAGAGGGAGGTTGCAGTGAGCCAAGATCGCGCCACAGCACTCCAGCCTGGGTAACAGAACAAGACTCCGTCTCAAAAAAAAAAAAAAAAAAAAAAGCAGACTTATGGCTGCTTCTTTGCTTCTTTCTAGAAAGGACCTAGGCAGGTGCCACCATGAGACCCTAGAGGACCAGCGCAAAATGGAGAGCACATATGCCTTCTGGGATGTGGCAAGCTGGGCGTTCCCCCAGCTCCCTTCACACCTGCACCAAGGCACCTGCTTGATCTATAAGTAAAGCTGTCAGAGAAGCTGCAGCAAAGGCGGTGGGCTCCAGATTACTAATTCCCTAAACCAGCGGTTCTCAGCTAGGGTGATTTTGCCCTAAAGGGGCATTTGGGAAAGTCTGGATACATTTTTCGTTGTCATGACTGGGGATGGTATTGGCATCTAATATGTCAAGGCCAGGGATGCTGCTACACATCCCACAATGCACATACAGGCCCATCACAAAGAATGATCCAGCCCCAAATAGTGCCCAGGTTGAAAAGCCCTGTCCTAAAGATAGGCCAGGTGATGGGGTGGCTTTGAGCATTGCTGTAAATACAGCACCCACCTGGGCCATTCAATCCTCTAAGAAGTTATGTATATTGTTTAGAACGTATTGGGGCAGGGCATGGTGGCTCACGCTTGTAATCCCAGCACTTTGGGAGGCCAAGGCGGGCGCATCATTTGAGGTCAGGAGTTTGAGACTAGCCTGGCCTACATGGTGAAACCCTGTCTCTACTAAAAATACAAAAATTAGCTGGGCATGGTTGTGCACACCTGTAATCCCACCTACTCGTGAGTCTGAGGCAGGAGAATTGCTTGAACCCGGGAGGCAGAGTTTGTAGTGAGTTGAGATCATGCCAGCCTGGCCCACAGAGGAAGACTCTGTCTCAAAAAAAAAAAAAAAAAAGTATGTGTTGGTAGAGAAGGTTAAGTGCCCACAGTCTTAGGTTAAAAAAAAAAACTAAAATTTCTTTAGGGTTTTTACCATCATCATCTTTTGAAACGTATAAACTGAAGTTCATTTAGGTTGTTGTTGTTGTTGTTGTTTTTCACATTAGAAAGGCCAGGATCCAGAGCAAGACTGATCAAAACCTGAAACAGGCCGGGTGTGGTGGCTCACGCCTCTAAGCGCAGCACTTTGGGAGGCCAAGGCGGGCGGATCATGAGGTCAGGAGATCGAGACCATCCTGGCTACCACGGTGAAACCCCCTCTCTACTAAAAATGCAAAAATTAGCTGGGCACAGTGGCACACACCTGTAACCCCAGCTACTCAGGGGGCTGAGGCAGAAGAATCACTTGAACCCGGGAGGCGGAGGTTGCAGTGAGCCAAGATTGTGCCATTGCACTCCAGCTTGGACAAGAAGAGCGAAACTCCATCTCAAACAAAACAAAACAAAACAAAACAAAACAAAACCTGAAACAGAAATAACTGTTCACTATTTTGCGTCTCTATAATAATAATGTTTGCAGGCAAGTTAAATGCATTAAAATGACAGAACTAGGGAAATTTCAGACATTACTCGCTCATTTTATAGGCAAAGGCAGAAATGCTCAGTGGCAAAGCTGGGGTACTAAAAAATATACATCCTGATGGTTCTCAGCTCTTAGGAAAAAGGAAGATGGTTCTTATTTTTACTTATTGCAGTGAACACTGGATTTATCCTGAGACTGTGTCCAAGAAAATATACAGATGCTTTTTGATCTAGGAGATTGAACTTGAAAAGTTTTTTCCTGGAACACCTCCGTATGCACAAATTCAGTACAAGAGTCATGCCTTAAGCTGCACAGTGATGGTGTTTAGACTGGTACAGTGGAAATACAGGCAAAACCAGATGAGGAAAAAGGCCAGGGAATTAAGATGGATTGGACCCAAGCAAGGAGCACCTTAGTTGACAAGTTGCAAAGTTAAGTTCTGAGAACCCATTAAAGAGTAAAGACCCATCATCAAATATCCAAATGCCAGCTTGCAGGCCAAAGGACTTCCATACAATTTTAAACAGTCAGTTATTCATTAGAGGGAAATTATCCAGCTTGTTATATTTGATCCACTCAATACATTCAGGAAAAACACAGATCTCTGTTGGAGTTCAACATACATTACCTGGTCATCTTCACCACATCCTGTATCTGAAAATTGTTCCTATCTTAAAGGAAGAAATGACATTCTTGAGCCCTCCTTCCTGCCTTATGTGATATTTTCCACCTAGTACTTCAAACGTCCCCGACCTGTGAAATATAGTTTGAGCCTTCAGAAACCCAGGCTACAAACCTTAATGCTGTCCTGACCAAACCCAACCCTCTGCTGAACAATTTCTCCTTGGGTTAGAAGAGGAAAATGATCCCTGATTCCCATGCATACATGCAGGATTAAAAGAGATAATGTCTGGGAAGAGGACTTGGATTCTTATTTATTTATTTTTTTGAGACAGAGTCTTGTTCTGTTGCCCAGGCTGGAGTGCAATGGCGTCATCTCGGCTCACTGCAACCTCCGGAAACCCAGTCTCTACTAATAATACAAAAATGAGCTGAGTGTGGTGGTGGGCACCTGTAATACAAGCTACTTGGGAGGCTGGGGCATGAGAATCGCTTGAACCCAGGAGGCGGAGGTTACAGTGAGCCAAGATCATGCCACTGCATTCTAGCCTGGGTGACAGAGCGAGACTCTGTCTCAAAAAAAAAAAAAAAAAAAAAACCCTAGGCAAACAGACAAGACATTACAAAGACCACTATGGAAGCAGGTATTTACAAATATAGTCATATATTCTGTCTACTCCATCGTTTGGAGACAGGAAATCCAGACTTCAAGTCCAACCTACCTTAAGCAAATTCAAACTATGTAATTACAAAGCAGCTTAATGATTACTCATATCACAGAACGGTTCATCAGAACATGTGTCTACAAAGCAACATCACTTGGCATTTAAAATATAAATCATTTACAAATGTCATTTAATTTAGATAGAACGGTGGGAATATGAGTTGGGGTAAAATGAGGGTGGAGGAAGGACAGAGGGAGAAAATAACAGCCCCTTTCCAAAAGTGTCTGGGGTTGAGGGTTTCCAAACATTAGATGCAAAGTAATGCCAGAGGAAGCATGTGGGATGATAATCACAGTGATCTTTTTATTTTTTTCCCAAAAAGATTTTTTTTTTTTTTGAGACGGGGTCTCACTCTGTCGCCCAGGCTGGAGAGCAGTGGCACGATCTCCGCTCACTGCAAGCTCCGCCTCCTGGGTTCACGCCATTCTCCTGCCTCAGCCTCCTGAGTAGCTGGGACTACAGAAGCCCGCCACCACGCCCGGCTAATTTTTTGTATTTTTAGTAGAGATAGGGTTTCACCGTGTTAGCCAGGATGGTCTCGATCTCCTGACCTCATGATCCGCCCGCCTCAGCCTCCCAAAGTGCTGGGATTACAGGTGTGAGCCACGGCGCCCGGCCCCAAAAAGTAATTATTCTTAACCTGCTTCCCAGGCTGGATTTTGTAGCACTGTAGCTAAAACTTCCAGACACAGAGATTAGTATGAGGGTACAATCTGAGGACATGGCACCCTGAAAATGCAGGAGACGATAGTGTATATACATGGAAACAATCTGAGGGTGTGACACCCTGGACGCACAGGGTCTCCAATGCCTTGGACGTCCTGGACACAAGCTGGAGTTTTCTTTTCTTTCTTTTGAGGCGGAGTTTCGCTCTTATTGCCCAGGCTGGAGTACAATGGCACGATCTCGGCTCACCACAAACTCTGCCTCCCGGGTTCAAGCGATTCTCCTGCCTCAGCCTTCTGAGTAGCCGGGATTACAGGCATGCGCCACCATGCCCGGCTAATTTTGTATTACTTTAGTAGAGACAGGGTTTCTCCATGTTGGTCAGGCTGGTCTCGAACTCCCAACCTCAGGTGATCCACCTGCCTTGGCCTCCCAAAGTGCTGAGATTAGAGGCGTAAGCCACTGTGCCCGGCCTGGAGTTTTTTATTAAAGCAATTCTTCAGATCTTTGTTGCAACAGCAAATGAGGCAGCACATAGACACCTGCTTCGTTCAAAAAATCAGCAGGCAGTTTGGTCTAAACCAGCCCAGTATACTTAGTTTGAGGCACGGGGGTGGGGCAGAAAGGACACCTGCCAGATGGCTCTGGGCTGACGTGCGGCCAGCATGGAGGGAAGGAGGCCCTTTGGATTCCCCACTTTCTGCGTGGCTTCTGCTGGGAGTGGACATGAAGCAGGCAGAGGCTGGGGCTGGCAAGACCAATTGGCATTTTGTGAATGGCTAAGTAGCAGAAGCACGTTAACACATGAATATGGTGTTTTAGAAAATAAATCCCAACAATCCACTGAGGTTCAGTTTTCTTCAGTTGTACTACAAAAAAAAAATGGAGGAAAAGAAGAGTAAAGACAGACTGACGGGGAGGAGAGAAAGAGAGAGTGGGGGGTGGGTGGGAAATGAGAGAGAAGAAAGAGAAAGGATGGCTGCATCTCAAACGGTGCTTATTCCCAGGGGTTCTACCGCAACCGCTCAGAGGATCCTGTGGGTAGAGACAGGAATGATAACTCTGCTCACTGTGAGAGACGGCAAGACAGGTCTTGGGAAAACTTTGGTCTCCAGCATTTGGGGCCTGTTTTCCTGCTTGGCCTTTGGGAGAACATGCTTTCGGGTGATCACAGGAGATCTTGGCTCCTTGGCTTTGAATTTGGATTTGTAGCTTTGCACTCCCCGTTTCTGCAGAAGCTGCAAGGCAGCAAGGTAGCGAACGTTGCTGGGGTCTGGAGGGCACGCCAGGTTTTTCTCAGACAGGAGGGACCAATGCAGGCAGCGCTGCTCCGGATCGGTCAGCAGGGATATCTGGGCCGCTGGGGAAGGGGAGGATGGCGTGTCGTTGACCATAGGGTGTTTGGCCAGCTCACTGGCTCTTTTTTCACCTTTCCCATCTGCTGTTTTCAAGCCATATGCATAAGCCACACACCCATCCTTTTCCACATCCAGCACCTTCTCTTCTGACTGCAAGAAAGAGTTCTTACTCTTCTTACCCAGAACATCCAAAGCATTTGAAAGTGAAGCCTTCAGGGGAGGCAGAACTAGGAGGGCCCTGGAAGTCAGGGGGCCTGGGATGGACAGCCCTCTGTGGGCCCCTCCACTGGGATTCCCAGAGGCCTTGCCCCTATTAGTGCCGGGGATGGCCCAGTCTTTGTTGCACCAAATAAACTCCTTGATTTGCAGACTTTTTTTCTCTGCTCGAAAGTAGGTGGGAAAGCAGATGTCGCTAATTGCCCTGGAAGCAGTGCTGGGGCCCTGGGGGGCTGCCTGAGTCTGGGAGGGGCTGCTCTGATCCTTCTCTGGGCCCCCCTCAGTAGGAGGCTTGGTCTGGAGGCTCCAGTGGGAGAGGTTAACACACACCAAGCAGTCGCTGCAGGCACCTTCCCCTACCCTCGCCTTTTTTGGTATCTTCCTCGGCCAGATGCAGGCAGCTGGAGAAGTCCTTCCCCACCCTTGGACCTGCAAATAAAGCGGCATGTTACTCCTCCAGCTGAGGGGCCCAAACTGTCCTTGCCCCAATTTTGGCCACATTCCCATTTTGGCAGTCTTATGTGAAACAATATTCTTATTTTTATTTATTTTTTTACTACCCCTTCCCCCACTAATAATTTTCTTAAAATTCATTCACTTAAAAAAAAAATCCTTCAAAGTTGCAAAGCATGAAAAAGTGTAATACCTACTTTCACCGCTATAAAGCAATAACAGTATTTGTAATAGTATTTGTTAATCCTAAATACTAGCAAGAGCATTTGTTAATACTAAAACACTAAGCAACAGTATTTGTAAATGGCCACTTTGATGTGCTGACTATATTTCTTTTCAAATGCACATTTAAATTTGAAGCCATTAAAATAAAATGAAAACCGTTCATACTTGTCCCACCAACAAGGATTTCGGGCACCGCCAGTCTCTGCTTCCCTTACCTGGGGAACACTGTTGCTTGGAGAGGCTGGAGGGAGACCGAGGAGCAGAGGCAGGTCCTGGAATGCAGAGGAGCCCTGCGTACCCAGGGATACCTACTCCCCATACACGCCCAGAGTCCTCTGGCTGATCTTGCCACAGAGATCACCATTAAAAAAGGGTTGCCAGTAAAAATATAGGACCACATTTTGGACATACTTATACTGATAAATTAGGTATTTATCTGGTAATCCTATGTTTAATCACTGGATTAGACCAAGTTTTCTCATAGTTTTATGCTTTTTTTTTTTTTTTAGTTTTCTTATAGTTTTAAATATAGGATTCTATTGTTGATTCTATGAATTGTTTAAGAGTAAGCCTGCAGACCAGGCGCAGTGGCTCAGGCCTGTAATCCCAGCACTTTGGGAGGCTGAGGTGGGCAGATCACCTAAGGTCAAGAGTTTGACACCAGCCTGGCCAATATGGTGAAACCCCGTCTCTACTAAAAATACAAAAATTAGCTGGGCATGGTGGGCACCTATAATCCCAGCTACTCAGGAGGCTGAGGCAGGAGAATCGCTTGAACTCAGGAGGCAGAGGTTGCAGTGAGCCAAGATCGCGCCACTGCACTCCAGCCTGGGCGACAGAAAGAGACTCCATCTCAGGGAAAAAAAAAAAAAAAAAAAAAACCCACAGAGTTCTGAGTAGAGCCATTAGGAAAGAAGCCTCAGTTCTCTCAGGGAGTTCAGCACAGCTGCTAAGGAGCTCAGGGTTCTAGAGTCCAGGAGACCTGGATTCAAGCCCTGCCTTGGCCACTTATTGGCTGGGTGATCTCGAGCATGTAACTTTATCTTCCAAGTGACTCAGTATACTCATCCACAAAGCGAGGCTGGGAAGAAAACTTGCCCCATATGGCTATTGAGAGGTTAGATGAATTAATGTATCCAAAGTACTTAGTACTGTGCTGTCCACATACTAAGTGGCCATAAATACCCACAGTAGGTGCTGCTCTTATCATCAGTAATATTTTACCTCAATTCCAGGGTTTCTACATGTCATTGATTCCACATTTTTTGGTAATATTAACTATTTTTGGGAAAAAGAGGCTTGCACCAAAACACTGATGTGCGAGAGACAGAAAAGCTGTGACTCAGAAAGATACTCACTGCCTCTTCCCATCCAGTTCCAATAATAAACTCTTTGGCTTTTTCATCTTGTTCAAGCGTAATGTCACTGACATCGAGAAGACAATAAACATGATTTTTTTCACTTTTTCCATCTGGACAAGTATAGGTTGGTTCTGTTTCTTCTGTGAACTGAATTTCATTATTTTCAGCATTTTCTAAGTCAGTCTCATTTTTCTGACAGAGATCCATTACTGTGATGCTTGCTTAAAGTTTTTAACATCTTCTTGCTGTTTAAAAACATGAATGGAACTTCGTTTTTAATATTAATTTTTTTTTAAAAAAAGCAATGCAATACTCAGGTGAAATATCTTCAAGACACATTCAGGAATATGGCCGGCCGCGGTGGCTCATGCCTGTAATTCCAGGAATTACTTTGAGAGGCCAAGTCAGGCGGATCACTTGAGGTCAGGAGTTTGTGACCAGTCTGGCCAACATGGTGAAAGCCAGTCTCTACTAAAAATAAGGCGGGCACCTGTAATCCCAGCTACTCGGGAGGCTGAGGCAGGAGAATCACTTGAACCCAGGAAGCAGAGGTTTCAGTGAGCTGAGATTGGCCACTGCACTCCAGCCTGGGTTAGAGAGTGAGATTACATCTCAAAAAAAAAAAAGAAAAGAAAGAAAGAAACATTCAGGAATAGACTGAGAACAAATATTACGCAACTATCCACTGCCAACCACTGGCACTATGAAAGATAAGGCAGCCAGGAGTGATGGCTCACACTTGTATTCTCAGCACGTTGGGATGCTGAGGCTGATGGATCACCTGAGGTCAGGAGTTCGAGGACAGCCTGGCCAACATGGCGAAACCCCATCTCTACCAAAAATACAAAATTAGCTGGGTGTGGTGCTGCGCACCTGTAATCCCAGCTACTTGGGAGGCTGAGGCAGGAGAATCACTTGAATCCGGGAGGTGGAGGTTGCAGTGAGCCAAGATCACGCTATTGCACTCCAGCCTGGGCAACAGAGCAAGACTCTGTCTCAAAAAAAAAAAAAAAAAGAAGATATGAAGAGACATAGGGAGAAGATGGCCATCTACAAGCCAAAGACAGCAGCCTGGAACAGAGCCTCCTCTCACAACCCTCAGAAGGAACAAACCCTGCCAAAACTTTGATTTTGGACTTTGAGAATCCAGACCTATGAGGTAATACATTTCTGTTGTTTAAGCCACTCAGTCTGTCGTACATTGTCATGACGCCCCTAGCAAAGTAAAACAGTAGGTGATGGTGATAACCCTATCTACCATTAATGGATGTTTTTCTGGAAAATGCACTTGGCATTTAGAATCTAGACAAAGGGTCTGCAAAGTTGTAATCCTGATCAGAGCCAAAGAGCTGAACAGTTCCAGTCCTATTTACCGGCTGTGTCCCTTGAGCGATGACTTACTTTTCTGGGTCTGTTTGCTCATCTATAAAAAGGGCTAAAGCGGCTGCATGCGATGGCTCACGCCTGTAATCCCAGTACTTTGGGATGCCGAGCTGGGTGGATCATTTGAGGTTAGGTGTTGAGACCAGCCTGACCAACATGGTGAAACCCTATCTCTACTAAAAATACAAAAAAGTTAGCCAGGTGTGGTGGTGCACACCTGTAGTCCCGGCTACTCAGGAGGCTGTGGCAGGAGAATAGCTTGAACTTGGGAGGCAGAGGTTGCAGTGAGCCAAGATCGTGCCACTGCACTCCAGCCTGGGCGACAGAGTAAGAATCCGTCTCAAAAAAAAAAAAAAAAAAAAAGCAAAAGCATGATACCTTCCTACAGATAGGGGTTCCTCCTGTGGACCCCACAGGCTGCAGAAATTAACTAGAATACCTGAGCAGTGACCACCAAAGCTCTGGCTTGAGTGCTGATAAGCACCCAGTGTCTTCTCAAGAAGTTCCTTGCTTGTGATAAGACAGGAGGCACAGGGGACACCCACTCCTTGCTTTCTCTCAGCCAGACGTGACCCATGCCAGAAAACTAGTTTTTTTCATTTTTTGTTTAGGAAGAGATCGGTACTTCTTATGACAAATCTGTTGAATTACCAATTTGGCTTTTTCACATAGGCTTAGTTTTTTTATTTTGTTTTGTTTTGTTTTGTTTTGTTTTGTTTTGTTTTTGAGACAGAGTCTCACTCTGTTGCCCATGCTGGAGTGCAGTGGTGCGATCTTAGCTCACTGACAAAATTTACTGGAGTAAATTTTGTAAAATTTTAAGTTGGAAGTTGTACCTCCGCTTCCCAGGTTCAAGCAATTCTCCTGCCTCAGCCTCCCGAGTAGCTGGGATTACGGGCGTGAGTCACCGTGCCTGGCCAACACTACATTTTTATAAGCACTTTACTTATGTAATGAGGGTTCACAAGGAACTGTATTGATTCCTTGTGACTCAAAACTAAGAATCATCCCTGAGTCAATTAACACAGTATTATTAATCAGAAGGTCAGATTACTGCATACCAGATCACCAGATGCACCTTCGGAACACTGGTGTACTTCAGGCAGGATCAACACGCTCCGCTACTAAAAGAGAATATTGGGGTCTTTTCCTAATTAAAAAGAAATTCAGTTAGTGGATAGGAAAGTTGTATTTTAAGTTTCCCTTCTCTAAACATACTATCAAGTTGTTGTCTGTCTCGCTCCGTCGCCCAGGCTGGAGTGCAGTGGTGTGATCTCAACTCACTGCAACCTCTGCCTCCCGGGTTCAAGCAATTCTCCTGCCTCAACCTCCCAGGTAGCTAAGACTACAGGCGCCTGCCACCACGCCTGGCTAATTTTTTTGTAACTGTCGAGTTTTATTACCCATTCTTGTCTTCCAGCTCACGTTAGCAGATGACACACAGTAATGGCCAAGAATCAATAGATCAAAGAAAAGAGTGGATATGTGATTCCTTGCAATCTGTATGCAGTTTTACTTTTATGTTGGAATGCAGACATCTATATTCATATAATATTTTCTGGTAGTAAAATTATGCCTGACTTACACATTTGACGTAAACCAAGAGCTCATGCCATCCCATTTCTTGGCTTCCATTGAACTTTACAACCTGATTCAGTTTGAGAATCACCAGGATAAAGCATACATCAAAGTCCATACAAACGTTTTCCACCACATCAAGAAAACACAAAGATCACAGTGAAGATGTTGCCATGGAGACGCATTTGCAGATGCAACTCTAAAATTGGATTTAGAGTATAAAGCGGGAAAGCTCAAATATGTAGGCCAGAAGGTATTAAACTCTATTACACAAGCTATTAAAGTGATTAGAACCAACATGTACAAAAGAAATAGTTGACTCTGATCCAAGCCCCCAAAGTGCATGTTTGGATAAACAAGAATAAACCCAAAGAAAAACTGATCAAAGAACTTAAGATATTTGGAAACGAAAGAAAGATGGTGAATGAGAGCCTAAAAAATATAGCCTATGGAAATTTACCATAATCCAGAAAATACCTTTTCTAGTAGCATTTAAAGACAGATACAAAAAGGAAATGATCAGCCAAAGAAATGTAAAGTGGTTTATTTTCTTTTACCAATAACATGTTTTGCTTCAAAATAATGTGAGGTTGAGGTTAGGGAGGGAATAGTGAAACCAAAGTGCCCTTAAGTTCTGTTTGTTGTAGATGGGTATGAGGACATGGGGATTAACTGTACTATTATATTTTTATGTAAGCATGAAACTTCCTGTAATAAAACTTTTAAAGCCATGATGTTATCGGAGAGCTCCAAGAAATGAAATGTGGAATAATGATAGAAGCCAGGGTACAATGAATTTTGACCTTAAGCAAACTGAAATAAATGTTGTTTTTTGTTTGTTTGTTTTGGTTTGTTTTTTTGTTTTGAGACACTCGCTCTGTTGCCCAGGTTGGAGTACAATGGTGTGATCTCGGATCACTGCAACCTCCGCCTCCTGGGTTCAAGCGATTCTCCTGCCTCAGCCTCCCGAGTAGCTGGGATTACAGGCGTGCGCTACCATGCAGGGCTAATTTTTGTATTTTTAGTAGAAACGGAGTTTTACCATGCTGGCCAGGCTGGTCTTGAACTCCTGACCTCAGGTGATCCACCCATCTCAGCCTCCCAAAGAAATAAATGTATCAATGAACAGATAACAAGGTTTGTGTAATTTTAAGTTGCAGTAAAGACCTTGAACAAGGACTTATTGAAAGAAAAAAACACACAGATCTACAAAAAAGATATAACATCAGATAACAAGTTTTATAAAAGTGATTTAGAGGAACTCCAGAAATATTTGTCCAATTATTCTTAAGTCACAGTACACAAGGGCTTCTCATTGAATTTATTGAATGGCCAAAGGAACAGGTGTAAATGCAGAAAAGAATAGACATTACTATTTGGATCTGTGACACTATATTGAGATCATGTAATTTGTTAATGAACTGAGAAGTACAAGACTATCAAATGCTCCTTTGTTATACGTCCGGCAAAGTTAATGTAGCTTTAACACCCTAACCAATCTATAGAGTATGAAGTGTCTTGCTCCTGAAATGAACAAAGACAACGGTTAAGCTATCACAGTCAACAGTAGAGGCATACCAGTCGAATACAGCAAAAGGACATGTTTTCTGTTGTGTGTTGTATAAAAGTTAAAATTGGGAAAGCGGGGGAGAAATCAGTGTAAACTGAGAACAATGAACGTATCTCCTATTTACAAATAAGTAACACTGCCCAAAGAAAAACCTATGTGGAAAGAGACCACCCGACCAAGAACATAAAGAAATTTCCAAAGTCCTGGTAGCTGAAAAGAAGTGAAGGGATAGCAGAAGAAATGACTATGCCATATGGTACAGAAAGGGCCTTTGTATTTCTTTGTATTTTTTTTTTTTTTTTTTGAGATGGGGTCTCACTATATTGACCAGGCTGGTCTCAAACTCCTGGCCTCAAGTGATCCTCTCATTTTGGCTTCCCAAAGTGCTGGGATTACAGGCATGAGCCCAGCCTTTCTTTGTAACATATATATATATTTTTTAGACCAAGTCTCGCTCTGTCACCCATGCTGGAGTGCAGTGCCATGATTCCAGCTCACTGCAACCTCCGCCTCCTGGGTTCAAGTGATTCTTGTGCCTCAGCCTCCCAAGTAGCTGGGATTCCAGGCGCATGCCACCACGCCCGGCTAATTTTTTTTGTATTTTTAGTAGAGACAGGGTTTCACCATGTTGGCCAAGCTGGTCATGAACTCCTGACCTCAGGTGATCACCCGCCTCGGCCTCCCAAAGTGCTGGGATTATAAACGTAAGCCACCGTGCCTGGCCCTTCATATTGTTTTGATAAAGAAGGTAATAACGTGGCTACTTTATTTTAATGAAAATGAGGTTAGAAATGGACTTATAAAAAAATAGAATTCTGATTTTGTGTCTGCTTATTTTTGGTTTATGTCTTTTTTGCCCCAGATAGGACTCAAGCTGCCAGGCTCTTTTTGAAGAAGGCTGCAGTGGGTACACTTGAATTAGGAGGAGTACTGTCCGTCAGTCTCGACTACCTAGCATTAGTCAAGACAGGCAAGGATAGGCTGCAGTAACAAGCAGCCCTATCTCTTTTCCAGTGGTTAAAAAAACACAGGCTTCTTTCTAACTCATGCTGCAGGTTCATTGTATGATGTCTGGGACTCTGTTCCACATTGTCCTCACTCCTGAACATGAACTGACAGAGGCTGCCTGCGTCGTTGGAAACCACAGCCAACTGTGATGCAGAGTGTGATGGCAAACATGGCTCTTAGATGGTTCTTTCTGGAAGTCACTCATTTGACTTCAGTTCACATGTCATTAGCCTGGAGCAAATCACAGACATTGCCTCACTTTAAGGAGAAGCGGGGCTAATACTTCCTTCTATATCTCCAGGAGGAGTAAGAAGCCAGATTTTGGTGACTGATCATACTGTTTTGGTACCACATTAATCTGGTATCATTAGAGGTGAAATACAAAGAAAATAACCCATATCTACTGTGAATGTCACTACCTAAAATGTGGACATTTATCATCACTGAAAATAGAATCCAGACTCCTTGGACCATTTCCTGGGAATGGGAAGTCCTAGATTTTAGGAAGATAAGACTGGACTTAAAACATTATAATGCTGTTCTTAAAACCTTTTTCACCAGGCATGGTGGCTCACGCCTGTAATCCCAGCACTTTGGGAGGCCAAGGCAGGTGGATCACGACGTCAGGAGTTCAATACCAACCTGGCCAAGACGGTAAAACCCCATCTCTACTAAAAATACAAAAAAAATTAGCTGGGCATGGTGATGGCCGCCTACAATCCCAGCTATTCAGGAGACTGAGGCAGAGAACTGCTTGAACCCAAGAGGCGGAGCTTGCAGTGAGCCGAGATCACGCCACTGCACTCCAGTCTAGGCGACAGAGTGAGACTCCATCTCAAAAAAAAAAACAAACCTTTTTCAAATTTTTGGATTCTAAAGTTTATATGAAAACACAAAGTCCCAAAAATAGATTGAAAGGTTAAAGAAGAAGTTGTAAGACTGCACTGATGAATACTGAGATGATATAAATAGGAATCTAGAGCAGGATTCTTTACATTGACAAGCAAGTTTTAGAATTTATTGGGAAAGGCAAAGGAACTAGAATAGCTGAAACATTTTGAAAAGTTAGAATTAAGTGGAGAAATCACACTACCCAGTTTTAAGAATTACCATAAAGCTACAGTAATCAAAGCAGTATGGTATTAGTGAATGAAGAGACACATAGGTCAATGCGCCAGAATAAGGAATCCAGAAATACACCCCCCCAAACATGGCCAATAGTTTTTTTTAAACAAAGGCACACAAATAATTAAATACAGAAAGGACTGTCTTTTCAACTAATGGTGTTGCAACAATTAACCGTCTATATGCAAAAACACTTTACAATGGATCATAGATTATAAATATAAATCTTAAAACTGGGCAGCTTTTATTTGGGGGTTTCCTGTTTTTTATTTTCACTTACTTATTTATTTTTGAGACGCAGTTTTGCTCTTGTTGCCCATGCTGGAGTGCAATGGCATGGTCTCGGCTCACTGCAACCTCCGCCTCCGAGGTTCAAGCCATTCTCCTACCTCAGCCTCCCGAGTAGCTTTATGATCTTATAAGTCACTCTATAGTTTCACTTCTATATAATAACTTATAGTCATGTATAGTTTCACTGCTGGACTCAACTGGTTTATCAGCCTTTGGGGTCAGCCCACATTCAAGAGGAAGGGGCACAGACTCTTCTTCTGTATGGGAGAATTATCAAATAATTTTCATGTCTTGAACCACCACGCCATGGTTTTCCGACTCCAGAGTCCATGTGTACTTCTTTTCACTATATGGTGTGGACATACTTGTTCCTGGGAATCCAGTGCCAATCAGACAGCGGCGATATGGTGAGTTATATTTGTTCTGACCTCGTGAGACTCTGTACAGCCCCACTAAGAATGAAAAGAACATTCCTACCTGGTTCCTGATATGACTGCTCCTCACTAGAGATCAGTGTATTCAGAATGCCAAAGCTCTACTCCCAGTGTCATGGGGAAGCTCCAAGTGGCCCAGTCAAACGTGGCAGGTTATCACTAACCAATAAGAGCGACCAACTATCTGTGATCAAGGCTAAATGCCAGAGAAGAAAATCTAATCGCTGCAGGGGAAGAGAAGTCACTATATTGGAAATGAACACTTCCAAGACAAAGAAACACTGGTTTCAATTAAGACACAAATGCTGGGAAAAGAAAAGTCAGTGCAGGCTGCTGCAGTGGCTCACGCCTGTAATCTCAGCACTTTGGGAGGTTGAGGCAGGAGGATCACTTGAGCTCAAGAATTTGACAACAGCCAGGGCAACACAGAGATACCCCATCACTAGAAAATTTTTTTTAATGGCCAGGCGTGGTGGTGTGTGCCTGTGGTCAGAGCTACTAGGGAGGCTGAAGTGGGGGATCCCATGGGCCCCGGAGGGAGATCTTGTCTCTAAATCAATAAATAAGTAAATAACCCCAAAAATAAAAAAAAATTAAAAAGTCAATGCATAACATAACTGGTACATATACCGAGTCTCTAAGAGAATAACTCATTAGTGGTACCATCTTATAAATGAGAAAAAAAATGCAGGAAGGTGAGGAACGTTCCGGGATCACTGTGAGAGACAGCTACTGCTGCCCAAAGAGCCACTGTCTTTGCCTACTTTGCAGCCTCTGTTGCAGTTGGGTTAGAGACTTGTGACTAGCCTGGTCAACAGACTGTGAGTGGAACTAATGTGTGTCACTTCCTGGGTGAGGCAGTGAATAGGTAACGTCCTCCTTCAGTTCTCTCTTCTCCTCCCACAATGACCCTGGGGGTCAGATGTTGAGTTAGCGGCACCACAGAATGGAAGAAGCCTAGATTTTGACTCACAGCTTTGAGAAATGTCCCCATAAACCCTCATCAGACTATGCATGGATGAGAAAAAACTTAATGACTCCAGCCATGAGATCTGAGGAACTGCTTGTTGCTACACCAGTCTGTCCTATACAGGTAAGTACAGTTACTGAGATTGTGTCAGAGCTGAGATTACAAGGCCAGGTGGGACTCTGACTCTGAGGGGTTGTTCGTGTAATGATTATACCTGATGCAAAAAAAAAAAAAAAAAAGAATAAAAAAGAAAAAAGAAACTAGCTATAACATACTTTTTATTATTAATTTTTTTGAGATGGAGTTTCACTCTTGTTGCCCAGGCTGGAGTGCAATGGTGCGATCTTAGCTCACTGCAACTTCTGCCTCTGGGTTCAAGTGATTCTCCTGCCTCAGCCTCCCAAGTAGCTGGGATTATAGGCATGCGCCATCATGCCAGGCTAATTTTGTATTTTTAGTAGAGATGGAGTTTCTTCATGTTGGTCAGGCTGGTTTCAAATTCCCGACCTCAGGTGATCCGCCAGTCTCAGCCTCCCAAAGTGCTGGGATTATAGGCGTGAGCCACCGTGCCCACCCTAGTTTTTATTTTTTTATTTTTATTTTTATGTTTTTGAGACAGAGTCTCACTCTCTTGCCCAGGCTGGAGTGCAATTGCATGATCTCGGCTCACTGCAACCTCTGACTCCCAGGTTCAAGCAATTCTCAAGCCTCAGTCTCCTGAGTAGCTGGGATTACAGGCGTGCGCCACCATGCCTGGCTAATTTTTGTATTTTTTTGTAGAAACAGGGTTTTGGCATGTTGGCCAGGCTGGTCTCCAACTCCTGATGTCAAGTGATCCGTCCGCCTCAGCCTCCCAAAGTGCCCGGCCAATTATAACATACTTTAAAAAATAACTGGATGAAGAGTTACATACTAAAGGGAACTAGCTATTTAGTCCTCTAAATTATAGCTACCTTATAGGAAGTCACATGATGCTAGCAGAAAAGGATTAGTTTCAGGTAAAACAGGAAAATACAGTTGCTGTTTCACAATAGGAAAATATAAAACATAAAGTATTTTACCACTATAGAAGGGAACAGATGTCTGTAGTTATTACCCTGTGTAAAGCCAGATTGGTATGTACCATAAATTCAGGCTAAAAAGTGCCTATTAGAGATTGAAAGTCTCAGGAACACAAGCTCCATGTCTTTGGAAGACTAAAAATATGCTTAATTCTAAGATACAACTCTGATTAGAGGCAGAATTAATAGCATATAAGGTTAATTTATGGTCATGGAGAGAAAAATGGGTAAAAATACCTGCTGCAATAAGCTCTTCTAGAATGTTCCTGAAAGATAACGTGGTAGGCAGAATTCTACAAATTCTCTCCCCTCAAGATTTCCCACCCTAATCCCTGGATGAATAGGATGAAATATAACATCCACAAATATGTTATATTACATGGTAAAAGGGACTTTGCAGATGTAATTATGGTTATTAACCAGTTGACCTGAAGATAGGATATTATTTTAGATAATCTGGGTGGCCCTAATCAAATGACGTAGTCTTCTAAAACAAACTTGTCTTAGCTAGCAGCAGCAGAAGTCAGAGATACAAAGCACAAGAGGAATTCAATGCATTGTTGCTGGCTTTGATGAAGTGGGGGTCACATCCCAAGGAATGTGGATGGCATTTAGGAGCTGAGAAAAGACCCTGGTTTACAGTGAGGAATTAAACAGGGATCTCAGTTCTACAACTTCAAGAAACTGAATTCAGCCAACAGTCTGAATGATCTTGGAAGTGGGTTCTTCCAATAAGAGTCTAGACTGGATGACTTAGGAGATCTTAAACAGAGAACAAAGCATCAACAGAAAACTAATACAATAATAATTCAGCTTAAATACTTCTGCTTAAGTACTTTCAACGACTGAGTGCTCGTAACTTTACAGGAATGTTTTTTCTTTCCATTGGAAGCTCTAAAGATTCGAATGATCTCAAATTAAGTCATCCGCAAGCCTGCAAATTTTGTTCCTCAGTTCTTGGTATTCTTCTCAAATGCAAATCTGAAAACATCTGAAGACAGCTATCATTTTGTCAGATACAAATCTCAAGTTCCTCATCATCTTAAGAATGCAAAATTACCTGTCTCTTAAAATGTGGTGCCTGGAACTGAAAGCAATACCTCAAAAGTGGTCTGACTAGAAGTGTCTGCTTTGAAATCTGACTCCTTTTGATCTGAAATCTACATCTATTAATTAAACAAAGTTACTATATTTTTTTAAAAGTGTAACTCAATCTTTTTTCTTTCTTTTTTTTTTAGACAGAGTCTCGCTCTGTTGCCAGGCTGGAGTACAGTGGTATGATCTCAGCTCCCTGCAACCTCTGCCTCTTGGGTTCATGAGATTCTCCTGCCTCAGCCTCCTGAGTAGCTGGGACTACAGATGCGCGCCATCACGCCCAGCTAATTTTTGTATTTTTAGTAGAGACAGGGTTTCACCATGTTGGCTAGGATGGTCTCGATCTCTTGACCTCGTGATCCGCCCGCCTCAGCCTCCCAAAGTGTTGGGATTACAGGCATGAGCCACCACACCCAACCCTATAACTCAATCTTGATTAACACTGAGCTTGAGGTGAACTACAACTTCCAGATTTTTTTTTTTTTCACATGAATGGCTAAAAATTCCTGTCTTCTTTACTCTGTAACCATGCTGTTGATTTTCTTTTCTTTTTCTTTATTCTTTTTGTTTTACTTAGATGTAGACTCCAAATGCATCAGATCCTTGTAAAATTTCCCCTTTTGTTTTTGGACCATTATTAAACCTGCGTAGACAGTTCGCAACCTAACTCTGACTTCCCACAGTTTGACCATTCCTTCTTGCTTGATGACTCCATTAATTTGATGAGGATGCCTTCTGTATCTCCATCTACATCACGGATAAAGACGTTGAGAAGGATGGGTAAAGGATAATGCCCTCTGGGTATCCCTTTCACTTGGACATTTGCTAATTATTCAACTAGCTGCAAATTCACCTTCATCTTACTCCCTATACAATGACCTGGCCTATGTTTCTAAATCTTTTCTACAGGAATCCAGATCCATCCATTTAGATAGTCTTTTTTTTTAGAGGAACCTACCAAGAGTTATAGAAGTTGATGTCTCTCTCTCTCTCTCTTTTTTTTTTAACACCTATTGCCTAGATCAGGGATAAAGAATACATTCTGGCCAAGCACGGTAGCTCACACCAATAATCCCAGCACTTTGGGAGGCCGAGGCCGGTGGATCACTTGATGTCAGGAGTTCAAGACCAGGCTGGCCAATATGATGAAACCCCATCTTTACCGAAAATACAAAAATTAGCCAGGCATGGTGGCTCACGCCTGTAGTCCCAGCCACTTGGAAGGCAGAGGCAGGAGAATCGCTTGAACCCGAGAGGCAGAGGTTGCAGTAAGCCGAGATTGCACCACTACACTCCAACCTGGGTAACAGGGTGAGACTGTCTCAAAACAAAACAAAGAAAATTCTGAATTGTCAACTCCAAACTAGTGGCTACCTAGAGTGTTGTATTGAGAAGGATCTTATGACCTGACTATAGCAGGAAAAATTTCTGGGGTTGATTAATTATGTCTGCCAGAAAATAGAGTGTGCCACATGTTTGCCAGTCTGTCTATATAGTCAGATTACAAATATCTTACCGTAGCTTCCTATACCTGGTTGACAGATTCCTAATCCATTAAGGGCAGGGGAATGTTGAAGGACCAGGAGAAACCAAGGCCCAGGGTATTAAGTCAAACGCAAGCTGTTTATGTCAAAAGCAGATAGATGGTAATCTCTCAAAACTCCTTATCACCTTGCCTCAACTTCTCATTGGCTCTCCACTGTGCCACACACCCTCATCTTCCTACAAGCTATAGGTTTAAAGGAATCTTAAATTCCAACCAGGGAAAGATGAGTTTCTGGCAGCCTCATTTGGAATTTGAATGAACGTTCCTGTGGGTCGGCTCCTTAACAACCTATGCTGAATGAAGGAATAATCATTAGAAATATTGTTAGCCATGGCAGAAGTTAAGTTTCTTAATACAGGACCAATCTTCACTTACATGAACCAGTTAAATAGGTCCTGAAGACTGACCTGGGCATCCTGATCATTTGTGACACAGTTTCTACAGGAAAATGAGTTGGGAGTCGCATTTAGAAACACACTGGAAGGAGCTGAACCTTTGTCTGAAAGTTAAGCACCCGCGCCACCCAACTTGCACAATTTGTTCATATTTCCAAGAGTATAAATTTTATCCTCCTTGTTAATTATATGTGCCTTCTGCTTATTATATGCCTACAGGTCACAGGAACCTCAAGTATTTCACAGAATGATGCCAAGGAGCGCAGTTTCTACACCATCCCTCCCGATCAGACCACATCTATTCCAATCTCAGTCTCAAACTCTTCCCCTTTTTCAACTCACATTAATGAATTCACTAAGTACCTAGCACTGAGAATAAAAAGCTAAAGCAGCATCCGTCTTCTCTACTCTCACACAGCTTACAGTCCACAGCAAAGCGCAAGTCATCAAACACACGCGCTCCACCTGCCACCCCTAAAGCCCAGGCGCATCACGCTCGGCTCCACCTCTTCATCTAGCCCCGCCCCTTCCTGCAGGCCACACCCCTTTCTCTATCAGGCTCCTCCCTTTATGCCATAAGCCTTTTTTCCTCATCTAGCTCTTCCCCTTCCTCCGCCAGTTCCTACCGTGCCACAAAGACGCCTGCCCTTCTTTCAAACTATCCCATTCAGAAAAGCGTTCTGGATTGCCCGTTCGAATTCCTCCCCGTCCTCCGTCTACCCACCCTTAAAGGGTTCCGCTCCCAACGGATCCTCCTCAGGCCCCGCCCCTCCCCAGACCCCGCCCGCTCTGGGGAAGCCCCGGCACATAGTGCCTCTGCCTTTCGCTCCCTCTCGCTTCCTTTCGAACGAGGCAGGGACTCTCGCTCTGTCGCCTTTGGAGTGGTCCCGGGCCTTGCCCCAGGGGTGGAGAAATGGCCGCTCACACCTACCTGTGGGGCCAAGCGGATGGAAGGCCCCGAGACAGCTAGTCCCGGCCTACTGGCAAGAGCTACTCAGGTCGCTGCCGGATGGGCCGTTGCCTTGGGTTACGACCACGCTGGGGGCGGGACCGCGGCGGAAGTGACGTAGCCCAACAAAGCCTAGCACTGGCGAGGCGGTTCGTGGCATCTCCTATCCGCTCCGGGCGCTGCCGCCGGAAGGGCCAGCGACGGAGGGTCTCAGATGGCGGGGCTTGAGGCCCACCCGGGCTCTCGGGTCGGCGAGTCCCGTTGGGGAGCCCTTGTGCCTGCTAGGATATTTAGCAGATGCCAGGCGGCCAGAAACGTCCTCACTTTTCTCCCTCGGCCCTCTGGGGAACCGCCGTGAGCGTTTCCCACGGACACAAACTTAACAGGCCCAGAACGTCCAGGGAGGACGCGTTGTGAGCCTCAAAGAGCCCACTTACGTGACCGACAGCACCAGGCCGACGGGCACTCGCTGAACTGCTGGCCCGGAGCAGCACAGCTCTTAAGTGGGCAGTGGCATCTTTTATACAAATAAAGGAAGGTGGCCCCACGTCCCTAAAACAACAGCTTGCTGAAGAGAGATCGCAAAGCATCCCCCACTCCAGCTCGGGTCTGACTCCAAAGCCCTTCTGCTTTAGAAAGTGTGACTATTTCTGCTGTAGAAAACCGGTATCTAGGCCAGGCGCGGTGGCTCACGCCTGTAATCCCAGCACTTGGGAGGCCGAGGTGGGTGTATCACCTGAGATCAGGAGTTCGAAACTAGCCTGGTCAACATGGCGAAACCGTGTCTCTACTAAAAATACAAAAATTCGCCGGGTGTGGTGGCGGGCGCCTGTAATCTCAGCTATTTGGGAAACTGAGGCAGGAGACTGGCTCGAACCCGGGTGGCGGAGGTTGCAGTGAGCTGTGATGGCACCACTGCACTCCAGCCTGGAGAGCAAAACTCAAGTCTCAAAAAAAATTTTGGTATCTAAGTTCTCTAGCACTGTGATTGCTCCAATGAGACGGATTCAGCTATAATTCTATTCCAACTTTTTTCATACGTGTAAGCTTAGGTACCTTGTTCACATAAATAGGAAGATGCAAATAAAAGGGGTTTTATTGTATCTCAAGCTAGTAAGTATTAACCAAAAACATTTAAATGTTTTATCAGTTGACAATTTGTTTTGGTCTTCCTTCAGATCTATTGAAAACAGCTGGGCACCGTGGCTCACACCTGGAATCCCAGCTGAGGCAGGAGGCTCCCTTGAGCCCAGGAGTTGAAGGTTGCAGTAAGCTATGATTGTGTCACTGCACTCCAGCCTGGGAAACAGTGCAAGACCTTGCATATTAGAAAAAAGTTTCTGGGAAGTATACCAAAAGTCTTAACTAAGATTTGCTAAATGAATATTAATTAAATAACCTAACGGCAAGTACATGGGGAAGTTGGAGGATCTAGAACCTGACTTCCTTCACACTAACTATTCCTGCATTTAGCAGGTAAAAGCCCGATAGCATGATTGAGTGGAAACATGAAGGGACAAGGGTTTGGCTAGTTATGTTTATAAAAAGTCAACATAGGAATTGAGTCAAGATACCAGAAACTCTACTTATAGTAAGATCCCACTTTGCAAAAACGGAGAATGGAAGCGTACAGAACTGTACCTTCTCCTCAATTTTGCTGTGACTGTAAACTTCCTCTAACACATAAAATGTATTTTAAAGAAAAAAAGCCAGGAGTGGTGGCTTGCGTCTGTAATACCAGTTACTCACAGGAGAGGCTAAGGCAGGAGAATCACTTGAGACCAGCTTGGGAAGTGTCACAAGACCCCATATCTATTTTTTAAAATTAAAGGGAGATGGGTGGGTGCGGTGGCTCACACCTGTAATCCCAGCACTTTGGGAGGCTGAGGCGGGTCAATCACTTGAGGTCAGAAGTTCAAGACCAGCCCAGCCAACATGGCGAAACCCCATTTCAAAACCCTAATACAAAAATTAGCCGGGTGTGGTGATGGACGCCTGTAATCCCAGCTACTCAGGAGGCTGAGGTGGGAGAATCACCTGAACCCGTGAGGTGGAGGTTGCAGTGAGCCAAGATCGCACCATTGCACTCCAGCCTGGGCGGCAGGAAAGGCCTGTTGCAGGGAAGAAAGAGGAATTTAATCCTGGTGTAAAGAAAGGCACCTCTTTAAGTATGGGAAGGAAGGTGTGATTTGGTCTGAAAGAACACAGTAAAAAAGACACGCTTGTAGTTAGCATAATTTTTTAAACTGTGCTCTTTTTAGTAGCCCCAGAAAAACTATAGAAATTGGAAAAATTCAGCAGCTGGGCGCGGTGGCTCACGCCTGTAATCCCAGCACTTTGGGAGGCCGAGGCGGATGGATCACGAGGTCAGGAGATCGAGACCATCCTGGCTAACTCAGTGAAAGGCCGTCTCTACTAAAAATGCAAAAAATTAGCCGGGCGAGGTGGCAGGCGCCTGTAGTCCCAGCTACTCGGGAGGCTGAGGCAGGAGAATGGCGTGAACCCGGGAGGCGGAGCTTGCAGTGAGCCGAGATCGCGCCACTGCACTCCAGCCTGGGCGACAGAGCCAGACTCCATCTCAAAAAAAAAAAAAAAAAAAAAAAAAGAAAAAGAAAAGAAATTGAAAAAATTCAGAAATTCTGATTTGCTGAGGAACTGATCTGAATGGCCAGCCTCATTTTCATAGTAGTATGCCCATGCAGAGCTCCCTAGTGGTTTATTAAAACCTAAAACTGGCCAGGCGCGGTGGCTCACACCTGTAATCCCAGCACTTTGGGAGGCCGAGGCGGGTGGATCATCTGAGGTCAGGAGTTTGAGACCAGCCTGGCCAACATGTCGAAACCCCATCTTTACTAAAAATACAAAAATTAGCTGGGCATGGTCGTGGTCCGGGTGCCTGTATTCCCAGCTACCCTGGAGGCTGAGGCAGGAGAATTGCCTGAATCCGGGAGGTGGAGGGCCTGGGCAAAAGAGCGAGACTCCGTCTCAAACAAAACAAAAAACAAAACAAAACCTAAAGCTAACGACAAAACTACCTGGGAGGTGATAGCAGAAAAAAAATTTAACACTTGCAGGGTAACCTATTCAGTTTCTCAAGTTTTAGTTACTAGAAAGCTTTCTTCAAAACTTCTATTAATCTGCTCTACTAATGCCAAAACCATTCAAAAGGAATATGAGGTCATGAAAATTAAATTCCCTGGATTCAGTCAATTTGGAGGGCCATTCAAAGCCTGTATTTTTGGCAGCACTGTGACATCAATGACAGTGGATTTGGCTCTGTGTTCTAAATAGTGGAAGAGCAAGTTGCCAAATGTTCTGCTCTTTGAAAAAAGAGGGGTTGTTACAGAGCAAGTTATGTGTGTCTTTGGCAGGAAAAGGGAAAAATAAAAAACTGCCCACCTTCTTCAGAGACTATAACCACTCACGGACTTTCATACTCTAGAATGGCCACTTTTGCTTCCCACCTTTATTTAGAACATTCAACCTCCCCCTCTTCCCTGAGATTCCCATTAAAAATTTTTTTTTTTTTTTTTGAGACGGAGTCTCGCTCTGTTGCCCAGGCTGGAGTGCATGGCATCATCTTGGCTCACTGCAGGCTCCGCATGTGGGGTTCATGCCATTCTTCTGCCTCAGCCTCCCAAGTACCTGGGACTACAGGCGCCCGCCACCATGCCCGGCTAATTTTTTTGTATTTTGAGTAGAGACGGGGTTTCACCGTGTTAGCCAGGATGGTCTCGATCTCCTGACCTCGTGATCCGCCTGCCTCGGCCTCCCAAAGTGCTGGGATTACAAGCGTGAGCCACCGCGCCTGTCCCATTTAAATATTTTTATAGTAAAATTTGCTAAGGGACTGATTAAGAGTAGACCAGGAAATATGAAAATCATTACCACGACCACCCAACTATTTAACAAATTTCTTATCCTATCACCTTTCATACCTGTGAAATGATGGTAGTAATCGATGTGTCTAGAGAACTTTCAAAACTAAAGGGTAAATCTATGTAATTATTACTCATCCCCATCTATTTTCAAAGCAGACAGATCAATTAACATGATTGACAATTACGCAATATAGACAATCATCCAGGATACCTTGGATACTTTTTTTTTTTTGAGATGCGTTCTCACTGTCACTCAGGCTGGAGTACAGTGGTGTGATCTTGGCTCACTGCAGCCTTGACCTCCCAGACACAAAGTGATTCTACCTGACTCCCAAATAGCTGGGACCAGAGGCACATGCCACCATGCCAGGCTAATTTTTATATTTTTGTAGAGACGGGGTTTCACCATGTTGCCCAGGCTGGTCTCAAACTCCTGGGCTCAAGAGATCCACCCACCTTAGCCTCCCAAAGTGGTAGGATTACAGGCGTGAGCCACCACACCTGGCCAATACTTAAGATTTAAGGGTACAAAGATATAGTTCAGCAGTGATATGGCTACTGGCAGAGGCTTGGAATGAAGTTTCTTCAGCTGAGGAGCAGGAAAGATTTGTATGTTATTTACCTACCTACTTTTGCTAAGTCCTTATTTTTGCTGTTTATTCACCACCAGAAGGTGGTACTATATGAATACTTCTCTTTTCCTCTAGTAACTGAGAAAATGATACAGGAGTTTATCTCCTCTTGCTCTGTGTGTATGTATATATATATTTGCATGTGCATATAGACCCCCCACCCCAATATTATCAGCATATTACAGTTGGTTAGCGTATGCTGTGTATTAGCTACTTGGAAATAACTTTTGGCACTCTAAATATGCTTAAGCTGCAAAGAATACTATCAGAGTCCATTATCTGAGCTCATAAAGCTTCAGTCCTTGTCCACTTTTATTCCCATGACTTAAGTGGAAACCTGAACGTGGTTTAACAACTTAAAAACACCATGTGCTATACTGATCAAAACTTCCACCTTCCTCTGTCTTTCCTCTTCTTTCTTCAGACCTCGCATGATAGAAAATCAAAGTTGGTGATTTATTTTTTATTATGTTAAAGGTGACAGATCTTGGCTTAAGAAAAACCAGATTTGTGACTAAAGAAAACATTTTCTTGGAGCTTTGCATTGTTCTGGCTTAAATTTCCTTTTAAAAAGTAACTTTCCGTAAGTTAAAGTTAGCACTTTCACAAATACTAGCAGAGTTACTAAATGAAATATTAACATCAAAACAAACATGATTAACGAAGAAGTATTTTATTATTTTGCTGCAAAGCTGTTGCTTCACTGTATAAAAATAGCACCAGCAAATGCAGTGTATCGCAAAATTAAGATAGTGGTGTTCCTCATCTGACACTGTACAAGCAACAAAACCTCTTCACTTCCAGTTATTTCCAATGGAAAGATCATTAAGTATTTCATCCCAAATCCAGGTATGGATACATGCAAGTTACAATATTATATAAGGCTTAAGAATAACAATGTTATCTTTGAATTATGTAATTTTTATAACTAGTTTTTACCATGGATAATTTCATGAATTCTGAACACTAGAGCCTAGTCTAAAAATCATAGGATATTGTGAAAAAGACGCATATTATATTTATCTATAATCATTAGAAAGTTAAAGGGCATTTTCTTTCATTAGCAGTGTTAACAGTAGTTTTTTTTTCCCCATCGGTAATACTAAAAGTTTCTATTCTAAGTCTTCTATCCACCACTAATTTAAGACAACTCTGCTGGCTTGCGTTATTTCATACTAGTTTATTTAGGAGTTCCATTTTCACTCCTCAATAGATTTTATGTATTTCTCATATGCTTCTTCACTCATAAGTTCATCTAGTTCTGAAGGGTTACTCAGTGTCATCTTGATCAGCCAACCTGCAACCAAAAGACAACCTTATATTCCACATTAACTTTTTAAAAAGTCAAATTCATCCAAAACGTAAAATAAATTTCTGAGCGCCTCAATCTTGTATTCTTTACAAAAACCATACATTATTTGTTCATAGAACTTTAAATTTTAGCCTTAAGAATTAAAATACTTGTATATAACAAATGAAAATAATTATGGCTAGAATAGATTCCACCATAATAAATTAAGAACTCTTAGGTTGTAATAAGCATCAGAAAATGACATTTAAATCTTTAAGGGCCGGGCACGGTGGCTCATGCCTGTAATCCCAGTACTTTGGGAAGCGAAGGCAAGCAAATCACTTGAGGCTAGGAGCTCTAGACCAGCCTGGCCAACATAGTGGAACCCCATCTCTACCAAAACCACAAAAATTAGCTGGGCGTGGTGGCAGTTGCCCTTGATCCCAGCTACTGGGAAGCTGAGGCAGAAGAAGTGCTTGAACCCGAGAAGGGGAGGTTGCAGTGCACCGAGATCACGCCACTGCACTCCAGCCTGGGCGACAGAGGGAGACTCTGTCTCAAAAAAATAATAAAAATAAGTCCTTAAATATATGATCCAAATACACAAGACCAGGTATGTCTTTAACAAATGGAACACTAACTACTGAGGTTAACGGGATTAGAAAGCAGTAGTAATTAGAAGGGCTAGGTGACAGACAAAAGAGAACTACAACCTAATCCTAGCTTTGCCATTTATCAGCCATGAGACCCTGACAGATAAATCCTTTGGAGCCTCTATTCATCTACAAAATAGAGAAAATTGCTGTTAGCTTACCTGATTAGATTATAAGGGTGAAAATGTGAGAAAACCAAAAATTAATGCAAAATATATATTTTTTTACCTCCCATGTCACACAATATGAGTGGCTGCTTTATGTCTGAAAAAGTAAATACTTTGCAGATGTTTACACCAAAACCAAAGAATCTACAACTGATATCAAGAAACTGCAAAATAAGGTAATGCTTTTATCATCAGAGATTTTTTTTTCTTTTTTTGAGAAGGTCTCGCTCTGTCACTCAGGCTGGAGTGGAGTGGTGCGATCTTGGCTCACTATAGACTGCAGCCTTGACCTCCCAGGTTCAAGCAATTCTCCCACCTCAGCCTCCCTAGTAACTGAGACTACAGGCACATTCCACCACAGCCAGCTAATTTTTGTATTTCTATAGAGACAGAGTTTCACCATGTTGCCCAGGCTGGTCTCCAACTCCTGGACTAAAGCAATCCACCCACCTTGGCCTCCCAAAGTGCTGGGATCACAGGCGCGAGCCACTGCGCCTAGCCAGAAATCTTAAACATAACTTTAAGTATTCAACTAACCTCTGTTTTTCTTTTAAAGCAGAACATCTCTATTTAGTACCAAGAAGTAGAAAAAGATGAAGTCACAATCAGCTAAACTTGCTTTAAATTCTAGATAAAATATTTACTGTAGTAGTAATTCCTTGAGAAATTTCTAGCAACAGCTTACCATCTTCATAACAAGATTTGTTTACAAGTCCTGGATTTTCTGCAAGAGCTTCATTAATTTCAGTTACTTCTCCTGATAAAGGAGAATAGAGTTCACTAGCAGCTTTCACACTTTCCAAAGCACCAAACTCATCTAAGTGGAAAAAAAATTAAAGAAAACATGAAATGTTAAAAGTCAGTTACTTGAAAACATAAAATACGAAAAAGTAGATTCCTGTCATACAGCTATGATTTTAAAATTCCAAATTTCTTTTTTTTTTTTTTTTGAGATGGAGTCTCGCTCTGTTGCCCAGGCTGGAGTGCAGTGGCGCAATCTCACGTCACTGCAAGCTCCACCTCCCAAGGGTTCATGCCATTCTCCTGCCTCAGCCTCCCGAGTAGCTGGGACTACAGGCGCCCACCTGCCACCACGCCCGTCTAATTTTTTGTATTTGTAGTAGAGACGGGGTTTCACTGTGTTAGCTAGGATGGTCTCAATCTCCTGATGCCGTGATCCGCCCGCCTCGGCCTCCCAAAGTGCTGGGATTATAGGCATAAGCCACTGCACCTGGCTCTTTTTTTTTTTTTTTTTTGAGACGGAGTCTCGCTCTGTCACCAGGCTACAGTACAATGGTGTGTTCTAGGCTCACTGCCACCTCTGCCTCCCGGGTTCAAGCCATTCTCCTGCCTCAGCCTCCCAAGTAGCTAGGATTACAGGCGCGCACCACCACGCCCAGCTAATTTTTGTATTTTTAGTAGAGACAGCGTTTCACTGTGTTGGCCAAGCTGGTCTTGAACTCCTGACCTCGTGATCAACCCGCCTCAGCCTCCCAAAGTGCTGGGATTATAACCGTGAGCCACCGTGCCTGGCCTACATTTCTTTAATTAAAAATAAAACCATAAGTTTTGTCAGGCTATAATAACCACGAGAAGGGTATATATTGTCTCAATAAAGTGGACCTATCTGTGTGTCCTGGACACAGTAAATAACAAATGGTGATGTGCCTGAATGCCAGATGTGTGTAGGTTCAGTAAAACTCCATGTTCTTGCAACTTAGCTGTGGCTCAGAAAAAAACAAAATGAAAACTTTAGAATGTTCCAGTGACAGTGAAGTACCCTGTATCAGATAACAATTATAAGCTCTGGGCCAGGCGTGGTGGCTCATGCCTGTAATTCCAGCACTTTGGAAGACCAAGGCAGGAAGATCACCTGAGGTCAGTAGTTTGAAACCAGCCTAGCCAACATGGTCTCTACTAAAATACAAAAAAATTAGCCGGGCGTGGTGGTGGGCGCCTATAATCCCAGCTACTTGGGAGACTGAGGCAGGAGAATCACTTGAACCCGGGAGGTGGAGGTTGCAGTGAGCCGAGACCATGCCATTGCAGTCCAGCCTTGGTGACAGTGTGAGACTCCGTCTCAAAAACAAAAAAAACGGCCGGGCGCGGTGGCTCACGCCTGTAATCCCAGCACTTTGGGAGGCCGAGGCGGGTGGATCATGAGGTCAGGAGATCGAGACCATCCTGGCTAACAAGGTGAAACCCCGTCTCTACTAAAAATACAAAAAATTAGCCGGGCGCGGTGGCGGGCGCCTGTAGTCCCAGCTACTCGGGAGGCTGAGGCAGGAGAATGGCGTGAACCCGGGAAGCGGAGCTTGCAGTGAGCCGAGATTGCGCCACTGCAGTCCGCAGTCCGGCCTGGGCGACAGAGCGAGACTCCGTCTCAAAAAAAAAAAAAAAAAAAAAAAAAAAAAAAAAAAAAAAAAAAAAAAAAAAAAAACAAAAAAAACACAATTATGAACTCTGAACTACTGGCCAGGAACGGCGGCTCATGCTTGTAATCCCAACACTTTGGGAAGCCAAGGCGGGTAGATCACTTGAGGTCACGAGTTCAAGACCAGCCTGGCCAACATGGTGAAACCCCGCCTCTACCAAAACCTCGAAATAAATAAATTAATTAATTTAAAAAATTAGCCTGGTGTGGTTGTGCATGCCTGTACTCCCAGCTACTTGGGTGGCTGAAAAAGGAGAATTGCTTGAACCTAGGAGGCGGAGGTTGCAGTGAGCCAATGTCGCACCATCGCATTCCAGCCTGGGCAACAGAGCAAGACTCCGTCTCAAAAAAATAAGAAGAAAAAAAAAAGAACAGTTTAAAAAAGGCTGAAAAGTTAACAGTCTTAGGGACCCTATAGGACAATATCAAGTGATATGACGAACATGTCTCAAATCAGAGAAGGAAAAAGGAATGAAGTGGGAAGAGAAAGAAATCATGACTAAAATAAGAAGTCTCCAAATTTAATCGAAAAAAAATTCAATCTACAGATTCAAGAAGCTTGGTAAATCCCAAAAGCAGCCAAACGTAACACACACTGTGTGATTCCTTTCATATAAAGAATAGGCAAAATAAACCTATGGTGTAGAAACGAGAGAAGAGGTCATCTATTTGACTAGGAAGGTTTATTTAAGTGTATACATTTGTTAAAACTCACTGAATTGTACACTTCTGGTCCATGCATTTCACTGTATGTAGATTTTACATCAAGTTAAAAAACTACCTTTAGCAGAATGTCTTAAAAGGGTATTCATTAGTTTAAGGATATTATCTAACATATCGATATTAATAGACTTTTTTTCTCTCTTTTTTTTAAAACGGAGTCTTGCTCTGTTGCCCAGGCTGGAGTACAGTGATGGGATCTCGGCTCACTGCAACCTCCGCCTCCCAAGTTCCAGCAATTCTCCTGTCTCAGCCTCTGAGTAGCAATTACTTTTACACCAACCTAATACTTGGGTCAAAAGCACTCTAATTGGCTGGGCACGGTGGCTCACACTTGTAATCTCAGCATTTTGGGAGGCCAAGGCGGGCGGATCACTCGAGGTCAGGAGTTCGAGACCAGCCTTGCCAACATGGGGAAACTCTGTCTCTACAATACAAAAATTAGCTGGGCGTGGTGGCACGTGCCTGAGACACAAGAATCGCTTTAACCCAGGAGGCAGAGGTTACAGTGGGCCGAGATGGTGCCACTGCACTCCAGCCTGGGTGACAAAGCAAGACTGTCTCCAAAAAAAAAAAAGCACTCTAATTAATCCAGGGTACAAACAAATTACTATTCAATGTAAACAAAATTCATGGCATGGATCATTCTAAGATCCTAAGAACACTCACCTTGTTTGTTCAATTTTGTCCCAACTTCAGGGAGACTACAATAAACAACATCTCCCAACGCTTCCTAAATAAAACAAGACAAAACCAAAAATCTCTAAGAAGTTATAACTAAACCCTCCAGTAAACAGAATAAGCCAAACACTGAATCCCCTATAATGAAGATTTAGTATATATTTTATACTGGAGGGGCTACATTCTTGAGTTTTCCTTAAAATCCTTTAAACATGTAAAAACTACTCTCAGTCAGGTGTGGTAGTTCACGCCTGTAATCCCAGCACTTTGAAAGGCCCAAAGTGGGTGTTATCACATGAGGTCAGAAGTTCGAGACCAGCCTGGTTGACATGGTGAAACCCAGTCTCTAATAAAAATACAAAAATTAGCTGGGTGTGGTGGCAGGCACTTGCAATCCCAGCTACTCAGGAGGCTGAGGCAGGAGAATCACTTAAATCTGGGAGGCAGAGGTTGCAGTGAGTTGAGATTGCACCTGTATACTCCAGCCTTGGCGACAGAGCAAGACTCCATGTCAAGAATAAAAATAAATGGCTGGGTGCGGTGGCTCATGCCTGTAATCCCAGCTCTTAGGGAGGCAGAGGTGGGAGGATAGCTTGAGCCCAGGAGTTTGAGACCTGCCTTGGCAATATAGCAAGACCCTGTTCTCCAAAACTAAGTAAAATAAAATGATTTTAAAAAACTATTCTCAACTCAGGAGCTGCAAGAGACCAGCCGCCAGCCAGATCTGGCTCACAGGCTTTAGCAACCTAACACAAGCCTCCTGCCCCACACAAGACTGCTAGCTCTTTGTTTTATTTGGTTTTGAGACAGAGTTTCTCTCTTGTTGCCCAGGCTGGAGTGCAGTGGCCTGATCTCAGCTCACTGCAACCTCTGCCTCCCAGGTTCAAGCGATTCTCCTGCCTCAGCCTCCCAAGTAGCTGGGATTACAGGTGCCCACCACCATGCCTGGTTAATTTTTTAAAATTTTTTGCTAGAGATGCAGTTTCACCATGTTGGCCAGCTGGTCTTGAACTTTTGACCTCAGATAATCAACTTGCCTCGGCCTTCCAAAGTGCTAGGATTACAGGTGTGAGCCACTGCGCCCGGCAAACACTGCTAGCTCTTCTGGGCATGAACATATTTGGTGTTCTTCCACCTCTGTAGTTTTATGTACACCATTGCCCCCAAAGCATTTGCTGAAATCCTGCTCACTGATTCTACAAATCATAGTCCTCACACCTTGTACTCCCTGAAGTCCCTGACTCCAGAAAGAAGTGGTCTCTCCATCAGGTAAGTGAATTACAACCCCACCGTTCCGATGCCATCATGTAATGTTTGCAAGTCATTCTCATGTAGGTAATTCCCCTCACAAATAAACTCTAGGAGGTAAGGACGACATCTTACACAACATCTCAAAAACTATCCAACACTGGGCCTCATAGTAGGTATACAGAGATGCCAAGGAAGATATAATTGTGATTATCAACACACAAGCATCTTACATGTCTGAGGAATTTTGTACAGTCACGTGCCGCCTAATGGCATTTTGGTCAACAACAGACCACATATATGACAGTGGTCCCATGAAATTATAATATAGTTAGTATCACTTGTCCAAAATGCTTGGGAGCAGAAGTGTTTTGGATTTCAGATTTTGGAATACTCGCATTATACTTAATACATGAGCACTCCTCATCCAAGATTCTGGAATCCAAAACGCTCCAATGAGCATTTTCTTTAAGAGTCACGTTGGTGCTCAAAAAGTTTCAGATTTTTGGAGTATTTCAGGGATTAGAGATGCTCAACCTATGCCATATTTTTACTGTACCTTTTCTGTGTTTTGATAGGCCAAGTGTGTTACGATTGCCTACAGTATTCAGTACAGTAACATGCTGTACAGGTTTGTAGCCCAGGAGCAAAGGCTGTACCATACAGCCAAGGTGTGTAATAGGCTGTACCATCTAGGTGTGTGTAAGGGCACCCTAGGAGGCTCACAGAAGGACGCAATCCCCGAGGAGGCAGTTATCAGAACATAGCTCCATCATTAAGTGACACGAGTGCATTCCCATCAGTTAACATCCCCCCTTCCCCGCCTCACCCAATACATACATCCAGTTGAAAATCACTGAACACGCTAGGATTTGGCTTCTCATTTTCTCTTAAACAGTATCGCCATATGGAATTGAGGGGAATTTACAGAGAAAAGATGGGCTGAATAAAAGCCTTCCCTTTGTGTCATCTGTGCCTATTGAGGTTTTCTTTCTTCCCGTCCTCCTGGTCACGTGTGTATCACTGGACCCACAAAATGGTGGCAACACCCTGCTCTTCTTTTTCCTCTTTCCTTAATTGCCCAGTACAAAACACACACATTTCCTTCTTGAATAGGACATGTTTCCTACTTTCAGTGTTAAGCTTGCAACATCTCTTAAAACACCACATAATGCCCTAACTAAATTATGTTTTACTTAATTCAACTCTGGTTGGTTTTCTTACTTTCTTTCTTTCTTTTTTTTTTTGGAGATGGAGTCTCACTCTGTCACCCAGGCTAGAGTGTAGTGGTGCAATCTCGGCTTACTGCAACTTCTGCCTCCCAGGTTCAAGTGATTCTTCTGTCTCAGCCTCCTGACGAGCTGGGATTACAGGTGTGCACCACCAAGACCAGCTAATTTTTGTATTTTGCAGTGACATGATCATGGTTCACTGCAGCCTCAACCTCCTGGGCTCCAGCGACCCTCCTGCCTTAGCCTCCTGAGTAGCTGGGACCACAGGCATGAGCAACCATGCCAGGCTAATTTTTTTTTTTAACTTTTGGTAGAGACGGGGTCTCACTTTGTTGACCAGGCTGGTCTTGAACTCCTGGCCTCAAGCAATCCTCCTGCCTCAGCCTCCCAAAGTGTTGGGATTACAGGCATGAGCCACCTCACGCAGCCTAAACACTTTTAAAAAGGTAGAGATAAAGCAAATCATGCAAGAGCACACTGGGACAAATATTTCAATATAATCCAATACCTGTGCAAAATTGCTGATTCCCACTGTTCCAATGCCATTTTCTGTTGTTACCCATTCGTGTTTCTCTGTGAATTTACGCACTAAAACAGAAGACCAACATTTCAGAAAAGCAGTAGCATTACTTCTTAAGAAGCACTTTTCATTACCATTGCTTTCAAAAGACTTTCCCAGAATTTCTGTTTGACCTGTTGACACTACCTTTAAATAGTGCATGGCTCAGGAAAGAATGAAGATCATGTATAGAGATGACGCATTTAAACAGCAGTACCATTTAAGCAAAGATGGCTTCATCTGAACACCTTGTGCATCTTTTGGAGATTGGATTATCTGCTTTAACATTACTTAGCCTAAATCACAAAAGAAAATTTTGGAGCATATTTCAAATGTATACTTAACTATTACTGGTCTGTCTTGCAGAAAAAAAAATCTGTGCCTCTGAAGACAAATTTGGGGTGATGAGGTTTAGGGAGGCAGCATAAAGATGGCTCATATAAGAAATGATTTAACCTAAAAAAAAAAATAACAGTAATAATCAGGTGCCTCTTTAGGCAGAGTTGACCTAAGAGAGCTTCAGTGCAGCTTGGGTTACAAAGTAAAATTTTACAGGAATGAAACTGACCTCCTGGAACAACTATAATTTGACTAAGTTCTTAAAATTCTACTTTAATCAAATTCAAGCCTAACCTTGAAGATAGCACTACCATCGCTTAAAGAAGAAAATTAAGATCACAACTCAACAGTCTTCTCAGAGCTAAGCCATGGGTTGGTGGAGAATCAAGCTCTGCTCACCACTCACTGGACAGGTTCAGCCCTCGACTTACTGAGCACTTCTCTAAAGATACGGTCAAACGATTCAGGGAATCCTGAAAGAAGGACCGGCCAATGTTCAAGAGTAAAAAGAGTTATTTAGGATATAAAGTTAAAAGTACTTGCCTTAGAGAATAATATTTTTTAAAAAGCATATGCTATATTAAATACAGTTCATATTCTGACACCAAGTATTTTTCTAAAAACAATGCAACGTAAGTTCATAGAAAAATGGTTAACTCAAATACTGTTTTAAAGAGGCCTCACTGGCTCATTTTACCCCTTACCCAAAGGATAGTAGTACTTAAAACAGCATTCAATTGCTTTGGTTACAGCTCTGATACGCAGCACAACGTAAGTAGAGTGTATAATTATTATTTTTATTTTTTATTTTTGTAGAGATGGGGGGGTCTATGTTGTCCAGACTGGTCTCAAATTCCTGAGCTCATGATCCTCCCACCTCAACCTCTCACAGTGCTGGGATAATAGTGTGTGAGCCACCGTGCCTAGCCAAGTATATAATTCAATATTGCTTTCTTTTCCCCTTAATTATGAAACTTTCTAAAGTTCATACCCCTTCAGTGGAAGAAGTCAAAAAATGTGTCACTAAGAAATTTATTTTGCTTCATTCCACTTCAAAGAACTGAATGTTTCAGGTCACTCTGACGTTCAGGTAAGAAAGTTTAAGATGTGTACACTGTGTTTTGACTGAAAGACTCTCCCTACCATCTTTACTAACTACTTCCGGTCTAGATTCAGAAGTCCGTTCCTGCCCAAAGGCTTGTCTAACCAAGTCTAGGTTCTTAGGCCAGCCAACATGCTCTTACGGCACCCTGTACCACTATCCCCCAGCACACACACGGTGCTGAACATACTAGAGATCATCTGTCAGTCTCCCCAGGAAGTAGGCTGTGTACCCACCAAGAAACAGCAAGGTTTATCTTATTTTCATTTGTTTTCCCAATTTTAAATACAGTGCTTGCCACATAGCAAGCACTCAAAAGCTGAAGGAATGAAATAATTTTTTTTTTCCTTAAATTATCATGTCGCAGGCCAGGCACAGTGACTCATGCGTGTAATCCCAGCACTTTGGGAGGCCGAGGCGGGTGGATCACCTGAGGTCCGGGGTTTGAGACCAGCCTGGCCAGCATAGTGAAACCACATCTCTACTAAAAAAATACAAAAATTAGCCAGGTGTGGTGGCACACTCCTGTAATGCCAGCGACTTGGGAAGCTGAGGCATGAGAATTGCTTGAACCCAGGAGGCAGAGGTTGCAGTGAGCTGAGATCACGCCACTGCACTCCAGCCTAAGCAACAGAGCAAGACTCAGTCTCAAAAAAAACAAACAAAAAAAATCCCTGGGCGTGGTGGCTCATGCCTGTAATCTCAACACTTTGGGAGAAAAATATATATATTTTTCCCCTTAAATTATCATGTTGCAGGCCGGGCACAGTGGCTCATGCCTGCAATCCCAGCACTTTGGGAGGCCAAGGCAGGCGGATCACCTGACGTAAGGAGGTCAAGACCAGCCTGGCCAGCATGGTGAAACCAAGTCCCTACTAAAAATACAAAAATTAGCCAGGTGTAGTGGTACACGCCTATAATCCTAGCTACTTGGGAGGCTGAGGCAGGAGAATCACTTGAACCTGGGAGGCGGAGATTCCAGTGAGCCGAGATTGCACCATTGCCTGGGCGACTAGCGAAACTTCATCTCCAAAAAAAAAAAAAAAAAGTTGCAGAATGACGTGATTTTTTAAAGTTTATTAAGAGGATTCTGAGGAAAATAGATAGTATATAGTTATTTGTCTTTAACACTTAATTCTCTCACTCTGCTACAAATCGCCGGTTATATGCCAATTATGAGCAGTTTGAAGCTAAAACACCTTTTCAAAGTAAGCACTGGACAACTATAAACACCACCTGAGACTACCTTCTTTGACCTTGCCATCTTGCCTACCTGTGAAGATAATTTTAGGAGTAAGGCTGCTGTGACCCTCATTTTAGCAACCGAGCAATTACTAATTGTAATTAGTACAATTCTCCTTAACAAGGAGCAGTTAGTGTCTCAAACATTTGGGTGTAAAGAAAATTGTTGGCCCCAAGTTTAGAGGGAGACGGCAACATTACAGGTAATGTTACCCCTCAGTCCTGGCCAACAGCAGTGGCTCTCGCCTGTAATCCCAGCACTTTGGGAGGCCGAGGCAGGCAGATCACCTGAGATCAGGAGTTCAAGACCACCCTGGCCAACATGGTGAAACCCCGTCTCTACTAAAATACAAAAAATTGGCCGGGTATGGTGGCGGGCACCTATAATCCCAGCTACCCTGGAGGCTGAGGCAGGAGAATCACTTGAACCTGGGAGGCAGAGGTTGCAGTGATTCAAAGACCTAAGTCTTTATTTTACTAAGCATGCTGTTTAGGCTAAAGGCAATGATTAGTACAATTCTCCTTTAACCCTTGGCCCGACAGGAAGAAGTGGATAGATTAGGTAAATAATTACTTTCTTTTTTTGAGACAGAGTCTCACTCTGTCGCCCAAGCTGGAGTGTAGTGGTGCAATCTAGGCTCGCTGCAACCTCTGCCTCCCGGGTTCAAGTGATTCGGCCTCATCCTCCCAAGGAGCTGGGATTACAAGCACGTGCCACCACGCCCGACTAATTTTTTGTATTTTTGGTAGAGACAGGGTTTCACCATGTTGGCCAGGCTGGTCTTGAACTCCTGACCTCAGGTGATCCGCCCGCCTCAGCCTCCCAAAGTGCTGGGATTAAAGGCATGAGCCACCGTGCCTGGACAATAATTACTTTCTAACTGGGCCTTGAAAAAGGTGGTTTTTGGCCTCGGAAAATTAGGAGTTGTGAGCAATTTATGAAAATTTTGCATTTTCCTTTTTCAATGTCACTAGTCAGATAAAATATTTTATATTAGTATTAGTCAATTTTTCTTCTCTTTTTTTTTTGAGATGGAGGTGTGCTCTTGTCGTCCAGCTACTCCACAGGCTGAGGCAGGAGAAGTGTTTGAACCCGGGAAGCGAAGGTTGCAGTGAGCCAAGATCCTGCCACTGGATGCCAGCCTGGGCGACAGAGCGAGACTCCATCTCAAAAAAGAAGAAAAAAAAAAGGAACGAAAACCACAGACTTGAAACTAAATTCTTATCTGAGAAATGCTTTACCTTTGTATTCAAATTAGTGATGTAGGGATCCCTATCAGAAACAGAGCGGACAGACTATTAGCAAGACAGCATAAGTAAATCTTTATGCTACAAATTTTGGAATAAATTTATCAACCATTCCAGCTCCAAACAGGTTTCTAAAACAATGAGCTAATGAGACAAGAGCCATCACTGATCTACGCAATCGAAGCAGAGGAGCAGTCAGTGTATCAAACATTTGGGCGTAAAGAAAATTGTTGGCCTGGCGCGGTGACGCACGACTGTAATCTCAGCACTTTGGGAGGCTGAGGCGGGTGGATCACTTGAGGTCAGGAGTTTGAGACCAGCCTAACGTGGCGAAACCCTGTCTCTACTAAAAATACAAAACTCAGCTGGAGGTGGTGACGGGCGCCAGTGAACCCAGCTACTCGGGAGGCTGAGGCAAGAGAATCGCTTGAATCTGGGAGGTGGCGCTTGCAGTGAGCCGAGATCACGCCGCTGCACTCCAGCCTGGGCGACAGAGCGAGGCTCCGTCTCAATAAAAAGAAAAAAAAAAAAAAAGAAAATTGTTTTTCCCCTGCAATAATTGTGCTGAAGTAGCACAAATGGCCGAAACATTCATGGGCAGGTTTCCCAGTTATTTCAAGTCCGTTTGAGTTAGGGCTCATTTCAGCAAGCACACACATGAATGATCCAATACAAACTTTAGCAGAACTTCTGTTGAGTCCAGAAGACTTTATCTTACTTGTTTTGGGGAAATAGCTGAATCTTCAAAGTTATGATTGTTTTATCTAGTAAAAAAATCTAGATCTGGCGCTTTAATTTTTTTTTTTTTTTTTTTTTTTGAGGTGGAGTTTTGCTCTGTCGCCCAGGCTGGAGTGCAGTGGCGCGATCTCGGCTCACTGCAACCTCTGCCTCCCAGGTTCAAGCGATTCTCCTGCCTCAGCCTCCCGAGTAGCTGGGATTACATGCGCATGCCGCCACGCCTGGCTAATTTTTTGTACTTTTAGTAGAGATGGGATTTCACCGTGTTAGCCAGGATAGTCTCGATCTCCTGACCTCGTGATCCGCCCTCCGGCATGAGCCAACGCGCCCTGCCTGGTGCTTTAATTTTAATAAGCGCTTCTGTTTTAATTTTACTTCGGAGTTCTCAGTAACGGTCCATTTAGTAAACTAAAGGCCTCCCCATTTGGGGTCTCAACGATGCACGCAGATGGGAGATAAACTTAAGGCCACCGAGACGCTTAAGCGACACGTGCCTGGCTTCTGCAGCAAGCGGCCGACCTGCCCGCCGGACCCGCCGGGCCACCCCCGCCTCGGTGTCCCGCAGGCCTCCCCTCCCGGCTGCATGCAATCCCTAGGGCAAAGGCTACTCGCGGGTCCTCCCGCTACTTAAGGGGGAGAAGCGGCCGCAGAGCCAGGGATCCCAACAGAAATAAGAAGGGGGCAGGGTCCGCGCTCGCTCCGCCCCGGTGGCTCAGGAGCGGTGCCCCGGCGTCCTCCGTGTCCCGCTGGGCCCGGGACAAGCAGCCCAGGCGGGGAGGGAGCAGCCGCCCACGTGCCCGCCGCGCTTACCCGAGAGCAGAGCGGGTCCAGTGCGCAGCGTACGGACGGCGCCCACCCCCAGCTGCCAGGGCCTCGGCGGGCAGGGCGCGGCGGGTGACGGGACCGCGCGCAGGGTGCAGAGCAGGGCCCGCACGCTCCGCACCACTCGCAGCGCCATGTTCGCAGGGGTGCGGGGGTCGCAGCGCTACGCCTCGGCCACCCGCGCCGGGAGGCGGGGCGGGGAGGGGCAGTTCGCGGCCGGAGGGAGCCGGCTGGATGGAGGCGCGGAGGCGGTGCCGCGGGGGCGGGACAGAGCCTGACTGGGCAGAGCGTGGAGGGCGGAGACTCCCAGGCGAGGGGGCGAGGCAGGGTCTGATTGGCCAGCACGCGGAGACTGGGGACTCCAGGGCCTGGCGCGACCTCGGATACGGCGACGCGAAAGAGGGGCGTGGGCATGGGGAAGAACCTGAGGCCCGGAAGAGGCAGCACCGAGAGGCGGAGACTAGCGCGGCGGGCCTGGGTATGATTGGGCTGCCCGCAGGAGGGGGGCGGGGCCTAGCCCCAGACTGGGTTCCTTTCCACATGTGTATCTCTTTTACTGCCTCTGTCATAAGTTTTCAAAGGTGGTTTCACCACCTCACGAAGGAATTCAAGAACAAGTCGGAAAGTCGTGAAAGTACAGAGGTTTACTGCAAAGTACACACTGAAGAAAGGGCGGACTCAAAAGAGGGCCACACAATGGGGCTTGGGGTTTCCATCTTTATGGGTTTCTTTGAGAAATGGAATATACACAAAGGTTTCTGGAATAAGGTGGAGACTTGTCAGAACTGTGGTGCCACCCATTTTTACACCAAATATGGGTGTTCCCGGAATTGTTGTGGTGCCGGTGGGTGTGTGACTTAGTATGTTAATGAGTCCTAGGTGAAGCCTAGGTCAAAGCCACACCACGTTGGGTCCAGTTGGTTTTAGCCAGGTTGACCCACACCCTGGTTTTTCAGGGTCTTAGCCCATAGCTTGTGCAGCTATTTCAACAGTTTCCTTTTGTTAGACAGAACTGCAGCCTGGAAGTTTCTATTCTCCTTCAACTGCTCTGTAACGTTCCTGTCTCAAAGAGCCCCAGGGACCCCAAACAGGACCGGCAGAATCCAGAAGCTTACTTAAAAAGGAATAAAGACTTGTCCAAGGGTCATAAGTGGCTTCTTGGTGGAGACTGGACCCAAGCCAGTCACTAATGCAGAAATATTCAAAACGCAGAGAGCTGAGACCCAGTGTGCACAATTCCTTGTTTCATCGGCCAGCGGTGTGACCAAGGCCTTCCGAGAAAAGCCGAAGTCATCATCCCAATCCAAGAAGTCAGAAAAAAATTAGGTTCTGGGAAAAACCTCACCTTTAACACAGATTTTATGGAGTGGCCATGAGTCAGCAAAGAAATACTGTTCTGAAAAACACCTTAAGCTACACACACACCTTTAGTACTGTTACAGAAAGGGCTCCCAATCCAGACCCCAAGAGAGGGTTTTTGGACCTCATGCAAGAAAGAATTTGGGGAGAGTCTATAAAGTGAAAGCACGTTTAATAGAGAAGTAAAGAAAAAAAAGAATGGCTTCTTCGTAGACAGAGCAGCAGTATGGCTTCTCGACTAAGTGTACTTATAGTTATTTCTTGATTGTATGCTAAACAAGGGGTGGATCATTCAAGAGTTCTCCAGAAAAGGGGCAGGGATTTCCTAGAACTAACGGTTCCTCCGCTTTTTGGACTATAGGGTAACTTCTCTGGACGTTGCCATTGCATTTGTGAACTGTCATGACGCTGGTGGGAGTTGTTTTTTTTTTAACATGCTAATGCATTATAATTAGCGTATAATGAGCAGTGAGACCTACCAGAGGTCGCCATCTTGGTTTTGGTGAGTTTTGGCCAGCTCCTTTACCGCATCCTATTTTATCAGCAGGGACTTTGTGACCTGTATCTTGTGCCAACCCTAGCTCATCCTGTGACTAAGTGAGGCAGGTGAATCACTTGAGGTCAGGAGTTCGAGACCAACCTGGCCAACATGGAGAAACCCCCGTCTCTACTACAAATCCAAAGTTTAGCCAGGCATGGTGGCAGGTGCCTGTAATCCCAGCTACTCAGGAGGCTGAGGCACGAGAATCACTTGAGCCTGGGAGGCAGAGGTTGCAGTGAGTCGAGATCACGCCACTGCACTCCAGCCTGGGTGACAGAGCGAGACTCTGCTTCAGAAAAAAATACAAATAAAAAGAATGCCTAACCTCCTGGGAATGCAGCCCACCAAGTCTCAGCCTCATTTTACCCAGCCCATATTCAAAATGGAGTTGTTCTTGTTCAAACACCGGAAACAGTACCATAGGGTGCACACCATGGAGTGTGTGTGTGTTTGGGGAGCCCATACGTTGTTGCACTGAGCTTCTGCCCTGCTATGAACTTAGGGTTGCCACCACATCTGTGCAGTGGCTTGCAAGGGCCGTCATGCCCACTTTCTTTTGAGCAAATCATTCCCATCTATTGAGCCTTTGCTATGTGCCTGGCACTATGCACACATCTTTTTAATCCTCTCCAAACCTCTTTCTGGCAGGTGTTACACTCATTTCATAGATGAGGCTCAGAGGTGAAGGCACTTCCGAGGAGTGGGATCGGGGAGGCGTTTTTGTGGCTTAAGTAGCTCCTAGGTGGCAGTAGTAGACCTTGGCCTCTACACTGATTAGAAAGCAACTCTTCTTTTTTTCTTTTTTTTTTTCGAGACGAAGTCTAGCTCTGTCGCCCAAGCTGGAGCGCAGTGGCGTGATCTTGGCTCACTGCAACCTCTGCCTCCCGGGTTCAAGCAATTCTCCTGCTTCAGCCTCCCGAGTGGCTGGGACTACAGGACCACGTGCCACCACGCCCGTCTAATTTTTGTATGTTTAGTAGAGATGGGGTTTCACTATGTTGGCCAAGCTGGTCTCGAACTCCTGACCTTGTAATCCACCCACCTCGGCCTTCCAAAGTGCTGGGATTACAGGCATGAACCACCGTGCCTGGCCAGCAATTGCTCTTAAGCTCTGCTCCGCTTGCTTTCGTTTGGGATGCTGACTGGATCACGCTGGTCTACCCTGCACTACAGATCTTGGCTACCTTCTCTAATGTCAAGATGTTGTTTTCTATTGTTGTTTCATTACAAGACAGTGCAGCATCGTGCCACTTACACCCTAACATATTTATTCTCAGCTTCACTAACTCATGTGATGGGAAGAAAAAGATCACACATCAACATCAACATATGGGCTACAAAAAGGCCCTTCCACCAAAAAATATGACATGTGTTTTTCTTTTGGTAAAAAGCATTGAAGACAGTCAAAATTTTTTTTCTTTTTCTACCTAGTAATCTTTGTAACCTCCTGGTTTGAGATTTTAAAGGTCATCTCGTTGCCCATTGAGTATAAGCTCTGGAAAATTCCAGGTGGTCATTTCTTCCAGGTGTTTTGAGAGGGGCCCATTCATCTCTTTGAGCTGATAGACATATTTTCCTCTTATAACAATACAGTAGACTGGGTGCGGTGGCTCATGCCTGTAATCCCAGCACTGTGGGAGGCCTAGGTAGGCAGATCACTTGAGGCCAGGAGTTCAAGACCAGCCTGGCCAACATGGTGAAACCCCGTCTCTACAAAAAAATACAAAAATTACCCAGGCATGCTCTTGTGTGCCTGTAGTCCCAGATACTGGGAAGCCTGAGACACAAGAATCATTTGATCTTGGGAGGCAGAGGTTTCAGTGAGCTGAAATCATGCCACTGCATTCCAGCCTGGGCAACAGAGCAAGACCCTGTCTCAAACAAACAAACAAACAAACAAAAAAACTTTTATAAACCAGTATTCCCCATATTTATTTGACCCAGAAACATTTTTGGAGGAATGACACCTGTTCTGGTTTGAATTGTGGCTCCTAAAGAGGTATGTCAAAGTCCTAAGTCCCAGTTCTTCAGATGTGACCATATTGGGAAACAGGATCCCTGCAGATGTATTATAATTAGTTCAGATGAGGTCACCCTGGACTAGGGTGGGCCCCTAATTCAATATGGCTGGTGTGCTGAGAAAAGGAGAAGGAACACAGGCTCCCAGCAAGCTTCTTCCCATCTGGGAGTGACACATCTAGAAGCCAAGGGACACCAAGGCTGGCTGGCCAACACCAAAAGCTGGAAGAGGCAAGAAGGATTCTTCCCTAGAGCCCTCAGAGGGAGCATGGCACTGCCAACATCTTTTTTCTTTCTTTTCTTTTTTTTTTTTGTGAGACGGAGTCATGCTCTGTCGCCCGGGCTGGAGTACAGTGGCACCACCTAGGCTCACTGCAACCTCCGCCTCCCGGGTTCAAGGGATTCTCCTGCCTCAGCCTCCTGAGTAGCTGGGACTACAGGCGCCCGCCACCACACCTGGTTAATTTTTGTATTTTTAGTAGAGACAGGGTTTCACCCTGTTGGCCAGGCTGGTCTCGAACTCCTGGCCTCAAGTGATCCGCACGCCTCGGCCTCCCAAAGTGCTGGGATTACAGGCGTGAGCCACCATGCCCGGCCACTGCCAACATCTTGATTGCACACTTCCAGGCTCCAGAGCTGGGACAGAATGCATTTCTGTCGTTTTAAGCCACTTCGTTTGTGATACATTGTTCTGGGAAACTAATACAGCATCCATTAGCATCTCTCAGACAGTTTGAGAAGCCCTGAACTAGAATCATTCAAAAGCAACCCCCAACGGACTAAAAAGACGAAATAATTAGTCTGTGCAGGAAATTTTCCAAACTCCATGTAATATTTGTTTTATTTATAATAAGAGGAAATACATTTGAACAAAGAAGCTCTCATAGTATTGGCAATTTTACATATATCTCTGTTATTGTAATTTTTTTTACTTGCTGGGCTTGGTAATTCTTCAATGGACATGAAAGCTATGACCTAGAGAGACTATAGAGTCGCTGGTAAGCGTACGCCCGAGGCCCTGGGCGTCCCCACTGGTAGATGGTGGCGTGTGGACGAACAGCTTAGTCCTTGGGCAAAGCTTGTGCTGGTCGAGAGTGGCGAGTCTGGGACAGAGACCCAGGCTGCTCCCTGCTGCTTCCAGGCTCCTCTCTCTTAGACTTAATGCCCAGGAAACTGAGTATTTTCATCAGCAGCAAATCTACGATCTCCCCTTCCTCCGACAGCTGCAAGAGAAAGAACCAGGCAATGCCCATAGAACCATCTTCTTTGGGGGCTTTTCTTTCTAAGGGGAAGTCATAGTTTTTATTTTTATTTATTTTATTTTATTTTATTGTTTGAGATGGAGTCTCACTGTGTCGCCCAGGCTGGAGTGCAGTCGCACAATCTTGGCTCACTGCAACTTCCGCCTCCCGAGTTCAAGCGATTCTCCCGCCTCAGCCTCCCGAGTAGTTGGGATTACAGGCACCCGCCACCACGCTCAGCTAATTTTTGTATTTTTAGTAGAGAGAGAGTTTTACCATGTTGGCCAGGCAGGTATCAAACTCCTGGCATCTAGTGATCCACCTGCCTCGGCCTCCCAAAGTGCTGGGATGATTACAGGCTTGAGCCATCGCATCATCCCTGGCCGAAATCACAGTTTTATTGTCCAGTTTGGTCTCAACCTAGGTTACTTCACTGTTGAGAGCTGTTTTAGGGCAGAAAGGCCTCCCTCTGGGAATGCCAAGGGTGTGTGCTCCATCCTTTATCCTCAGCGGGCTCCCTCCACCTCTCTGATGAGGATGACTGAGTTTTCACTGCCACATTTCAAATTCCCAAGCCAGCGCAGAGTAAGCCTCGGCTGGGCGGCTGAGCCTGAAGTTAAACAGCACATGGGCCCCCTTCTGAGATGAGTGTCTCCCCTTTTCCTCTAGGTCAGAGTGTTGGTGGTGGCTCCTTCTTTCGTTCTTTTTTTTTCTGAGACAGAGTCTAGCTCTGTCGCCGAGGCTGGAGTGCAGTGGCTCAATCTCGGCTCACTGCAGCCTCCGCCTCCTGGATTCCAGCTATTCTCCTGCCTCAGCCTCCCGAGTAGCTGGGATTATAGGCACACACCACCACGCCCAGCTAATTTTTGTATCTTTGGTAGAGACAGGGTTTCACCATGTTGGCGGGGCTGGTCTCGAACTCCTGACCTCAGGTGATTCACCCACCTCAGCCTCCCAAAGTGCTAGGATTAGAGGCGTGAGCCTCTGGGCCTGGCCTTGTGGTTCTTTATTATTATTCCTTCTGCTTGCTCTGTTTACCTCCTGGCCTAGCCTGGTATGGGAGGAAGTTCTGGGAATGAAAAAATAAATAGATGTTTCTCTCTGGCTTTCCCACACTTCTCAACCATATACACATATTTAAGAGTGACTTAAAGCAAAGAAAGAACAACTTCTAGGAAACAGGAATGGCAGACTATAGGTACCAATGAGGCACGTTCAGTAAACTCGTCAGAAAATGCTCTCTACCACCCCAACAGAGGCTGTTAAGAACTTATGTACAGGCTGAGCACAGGGGCTTATTATATTTATAATCCCAGGATTTTGGGAGGCCAAGGTGAGACGATTGCTTGATCCTAGGAGTTCGAGTCCATCCTGGACAACATAGTGAGACCCCATCTCTACAGATAATTTTAAAAATCACAGCTGAAAGTGGTGGCTCACACCTGTAATCCCAGCACTTTGGGAGGCCAAGGTAGGCAGATCACCTGAGGTCAGGAGTTTGAGACCAGCCTGACCAACATGGTGAAACCCCATCTCTACTAAAAATACAAAATTAGCTGGGCATGGTGGGCACATGCCTGTAATCCCAGCTACTTGGGAGGCTGAAGCAGGAGAATTGCATGAACTCAGGTGGCAGAGGTTGCAGTGAGCCGAGATCGTGCCATTGCACTCCAGCCTGGCAACAAGAGCAAAACTCCATCTCAAAAAAAAAAAGAAGAGTGTTTAAAAATCAGGCCAGGTGTGACGGTTCACACCTATAATTCCAGCAATGTGGGAGGCTGAGGCAGGCAGGTCACTTGAGCCCAGAAATTTGAGACCAGCCCGGCCAAAATGGGGAAACCCCATCTCTACCAAAAATACAAAAAAATTAGCCAGGTGTGGTGCAGTCCCAGCTACTGGGTCTAAGGTGGGAGGATGGCTCGAGCCCAGGAGGCCGAGGTTCCAGTGAGCTGAGATTGCACCACTGCACTCCAGCCTGGGTGACAGAGCAAGCCCCTTTCTCAAAAGCAAGCAAGCAAACAAACAAACAGAAGAATTTATGTGCAAAGGTCCTGCACATTGCTGCTGGGGATCTAAAATGGTACAGCTGCTTCAGAAAACAGTGTGGCAGGTCTTCAAACAATTAAACAGTTACTGTGTAAACCAGAAATTTCACTTCCAGGTATATGCCCAAGAGAAGCGAAAACACATGTCCATATGAAATTCTGCCCACAGAATGTTCATAGCAGCATCGTTTGTTAAAGCCAAAATACAGAAACAACCCAAATACCCATCAGCTGGGGAATGGATAAGCACATCGTTGTTTTACCCACACAATGAAATATGACTCAGCCGTAAAAAGGAATGACGTGGATACACGCTACGACATGGATGAATCTTGAAGACATGATACTAAATGAAATAAGCCAGACATAAAAGGCCACATATTGTCCGAGCTCATTTATATGAATATGAATTTCCAGAATAGGCAAATCCAAAGAAATAGAACGTAGATTAGTGGTTGCCAGGGGCTGGAGGCATGGATATGGGAGGTGATTATTAATAGGTAGGGGGCTTCTTTGTGGTATTGAAAATGTTCTGAGCCCAGGCACGGTGGCTCACACCTGTAATCCCAGCACTTTGGGAGGCCGAGGCTGGCAGATCACCTGAGATCAGGAGTTCGAGACCACCCTGGCCAACATGGAAAAACTCATCCCTACTAAAAATACAAAAATTATCTGGGTGTGGTGGCAGGCACCTGTAATCCCAGCTACTCAGGATGCTGAGGCAAAAGAATCATTTGAACTCGGGAGGCGGAGGTTGCAGTGAGCCAAGATCACGCCACTGCACTCCAGCCTGGGTGAGAGAGCAAGACTCTGGCTCAAAACAAAACAAAACAAAACAAAAAACAAAACAAACAAACAAAAAACAGAAAAGAAAAGAAAAAAAGAAAAAGAAAATGTTCTAGGGCTGGGTGTGGTGGCTCACACCTGTAATCCTAGCACTTCGGGAAGCCAAGGTGGGTGGATTGCTTGAGCCTAGGAGTTTGAGAACAACCTGAGCCACATAGCAAAACCCCGTCTCTATTAAAAAAAAAAAAAGAAGGCCGGGTGTGGTGGCTAATACCTGTAATCCCAACACTTTGGAAAACCGAGGTGGGCAAATGACAAGGTCAGAACTTCCAGAGCAGCCTGGCTAACATGGTGAAACCCCGCTTCTACTAAAAATACAAAAAATTAGCCAGGCATGGTGGCGTGCTCCTGTAGTCCCAGCTGCTTAAGAGGCTGAGGCAGGAGAATCACTTAAACCCGGGAGGGGGAGGGTGCAGTTAGCCGAGATCTGCCACTGCACTCCAGCCTGGGCGATGGAGCGAGACGCTCTCTCAAAAAAAAAAGAAAGAAAAAAAATATTCTGGAATTAGTGACGATGTTTGCACAACTCTCTGAATATACTAAAAAACGTTTAATTGTATGATTTAAAATGGCTAATTTTATGGCACATGAAATATATCTTCATTGTTAAAAAAATAATTTATTTACAATGGACAAGTTCAATCTTCTGATAGAAGGAACCCACTCGGAGAAAGTAACTTTAATTAAAGGTGGCTACTTAATTGCATCTCCAAATTAAGGTACAGTTGGAGTACCTGGGCATCAGACCTAGCAATGCTCTCTGCTTCCTTGCTAAAATGAAAACATTTCCCCAACACTACAAAATTGTTTTTAAAATATCAAATCTTTTTGCAGGACAAAGGCATTGTGGTATAATATGAACCATAGTTGATCTTTGACCTCGGTTCCCATCACAGAGCTCCTGAAACCCTTAGAATTTACTAATAATAGGAGTGTCTTTTTTTTTTTTTTTTTTAGACAGAGTTTTGCTTTTGTTGCCCAGGCTGGAGTGCAATGGCGTGATCTTGGCTCACTGCAACCTCCGCCTCCTGCATTCAAGCGATTCTCCTGCCTCAGCCTCCCAAGTAGCTGAGATTACAGGCATGTGCCACCATGCCCAGCTAATTTTTTTGTATTTTTAGTAGAGACGGGGTTTCTCCATGTTGGTCAGGCTGGTCTCGAACTCCCGACCTCAGGTGATCCGCCCGCCTCGGCCTCCCAAAGTGCTGGGATTACAGGCGTGAGCCACCGCGCCCGGCAATAATAGGAGTGTCTTTTGCTATTCATGATGAGCCCCCTTTCATCACATCTGAGTTTTTGCTAATGAGTGACTTAGGGCAGGCCCCTAGATAGCTTCAGGATGAGGCAGGTCACCAGAAAATCCTCGGATGGTCAAGTCTCTGATAAAAAAAAAAAAAAAAAAAAAGCCATAATATTTACATATAACCCACACACATTCTCCTGTATACTTTAAGTCATCATCTATAAGTACCTTTTTTTTTCTTTTTTTTTGGGATGGAGTTTCTGCTCTTGTTGCCCAGGCTGGAGTGCAATGGCACGATCTCAGCTCACCGCAACCTCCGCCTCCCAGGTTCAAGCAATTCTCCTGCCTCAGCCTCCCGAGTAGCTGAGATTACAGGCATGTACCACTACGCCGGGCTAATTTTGTATTTTTAGTAGAGATGGGGTTTCTCCATGTTGAGGCTGGTCTCGAACTCCTGACCTCAGGTGATCAGCCCGCCTCAGCCTCCCAAAGTGCTGGGATTACAGGTTTGAGCCACTGCACCTGGCCTATAAGTACCAGTAAGTACTTATAATACTTAACACAATGTAAATGCTATATATAAATAGTTGTTATACAGATTGAGTATCCCTCATCCAAAATGCTTGGGATGACTAGTGTTTTGTGTTTCAGATTTTTTCAGATTTTGGAGAATGCATAATGAGGTATCTTGGGAATGGGACCCAAGACTAAACAGGAAATTTATTTATATTTATATACACCTTATACACATAGCCTGGAGGTAATTTCATACAATATGTGTTTTTAATTTTTATTTATGTTTTAGAGATAGCATCTTGCTCTGTCGTGCAGGCTAGAGAGCAGTGGTGCAATCATGGCTTACTGCATCCTGGGCTCAAGCTATCCTCCCAAGTAGCCAGAAGAAGAGGCACATGCCACCAGGCCCAGCTAATTTTTGTATTTTTTGCACAGATAGGGTCTTTCTATATTGCCCAGGCTGGTCTTGAACTCCTGGCCTCAAGTGATTCTCCTGTCTCAGCTTCCCAAAGTGCTGGGATTGCAGGCGTGAGCCACTGGGCCCAGCCCAGTATATATTTTTTTATTTTAAAATTATATTAAAAATATGAAACACTTTGTGAATTTGCACGACCTCCTTGCACAGGGGTCATGCTGATCCTCTCTGTACAAAGTTTGTATTAAGTATTTATGTGTGGAATTTTCCATGTTTCACCTCAGGTGAGCATGCAAACAATTTTGGATTTTGGAGCATTCTGGATTTCTGATTTTTGGATTAGGGATGCCCAATCGGTATAAGATACCCAGTTGGTGTCTGCTGGAGAATTGCTTGGTGTGTGCAGAAAATCTCCACACATTTGGTCACAGAAGTGTTCTGTGTTAAGTGAGAGTTTAGTGAAATAAAAATTTGTATTTCCTTTCCAAACACAGATCCGGGACACACGTTACAAGCGTACCAGAGACCATTTAGCAACAGAAGAGGGGCAGCATTCTTAGCATTCTTGAATCCTGTGGGCAATAATTTCCTGGTTTCCAGGAAAAATAACTCTTTACAATGATCCTTCAACATGATGGAGTATGTCACCTTTATGAAATCTTTTGCAATTTAGAAAAACAACAATACCAAATTGCTGCTCTTGTATAGAAATGGAAAAATTCAAAGAAGAGTGTCTTAACAAAGGTTTCTTTGTTAGACGTGCAGATTTTTCTTTTTTTTCTTTTGAGACAGGATCTTGCTTTGTCACCCAGGCTGGAGTGCAGTGGCATGATCACAGCTCACTGCAGGCTTCGTCTCCTGGGCTCAGGTGATCCTCCCACCTCAGCCTCCTGTGTAGCTAGGACTACAGGTGTGTGCCACCACACCCGGCTTAGGCATACAGATTGAAAGAATCTTTCAACTGGGACAGGAAGGGTGAGCTGCATAATACGTCACCGTTCACACAGTCATACCTCCAGAAGGGCAGGAAAAGAAAACAAAACAAAACCATACATCCAAGTCAGACAGATCCAGGTTGAAATCCCACCTTTCCTACTTTCTAGCTCTGTGGTTCTAGGTAAATGATTTCATCTCTGTGAGCCTTGGTTTCCTTCTTTGTACGTTGTGAATAATTATACCTACTTCAGAGAGCTGTTTTGACGATTAAATAAAACACAACTTCGGTTGTGAAGAGAGCGCTGTGTGGGTGGTGCTGGTGGCTGTTATTAACCTGCAGTCTGTGTGCTCATATCCCTCTTCCTGCAGGCAGCCCAGCACGCTGACTCTTCCATGGGTGGGAGGTCGATCACGAGTGCCCAGCTTGTTGCCCTCCGAGCCATGACGACGTGGGTTGAGGTTTTGGAGTGTAGTATGTGTTTTCAACCTTGGCTGTTCATTAACCTGAAAATTACCCAAAGAGATGGCTGGGCGTGGTAGCTCATGTCTGTAACCCCAGCACTTTGGGAGGCCAAGATTGGTGGATCACCTGAGGTCAGGAGTTCAAGACCAGCCTGACCAACATGGTAAAACCCCGTCTCTACTAAGTACAAAAAATTAGCCAGGTGTGGTGGCGCATGCCTGTAATCCCAGCTACTTGGGAGGCTGAGGCAGGAGAATCGCTTGAACCCAGGAGGTGGAGGTTACAGTGAGCCAAGATTGTGCCATTGCACTCCAGCCTGGGCAACAAGAGCAAAAACTCTGTCTCAAGAAAAAAAAAGTTACCCAAAGAGATTTCAAACATACCAAGGACTGGCTCATTCTCCCAGAGATTCTGTCGGTGTTGGTCTCTGTTGGTATTAGTCTCTGTTGGTGTTGGTCTCTGTTGGTGTTGGTCTCTGTTGGTATTGGTCTCTGGCTGGGCAGCCGTTGTTTCCAAAAGGCCCCAGGTGATTCTAAGGTGCACTCAGGGTGGAGGTCACTGGTGTCGCGAACAGAGTCTCACATTGGGAATCAGGAGACACAGCTCTGGTCCCAGCCCTGCCCCTCACTTGCTTGTGATTTTGGGGAATTAATGTCCTCTGTCTATGCCTGAGTTTCCCCTCCTGTTAAATGAGGGCTCTGAGCTACAATGATCTCTCAAGTTCCCTAAAGTCTAACACCGCTCCAGCCTCTTCATAGTTCAATGACTGATGAGGAATAGGCCAAAGCGACTCACCTGATAGTATTTTTGCTCCTCACTGAAGGCCACCAGGATGACAGAGATAAACAGGTTCAGCACCACAAATGTCATAAAAACAATGCAGGATCCAATGAGGAAGGAGCCAAGCACTGGGCTATAGTCCAGGACCTGTCAGAAAGAAAGCCAGGGTCATCCAGTGTCCTGGGTCCCAGTAGCCACTTCCCCTACTGGGAACCCTCAGAGGGAAAATGGTCCTCAGAGTTAGGCAGAGCCTAGAGCCTGGAAGGTCCCCTCTGCCTGGGGCTGAGAGAGCTGGGCAAGGAGAGAACGGGCAGCCCCTCACTTTCCACGGCTGCCACCTCCAAAGACGGCTGCCCTTTCTGCCCAGGGTAGGGGGTGTTTCCTTTGGGAGACCCCTGTACAGCCCTCCCCTGAGTAGCCAGCACCCAATGTTCCTCTGTGAGCAGGGATCCCAAGGGCAAGCTGTGGGCTCTAGCAGGGGTGTCTACCTAGAGGAGGGGGAACATTTCTGTTTGTCCAGACTTGCCCGGTGCTTGCCAGGCCATGGGCCCAAGGGATGGCACGGGGCGGGGTGGACAGGGAGTGCTTTTTCTAATCTTCACAGAGGCTCCGTATAGATGGCAGCAACCGTGCCCTCACCCCGTTACCTCCTCGTAGTTGAAGATTCCCAGCTGAAGGCTGACCATCGTCTCCGCCGCATCAAAGAGGGTTTTGTAGGAACGGAGTTTCCAACCAAATATCAAGTTTGACTGTCATGGAAAGAATTCTCATGAACAGGGAAGGAGGCTGCCAAGGCCCAAACAGCCTGCTGTTTCACAGTGGAGTGGGTGGTCTGTGTCAGCCACTGCCCTGGCTGGGCTGGTCAAGCTACTGTACCTACAGGGGTGTGCAAGTGGGTGTGTGTACACAACAGGTTTTTGTTTGTTTTTTTTGCGAGATGGAGTCTTGCTCTGTCACCCAGGCTGGAGTACAATGGTTCGATCTGGGCTCACTGCAGCCTCCGCCTCCTGGGTTCAAGCGATTCTCCTCCCTCAGCCTCACAAGTAGCTGGGACTACAGGCACACACCACCACGTCTGGCTAATTTTTCTATTTTTCGTAGAGACAGGGTTTCACCATGTTGGTCAGGCTGGCCTCGAACTCCGGATCTCAGGTGATCCACCCACCTTGGCCTCCCAAAGTGATAGGATTATGGGCGTGAGCCACTGCACCCGGTCCACAACTGGTTCTATGTGGCATGCATGTGTTTCTCTCTGTGGGTCTGTGCATGCGAGGCCACACGTGTGTCTGTGTGAGAGTGTACATGTGTATGCCTGTGGGCATCAATATCTGCACATATGCACTTTTGTGTATGTATATGTGTGTATCTATGTGTAGTGTATTTGTGTGCACATGCATGTGTATATGTGTATGTGTGTGTATCCATGTATAGTGTTTATGTGTGTGCATATGTGTGTGTATATTTGTTTGTGTGTACGTGTATGCGCGTGCATGTGTGCATGTGTGTAGGTGTGCACGTGTGTGCATCCATGTGCACGTGTGTGTCAAGTTTCTGGAAGTGCTGCCTGGATGACCTTGTCCAGGACCTTTATTGTGTCCATGGCCTGTTGATGATGCCTATCTCTGTGCCCACCAGGATGAGGGAGTGCCCAGGGTGCCTCTGGGGCTCAGGCAGCCACCTGCTAAGCCACCGCAGTGTTCCCCAGATGCGGTGCAAATACCTGACAATGAGTCTGGGCACTCTGCGGCTCCAAACCCTTCGCTCTGGGGAACTGGGTTGAATGGATGATGGGCTTCTGCCTGGGTGAGGACCTCCCCTCACTGCATTTTCCCTCACCACAACCCCTCACTCCCAAGACTTTCCCAGGGCTGCAGTGTCAGAGGGAGGCCCAGCAGCCCCTGGCTCTGTCTCTGAGTTGATGACTTTTGGTCCCATGGGACACTGCAATGTCCCTGCAGCCCAGACACTGCATGGAAGTCTGAAGAAATTCACATTAGGATTTAGAGGGGAGCTTTCACCAAAATCACAGACTCCAACTTTCCAGAACACACCCCCATCACTCCCTCAGTGCACCCCACCTGTTTCCAGGGGTGGGAGAGGAAGATCGGGTGGGGCTAGGGATGGAAGGGGTCAAGCCTGAGGTGACAGGGAGGCAGAGTGGGGTGAGGGTTGGGGTGGAGTGGGGACTAGGATGCGATGGGCTGGTGGATAGGATGATCAGGGAGGAGAGGAAGGCAAGAGACTGGATGGAGCCAGGGTGAGGATGGGGAAGGCCCTGGGGTAGGGAGTGGGCCAGGATTGTGCTAAAGGCCAGAGATGAACGGAAGGCCAGGGCTTGCATGGGAACATGGTGGGCAGTAGGGGGTGTATTTAGAAGGACATCAGGATGTGGTGGGGGCCAGGATGTAAGAGGGGCTTTGTTTCTCACATGATCATAAAAAAGAATTGAAAATTTAATGTTTTTGGCTGGGCGCGGTGGCTCACGCCTGTAATCCCAGCGCTTTGGGCGGCCAAGGTAGGCAGATTACCTGAGGTCAGGAGTTTGAGACCAACATGATGAAACACTGTTTTTACCAAAAATACAAAAATTGGCCGGGTGTCGTGGCACATGCCTGTAGTCCCAGCTACTCAGGAGGCTGAAACAGGAGAATCGCTTGAACCTGGGAGGCAGAGGTTGCAGTGAGCCGAGATTGTGACACTGCACTCCAGCCTGGGCAACAGAGTGAGACTCTGTCTCCAAAAACAAAAAAAAAGCCACACACGGTCGCTCATGCCTGTAATCCCAGCACTTTGGAAGGCCGAGGTGGGTGGATCACCTGAAGTCAGGAGATCGAGACCAGCCTGACCAACATGGTGAAACCTTGTCTCTACTACAAATACAAAATTAGCCAGGCATGGTGCTGTGCACCAGCAATCCCAGCTACTCAGGAGAATGAGGCAAGAGAATCGCTTGAACCTGGGCGGTGAAGGTTGCAGTGAGCCTAGATCGTGCCACTGCACTCCAACCTGGGCAGCAGAACAAGACTCCGTCTCAACAACAAAAAAGAAAATTCAATGTTTTCATTTATGTTTTTCTACACAGGGCCATGCTTGTCAATGTGCTCTTAAAGTGCTGAGTGAAGTGGCATTGGCCCTCCCAAGCTCATGAGTCATGTTTTGGACAACAAGCACTGGCATGGCCTGTGGATGTATCTACCTTCACATCCCCACCTCTGCCCCAACTCAAGGACGTGGTGGCCCCATCCATCCCCCAGCACAGCAGCAGTGCTCTGTGTGTGTCTAGGAGTTAGCCCTGTGCCTTCTGACCAGTTGGGAAGCCAGGATAACTGGCACATCCAGGAGGGGTCTAGAGCCAGAAAGGAATTCTTCCCAAACCTGGATCCTTTCAGCACTAGAGCCTATGCCTCCTCACCCTATCCACCTGAGCTCTCCAGCCTTTGCCATTTGAGATGACTGGTGCATGAGCTCACAGCAAAGACACCCTGTACTTACAAGAGCCACCACCTTCCTTGAGTTCCCAGGGTCTCCCTAACCCTAACTGTCCACTTTCCCACCACCAATTAGCCTTGGTTTCTGCAGAGACCCTCCCCGAACTTTTCCCAAAGCAGATACTTACCGCGATGGAGTAAGCCAGGAGCATGGTAAGGATGACAATCATAAAGCCTGAAATGTCGCCCCAGGCACGGCGTAGGGCTGCCGTGATCATGTTCATTTTGGGATTCAACCTGAGCAGATGCCAAAGCTTCACTGTGGACAGGAGTACCAGGAAGGCAATGATGTAGCCAAGGGCGGCATCGGCTGCTGCTGTCTCACTGAAGCTGATGCCTCTGTGGGACCAAAATGCAAAGGCTGGGTCTCAGAGACCTTGAGCAGTTCAGCCAGAACTCATCTGGATGCAAGACTGGATTTATCGGCATTTCGGGATGTGGGATTAGTTCTATCATCATCTCATAGGCCATCAGGTCCAGAAACAGGTCTGGGAAAGAGAGCCATCCCAGTTCCCCCAGGTAGGTGGTGATGATGATGATGATGATGAGGGGGAGGAGGAGGAGGAGGATGCTGGGAATTGTGGTGTGAGAGTGATAATGACAATGACAGTGATGATGATGGTGATGATGCTGAAGATGATGGTGATGGTGACAAAGATGATAATGGTAGTTGGACTTCATGGTGTGCACTGGTAATCCTAGCTACTCAAGAGGCTGAGGCGGGAGGATCACTTGAGTTCAGGGGTTTGAAGCTGTAGTGAGCTATGATCGTCATCAGTGAGATGGCAGCAGGACCAATCACCATGTGGTTTTCTCTGGGATGTTGGACTCAAGACATTTTTTTTTCCTGATCTGTTTTTAAAAGTTTTATAGTCCAGGCGTGGTGGCTCACACCTGTAATCCCAGCACTTTGGGAGGCCAAGGCAGGCAGATCACCTGAGGTCAGGAGTTCGAGACCAGCCTGGCCAACATGGCGAATCCCTGTCTCTAGCAAAAATATAAAAATTGGCCAGGTGTGGTGGCGCATGCCTGTAATCCCAGCTACTTAGGAGGCTGAGGCAAGAGAATCTCTTGAACCCAGGAGGCAGAGGTTGCAGTGAGCCGAGATCATGACACTGCACTCTGGCCTAGGTGACAAGAGCAAAACTCTGTCTCAAAAATAAAAAATAAATAAAAATAAATAAAAGTTTTATGACGCCATATGGTATTTCTTGTTAACTGAAAAACTTTGCAGCCACAAAAAGGAACAAAACCACGTCCTCTGCAGCGGCGTGGATGCGGCTGGAGGCCACTATCCTAAGCGAATTAACACAGGAACAGAAAATCAAATACTGCGTGTTCTGACTTACAAGTGGGAGCTAAACATTAGCTAGTTATGGACATAAAGATGGAAAAAACAGACACTGGGGACTGCAAGACTGGAGGGAGGCAGGCAAGGGTTGAGAAACTATCTACTGGTACTGTGCTCACTACTTGGGTATCGAGGTCATTCGCACCCCAAACCTCAGCATCACGCAATATACTCATGTAACAAACCTGCACATGTACCCCCTGAACCTAAATAAAATTTGAGGCCAGGCGCAGTGGCTCATGCCTGCAATCTCAGCACATTGGGAGGCTGAGGCAGGAGGATCACTTGAGGCCAGGAGTTCGAGATCAGCATGGGGAACAATGTGAGACTCCTGTCTCTATAAAAAAAATAATAAAAATTGAAATTGCTTAAAAAAGAAAAACTTGTGAGGCCTGCCTTCTAGCTATTCTACAGAAGAAGCCTTTTCAAACAGGTTCAAGGTGACACTACCTTCCCGAAGCTCTGTGATCTGGAGAGCTTTCCCCGTGCTCTCCTCCAAGGTTGGACTCACTCAGGGCAGCTCTCTACAGGGCCACACCGAGGGACACAAAGCACAGACTGGGTTTGCCACCTTGGGTACTGGCCAGGCCTCAGTGAGAACCATCCTTTTACCCAAATCTCCTGCCTTCCAGAATCTTCCTTCCCTTTGAGCAGACTGGAGTTGCTGGTACAAACTGTTGCTTCCGCCTTTGACTCCAGCAGCTCCTTTCTCCTGTCTCTCTTAAAAGACCTAATGCTGCCTGGGCACGGTGGCTAGCACTTGTAATCCCAGCACTTTTGGAGGCCAAGGCCAGTGGATCACCTGAGGTCTGGAGTTTTCAACCAGCCTGGCCAACATGGTGAAACCCCATCTCTACTAAAAATACAAAAAATTAGCCAGGTGGGGTGGCAGGCGCCTGTAGTCTCAGCTACTCGGGAGGCTGAGGCAGGAGAATCCCTTCAATCCGGGAGGCAGAGGTTGCAGTGAGTGGAGATCGCGCCATTACACTCCAGCCTGGGCAACAACAGTGAAACTCTGTCTCAAAACAAACAAAAAAGAAGACCTAACACTGTCTCATGCCATTTAATTGCTTATGTATGTGGAAAAAATAACAATACATAAGCCCTCTTTTATTTTTATTTTTTTCTTGAGATGGAGTCTGGCTCTGTCACCCAGGCTGGAGTGCAGTGGCACAATCTTGGCTTACTGCAACCTCCTCCTCCTGGGTACAAGCGATTCTCCTGCCTCAGACTCCTGAGTAACTGGGACTGTAGGCGTGCTTCACCATGCCCAGCTAATTTTTGTATTTTTAGCAGAGACGGGGTTTCATCATGTTGGCCAGGCTGGTCTTGAACTCCTGACCTTGTGAACCGCCCACCTCAGCCTGCCAAAGTGCCGGGATTACAGGCATAAGCCACCGCACCCAGCCTGGCTTCAGTATTTTTACTGTCTCCTTGGAGTTATTCTTATATGTAGCCAAGGTTGAGAACCATGCTTTAATACGGCTAACTGCCTTCATAAAGGAGGGCTGGCTGGGCATGGAGGCTCATGCCTGTAATCCCAACGCTTTGGGAAGCCAAGGCAGGAGGAATGCTTGAGACCAGGAGTTCAAAACCAACTTGGGCAACAGAGCAAGACCTCATCTCTACAGATAATTTAAAAATTACCTGAGCGGCCGGGCGCAGTGGCTCATGCCTGTAATCCCAGCACTTTGGGAGGCCAAGGTGGGCAAATCACGAGGTCAGGAGTTCGAGACCAGCCTGGCCAACATGGTAAAACCCCATCTCTACTAAAAATACAAAAATTAGCCGGGCGTAGTGGCGTGCGCCTGTAATCCAGCTACACAGGAGACTGAGGGAGGAGAATCGCTTCAACCTGGGAGGCGGAGGTTGCGGTGACCCAAGATGGTGCCACTGCACTCCAGCCTGGGCGACAGAGTGAGACTCCATCTCAAAAAAAAAAGAAAATTACCTGAGCATGGTAGCGTGAGCCTGTGGTCCCAGCTACACAGGAGGCTGAGGTGAGAGGATCGCATGAGCCCTGGAGATCAAGGCTATCGTGAGCTGTGATCACACCATTGCACTCCAGCCTGGGTGACAGAGCAAGATCCCGTCTCAAAACATAAATAAAAGAGGCCATAAGCCCTCTTTTATTAGGCATGAGCCACCATGCCCAGCCCGAAGCCTTCAATACTTAAAAGAGAAAAGCGGTCTAGAGAGGAAAGAGGGAGGGTCTGGTGACACTATTGAATCCACATGTTGCCAGAGAAAAGGAGCAGGTAAGGGAATAGTCAATGATGTATTTGTCTCATGCTCAGTTAAGTGGGCACTTTACATAAGATAAGGTGAACCTGGAGCTGCTGTCTGCAGAGATCAACCTTTTAGCTGTAACTCTCTCTTTACGAACAAAATGAAAGGCAGTTTCTTGCATGACTCAACTTTCAGCTTAATTTTTCTTTTTCCTTTTGGCAGAGTGGATTGGGGTCCCAAGATTTTATTTTCCCTTCATGCAGCTTAACCTCTCCAAGCCTCATTACATGTGATTTCCTCATTTGTAAAAAAAAAAAAGGATGATGAGGCTGGGCGCGGTGGCTCACGCCAGTAATCTCAGCACTTTGGGAAGTCGAGGGGGGCGAATCATGAAGTCAGGAGTTTGAGATCAGCCTGGCCAACATGGTGAAACCCCGTCTCTATTAAAAATACAAAAATTAACCGGGTGTGGTGGTGTGTACTTGTAATCCCAGCTACTGGGGAGGCTGAGGCAGGAGGATGACTTGAACCCAGGAGGGAGAGGTTGCAGTGAGCTGAGATCATGCAAGAGTCCGTCTCAAAAAACAAAACAAAAAAAGGGATGGTGATATCATCTCTTAGAGGTCTCAGGAGGATTCAGGTGTAGGTGAGATGAGACACTGCTTGTAATGTGGTGTTTTTATGAAAGTGTATGACATTTAGCAATAACTCAATACATGTTAGCTATATCTATAAAACGAATGAGTGAGTCAAGAAACCCGATGATTCCAAGCAAGGGAGGGGACCCTGGAGCCACACAAGCTAGGCTTAAATTACTTGTCTGCCACATTTTAGCTGTGTGGCCTTGGGGAAGTCACGTGACCTCTCTGAGCCTCAGTGTCTTTGTCTGTTTTTTTGAGACCCAGTCTCCCTCTGTCACCCAGGCTGGAGGGCAGTGGCGCAATCTCGGCTCACTGCAACTTTTGCTTCCCGGGTTCTAGCGATTCTCCCGCCTCCTGAGTAGCTGGGACTGCAGGTGCATGCCATCACGCCCAGCTAATTTTTGTATTTTTAGTAGGGATGGGGTTTCACCATATTGGCCAGGCTGGTCTCGAACTCCTGACCTCAAATGATCCACCCGCCTTGGCCTCCCAAAGTGTTGGGATTACAGGCGTGAGCCACCGTGTCCAGCAATTTTTCCATTTTTAGTAGAGTTAGGGTTTCACTGTGTTGGCCAGGCTGGTTTCAATCTCCTAACCTCAAGTGATCTGCCCACCTCGGCCTCCTGAAGTGCTGAGATTACAGGCATGAGCCACCACACCCTGCCCTCAATGTCTTTGTTAAATGGGGCGATGATAACACTGACCTTCATCAATCCTGATGATGATTCCCTAGGTGAAAACATCCTGCCTACCACATAGTGGACACTTAGTGTATGGTAGCAGAGGTGAGCTTACTGGGGCCATAATACTTGCAAAGGGCCTCCCCTTTGCAAGGTTTTGGAGAGCCTAAGCAGGATGCCCCATGGTCCTATGTTTTGGGAAGATTTGCACAAGATGTTCTATTTTGTCTGAGTCCTCTCCAATCGTACTCACTTGCGGCTGGCCCCACACCTGAATCTAGGTGGCAGCTAGAGTTATGTCTACTAGGAGTGCCCCTTTATCCCTTGAGGGTCCACAGCATTCCAAAACCTCCTTCTGACCCCTGGGCCTCAAACGGAGCTGTAGGAAGAGGGGCCAGTGTGGGGAGCTGGGGGGCTGAGGAGACAGCCACTGACTCCTCCCTGTGGTTCCGGCAGCGCTGGAGGTCCCTTTCGGCCAGGACAGCCCTCTTCACAAACACCGCCAGGGCGCTCCAGCTGGCCAGGATGATGGCCAGCTCCAGAAGGTTCCACTTGCTGCAGAAATAGCCCCACGTCTCTTTACTCATGCGCTTGCCCTGGAAAAGGAGCGTGAAGTTGCGGCCGTGACTGCCCCCGCCCCACAGGGCTGCTCCCTCCCCATCCCGGAGGGCCCTCTGGCAGGAGGCTTCCCCAGCTCTGGCCCCCATGCACAGAGTGCCCAGGCCTCTCCCCAACCTTGTGCACAGACCCATTGAGGCGGGATAATAGGGCCTGGAGGCAGGGAACCTAAGAACTAAATCAAATGGAAACACTTCAGCTATGACAGGAAATATCCTCTTCATTCACATAGGGTGTACCCCGAGTAAATGACTTTGTAACTTCACTTTAACCTCTTCATTTACATAGGACATACACCGATTAACCAATGGAAACCTCTAGAAGGTATTTAAACCCCAGGAAATTCTTTTTTTTTTTTTTTTTTGAGATGGAGTCTCCCTCTGTTGCTCAGGCTGGAGTGCAGCGGGCCCCATCTCAGCTCAATGCAACCTCTGCCTCCCGGGTTCAAGCAATTCTTCTGCTTCAGCCCCCTGAGTAGCTGGGATTACAGACGTGTGCCACCACACCCAGCTAATTTTTGTATTTTTAGTAGAGAAGGGGTTTCATTTTGTTGGCCAGGCTAGTCTCAAACTCCTGACCTCAGGTGATCTGCCCGCCTCTGCTTCCCAAAGTGCTGGGATTACAAGTGTGAGCCACCGAACCCAGCTGGCTGTAGTTTGCAACATGGAAAGAGTTCATCCTTCTGGAGATGGACGGTAGTGGCACTTGCACAATGATATGAGTGGACCTAATGCCACTAAACACTTAAAAGTGGTTAAAATGGTAAATTTTATGTTACGTATATTTCCCACAATTAAAAATAAATAATTTAGGCTGGGCACGGTGGCTCACGCCTGTAATCCCAGCACTTTGGGAGGCTGTGGCTGGCAGATCACAAGGTCAGGAGATCCAGACCATCCTGGCCAACACGGCGAAACCCTGTCTCTATTAAAAATACAAAAATTAGCCGGGCGTGGTGGCAGGTGCCTGCAGTCCCAGCTACTCAGGAGGCTGAGGCAGGAGAATCGCTTGAACCCTGGAGGCGGAGGTTAAAGTGAGCCGACATCGTGCCATTGCACTCCAACTTGGTGACAGAGAAAGAATCTGTCTAAAAAAAAAAAAAAACAACAATAAAATAAATAAATAATTTTAAAAATTGCTGAGCGTGGTGACTCATACCTCTACAACACTTTGGGAGGCTGAGGCGTGACAATCACTTGAGCCCAGGAGTTAGAGAACAGCCTGGGCAAAATCACGAAAACGGGCTGGGCATGGTGGCTGACGCCTGTAATCTCAGTACTTTGGGAGACCAAGGCAGACAAATCACTTGAGGTCAGGAGCTCGAGACCAGCCTGGCCAACATGGTGAAAACCCTGTCTGTACTACAAATATAAAAATAAGCTGCAAATCTCTTAAACCCAGGAGGCGGAGGATGCAGTGAGCAGAGAAGTCACCACTGTACTCCAGCCTGGGCAACAGAGCAAGACTCCGTCTCAAAAAAAAAAAAAAAAGAAAGAAAAAGACAAAGCCTCATCTCTACAAAAAGTACAAAAATTAGCTGGATGTGGTGACACATGCCTATAGTCTCAGCTACTCGGGAGGCTGAGGTAGGAGGATCACTTGACCCTGGGGAGGTTGAGGCTGCAGTAATCTGGGACTGCACTACTGCACTCCAGCCAGGGCAACAGAGCCAGACCCTCTCTCTACATAGACAGACAAATAGATAGTTAGGTAGTTTTCTTTCTTTTCTGCCCTTGTGGAGAGGTTTTCTGGATAGGCACGAGACTTAGTTTTAAGTAAACTTCCCCAACAGGTGTCACAAGTTCAAAAGAACGATCCTGCGTGTGTTCTTCATCTTCCTCCCCATCTTTTCCCTTTCACTCAAGAGAATCTTCTATTTTTGTACCAGTTTCCCCTCCTGCCCCTTCTTTTTTCCTCTTCTTTCTTCCTTTCTTTCCTTTCCTTCCTTTCCTTCCTTCCTTCCTTTTCTTTCTTTTTTTTGCCAGGGACAGAGTTTCGCTCTTGTTGCCTAGTCCTGGAGTGCAGTGGCGCAATCTCAGCTCACTGCAACCTCTGCCTCCAGTTCAAGCGATTCTCCTGCCTCAGCCTCCCGAGTAGCTGTAATTACAGGCATGCGCCACCACACCCGGCTAATTTTATATTTTTAGTAGAGATGGGTTTTCACCATGTTGGCCAGGCTAGTCTTGAACTCCTGATCTCATGATCCACCTGCCTTGGCCTCCCAAAGTGCTGGGATTACAGGCGTGAGCCACCGCGCCCAGCAATTTTTTTTTTTTTTTTTTTTTTGGAGACAGAGTCTTGCTCTGTCATCCAGGCTGGAGTGCTGTGGCAGGATCTCAGCTCACTGCAACCTCTGCCTCCCAGGTTCAAGTGATTCTATTGCATCAGTCTCCCAAGTAGGTGGGACTACAGGCGCCTGCCACCATGCCCGGCTAATTTTTGTATTTTTAGTAGAGATGAGGTTTTGCAATGTTGGCCAGGCTGGTCTCCAACTCCTGACCTCAAGTGATCTGCCCGTCCTGGCCTCCCAAAATGCTGGGATTATAGGCTTGAGCCACTGTGCCCCTCCTACCCACTCTTAAGAAGGAAGGACTTCCATTTGGCTGGTGGCAGGCTAAGTTCACTTTTACAACAAAGGGATGGAGAGTGGGGAGATTTTTAAAACTGCCCAAGCAGCATTTTGCGAGAGATTTGTAGGTTTTGGAGAGCAGCTTTCTGAAGCAGCTGCAGGCAGACTGTGGAGGCAGTTGGAGGAGGGCAGTGAACCGTGGAGGCGGGTGGTGAACAGATCTGCTGTGAGGTTCTTGGACAGGTGCATGGATTGAAGTTGCTGTCTGATGACTGTTGGCCATTGGGCTTGAACTGGTGATGCTCAAGACCAGGCGAGTGCGCTGCTTCATGAGGCTGATGCTGTGGATAGGGGTCGAGTGTGACGGTCAGGGGTCAGACTCCCTGTGTTCAAATTCTGACCTTGGATAAATGACTTAAAGTCTCTGGACTTTAGTTTCCTACTCTGAATTAGAGCCCATAGGACCTTTCTCCTGTTGTTGAAAGAGAAAACACATACGTTCTTAGCACAATGCCTGCTATGCAGTAAGCACTCAAAAATATCATCCTTGCTTTAAACAGGGTGTTGGAGAAGACGATGGAGGGCCAAGATGCCCCCTTTCGGCAATCTGGTTTGCATTTTTGTCAGGAGGAGGGGAGTAGCTTCCGGTGTGTTCCCATGATCGTCCAGCCTTTAGCGTCATCAACATCTGCACGTTTGGATGCAACATGGCAATAAAGGTGGCAAAGGGGATGTTGCCTAACTCCCAGTGACCGTGGGTGGGAACAAAAGATGCTAAGAGGCCCCACAATCTAAGTTCAGAGGACTTCCACACCCAGCTGTAGGGTCACTTCCCCGTACCATCGCCCTACCCTGGCTCTTTGGAAGGTCTCAGTTCAGTAGAAACAGGACCCATGCTCCTCTCCCTTCCCCACCCATGAAAGACCCCACTTTGAGTTCTCAATTCCTGAGGAGTACCAACCTTGGGTCCTTCCCATGCCCTGATCTAGCAGCCTAGATCAGCCCTAGGACCAATGGAAGGACCAAAGGTTGCTCCCAGCAAACACCTAAGGCAAAGCCCTTTCCCGGCCGGGTGCGGTGGCTCACGCCTGTAATCCCAGCACTTTGGGAGGCTGAGGCAGGCGGTTCACGAGGTCAGGAGTTTGAGACCATCCTGGCCAACATGGTGAAACCCCATCTCTACTAAAAACACAAAAATTAGCAGGGCTTGGTGGTGCATGCCTGTAGTCCCAGCTACTCAAGATGCTGAGGCAGGAGAATCATTTGAACCCAGGAGGTGGGGGCTGCAGTGAGCCGAGATTGCACCACTGTATTCCAGCCTGGTGACAGAGACTCCATCTCAAAAAAAAAAAGGAAAAAATCCCTTTCCCATCCCACTTACAAGGAAGAGGAGAGGTGTTGGTGAGGCACCAGGCACCCCTGCACCCCAAACCCTGCTCATGAGCTATGAGCATGCCCCTTACCTGCACCACCATGTAGTAGAGGAGGAAGAGGAAGTAGATGAGCTCTGCCGCTACCACGAAGGGGTGCCAGCCGTCGGTGAAGGGGTACAGGCGGAGGCTCTGCAGGGCCGCGTGCGTAAAAAAGGTGCCTGGGGAGCAAAGTGCGTTCTGCTCACTCTGGGCCACCTGGTTGCTCAGAGCCATGGCTTCTGACAGGAGCCATCAGGTCAGATGACTCAAGCTCAACCCCCTGAGGGCTGGCTGTGGCCAAGGAAAAGCCAAAGTTATTTCAGACCCGAAGGACTGAACGTGGACACGTGGTAGACACCGAAGACAGCGGATGCAACAGAAGGGGCGGAGGGGCTGCAGTGGAAGGTTCTCCCCTCCCCTCGGCATTTGATGTTGGCCTTTTGGGCACAGACACCTCCAGATAAAGCACATCCACCCATATAATGACAATTGACTCCCACTTGGCTCATTTAAAGCCATTTTGGGCCGGGCCCAGGGGCTCACGCCTCTAATCCCAGCACTTTGAGAGGCTGAGGTGGGCAGATCATAAGGTCCGGAGATTGAGCTCATCCTGGCTAACGTGGTAAAACCCCGTCTCTACTAAAAATACAAAAAGTTAGCCAGGTGTGGTGGCAGGCACCTGTAGTCCCAGCTACTCGGGAGGCTGAGGCAGGAGAATTGCTTGAACCCAGGAGGCAGAGGTTGCAGTGAGCCGAGATCACACCATTGCACTCCAGCCTGGGTGACAGAGAAGGACTGTGTCTCAAAAAAAAAATAAAAATAAAAAAAGATACACAGGTAAACCCAAAAAGGATTTGGAAGAAACTATTAGCAATGCGGAATGACAATGGAAATTGAAAGCCCTTCAGTTTTCACAGTTCTGAATTTTGTTTTTAAAACACAAACATATATTCCTTTTTTTTTTTTTTTTTTTTTGAGATGCAGTCTTGCTCTTGTTCCCCAGGCTGGAGTGCAATGGCACAATCTCGGCTTACTGCAACCTCCACCTCCTGGGTTCAAGTGATTCTTCTGCCTCAGCCTCCTGAGTATCTGGGATTACAGGTGCCCGCCACCACGCCCAGCTAATTTTTGTATGTTTAGTAGAGACGGGGTTTCGCCATGTTGGCCAGGCTAGTCTTGAACTCCTGACCTGGTGATTTGCACCCCCCCCCACCCGGCCAATGGCCTCCCAAAGTGCTGGGATTACAGGTGTGAGCCACCATTCCCGGCCTATATTACTTTTATCATTAAAAACGTAATCTAATATTTTCTAAAAGTTTGGTATTCACTGGAGAGGAGGTTGGCTTTTAGGTAAATTGACCATCAGCTGAATAGACTATAGATTGGTTTTTAGAAGACTGTGATCAGCATTTTAAAGGGGGAAGGAGGCATGAGGAAGAATAAATAGAATAGAACACAAAATATGAGAGCCCATCACATGTAGTTTTTTGTTTTTTAAATTTTATAGAGACCAGGTCTCACCATGATGCCCAGGCTGGTCTTGGACTCCTGGGCTCAAGGAGTCCTCCCACCTTGACCTCCCAAAGTGCTGGGATCATGGGGGCGAGCCCGGCCTCATGGAGTTAAAGTACATGTTATTTGTGAACATTTCATCTTGGTTGCATGTGTGCTGGATTATGTTGTAAAACGTACTTTGTGCTGTGCACTGATGTATGGTGAAATATATATTAGGTGATATGATCTGTTACATCACATTCTCCCTCGCCGTCACTGCCAGGTCACCACCCCCAACCCCAGCAGACAGGGAAGCTCGGGATTAGGCAATGGATAAGCTGCCTTTGGACTCTGAATAGGCTGTTTTACGATAACTTGGGCGACTAGGCCAGAAAGATGGGAAGAATTAGGGTGGAGGGCCCTAATGCTTTGCCTTTGGGGGCCCAGGGACTCATGGCTGCAAGGATAACCAAGATCCACACCTAGATTCACTAAATAAGTATTTGCTCTGGAGCTCTGGCCCTGGGGTGGCTGCACCTAGGTAGGTCAGGAGCCCCAGCCCAGGGGAAGGAGTATATGTCTTCTGGAGCCCTGCAGAGGGTTCCCAGGCGAGGCTGCCCACCCAGAGCGCTGGTCTCTAGCGTCAGCGTGACAATGCAGAACAGGTTGACGTTGGCGTTGTAGACAGTGGACTCCACAAACACAGCTCTGGTCAGGGCGTCCAGCCAGGTGTTGTCAAAGAGATAGCGGAGAATTCTGCAGGAAAGAGTGGCATTGGGTCATTGCTATCCTGCAGGGGCTCCATGTCCCGGCAGCCCCTTGACTGAGGCCAGTACTTCCTGTCTCAACTTCTCCCTCTGTTTCTGCTCTGCTCCCTGGGCCACCAGGCCAACAGAGCTGCTGCTGGGAGTGGTCACATTTTGTAGCCCACGCTGTGATATGGTGGCACCCCTCATCTCCTGGCCATCAGAGCAGAGATTCTCAAAGTGTAGTGCCCACACCAGCAGCATCAGCATCACCTGGGAACTTGTTGGAAATACAGATTTTCAGGCCCGCCCTAGACCTGCTGAGTCAGACACTCTCAGGGGAGCCCAGAATGCGTGTTTTGATGAGCCCGCCAGGATTTGGATTTTTTTTTTTTTTTTTTTGAGACGGAGTCTTGAACTGTCGCCCAGACTGGAGTGCAGTGGTGCGATCTCGGCTCACTGTAAGCTCTGCCTCCTGGGTTCACGCCATTCTCCTGCCTCAGCCTACCGAGTAGCTGGGACTACAGGTGCCTGCCACGGCACCCGGCTAATTTTTTGTATTTTTAGTAGAGGCGGGGTTTCACCGTGTTAGCCAGGATAGTCTCGATCTCCTGACTTCGTGATCCGCCCGCCTCGGCCTCCCAAAGTGCTGGGATTACAGGCGTGAGCCACCACGCCCAGCCTTGGATGCTTTTTACGGTTTGAGAGCCATGGTGTTAGAAGAATCATAGTCCGGGTGCGGTGGCTCACATCTGTAATCCCAGCAGTTTGGGAGGCTGAGGCAGGTGGATCACCTGAGGTCAGGAGTTTGAAACCAGCCTGGCCAACATGGTGAAACCCCGTCTCCACTAAAAATACAAAAATACAAAAATTAGCCAGGTGTGACCGGGTGCGGTGGCTCACGCCTGTAATCTCAGCACTTTGGGAGGCTGAGGTGGGTGGATTATCTGAGGTCAGGACATCGAGACCAGCCTGAACAACATGGTGAAATTCCGTCTCTATTAAAAATACAAAAATTCGCTGGGCGTGGTGGCGCATGCCTGTAATCCCAGCTTCTCAGGAGGCTGAGATGGGAATTGTTTGAACCAGGGTGGCAGAGGTTACAGTGAGCCGAGATCACGCCACTGCACCTCAACCTGGGTGACAGAGCGAGACTCTGTCTCAAAAAAAAAATAAAAAAGAAAAAATTAGCTGCAGTGGTGTATGCCTGTAATCCCAGCTACTCAGGAGGCTGAGGCATGAAAATTGCTTGAGGCTGAGACAGGAGAATCATTTGAACCCAGGAGGCAGAGGTTGCCATGAGTCAAGATCATGCCACTGCACTCCAGCCTGGGTGACGGTGTGAGACTGTCTCAAAAGAAGAAAAAAGGGCCAGGCATGGTGGCTCACACCTGTAATCTCATCACTTTGGGAGGCTGAGGCAGGCAGATCACCTGAGGTCAGGAGTTTGAGATCAACCTGGCTAACATGGTGAAACACTGCCTCTACTAAAAATACAAAAACTTTAGCCAGGCGTGGTGGCACACGCCTGTATTCTCAGCTACTCAGGAGGCTGGGGCAGGAGAATTGCTTGAACCTGGGAGGTGGAGGTTGCAGTGAGCTGAGATCACATCAAAGCACTCCAGCCCGGGCAACAGAGCAAGACTCTGTCTCCGAAAAAAAAAAAAAAAGAAATAAAGAAAAAGAAGAAAAGGAGGCTGGGCTGATGGCTCACGCTTGTAATCCCAGCACTTTGGCATGCTGAGGTGGACGGATCACCTGAGGTCAGGAGTTCAAGACCAGCCTGGCCAACATGGTGAAACTCCACCTCTACTAAAAATACAAAAATTAGCTGGGTGTGGTGGCGTGCACCTGTAATTCCAGCTACTCAGGAGGTTGAGGCGGGAGAATCACTTGAGCCCAGAAGCAGAGGTGGCAGTGAGCTGAGATCACGCCATTGCACTCCAGCCTGGGCAACAAGAGCAAGACTCTGTCTCAAAAATAAATAAATAAATAAATAAATAAATAAGAATCATATAAAACATCAGGGGCTTAGGCAAGCAGCTCCCATGAGCTCCTGGAGATCTGTCAGCCTGGTGTGGTGGAAAGAGCACATGCCCTGAAGGTGGTGGAGGGACCTGGGTTCAAATCTTGGCTGCCTCCTGGACAAGCTAATAACTTCTCCAGGCCTTGGTTTCCTCATCTGCCATGGTGTGGTTTTTTGTTGGTTTTTTGTGTTTATGAGACAGGGTATTGCTCTGTTGCTCAGAATGGGGTGCAATGGCAATCATCCCTCACTGCAGCCTCCACCTCCCAGGCTCATGTGATCCTCCCACCTCAGCCTCCCAAGTTGCTGGGACCACAGGTGCGTACCCCCATGCCCAGGTAATTTGTTATCTTTTTTAGAGGCAGAATCTCAGTATGTTGTCCAGGCTGGTCTCAAATTCCTGGGCTCAAGCAATCCCCCTGTGTCAGCCTCCCAAAGTGCTGGAATTATAGGTGTGAGCCACTGTGCCCGGCTCTACAACGGTGTTAACACCAGTGCCTTCAGATCATTTAGAGAACATGGAGGGATGTGTGTGCATGTGCGTGTGTGTGTTGTGTGTGTGTAGTAATGATAGTTGTTATTACTTCCAGTAATAATGATGGGCCTGTAATATGCTGTGTCCCCAGTGGGTCTGCATCCTGCTTGGTACATAGCAGCAGATAGAGAGAGAATATGTTTTTTTTTTTTTTTTGAGACAGAGTTTCGCTCTTGTTGCCCAGGCTGGAGTGCAATGGCGCAACCTTGGTTCACTGCAACCTCTGCCTCCCGTATTCAAGCGATTCTCCTGCCTCAGCCTCCTGAGTAGCTGGGATTACAGGCACCCACCACTAATTTTTTGTATTTTTAGTAGAGATGGGGTTTCTCCATGTTGGCCATACTGGTCTCGAACTCCTGACCTCAGGTGCTCCTTCTGCCTTGGCCTCTCAGAGAGCTGAGATTACAGGCATGATCACTGCACCCAGCCACCAGAGAGAGAATATCTGCAGTCAGTCCAATTAGCAGGAAAAATGCCTCTTATTCCGAAATCGACTATTCCTGGCCTTTCCTTAACCCCAGGAGACCCTGTTTGTAGACAGAGTACAGGCTACACCATCATAAACCACCTTGGTGCAATGATCATACAATGGAGGAAACTGAGGTTCACGCGGGTCTGCTGATTTGCTTGGGCTACACAGCTAAAAGGAGCAGCGCCAGGGTTTCAAATCTAGGTCTCTTGTCTCAAGGGCATGTTGAGTCAGTCTTCACGGACCCTGAGCATCCCTGCACGTTCTTACTGGGTATTCTAGGAATGCAAGGCCGTGGCTGTGCTTTAGCCAAGTCACTTCTTAGGGCTGTATTTGCAGTGTGCAACCTTGTGGGATGAGGTGATGCCTTCCTTTGGACAAAGAGTAGGCTTCTTTCTGCTGCTGTAAAAGCATCAAATGCCCCCAGGCTCTGTATTGCAGGCACATGCAGGCATCTTTCACGGCCCTTTGTGGGCAACTGACTCAGACCAGTGTAATGTTCTGCTATGACTTTTGCTGTAACAAAATCCTTTGTCTCTGACCCAGGAATATTGCGTATTCTGCCAGCATCCGTGAAACAGTTAACAGGCTAGCTTGTTGGCTTACAAGTAGGGTAAAACCTCAAATTTTGCATAATTCTTGACAGATCCTTAACTAATTCCCTCTTGCCTAAGGGTGGACTGCTTTGAGTGGTAGTGAGCTCCCCATCTCTGGCCTGGCTCTAGCAGAAGCAACCAGGCTGTGAATGCTAGAGAGAGACTTTCCTTCCAATTCTGAGATGGCTTAGTTCCCAGGGACCTGAAAATACAACCTGCATGATTCTGTATCCTACAAGCCCTCCCACAAGGACCTGAATGAACTTGGCTCAGCCCTGTTTGGAAGACTACATTCCCCAAGCAGATGTGGACTCTAGCAAAAGACTTTACTCAGCTACAAATGAATCAAGTCAACCTTACCTTGACGTGCTTTGGCGATCAGTCCCCAAGGGGACCACGTAGCCTCCTCCCCGGTACACAGTGAGTTTGCCCCAGATGGGATACCCTTGACGTTGGTCCTGGCTCTGGTACTGCCATTACTGAGGGTGGTGGCATTCCAGCCTTCCCCATAGTCTGCCATGTCTTCAGCATCCAGGGAATATGGTGCACGGCATCCGTTGAGATATGCCTGCGGCTGCTGGGCAAGAGGGCAAGAGCTTTCCTGGACCCTCACTTGACGAATCTGGGCACTGCCAACCAGCTTGGAGTTCCCATCAGTGATAAAGCCTAAAAAGAAAAACAAGGTGGGTAAATCTAGCAATCAAAATAATCTTAACACATTCCAAGCTCCCCGGCCTGAGGCTAATGTGAAATTCAGCGTACCCATTATAGAGACAGCCCAGAGAAGTTTATCACCAACTATAGGCTACATTTATCCAAATAACCTCACCATCTCTCCTGCTGGAATCTACTGTGCTTCCGCACAACTTCTCTTAGGGAATGGAACCTGCCACCCCGTCATCCATCTGGATGTGCCTGTGCCCTTTCTCCTCAATCCTCCATCCCACTGGTCACCACATCCTATCCATCCTACTTTTTTCATGTCTTATGTGCCCATCCCGTTCTCTCCATCACCACTGTCCCTGGTCCCTCCCTGCACCAGCCCTCATCCTGTGTCCTCAGCATCCTAACTTGCCACCTCCTCCACCTCTTTTTTTTTTTTTTGAGACAGAGTTTTGCTCTTGTTGCCCAGGCTAGAGTGCAATGGCGTGATCTTGTCTCACTGCAACCTTTGCCTCCTGATTCAAGCAACTGTCCTGCCTCCGCCTCCCGAGTAGCTGGGATTACAGGCGCATGCCACCATGCCCAGCTAATTTTTTGTATTTTTATTAGAGATGGGGTTTCTCCATGTTGGCCAGGCTGGTCTCGGACTCCTGACCTTGGGTGATCCACTCACCTCGGCCTCCCAAAGTGCTGGAATTACAGGTGTGAGCCACGGCGCCCGGCCAACTTGCCCACCCTTTACTCCAACTTCCACATGCTTCCAGAGTGATCCTTCTACACCACAGATTTATGCCATAGCCTCATGTAGAAATTCAGTGGCGCCTCATTTCCTCAAGGATGAGATACACGCTCCTGAGATCCTTCATGATCTGGCCCGTTCATCTTTCCTGCTTTGCTTCTCACTGATCCTTAACTCACATCCTACACGAGAGTCACACCCAACACGCTGTGGTTCCAAGAACACGCATCCCATGGCAAGAGGCTGGGCTTTTCTCGTGTTGTTCATTCTGCCTGGTGCACTGTTTTTGCCTAGCTGGTTCAAGCTCTGTTATCACTCACTTAGGAGGTTCTCCACTCTGCATCGGGGGAAGGGAAGGTGGAGAGTCCCCCCTTGTGCACACCCAGCCTTCTGAGTCCCTCCTTCATAGCATCTGGTCCTGTGGTTATTGATTGGTTTTCTCTCTTCCTTCCTTCCCTCCTTCCTTCCCTCCTTCCTTCCTCTCTCTTTCTTTCCTTCCTTCCTTCCTTCCTTTCCTCCCTTCCTTCCTCCCTTCCTTCCCTTCCTTCCTTCCCTTCCCTCCCTCCTTCCCTCCTTCCCTCCTTCCTTCCTTCCTTCTCTCTCTCTCTCTCTCTTTCTTGACAGTTTCACTCTTGTCACCCAGGCTGGAGTGCAAGGGCGCAATCTCGACTCACTACAATCTCCGCTTCTCAGGTTCAAGCGATTCTCCTGCCTCAGCCTCCTGAGTAGCTGGGACTACAGGCACGTGCAAACACACCCAGCTAATTTTGTATTTTTAGTAGAGATGGGATTTCACGTTGGCCAGGCTGGTCTCAAACTCCTGACCTCACGTGATCCACCTGTCTTGGCCTCCCAAAGTGCTGGGATTACAGCCGCAAGCCACCACGCCTGGGGTTTTACTGGTTTTCTTTTCTTTTCCCTCCCTCCCTCCCTCCCTCCCTCCCTTCCTTCCTCTCTCTCTCTCTCTCTTTCTTTCATGGAGTCTCACTTCTTCACCCAGGCTGGAGTGCAATGGCGTGATCTTAGCTCACTGTAACCTCTGCCTCCCAGGTTCAAGCAATTCTCCTGCCCCAGCCTCCCAAGTAGCTGTGTTTACAGGCACGTGACAACACACCTAGCTAATTTTTGTAGTTTTAGTAGAGACGGGGTTTCACCAGGTTGGCCAGGCTGGCCTCAAACTCCTGACCTCAAGTGATCCGCCCGCCTCGGCCTCCCAAAGTGCTGGGATTATAGGCGTAAGCCACTGCACCTGGCCTCTTTTTTTTTTTTTTTTTTTTTAAGACAGAGTCTTGCTCTGTCTCCCAGGCTGGAGTGCAGTGGTGCAATTTTGGCTCACTGCAGGTTCTGCCTCCCGGGCTTAAGCAATCCTCCCACCTCAGCCTCCAGAGTTGCAGGGACTATAGGCATGAGGCATCACATCCAGCTAATTTTTGTATTTTTCAAAGAGGCAGGGTCTTGCCATGTTGCCAGGCTGGTCTCGAATTCCTGGCCTCAAGCAATCCTCCCGCCTCAGCCTCCCAAAGTACTAGGATTACAGGTGTAAGCCACCACACTTGGCCTGGTTTTCTTATGAGGCTGATGCTGACAGTGCCCCACGTCTGTTCCTAGCCAGAAGGCACAAGGAGGCTGACACAGCCCCAGGGCTTCAGGACTTACCTGGGGGGTGACCATACAGGTTACTCACGAGGGTGGTGTTGGCCCACTTGAAGAACTCTCGGAAGCCGAGCACACCTGAAAAGCCCCTGGTGAAGCTGTGCTGGAGGTGTCTGTTGAGGTGGTAGGCGCTGGGGTCCCTCTGCCCGTAGGCCACGAGCAGTAGCATCCACAGGAAGCCCAAGTATGCTGGGGAGGGAGGCACAGTCCCTGCTCAGGCAGGATCCACGACTCCCACCCAGTCCAAGTCAGGAAATGGAAAGGCCTCCTAGACCAGCCCCTCGCCACTGTGGTGACAATGGAACCAATCTTTATAGAGGCAGCGGAGAGGAGTAAAGTCACAGACCATGGGATCTCCTGCCTGGGTCCAAATCCCAGCTCTGCGACATCTCATCCAGGCGCCCTTCACAAGTGAGTCTATCCTTCCATGCCTCACTCTCCCCATCTATGAAATGGGAATAACAATTCTGTGATGAGGGGATCAGTTAATATTAGAAAGTACTGGCCGGGAGTGGTGGCTTATGCCTGTAATCCCAGCACTTTGGATCACTTGACGCCAGGAGTTCAAGACCAGCCTGGCCAACATGGTGAAACCCTGTTTCTACTAAAAATACAAAAATGAGCCGGGCATTGTGGCGCATGCCTGTAATCCCAGCTACTCAGGAGGCTGAGGCAGAAGAATCGCTTGAACCTGGGAGGCGGATGTTGCAGTGAGCTGAGATCATGCCACAGCACTTCAGCCTGGGTGACAGAACAAGACTCCATCTCAAAAAAAAAAAAAAAAAATTAGAAATCACATAAAACAGTGTCTGCAGGCCGGGCATGGTGGCTCACGCCTGTAATACCAGCACTTTGGGAGGCCAAGACGGGTAGATCACCTGAGGTCAGAAGTTCGTGACCAGCCTGGCCAACATGGTGAAACCCCCCCTCTACTAAAAATGCAAAAATTAGCCGGGTATGGTGGTGCACGCCTGTAGTCCCAGCTACCTGGGAGGCTGAGGCAGGAGAATTGCTCTAACCCAGGAGGCAGAGGTTGCAGTGAGCCGAGATCGTGCCACTGCACTCCAGCCTGGGCGACAGAGAGAGACTCCATCTCAGAAAAAAACATAAAAAAACAAAAAACAAAAAAAGAGTGTCTGCTACATTAAGCATTTCTTAAATAGAATTTTAAAAAATGGGGCATTTGCCACGTTGCATGGCTGAGGGTATGGTGGTGAAGACAAACACGTTCCTGCCCTCATGGTGCTCACCTGTCTCGTTGGAGACAGGTGAGTGTGACGTAGAGGATCCTTTAGGTGCAGATATTTAGTGTGGGGGGGTGGACATCACAATAACATGAGGGATCAGGTTCTTAGTGAACCGGAACCTCTGGTTCCTGGGCCTGGGAATCTGTATTCCAAGACTCTCCCCTCTCCCTGCAACCACCTCAGAAGACTTGAATGGATGCCAATGAGTAGGACACTTTGGGGGCGTGCACTATATGCTCTCTCCAAGGTCCACAGTGGGACTGAATCCCAGTGGCCCACCTAAAACCCACCTGTCAGGTACCCTCTGTTGGCTTCCTTCCCTCTCTGCTGCCCTTTCTCCTCCAACCAGTGCTTTCCAGGACTACCTCCCAAATCAGCTACTTGCACCCAAATCTGCTCTGGGAAATCCAGACTCAGAGGCTCCCTGAGGTGTGAAGGCTTTTGACCAGCTGGGCCGGGGAAGCCACGCTGCAGACACAGTGTTTAGGCTGAGATTTAAAGAATATGAGGAATTAGGCCAGGCCCAGTGGCTCACGCATGTAATCTCAGCACTTTAGGAGGCCAAGGAGGGCAGATCACTTGAGGTCAGGAGTTCAAGATCTGCCTGACCATCATGGCAAAACCCTGTCTCTACCAAAAAAACAAAAATTATCTGGGCATGGTGGTGTGCGTTTCTGGTCCCAGCTGCTCCGGAGGCTGAGGCAGGAGAATCGCTTGAACCCAGGAGGCGGAGGTTGCAGTGAGCCGGGATTGTGCCACTGCACTCCAGTCGGAATGACAGAGTAAAATTGTATCTTAAAAAATAAAATAAAAAATTAAATAAAAAATTTAAAAATCTTAGGCCAGGCGTGGTGGCTTATGCCTGTAATCCCAGCACTTTGGGAGGCGGAAGCGAGTAGATCACCTGAGGTCGGGAGTTTGAGACCAGCCTGACCAACATGGAGAAATCCCATCTCTAACAAAAAAAATACAAAATTAGCTGGGCATGGTGGCGCATGCCTGTACTCCCAGCTACTTGGGAGGCTGAGGAAGGAGAATTGCCTGAACCCGGGAGGCGGAGGTTGCATTGAGCTGAGATCGTGCCATTGCACTCCAGCTCAGGCAACAAGAGCAAAACTCTGTCTCAAAAAAAAAAAAAAAAATTAAAAATCTTTAAAAAGGCCGAGCATGGTGGCTCATGCCTGTAATTCCAGCATTTTGGGAGGTCAAAGCAGGCAGATCACCTGAGGCCAGGAGTTCGAGACCAGCCCGGCCAACATGGTAAAACCCTGTCTCTATTAAAAATACAAAATTTAGCCGGGTATCGTGGCGCACGCTTGTAATCCCAGCTGCTCAGGAGGCTGAGGCGAGAGAACGGCTTGAACCCCGGAGGCAGAGGTTGCAGTGAGCCGAGATCGTGCCACTGCACTCCAGCCTAGGTGACAGAGTGAGACTCTGTTTCCAAAAAAAAAATAAACAAATAAATAAATAAGAATAAGAGGAATTAGGCAGAAGAAAAGCTGGGGAGGAGGAGTGAGCAGACTCCAGGCCGATGAGATGGAACTGCCTGGGCAGAAGCCTGGGGTGGGGACAGGGTGCAGGTCGCAGGTGCTATAGAAGCCAATGTGAGGACAACGTGGGTCACGGGAGCCGGGAGCGGGCACTTGAAGCGGGTAGAGCCACAGGAGCCGGTTTGAGTTTTGTCGTAAGGGTCATGAGAGGCGACCGAAGGATTTTAAGTGTAGGGGAGAAGCTGGAGTGTGCTGATATCCAGAGAAACTGAGGCCCAAAAGACGAGCGGGACTTATCAAAAATAGCACCGTAAGGGTGTCTGTCTGTTTCAGGCTGTGCTGAGAGCCAGCGAGTGGGAAGGATGCCTACCCAGGATTTCTCTGATGAGGGCAAATGCTTTCTGTTCCTTGAGGTGGGTGGTTTTCATCTTCTCAATGGCAGCGGTGAGAGGTGGCTGGTAGACATCCCTGCTGCTGTTTCTTCGTGCTCGGAACAAGGCATAGGGGTCTGTGGAGGGAAGGACACCAGGACAGCCCCTACGTGTGCAGAGGAGGACAGGCTCTGCGTTTGCAACCATAGGCCCCTCTCTCACCTGCTGCAATGGGCTCTGCGTTCCTCTTCCTTGGGAGTCGTTTCCCAACTCTACCCTCCACACCTCTGTCCATGTTCTCCCAGGGCCTAGAGTCCCACGCCTCCTCCATCTGGAGGACTCTCCATAGAGAAAGCACAGAGGTGTCTTCCCCTCCCTGAAATCTTTCTGGCCCCTGCACTGCCTTCCCCGACACTCCAAAACTGATGGATTCGAGGATGAGGGTGACAAATATCTCAAAGTCCTCTCATGTCTGTTACCTAGTATCTTCATTTTTTCAAATTTAGCTTCAATTTTAATTTTTTTTTTTTTTTGAGACACATTTTCACTCTGTTGCCCAGGCTGGAGTGCAGTGGTACAATCTCGGGTCACTGCAACCTCCACCTCCCGGGTTCAAGCAATTCTCCTGCCCCAGCCTCCCGAGTAGCTGGGATTACAGGTACGTGCCATCATGCCTGGCTAATTTTTGTATTTTTAGTAGAGACAGGGTTTCGGCATGTTTGCCAGTCTGGTCTCGAACTCCTGATCTCAAGTGATCTGCCTGCCTCGGCCGCCCAAAGTGCTGTGATTACAGGCATGAGTCATCGTGTCCAGCCTCATCAATTTAAATTAAATTTTTAAATTTTTATTTATTTTTCATTTTAAGGCCAGTCATGGCGGCTCAAGCCTGTAATCCCAGCACTTTCGGAGGCTGAGGCAGGCGGATCACCTGAGGTCAGGAGTTCGAGACCATCCTGACCAACATGGTGAAACCCCATCTCTACTAAAAATACAAAAATTAGCCGTACGTGGTGGTGCACGCCTGTAATCCCAGCTACTCAGGAGGCTGAGACAGGAGAATCACTTGAACCCAGGAGGTGGAGGTTGCAGGTAAGAGAAGAGAGACGGATCCTCTCATATTGCTTTATATTGTTTTATACTCAAAAAGGAAAGAGAAGCGAAACTAAAGGCAGGTAGCCCGGCGCCTAAGAACTAGACCCGAAACCAAGGAACCAGACCTGAAACCAGGCCTGGGCCTGCCTGACCTAAGCCTGGTAGTTAAAGATCGACCCCTGACCTAACCGGTTATGTTATCTATAGATTCCAGACATTACATGGAAAGGCATTGTAAAAATCCCTGTCCTGTTCTGTTTCGTTCTGATTACTGGTGCATGCAGCCCCCAGTCACGTACCCCATTTGATCAATTGATCAGGACCCTCTCACACGGACCCCCTTAGAGTTGTGAGCCCTTAAAAGGGACAGGAATTGCTTACTTGGGGAGCACGGCTCTTGAGACAGGAGGCTTGCCGATGCTCCCGGCCGAGTGAACCCCTTCCTTCTTTAACTCGGTGTCTGAGGAGTTTTGTCTGCGGCTCGTCCTGCTACACAGGGAGCCGAGACCATACCACTGCACTCCAGCCTGGGTGACAGAGCAAGTCTCTGTCTCAAAAAAAAAAAATTTTTTTAATAAAAAAAATTAAAAAAATAAAAATAAAATGTTTTTCATTTTACTTGTTTTGTAGAGATGCAGTCTTGCTGTGTTGCCCAGGCTGGAGTACGGAGGTGCAATCACAGCTCACTGAAGCCTTGACCTCCTCGGGCTCAGGCAGTCCTCCCACATCAGCCTCTCGAGTAGCTGGGTTTGCATGCATGCACCACCATGCCCGGCTATTTTTTTGTATTTTCGGTAGAGAAGGGATTTCCCCATGTTGCCCAGGCTAGTCTCAAACTCCTGAATTCAAGTAATCTGCCCACCTCAGTCTCCCAAAGTGCTGGGACTACAGGCATGAGCCACTGGGCCTTGCCTCCTGTTCTTTCAAAACAGTCTGGGCACGGTGGCTCACGCCTGTAATCTTAGCACTTTAGGAGGCCAAGGCGGGCGGATCACTTGAGGTGAGAAGTTCGAGACCAGCCTGGCCAACATGGCAAAACCCCGTCTTTACTAAAAATACAAAAAATAGCCGGGCGTGGTGGTGGGTGCCTGTAATCCCAGCTACTTGGGAGGCTGAGGCAGGAAAATCGCTTGAACCTGGGAAGTGGAGGTTGTAGTGAGCCGAGATCACGTCACTGCACTCCAGCCTGAGCAACAGAGCAAGACTCCATCTCTCTCTTACACACACACACACACACACACAAATCATAAAACAGATCATCATTCTCATATGTAAAGCCCTTCCACATCCCAGCCTTGCCCCAGCTCCTATAAGACCCTGACAACCTGCTGCCCACCCCCTCTACCCTTATCTCTAACCATTCTCCCCCACCCCCAACTCAACATGCTCCAGACACACTGTCAATGGTTGCTATAAAATGGCTGCAATAAAACGACACCACTGTCCCACCTCGCGGCCTTTGCAGGTGCTGAGTGTGCAGTCCTTCCCTTCCCCCGTTCTCAGCAGAGAGGTTAGGCACCACCGCAGCAGAGAGGCCTGCCCTCTCTTGATCTTCCCCAACCCTATTTCTTACCATAATTCACACTTATATGTCTACTTGTGCATTTACCTGGTTGATGCCATCTCCCCAAATGGGCTGTTCATTCCAAAGGCAGCAACCTGTGCTGTGTTGGCAGGGACTGGGGTTGGAAGTGGGGATTGACTTTACATGGGCAACAAAGAACCTTTTGGGCTGACGAAGCTCTTCTAAATGTGAATTGCAGTGATGGTTACATAACCCTATACATTTACTGAAATCAACAAATTGTGCACTTACAATGGGTGAATTTTATGTAAATTATATTCCCAAGCCATCACAAGGCCTGGCCCGCAGCCAGTGCTCCCTGAGGACTTGCCAAAGGGGTGACTGAATGAATATTTAATGGTCTGGAGCCTAGCATCTCTGTGGAGAATTGAGAAGATTTTAATGGACCTCTCAGATCTGCAAATCTAAAACGCTGTCCTGGAATGGAAGAATACAGGCCCTGAAGAGGTAGCCACATTGCACTGTGAGGCACGTGCATGGCATTTGGTTTGTTTGTTTCTATTTTATTTTCCCTGAAAGGCAAGACCATTGCCTCAATGATTCCACGTTGATTCAGTTTTATTTGCATGTTTGTTTTGTCATTACTGTCACCACCCTTGGGAATTTTGGTTGGGAAGTGAGAAGTCAGGCTGGGAGGATGGGGACTGGCCAGTGGCCTCCTAGAGCAGGGGTGAGTGTGGCCGTATTTCAACAAACCTCTATTTACAAAAACAGGCAGCAGGAGACATGTGGCCCCCCAGCTGTAGTTTGCAGAGCTTTGTCCTAAAATTCTAATTTGCGGCCACTTTTTGCAGCCTCCTGTAAACCGATTCTTGTTTTAGTTTCTGTTCTAAAGCCCAGGGCCCTGAGTCTCGGAGAAGAAAGCTGCTTGCTTGGAATTACACAGAGAAGGACCGCCCATGTGGACAGCTTCGTCCCTGAGGCAACTCTTCTAGCTGGCAGGTCATACTTGGGTGTCATGGAGAAATGCCAGGGAACGAACAAACACAGATACTCAGGAGACAATGGAGTCACTTTTTTCCTGGCTCTTTTGGGGATGGCTCACAAACTGGGGGTGAAAAGCTGATGAGGAACAAAGGTCTGGGGAGCTGGCCCAAGGCCCAGGACCCCCAACAGGCTGCACTCTGCAGGGCTCACTGAGCCTCATCAGGGCCGCAGCTGGCCAGACCCTGCCTCCAGCCACCGAGGCACATTACCTGGGCCCAACAGATGTCCTGGCAGCGGGGCCACAGTATCCTCCTCATCGTCCACTCTCTTCAAGACCAGTGCAAAGAAAGCAGCGAATCCCAGCACCTGAAAAATACCCAGGGAGGTCCTCGAACCCACTCTGGTAACTCTCAACCCCTCATCTGCGAGCACGTGGGGCTTGGGGCCACGTTTGTATGTTGGGGAGGGCCCTGTGTTTTGGGGGAATGCAGCTCCCTTCTGCAGAGATGGGAGGTGGTCATGAAGCTGGACCGCAAGGCCTTGGCTCGCAGACCAGATGGGGGACTGGCCAGTCCTAGAACTCCCCTGAGCCTTCCCACCTACTACCGCTCACCTGTCTGAGGGGTCTCTGATCTCTCCGCAAGGAGAATTGCTCTCCCCCAGGGCTTTCAGCACAGGGATCCTGCCCCACCCTGCTCCTTCCCTTTCCTCCAGTATTAAGTAATGCGCTCAGGTGCAGGGTCTCAGCTGCAAGGCCTCAGCCACGTGATCTCTGCGCCTGCTCCACACAAACACAGGAGGATCCTGTGGTTCACTTGGGGAACAGAAAGGCTCAAGACGCAGCCCTGTTCTTAGTATCCTGCGAGCCTAGTGTTGAAGGGAGGTGTCGGATGCTTTTTGAGTCTTATGGTAAAGGCTGTTCAGGGAAGAATGGGGGACGAGAGGGGATTTGGCAAAGTCCCATAGGTGTAAAGATGAGCTTTGTTTTTTTTGAGATGGAGTCTTGCTCTATTGCCCCAGCTGGAATGCAATGGCATGATCTAGGCTCACTGCAACCTCCGCCTTCTGGGTTTAAGTGATTCTCCTGCCTTAGCCTCCCTAGTAGCTGGGATTATGGGCACCCACCACCACGCTCGACTAATTTTGTAATCTTTTTCTCTTTTTTTTTTTTTTTGAGATGGAGTTTTGCTCTTATTGCCCAGGCTGGAGTGCAATGGCGCAATCTCGGCTCACTGCAACCTCTGCCTCCCGGGTTCAAGTGATTCTCCTGCGTCAGCCTCCTGAGTAGCTGGGATTAGCTGCGATTACAGGCATGCACCACCACACCTGGCTAACTTTGTATTTTTAGTAGAGACAGGGTTTCTCCATGTTGGTTAGGCTGGTCTTGAACTCCTGACCTCAAGTGATCCACATACCTCAGCCTCCCAAAGTACTGGGATTACAGGCGTGAGCCACCGCGCCCAACCAAGATTTGCTTTAAATATCTCCTCCTTTCGGTGGCTTCCCCTACACCCCAATCCAGTATCTCTTCCCCTTAGGGGTTCCCCAGGGATTGCCCACTGCCCGACTCCTTCCAAGGGAAACTGTGCCCCTTGCCTCCTCTGCTCTACACCTGGATTTAGGATTTCTTTCTTTCTTTCTTTTTTTCTTTCCACCATCCCAGGCTAACAGATCACCAGGAGCTGGTCTCATGGGAGCTGCCTGACCAAGGATTTTTTTTTTTTTTTTTTTTTTGAGGCAGGGTCTTGCTCTGTCGCCCAGGCTGGAGTTCAGTGGCGCAATCACAACTCACTGCAGCCTCAAACTCCTGGACTCAAGCGATCCTACCACCTCAACCTCCCAAAATACTAGGATTACTGGCATTGAGCCACCATGCCGAGCCAGAATTTCTTCAACTCTAACAAGTTCTTTTGCGTAATTTTACATCTCAGAAATAGGAGTGTAGCTTCTAACTCAGGCACACATATAATGACTTGGTGTTTTTTCCAAAGGGAAAATTCCTTTAAATTGCTGTCTTTTCCCTTGCAAGCAGACTCAGAAAAAAAAAAAAAATGAATAACTAGCTACATAAATTGTTGTCTTGTCTCAAGATCAAATGGATGTTAACATTGAGGAAATAGGGTATTATTTATACATATATATGTATACCCTAGGGCAAGGGTAACCTCGGGTAATATGATAGGGCTATTTTTCCTGCCTTGGGCCTGCCCAGAGGGGGTGCTCCAGGTTCATTTGTTGAATATATAAATAAAGGAATAAAAGCCCAGGGACTAGACTGCTGGCAGTAGGGAAGGGATGGGTGGAGGGGAGGAGGGCGGGTGCCTGAGGCAGGGTCCTGACCTTCAGGGGCTGGGTGACGAACATGCTCTCCACGAAGGAGACAGCCATGGAGATGAGCCACCTGAGGGAGCTGGCCCTCCCGTAGTGCAGGCCGTAGAGCATGGTGAAGAAGGCCGCCACGCCACTGGTGGCCGCTACCAGGAGCCAGCCCACCAGGATGCACCACCAGGGCAGGCCTTGAGGGGGTTTGCTCACCTGAAGAGCGCTGCAAAGGAGGTGGACAGACATAGTTAGGGTGGCCACACCCCCAGGCAATCTCAAGGTCAAACCCCACTCTACTCTGATCAGCATGACCTTGGCCAAGCTCCTGGACCTCTCAGATCCTCTGTTTCCTTCTCTGTAATCTATACCTATCTCAAAGGTCTATGCCATAGTCTGTGGAGTAAAAGCAGTTACATTTACTCAGTGCTTAGTAGGGGCAAGTCCCCGCACTAAATGCTACACACAGATTTGCTCTGTTATTGCTCAGGGCAAGCCTAGAAGGCAGATACCATAGAATCTTGTTTTAAGTTTTCTCCCCCCGGGTGCAGTGGTTCATGCTTGTAATCCCAGTACTTTGGGAGGCCAAGGAGGGCGGACCACAAGGTCAGGATTTCGAGACCAGCCTGGCCAACATGGCGAAACCCCGTCTTTACTAAAAATACAAAAATTAGCCGGGCGTGGTGGCGGGCACCTGTAATCCCAGCTACTCGGGAGGCTGAGGCAGGAGAATTGGTTGAACCCGGGAGGTGGAGGTTGCAGTGAGCCGAGATCGTGCCATTGCGCTCCAGCCTGGGCAACAAGAGCAAGACTCTGTCTCAAAAAAAAGAAAGAAAATTCTCATCATACAAAAATTAGTGAGCACAGTGAATACCCAGGTGTTTATTAGCTGGCAACCACTATCACCCCTTGTCACACTTATTTCATCTGCCCCTCAGCCCTGTTTTGTTTTTGTTTTTGGCTGGAAAATTTCAACATAAATTCCAGACATAATACAAAATAATTCCTAGTCACTTCAGAATGCATCTCAAAAGTGGCCATTTTTGCCAGGCGTGGTGGCTCACGCCTGTAATCCCAGCACTTTGGGAGGCTGAGGCAGGTGGATCACTTGAGGTCAGGAGTTCGAGACCAGCCTGGCCAACGTGGTGAAAGCCCATCTCTACCACAAATACAAAATTTAGCTGGGCGTGGTGGTGGGCACCTGTAATCTCAGCTATTCGGGGAGGCTGAGGCAGGAGACTCACTTGAACCCAGGAGGCAGAGGTTGCAGTGAGCCGAGATCACGCCATTGCATTCCATCCTGGGTGACAGAGCAAGACTCTGTCTCAAAAAAAAAAAAAAAGGCAATTTTCTTACTGAATTACGATGCTGTTTTCACACAGCTAAATTAACAGTAATTTTTAAATGTCACCTAGTAACCTGTCTGTATTCAAAGTTCACTGGTTATCTTAAAAAATGCATTTTGTTTTAAGTTTGAATCAAGAGATAGGCGTCATCATTCCCATTTTAAAGATCAGGAAACTAAGCCTGAGAAGTTGAGGAGCCGGTCCAAGAGTGAAGTGCACAGATGGGAAACAGCCCACAGGAACACCGTTGTGACTGTAGCATGCGGTACAAAGGGCCCTGAGTGCCTTCCAGCAAACAGACCTGTTCAAACCCGGCCTCCCTGAATGTGTGCAGGAATCCTGCATTGTTTCTGCCTGGCAAGGTCTGGGTGGACATCCTTCCAAGATTGTTCAGAATGCCCTTTCCAGACGGCCCCAGGCTGGGGCAGGCAGGCACCCACTCAGCCCCCAGGGAAGTGGATTACCTGGCATGTGCAGGGGCCCAGGTGCCCGGCTGTACCCCCAGGCCGCCCTTCAGGGTCTGCAGCTGCCTGAGGGCCTGGGCATGGCTGTGGGGCTGGGAGAAGCCTCGGGGCCCCACCAGCCGCAGCTCTTGCTCCACGTGTTCCAGCTGAAGGTACAGACACTGCCTGTAGGCGCTGTCCTTCCAGGGGCCACTCCGTGCCGCCTTGGGCTTGGGACACTGTGATTTCTCTGGAGGACAAAGAAGAAAGCGATCAGCTTGTGCTGAGTCACAGAGCAAACCAGCTGCAATACAAACAACAGCCAGGTGGGGCGGCATGCGCAGGTGGTCCCAGCTACTCGGGAGACTGAGGCAGGAGGATCGCTGGAGCCCAGGAGGGCGAGGCTGCAGTGAGCTATGATGGCGCCACTTCACTCCAGCCAGGGCAACAAAGCCAGATCCTGTCTCCAAACAAAACAAACAAACCTCCCCCCACAAAACACAACAGTAATAGTACCAGCTTCTGAGTATGAAATGCTTGCTATGTGCCAAGCCCTGAGAAATCTGAGGTTCAAAGAGACGGAGTAAGGTTTTAGGGTCACACAGCCAGTTAGGATTCGATGTTTCTCTTTTAGATTTTTATCAGAGTCATTCTTCAAATTTCCCTACACATCAAGAGAACAGAGGAGAATCCCATACTCATCACTCCAGCTACAACAATGACCAACATTTGGCCAGTCTTGTCTCATCTCTTTTCTTCTCCTGGAGCTTTTTTTTTTTTTTTTTTTGCAGTGAAGTCTCACTCTGTCTCCCCAGCTGGAGTGCAGTGGTGTTATCTCAGCTCACTGCAACCTCCACTTCCTGGGTTCTAGAAGCAGTTCTCTTGCCTCAGCCTCCTGAGTAGCTGGGACTACAGGCGCACGCCACCACGCCCAGCTAGTTTTTGTATTTTTAGTAGAGAGATGGGGTTTCACCATGTTGGCCAGGTTGGTTCTAAACTCCTGACCTCAGGTGATCCGCCCGCCCCGGCCTCCCAAAGTGCTGGGATTACAGGCGTGAGCCACAGTGCCCGCCCTCACCCCCCGACTCCCCCACCCCCTGGGCCCAGAGTATTTTAAAGCAAATACTTTAATATGGTAAGACTTGAATTTGAACCCTTTTTTGTCTAGTGCCAAATATAGTGTAATCCTGTCCCTTTGTTTTTTTGTTTTTTTTGTTGTTGTTGTTGAGACGGAGTTTTGCTCTTGTCGCCCAGGCTGGAGTGCAGTGGCGCAATCTCAGCTCACTGCAACCTCCGCCTCCCAGGTTCCAGTGATTCTCCTGCCTCAGCCTCCTGAGTAACCGGGATTACAGGCACCCGCCACCATGCCCAGCTAATTTTTTTTTTTTGTATTTTTAGTAGAGACGGATTTTTACCATGTTGGCCAGGCTGGTCTTGAACTCCTGACCTCAGGGGATCGGCCAGCCTCAGTCTCCCAAAGTGCTGGGATCACAGGCATGAGCCAGCACGCCCGGCCAATACAGTGTAATCCTTAATCTTGTGTTTTTAGCTTTTTTAAAAATTATGAAACATCTCAAACATATAAAATTAGAGCAAATGATGAGATGAAGCCACACAGCGACACAGCGTCAAAATGATCAAAATGACGCAGCGAGACTCCGTCTCAAAAAAAAAAAAAAAAAAGAAGAAATGCAGTTATAATCTTGTATCTTCCCTTCACCTACAGGACAAGCTTTTCTAACTGTGCTTAGCATCTCCAAGGCAGAGCACTATCCCACCTGGAGGTTGCCTTGAGAGACAGCAGTCCATCTGCAACCCAAAGAACGCCTCCGACGAAACTGTCTCTCATGTTGAGAGTTTCAGCCACTTGTACAGGCTAGCCCTGCCCAGGAAGGTGCAAGCTGGACCTCCTGGTAGATAATTCTAATTCACTGAAGTGCGTTACGCCGACCCCCACTGGCTTGCTTCCTCTCCTCCCCGCCATTCATGCCAAGTCTCCTTTTAAAATCCCTGCTTTCTGCCTCAGAGGTGTAGTGATATCCTTAAGTCAGGAAGCCTGTACTTCTTCCCCTAAGCTAGCTTTGGAATAAAAAGTTACTTCTCTTTCTCTCTCCACCCACCGACCTCTATCTCTTTTTGAGACAGGGTCTAACTCTGTCCCACAGGCTGGAGTGCAGTGGCGTGATCTTGGCTCACTGCAACTTCTGCCTCCCGGGCTCAAGTGATCTTCCCACCTCAGCTTCCCAAGTAGCTGGGGCTACAGGCACATGCCACCATGCCCAGATAAAAAAGTCACTTTTTTTTTTTTTTTGAGACAGAGTCTCACTCTGTCGCCCAGGCTGGAGTGCAGTGGTGCGATCTCGGCTCACTGCAACCTCCGCCTCCCAGGTTCACGCCATTCTCCTGGCACAGCCTCCCTAGTAGCTGGGTCTACAGGCACCCGCCACCACACCGGGGTAATTTTTTGTATTTTTAGTAGAGACGGGGATTCACCGTGTTAGTCAGGATGGTCTCGATCGCCTGACCTCGTGATCCGCCCGCCTTGGACTCCCAAAGTGCTGGGATTACAGGCGTGAGCCACCGCTCCCGGTCAAGAGTCACTTTTTAAATACCAGATCTCACTCTGATTAACTGGACTCTGCAAATGGCAAGCAACTATATCTGCATTTTGGTTACAGCCAGGTATATGCATCTCCAGCCCTGACTCAGATAAGGTTAGGGTGTTGGGTAAATGGCTATGGTGAGGTCAACTCCTACCTTCCTCTGACTCACAGCCTCCTCCCTCACCCTCCTGACTGGGCTCCCTCACTGAAGCCTCAGCTGAAGATTCCAAGTCAACACTTTATTTTGCAGGGCTTCTGCTAATGTTTCTGAAAGATAACATCACTGCCAATCATAACACCACTTACTGTATACCTGCTTTGTGTCAGGCTGGGATCTAAATACTTTACATGTCTTACAATCTTATTCAGCCCTCACAATAAGCCAACGAGCTAGGTGGATCAATACCCCTATTTTATATTTTTTTTACTTTGAGACACGGTCTCACCCTGTCAACCAGGCTGGAATGCAGTGGTGCAACCTTGGCTCACCGCAACCTCTGCCTCCCAGGCTCAGGCAGTCCTCCTATCTCAGCCTCTCAAGTAGCTAGAATTACAGGTATGTGCCACCACGCCCAGCTAATTTTTAACACACCCCCTTTTTTTTTTTTTTTTTTTGAGACAGGAGTCTTGCTCTGTCACCCAGGTTGGAGTGCAGTGGTGCAATCTCAGATCACTGCAACCTCCACCTCCCAGGTTCAAGTGATTCTCTTGCCTCACCTCCCAGGTTCAAGTGATTCTCCTGCCTCAGCCTCCCGAGTAGCTAGGACTACAGGCGTGTGCCACCACATGCAGCTAATTTTTTTATTTTTAGTAGAGATGGGGTTTTGTCATGTTGACCAGGCTGGTCTTGAACTCCTGACCCCAGGTGATCTGCCCACCTCGGCCTCCCAAAGTGTTGGGATTACAAGCGTGAGCCACCACGCCCAGCCAACACCTCTATTTTCTAAGGGAAGAAATGAAGTCTCAGAGAGGTTGAGCAACTTGTTTAAAGTTGCACCGCTGCTACTGCAGCTGGGAGATCCCAAGGTTCTGGCCGACTCCAGAGTTCATGTTCTTAAGGTCCAGTGTGTCCAGCTGTGAATGCTAAAACTCCCAAACTCAAAGTCAAGGATCTAGTGGAAGCAGGGATGACCTCCATAAGCAGCCCAAACCCAGCTCTCTGGGGCAAATTCTTTTTTTTTTCTTTTTTTTTGAGATGGAGTCTTGCTCTGTCACCCAGGCTGGGGTGCAGTGATGTGATCTCAGCTCACTGCTGACTACACCTCCCAGGTTTAAGCGATTCTCTGCCTCAGCCTCTTGAGTAGCTGGGACTACAGGGGCAAGTAACTCTATCAGGGGTGGGGCCAAGAATTATGAATTCAAATTGCTTATTCTATAAACCATACTTTCGTGTTCTAAACAAGGTTTAGATAGTGGCCACCCTTGTGTATTAAAAATGGTAGCATTCTAAACCCACATAACTATCCACCATGTTCCACAGAACATTTCTGTCACTGTAGAAAGTTCTATTGGATGGCACCGCTCTAAATGGGAAGATGGACAGGAAAGGGGCATGAAGGGAACCAGGAGACTAGTTGAAACCGGAATAATATGCCATATATACATTTGTTTAATGAAAAGAAAACAATGTTACTGGGTTCTAGCTGGATATTGTTGGAAAAACCTCTGAATTTGAGATCTTTTATCTCTGTCAAACAGATTAAGGAGTGTTAGAGAGGCATTAAAGACATAGTCGCACCAAACTGAGACTTTCTCCCTTTTTTTTAGAGCTAGGGTCTTGCTCTGTCACCCAAGCTGGGGTGCAGTGGCACCTGTAACCTCAAACCAGTTTGCTGTAACCTCAAACTCAAAAAAAAGACTCAAGGGATCCTCCCACCTCAGCCTTCCAAATAGCTGGGACTACAGGTGCCCATTGAGAAGGAGTCTTGCTCTGTTGCCCAGGCTGGAGTGCAGTGGTGTGATCTTGGCTCACTGCAACCTCCACCTCCCGGGTTCAAGTGATTCTCCTGCCTCAGCCTCCCAAGTAACTGGGATTACAGATGTGCACCACCACGCCCAGCTAATTTTTGTATTTTTAGTAGAGATGAGGTTTCACCATGTTGGTCAGGCTGGTCTCGAACTCCTGACCTCAAGTGATCTGCCCACCTTGGTCTCCCAAAGTGCTGGGAATACAGGCATGAGCCACCGTGCTTGGCTAACACCTGGTTAAGTTTTAAACTCTTTGTACAGACAGGGTCTCCCTATGTTGCCAACGCCGGTCTCGAACTCCTGGCCTCAAGCAATCCTCCCGCCTCAGCCTCTTAAAGTGCTGGGATTAGAGGCGTGAGCCAGTGCTCCCAGCCATTTGCTTAATTAGGAGGATTGAAAACGAATAGAGAAAGGAATAACTTTTCCAGTCTGCAATTCCATGTTCCTTAATGGTTTTTGCTGCCCTGACTGTGATCTTGCTTCCTGCCCCACATATTCAGGCACGGATCGAGTTCAGCTTTGCACCCCAGCACTCTACAGAAGAAGGCACCGAGGCATTGAGAATGGAGGTCACCTGTCCACGGTCACACAGCCGGCTAGTGGCAGAGCCAGGACCCAGACATGGTTCTTCCTAGTGGAGATGAGACAAAAGACAGATGGACGGCTCCCACCTCACGGAGTTTACATTCCAGGAAGGATGGCGCAAGCTTTAAACAATTTTCACCTGATTCATTAGTTGGCCACAAACAGGTTGAATGCAAGAAGCTTAGGGAGTTGGCCGGGCACAGTGGCTCACGCCTGTAATCCCAGCACTTTGGGAGGCCAAGGCAGATGGATCACGAGGTCAGGAGATTGAGACCATCCTGGCTAACACGGTGAAACCCCGTCTCTACTAAAAATACAAAAAATTAGCCGGGCGTGGTGGCAGGTGCCTGTAGTCCCAGCTATTCGGGAGGCTGAGGCAGGAGAATGGCATGAACCTGGGAGGCAGAGCTTGCAGTGAGCTGACATTGTGCCATTGCACTCCAGCCTGGGCGACACAGCGAGACTCCATCTCAAAAAAAAAAAAAAAAAAAAAAAAAACTTAGGGAGCTAAAGAGCGCGTGGTCAGAGGCCCTAGTGTAGGTTAGAGGCTTGGGTTGCTCCCCTGAAGAAGGAATGCTTAAGCCAAAACTAAAATTTCAGTAGGTATTGGCCTGGCGAAGAGAGGAGAAAGAACATTCTAGACTAAAGGACCAGCCTGTGTGAAGGCTGTTAGTGGGAAGGCAGCTTGGCATTGTAGGGACAGTAGGTGCCTGAGGTATACAGAGGGAGGGGATGGCCGGTGGTTCAAGCAGAGGCTGGTGAGGGAGACCTCTTGTTCCCCTAGTGATGCTGATGTACCCCTTTGCTGTGTCTCCACCCGGCCCCAAAATGCGGCTTCTCTTGGCACAGACATGTCCAGGGCTTACCTTTCATTTCTGATGACCCCAAAGTGAGTGTTACAGGGTCCTCTCTCTTTTTGGCTTCCTCCCAGAACACCTGCCCTGATGTGTTCTGTGGATAAATGACATCTTCCACCAAGGCGAGGAGACTGTTGATGTCCATCAAGTTCACTGAGTCCCAGCCCAAGGCGGGGGATGGCACCTTGAGAGCTTTGAAGAGGGAGCTGACGATTCTTGACACATCCTGGTGGGGAAAGGGGCCATAAGCCAAGGTGAGGGGTGCAGCACAGGGGTCAAGAGCACACGCCCTGGGCCTGGCAACCTGTGTAGGGACCCCTGCTCTGCCCACTGAGATGTGATAGTGACCTCCCTGAGCTTCCATTTGTCAGCTCTTGAATCCCTCTTCTAGGGTTTGAACTCATTCCAGGCTGTACTCCTCAAAGCGTGGCACACAGTAGGTGCTCAATGAAAGCTTACTGAATGCATCAACGCAGAGCGGGGAGTCTCGTCCATGGGCTTCCAGCCTGGGAGTCTACCATGAAGGCATAATTCTTTGCACACAGTAGATACTCAAAAAGTATGTGGGTGTATGCGTGTGTGCACATGTGCATGTGTATGTACATGTCTGTGTGTCTCTCTGTGTATGTGTGTGCATGTATGCATATGTGCACCTGTGTGTTTGTGTGTGCATGTGTGTACAGATGCATGGGTGCATGCATGTTGCATGTGTATGTGTGTCTTCAGTTGATGAATTTTGGCACCTCACGTTGCCAGGCAACACAGGGCTGCTGGGTCTCAAGCCCCAGGCCTCACCCCCACTTCTGCTGAGGCTACAGCACCCCCCAGGCTAGCTGAGGTTGAGGACCTGCCTTGGTCACTGCCTCAGGTGTCAGAAGGCCGTCCTCCATGGGCTGTGGGGAGGGAGTCAGGTTGGGGGACCCCCGGTCCCATTTTCCAGTGTTCTGCTCCTTCGCGACCCGGGGACGGGTGTTCTGAAAGATCTGAACAATCAGGAGGTTGATGGGGAACATGAGGATGGAGCTCTCCAGGCCAATCATCACCTCCTGCCAGGTGAATTCAATTTTACCTGGGGAAAGGGAAGGAAGGGATCAAAGGGAGAGGCCACCGCCCGGAGCCCAGTCCCTTCTGCCCCTTGTGGAAGCTGGCTGTGCAGTGAAGGGTTAACCCTGCCCAACGCCTGGGAGGTCACCGCTCAGCCCTTGGAAGTTCCCAACTGCTAAGAATGTCTTTGTTTCCCTAGGGTCTTGGGTCACACCGGATGGTCTGTGCTAATGATGAGATTTAGGTGGGGGCCTAGACCATATGATGTCAGCTTGACCTCTAGAGGGGCTGGAGGCGAAGGGCAGCCAAGTGGGTGTCAGCCATGCCTATATGTTGGAGCCCCAGTAAAAGCTCTGAATAGTGGCTGGGCATGGTGGCTCATGCCTGTAATCCCAGCACTTTGGAAGGTCAAGGTGGGTGGATTACCTGAGGTCAGGAGTTGGAGGCCAGCCTGGCCAACATGGTGAAACCCCTTCTCTACTAAAAATACAAAAATTAGCTGGGCATAGTGGTGGGTGCCTGTAATTCCAGCTACTCGGGAGGCTGAGGCAGGAGAATTGCTTGAATCCGGGAAGCAGAGGTTGCATTAAGCCGAGATCATACCACTGCATTTCAGTTTGGATGACAAGAGCAAAACTCTGTCTCAAAAAAAAAAAAAATTGTGAATTGCAAGGCTGGAGTGAGTCCCCCTGGTTGGCAATACTCCATGTGCACTGTCACACATCCTCAGGAGAAGTCAGCACCATCCACGACTCCACTGGGAGAGGATGCTGGAAGCTATGTGCCTGGTCTCTTCTGGCCCCTGCTCCATGTGTCTCTTCCCTTTGCTGGTTTTAATCTGTATCCTTTCTGTGTTTTTTGTTCTTTTGGTTTGTTTGTTTATTTTTTTTTTTTTTGAGATGGAATTTTGCATTTTTTTACCCAGGCTGGAGTGCAATGGTGAGATCTCAGCTCACTGCAATCTCCGCCTCCTGGGTTTAAGTGATTTTCCTGCCTCAGCCTCCTGAATAGCTGGAACTACAGGTGTGCACCACCACACCCGGCTAATTTTGTATTTTTAGTAGAGATGGGTTTTCACCATGTTAGCCAGGCTTGTCTCAAATTCCTGACCTCAGGTGATCCACCTGCCTTCGCCTCCCAGAGTGCTGGGATTACAGGCGTGAGCCACCGTGCCAGCTGTATCCTTTCACTGCAGTAAACCATAACTATGAGTACAATGGGTTCTGTAAGTCCTGCTAGTGGATCACTGAACTGGAGGGCGGTCTTGGGGACTCTGGAATGGCAGTGGCATTGCTGGAGCAGTGAAGGCTCAGGTCCACCAGCCACTAACCCTGACCTCCATGACACTGGGAATTACCCAAGTCCATCTTTTGCTCAGCTGGGTCCTTGGGGACCCCCCAGAACATGATGCTGGTCAGCATGGTGCACAGCAGCAGGGAGAAGCAGCAGGACACCCTCTGGACGCGGGTGAAGCTGCTGCGAGCGCAGCGGCTGAAGATCGAATACCAGATGTGTCCATCCTGGAAGCCCGCGGAAGTCTTCATGAAAAACAGGTGGCTGCAGGCAGGCAGGGAGAGAGGGACAGGCATTTAGGGAGACAGGAATGGGGGAAACTGGTCTCTGTGGGTCGTTCTTGGGATGAGAAGCAGGAAGAGCGGCAGAGATTTGTTTCTAAGATTGTTCACACTTTTTTTTTTTTTTTTTTTCAGATAATGTCTTGTGTCTTGCTCTGTCACCCAGGCTGGAGTGCAATGGCACGATCTCGGCTCACTGCAACCTCTGCCTCCCAGATTCAAGCAACTCTCCTGCCTCAAACTCCCAGGTAGCTGGGATTACAGGTGCCCACAACCACGCCTGGCTAATTTTTTGTATTTTTAGTAGAGACATGGTTTCACCACATTGGCCAGGCTGGTTTCACACTCCTGATCTCAAGTGATCTGGCCGCCTTGGCCTCCCAAAGCGCTGGGATTACAGGTGTGAGCCACCGCGCCTAGCCACATTTTTTTTTCGGATGGAGTCTTGCTCTTGCCAGGCAGGAGTGCAGTGGCATGATCTTGGCTTACTGCAACCTCTGCCTCTGGGGTTCAAGTGATTCTCCTGCCTCAGCCTCCCAAGTATCTGGGACTACAGGTGTGAGCTATTTTTTTTTTTTGTATTTTTAGTAAAGACGGGGTATCACCATGTTGGCCAGGATGGTCTCGATTTCTTGACCCCTTGATCCACCCGCCTGAGCCTCCCAAAGTGCTGGTATTACAGGCATGAGCCACCGTCCCCGGCTCCCCCCCCAATTTTTTTTTTTTTTTTTAATAGAAGAAACACAGCATCTTAGCAGCATCACTTAGAGTTAACAATGAAGGCTCTGGAAGTCAGATTAGAATTACAGACGGCCCTCTTCCCAGCTGTGTGACCTCGGGCACGTTACTTTGTTCTTTGTACCTTAGATGACTTGTCTGTAAATTGGGGCAAGTAATAATAACAGAACCTACCTCACTGGATTGTTGAAAGGAATAAAAGTGATGATTCTGTAAAGCATTTGGGGCAGTAGCTGGCATATAGGTCAATATTCAATCAGTGTCAGCATTGTTATTTTTGCTGTAATTTTAATATAATAATATAGCTAAAATACTATTAGTTTTGTTACAGTTAGATCATTGGAGTACAGTGGTTAAAAATCCCAGGCATGACGGAGTGCAGTGGCTCATTCCTGTAATCCCACGACTTTAGCAGGGCAAGGAGAGAGGGTTGCTTGTGGTCAGGAGTTCAAGACCAGCCTGGCCAATGTGGTGAAACCCCGTCTCTAATAAAAGTACAAAAATTAGCCAGGCATGGTGGCATGCACCTGTAATCTCAGCTACTTGAGTGGCTGAAGCAGGAGAATTGCTTGAACTCAGGAGGCAGAGGTCACAGTGAGCCAATATCGTGCCACCATACTCCAACCTGGGTGACAGAGACTCTGTTCAAAAAAAAAAAAAAAAAAAAAAATCCCAGGCATGGCCAAGCACAGTGGCTCACACCTGTAACCCCAAAACTTTGGGAGGCTGATACGGAGGATCCCTTGAGCCCAGGAGTTTGAGACCAGTCTGGGCAATATGGTGAAACCCCATCTCTACAAAAACAGTTGGGCATGGTGGTGTATGTCTACAGTTTCAGCTACTCAGGAGGCTGAGGTAGGAGGATCTCTTGAGAAGGTCGAGACCATCCTAGGCAACATAGCAAAGATTCGTCTCTACTTAAAAAAAAAAAAAAAAAAGAAAAAGAAAGTGAGGCATCGTGGTGCATGCCTGCAGTCCCAGCTGCTCAAGAGGCTGAGGTGAGAGGATTGCTTGACCCAGGGGGGTAGAGGTTGCAGTGAGCTGTGATCGTGCCACTGCACTCCAGCCTGGGTGGCGGAACAAGACCTTATCTTAAAAATAAAGAAAACAAAAATAAAGTACCTGAATTGTTTTCTGTCCTGCTCCGTGGCCACAGGAAACACCTTATCGAGGACGCAATCTCCAACATTGATGGATAGCCAGGAGTTGCACAGGAAATACCACTTCCGGTCCATCACCAGGTCATAGACCAGCACCCGGCTCACATACCTGGAGAAGGGACCCAGAGTTTTGAGGATAAGGTGGAGCAGGGGAGGAGACTTCACTGGACATCACCAAGGTAACAGTTTTGCAAACATGAACCCAAAGAACAAGAGCTCCTCAGAAAAAGAAACCATATTTTTCTTTGTTCTTGGTGCCTTAATTAAAATTCGCGTCACATAAGGAGGTCAGCTACTGTAGAGAGCCAACTCTGGGAAGCTGCCATGTTTCCACAAAGATGCTGCAAAAGGATGCATTCGGAGACCATTAACCTGTACACATGGCACCAAGCTCAGGGCCAGCGTCCAGGCATGAGCAAGTAAAGCCAAATTGTGTAAAGTGTGCATGTTCAGGCAGGTGCAGGCTGGGGTACGCAGAACATGGTCCTCTCTTGCGTTTCTTTCTTTCTTTTTTTAAATTTTAGACAGAATCTTGCTCTGTCACCCAGGCTGGAGTGCGATGGAGTGATCTTGGCTCACTGTAACTTCCGCCTCCCAGGTTCAAGCGATTCTCCTGCCTCAGCCTCCCGAGTAGCTGGGATTACAGGCATGCACCACCACACCCGGCTAATTTTGTATTTTTAGTAGAGACAGGGTTTCTCCATGTTGGTCAGGCTGGTGTCGAACTCCTGACCTCAGGTGATCCACCCACCTCGGCCTCCCAAAGTGCTGGGATTACAGGCGTGAGCCACCGCGCCTGGCCTCCTCTCTTGCGTTTCTAACCAAAGAATCACCGTCTATCTTGGGCTGAGGACTTTGTGGGTATCTTCTAACCTGATTTAGGTCTTTGAGGTATGGGGAAGAATTGAAATTATCTTGCCTATCCTGTGATGTCAGATCGAGCAGCAGTTTTCCCTGTTGCTATACAGCCAACAAGAACAGCAATGATGGCTGGGTGTAGTGGCTCACGTCTGCAATTGCAGCACTTTGGGAGGCCAAGGTGGGCAGATCACTTGAGGTCAGGAGTTTGAAACCAGCCTGGCCAACATGGTAAAACCTCATCTCTACTAAAAATACAAATAAATAAATAAATAAATTAGCTGGGCATGGTGGCGTATGCCTGTAATACCAGCTACTCAAGAGGCCGAGGCAGGAGAATGACTTAAACCCAGGAAGCAGAGGTTGCGGTGAGCCGAGATTGTGCCATCACTCCAGCCTGGGTGACAGAGTGAGACTCTGTCTCAAAAAAAAAAAAAAAAAAAAGAACAGTAGGGATAGCAATAGCCGCTCTTCACTGAGAATTTACTACATAGCGGGGGCTATGCTAAGATGCTCTTGATATGCATTTTCTCATTTCAGGAAGGGCAGCCCCGTAGGAATGCAAAAGCCACCTATGTCAAGGTCACAGGCTTTTCTGGGGCAGCTGACATCCAGTGATGCAGTACCTACAGGGATCAAGACCTGGGTATTTCAACCCAACTTGGGACAGCTCCAGAGCTCCCCAGTGGTGGACCACACTGTTGCTGGGCTGCATCACAGCTTGACTTTTCTGCCATCCTGCCTCCTTCCCTCTGTTCCCAGGTGCTGGTCCCAGGGCCCTGTAATAAACACCCTGCATATGCAACTCCATCTGAGAGCCTGCTTCCCGGGAGCAACCTACAGCGGCCACGCTTAAAATATTAATGCTTAATCCCATAGGTGAATTAAAGTGCTATTGTTTTTCTAAAGCCGCCAGCTACTGATGGGTGGTCAGACTGGACACCACTCATCTGGGTCACTCATTTTGGCCTCAGAATGCAGAGAACCTTGCTCCAAACTTGCCAGCTGTGTGACCTTGGGCAAGTCACAGGTTGATGCTGCAAAAGGGCCAAGGGTGGGGCTAGCACTGAAGATGGGGCTAGCTGTAGCTTCCAGTCCTTTTCCTAGCTACCGATCCAGTTTGTGTGGACCATGAACCAGTGGGCTTTTCTGACCCTCAGTTTCCTCATCTGTGAAACAGAGATCATTCTATGTGTCTTGCGGAGGCTTGCGAAGATCAGGAAGGAGGCAAATGTACAGTGCCCAGCCCTGGGCCTGTCACTCTGTAGATTCTCAAGGTTTGTCTGCCCCCAACTCACCACGATGGCCGGTCCCCTGAGTTGTCATGCCACAGCCGGAGGCTCCGCAGTTCTCCCAGGGGGAACAGGGTGGAGAGGAGGAAGGCATCCACTGCTCCTCGCTCAAAAACCGGAGTGTCGGGATCAGCCAGGTGGTGGGGCTCTCTCTCTCCATCCAGGCCATACAGGGTGACAGTCACCTGAAATCCAGAGACCAGAAGTGGCCAACTCCACAGTGGCATAGCAGGGCTGGGTGGGATGTGCTGATTAATCAGTGGATCTTGCATAGGCAGGTACCTTTGAGGACGTGGCTGCCCCTCGTCGGTGTCCTGTGTAGACTGTCACCAGGTAGTGGTACTGAGCAAAGGGATCATTGTCTTCCAGCACTGTGACCTTCACCTGAAGAGAAGGACAGCATTAGGAAGGCCTTGCTCAGTGGGTTCCTGCATCACCCACCAGCCAAGAAGGAGCTGATGATTTGTGATAATCATGAATTGGGCAAAGCAAAATTACATGTGCCATTTATTCATCCCCTCGGGTGAGAACTGTTCTTTATAAAAGCAGGGTTTCAAGTGCAAAACGCTCGGAAAATAAAAAAACACAAAGTACATTTTTTTCTTCTTCCTTTTTTTTTTTTGTTTTCAGACAGGGTCTCGCTCTGCTGCCTAGGCTCGAGTACAGTGCCGTGATCTTAGCTCACTGCCATCTCTGCCTCCCGGGTTCAAGTGATTCTCCTGCCTCAGCCTCCAGAGTAGCTGGGACTACAGGCGTGTGCCACCATGCCTGGCTAATTTTTGTATTTTTAGTTAGAGACGAGGTTTCACCATGTTGGCCAGGCTGGTCTCAAACTCCTAACCTCAAGTGATCTGCCCACCTCGGCCTCCCAAAGTGCTGGGATTACAGGCGTGAGCCACCACGCCCGGCCCCAAAGTACATTCTTTATGAGATATGACCCCCATGTAGTCCAATTGGAAATGAACTTGATAAGCTGAGAACATTGAATGTTTGACCTGGTGAACCATACATACTCTGTACATGTATAATTTCTCATAACATTTGGAACCAGGTGGTGTTTTTGAGGGAATTTAAAAGAAATGAAACGTTAAGATAGTTTAGCGACAAATGAACTCATGGAGATAGGAAGTAGAATGATGGTCAGCAGAGGCTGGGAAAGGTAGTGGGGGCGGGAATGGGGGGGAAGATGAGGTGGTTAATGGGTACAAAATTAGAAAGAATGAGTAAGATGTCTGCCGGGCGCGGTGGCTTACACCTGTAATCCCAGCACTTTGGGAGGCCAAGGCGGGTGGATCCCTTGAGGTTAGGAGTTACAGACCAGCCTGACCAATGTGGTGAAACCCTGCCTCTACTAAAAACACAAAAATTAGCTGGGCGTGGTGGCTGGCACCTGTAATCCTAGCTACTCGGGAGGCTGAGGCAGGAGAATTGCTTGAACCCAGGAGGTGGAAGTTGCGTGAGCTGAGATCACGTCGCTGCACTCTAGCCTGTGTGACAGAGCAAGACTCCAGGTCAAAAAAAAAAAAAAAAAAAGAATGAATAAGATGAATAAGATCTAGTATTTTATACCACAACAGGGTGACTACAGTCAATAATAATTGTACATTTAAAAATAATTAAAAGAGTATAATCGGATTGTTTGTGACACAAAGGATAAATGCTCGAGGAGATGGATACCCCAATTATCCCAATGTGATTATTACACCCTGCATGCCTGTATCAAAATGTCCCATATATCTCATATGTATATATACCTACCATGTGCCCATAAGAATTAACAAAAATTTTTAAAGAGTTTGGCAAAAAGAAAAGAAAAAGAAATTAGCCAGAGTTAGCCAGAGTTGGCCAGAGGCTATAGTCGACTCTGAATGCGCTGCCCAGATCCCCCTCCCACGCAGGGTTCGTTGCCTCAGTTAATGGGGTAAAAAATGCAACACCTACCTCTGTTGAGATTGTGCCCCCTTGGGGCAGCCAGCACCCAATGACCAATAGGCGGAGTGTCTGGGTGTGGTCAAGACCTGGGTATCTCAACCCGACTTGGGACAGCTCCGGTGCTCCCCAGGGTCTGGGCCGGGCTGTCACTGGGCTACATCACAGCTCAGCTTCTCTCTCTGCGCATGCTGCCTCCTTCCCTCCCTTCCCAGGTGCAGGTCCCAGGCCCCCTTAATAAACACCCTGCACACTCTGCATGCTCACCTTTGCATCGGAGTCTGCTTCCTGGGAACCAACCTACAGCAGAGGCACTTCAAGTATTAATGCTTAATCTCTTGGGTGAATCAAAGACAGCAGTATCAATGCTGAAACATTATCTTATTAAATTTAACCCACATGAAATCCTGAGTGATGTTGCTTCGGGGGAAGGGGTAGGAACGGATAGAGTTTCACAGCTCTGTGACAATGCAACCTTGCATTCATTCATTACCTCTTCTTCAGATAGCCATAAATATTGGCTGAAGGCCTACTATGTATGTGTCAGGCATACTGCATACATTGGAAAACAATTGTTTTTTTTGAGATGAAGTCTTGTTCTGTTGTCCAGGCTGGAGTGCAGTGGCATAATCTTAGCTCACTGCAACCTCCACCTCCCAGGTTCAAGTGATTCTCCTGCTTCAGCCTCCTGAGTAGCTGGGATTACAGGTGCATGCCACCACGCCCAACTAATTTTTGTATTTTTAGTAGAGATGGGGTTTCACCATGTTGGCCAGGCTGGTCAACTCCTGACCGCAGGTGATCCGTCCACCTTGGCCTGCCAAAGTGCTGGGATTACAGGCGTGAGCCACCGCGCCCGGTTGGAAAAAATCTTAAGTAGACAAATACCCTCTTCTCGTGAAGCCTAATATTATTTGAAAACAATGGAGTTTTCTCCAGGACGGTGTACGCAGCGCCAATGGTTCTCAGCCTCACCTTGGCCTGATCCTGAGCGTCCTTCCTCCTCGCCCAGATCACCACCAGCACGTAGACCACACACAGGCAGCCCACGGTGGTCACGACCACAGGGTTGTCCTCAAAGGTGGCAAAGAGCTCAGCAGTCTGGTGGATGTTGATGGCATTGGACATCACCAGGAACGTGCTTCCGAAGAAAGTGAGGTGGTTGCAGAGGCAGTGTGTCTGGTAGGGGCTGGTCCGAGGCCCCACCTACAACCCATAAAGGGGCTGTCAGTGGAGACGCTCGGGAAGCTCAACCCCGGCTCGCTCGAGCCCAGGGGAGGAGAACGGTGTTCGCTTTGAAGAGTGCACACTCTGCTGGGGTGTGTGGTGGGAAGACCGCTGGGAGACCAGCTTCAAAAGCCCCTTTTGATCTTTTTTTTTTTTTTTTTTTTTGAGATGGAGTCTCACCTGTTGCCAGGCTGGAGTGTAGTGGCGAGATCTCGGATCAATGCAATCTCCACCTCCCGGGTTCAAGCAATTCTCCTGCCTCAGCCTCCCGAGTAGCTGGGACTACAGGCATGCACCACCACACCCAGCTATTTTTTTTTGTATTTTTAGTTGAGACGGGGTTTCACCATGTTGGCCAGGATGGTCTCAATCTGCTGACCTCATGATCCGCCCGCCTCAGCCTCCTAAAGTGCTGGGATTACAGGAGTGAGCCACTGTGTTTGGCCAATATTTTTTATTTAATTAAAATATGGAGATAATATTATTTATATTTTTGTGTCCATCATTCTCAGTGGACAACTGTGTATATGTTGCCAGTCTGCTTTCCTTTTTTTTTCTTTTTCTTCTTCTGAGACGGGATCTCACTCTGTCGGCCAGGCTGGAGTGCAGTGACACAATCTTGGCTCACTGCTGCAACCTCTGCCTGCTGGGTTGAAGCAATTCTCATGCCTGTGTCCCCCAAGAAGCTGAGATTACAGGCAAGCGCCACCACACCCGGTTAATTTGGGTATTTTCAGTAGAGACGGGGTTTCGCCATGTTGGCCAGGCAGGTCTCAAACAGGCTGATCTCAAGTGATCTGCTTGCGTCAGCCTCCCAAAGTGCTGGGATTGCAGGCGTGTACCACAGTGTGATTCGCGTCTGCAATCTGAGCTTCTTGGGAGGCTGAAGCACAAGAATTGCTTGAACCCCAGAGGCAGAGGTTGTAGTGAGCTGAGATCACGCCACTGTACTCCAGCATGGGCGACAGAGACCCTGTCTCAAAAAAATACATATATATGGCAAGTAAATTTGAGATCTCCTTTGTCCCTCTTCCCCTATAGGCAACCAGGATCACAAATTTGGCATTCACCCCCGTGGTGCACCTGGTGCTCATTCACAGGACAAATATTTGTGGGGTGCTAATTCTACATCCAGCAACAGGCTAGGTGCTGAGAGGACACTGGTGTGACTAACTCATCCCAGTTTGCCAGGGCCTTTCCTGCTTTTCAAACAGAAAGTCCTGAGTCCCAGGAGCTCCTTCAGTCCTGGGCAACCCGGGACAGTTGGTCAGCTTATGCCGAAAAGCAAAATAACCTGGGGGAACCACAGGAAGAAAAAGAAGAAAAAGAGAAGGACACAGGTTTGAGTCCTAAGCTGGCATTGTGGCACAAAGAAGGTGTGATGGCACTTACACAGGTGGTGCCTTGTGGTGCAGGACAACATGGCCGGGCAGCAAGGGGACCGGAGTGAACCAGGGCAGGGGCTGCCATCTGTGCCTGTGCTTCACACCCACATGGCCACCCCCAATCCCCCGCGAGCTCACAGTCACCCCCTAGGGCCTTCTGGTGGGTAAAGAAGATGGTTTGTTTGTTTGAGACAGAGTCTTGCTCTGTCGCCCAGGCTGGAGTGCAGTGGCATCATCTCGGCTCACCGCAACCTCCACCTCCCAGGTTCAAGCGATTCTCCTGCCTCAGCCTCCTGAGTAGCTGGGACTACAGGTGCCCACCACCACACCCGGTTAATTTTTGTATCTTTAGTAGAAATGGGGTTTCACCATGTTGGCCAGGCTGCTCTTGAACTCCTGACCTCAAGTGATCCACCCGCCTCGGCCTCCCAAAGTGCTGGGATTACAGGCTTGAGCCACCGTGCCTGGCCCTACATGTAAGATTTGGGACAAGTCAGTTGAGTTTCCTGAGCCTTTGTTTTGTCCCCTGTAAAATGAGAGTCACAGCTGTCTTGGAGATGATTGTGCAGATCTGATGAGCCGATGTAAGCAAAGCATGGAGCTCTGCACCTGGCACAGAACTAAGGGCTGAGCTATGAGTTCATTCTCTTGGAAATGACACCCTGGCCTCCCTTAACAACCTAGAGGCAGCAGGCCTTCCTGAGTCATTCGTCGCCTGGGTCAATGACCATTTGTTCTCAGTGATGAACAAAGCACATTGTTCCTGTTGCACTGGGGGCTCCCAGTGCATGGAGGGAGACAGACGTCATTTAAATGATCTCATGCGTAGAGGTGAAATGACCCCTCTGCTTAGCGCTATGGATGAGGAGCACTGGGGTTGGATGCTCTGGATGTGTGTGCTCTGGGGGTTCACAATAGGAAATCTGACTTAGGGAGTTAAGAACAGTTTTCTCGAGGAAGCAATGCTTAGGCTGAAGCGAGGATGAGGCGGGTATCCTAGGCACCAGGAACAGCAAAGGCCCCACGGAGAGGCTCAAGATGCTGTGCCAGAGGCACCAAAAGGGAACCCTACATGAGCTGGGCACAGCCCACCAAGCTGCCTCATCTCCTTCACTTCGCTCTCCTTACCTGGCATCCTGAGTCGTCCCAAGTCTCCTGGACCTCATCCCAGAACACACAGTGAGACAGGAAGGTGGTGATGCCAACCGTGAGGTCCCTGCCGGGGGCTGGCTCCAGGTCAGACTCAGGGACCACAGTCAAATAGTAGACCCCTTCTCCAAAACGCAGGTCCTGTGGGCTCAGGATCCACGTGGGCAGCTCATCTGTAGGAAAGGGGGTTCCAGGTCAGCCTGAAGCCTCCTTGAGATGGGCGTTAAGATCATGGGAGAGGGTGACTGAGCCACTTGGCAGGGAAGCAGACCCTGCCGGTTTTCCCCCACCCCTGATGTCCTACAAGCACTCTCTCCTCCTGAGACCAGGAGCATAGAAGAAGGGGCACTCCCCAGTCAGGGTGCACAGCTGACTCAGGCAGACAAGGGCTCAAACACAGATTCTGCCCCTTATTGGCTGTATGAGCTCAGACCAGTTCCTTTTCCTTAACCTCTTTGTTCTTATCTGGAAAGTAGAGATTTTTTTTTTTTTTTTGAGACAGAGTCTCGCTTTGTCATCCAGGGTGGAGTGCAGTGGTGTGATCTCAGCTCACTGCAACCTCTGCCTCCTGGGTTCAAGCTATTCTTGTGCCTCAGCCTCCTGAGTACCTGGGATTACAGGTGTGCACCACCTCGCCCAGCTACTTTTTGTATTTTCAGTAGATATGGGGTTTCGCCATGTTGGCCAGGCTGGTCTTGAACTCCTGACCTCAAGTGATCTGCCCGGCTTGGCCTCCCAAAATGCTAGGATTACAGGCGTGAGCCACCACACTTGGCTGAAAGTGGAAATTTCAATAGTTCCCCCTGCCAAGGGTTGTCATGAGGATTGCAATGAGGTCAGTCCTATATGAGCTTGTAAACTTCTTTGGGGCATATAGTAAGTGCTCACCTAATGTTGGCAAATAGTAACACCAATAAAAAATAAGCCACTGAATGTGTGGGGTGGTTTTTTTCTTTGCTTTTCTTCCTGTGGCTTCTGATTTCCAAGTGAAGCTGATCATACCCCAGGCAGCAGCTCAGGAAATGGTCACAGGCCTACCTGGAGCCACCATTGGTACGAGGTGAGTTTGGGCATCGTAGCTGCTCTTGTTGGGGTGGTAGCCATAGCCCAGGCTAAGCGTGAGTGCAATGTCTGGTCTCCAGTGCAGCTGGATCCCCAAGGTTGCCTCCCCTGAAGTCACGTTCACCCACAAAGCTTCAGGACTGGTCAGGTTCAACACGGTCGGCTGGCTGTGTCTTTGTGAATGCCGGGGCAGCAGGATCTGTGATCAGAAACAATCCTATTGAAGGTGTGCCAGGAAGGCAATGCCAGCCCGTGGGCATCAGGACTGCTGTGTAGAGCTGTGTGGCCTGAGCACCTGGGAACAGAAATCCAGGCCGGGCTTTGCTCATTGTATTAGTTTCCTAAGGCTTCTATCACAAATGACCACTGTGGGAAGCTTAAGACAATATACAGTTGTTATCTTTTAGTTCTAAAGGCTGGAAGTGCAAAATCAGTTTCCCAGGGCTAGGGGAGAACATACTTCCCTGCCTTTTTCAGCTTCTGGTGGCCGCCTGCATTCCTTGGCTCATGGCCCCTTCCTCGCATTACTCCAGCCTCTTGCTTCTGGCATCAAGTCACCTTTTTGTCTTCTGGAGTCACCTCCCTTTCTGCCTCCCTTTTATAAGGACCCCTGGGAAGACGCGGAGCCCACCAGATAACCCAGGATAATCTCCCCAGCTCAGGATGGGCAAGACTCAAGCACATCTGCAAAATCCCTTTTGCAGTTTTGTTGGGTTTTTGTTTTTAGACAGGGCCTGGCTCTGTTACCCAGGCTGGAGTGCAATGGCATGACCAAAGCTCACTATAACCTTGAAGTCTCGGGCTCATGTGATCCTCCCACTTTAGCCTCCCAAAGTGATGGGATTACAGGTGTGAGCTACCACACCTGACCTCCCTTTTGCATTTAAGGTGACATATTCACAGGCTCCAGGGATGAGAACACAGACATCACTAAAATTGTTATTGAATTAGGCATTGATGAGAAAATTGTAGAAGACTAGAATAGAATCATTAAAATTTTGAAAAAATGTATTTAGGTTGCACCATGGTATGTTTACGTTTTTGTTTAAAGAAAATCTAACTGGACATTTTATTTTTTATTTATTTTTTTGAGATGGAGTCTTGCTCTGTTGCCCAGGCTGGAGTGCAACGGTGCGATCATGGCTCACTGCAAACTCTGCCTCCCAAGTTCAAGTGATTCTCCAGCCTCAGCCTTCTGAGTAGCTGGGACTACAGGTGCCTGCCATCACGCCCAGCCAGTTTTGTGTTTTTAGTAGAGACGGAGTTTTACTGAACACAAATGAGCAAATGCACGAGAAAGTGCTATGCAAACTGTTTTACTGTTGGCCAGGCTGGTCTCAAACTCCTGATCTCAGGTGATCGACTCGCCTTAGCCTCCCAAAGTGTTGGGATTGCAGGTGTAAGCCCTTGTGCCCAGCCTAACTGGACATTTTAGAGGCTATGTAGTGGGAATGGTTTATGTAACGAAGATAACTAAAATTCCAAACAACAGATTTATATAACCAGGAAAACTCTGGTTATATACCCAAGGATTGGTGAATGAACATGCATTTGTAGTTTTAAGTTAAGTACAATGATTAAGCTAGGGTAAGGACCTTTTTTTGTTTGTTGTTCTTTTGTTTTTTGTTTTTGAGATGGATTCTCACTCTGTCGCCAGGCTGGAGTGCAGTGGCACGATCTTGGCTCACTGTAATCTCCGCCTCCCGGGTTCCGGCCATTCTCCTGCCTTAGCCTCCCAAGTAGCTGGGATTACAGGCCCGCACTACCACACTCAGCTAATTTTTGTATTTTTTTTAGTATAGACAGGGTTTCGCCACGGTGGCCGGGATGGTCTTGATCTCCTGACCTGGTGATCCACTCGCCTCAGCCTCCCAAAGTGCTGGGATTACAGGCATGCGCCAGTGCGCCCAGCCTGTTGCTGTTATTTTTTAAACCAATCTTGGTTCACTGCAGCCTCGACCTCCTGGGCTTAAGCAATCCTTCTGCCTCAGCCTCCTGAGTAGCTAGGACCACAGGTGCATGCCATCACACCTGACTAATTTTTGTATTTTTTGTACAGATGGTGTTGCACATTGTTGCCGAGGCTGGTCTTGAACTCCTGGTCTCTAGTGATCCTCCCACCTTGATCTCTCAAAGTGCTGGGACTACCAGTCCCAAAGTGTGAACTACCAGGACCAGCTGGTAAGGATCATTTTGGAAAATTCTCTTCTCTAACCATTTTTTAAAAAAAATAATTGGCCAACTTTCAATTTCAACCAAGTTGAAAAAGAAGACAGAGGCTGGGCGTGGTGGCTCATGCCTGTAATCCCAGCACTCTGGGAGGCCGAGGCAGGTGGATCACCTGAGGTCGAGAGTTCAAGACCAGCCTGACCAACATGGTGAAACCCCGTCTCTAATAAAAATACAAAAAATTAGCCGGGCATGGTGGCGCATGCTTGTAATCCAGCTACTCGGGAGGCTGAGGCAGGAGAATCACTCGAACCCAGGAGACAGAGTTTGCAGTGAGCCGAGATCTCGCCATCGCACTCTAATCTGGGCAACAAGAGCAAAACTCCATCTCAAAAAAAAAAAAAAAAAAAAAAACAGAAATGTGGCCAGGTGCAGTGGCTCACACCTATAATCCTGGCACTTTGGGAGGCCAAGGTGGGAGGACTGCTTGAGCCCAGGAGTTTAAGACCAGCCTGGGCAATATAGTGAGAACTTGTTGCTACCAAAACTTAAAAAAAAAAAATCAACTGGATGTGGTGGCGTGCACCTGTTGCCCCAGCTACTTGGGAGGCTAAGGTGGGAGGATCGCTTGAGCCCAGGAGGCAGAAGTTGCAGTGAGCTGAGATCATGCCACTGAACTCCAGCCTGGGCCCACCTAACTTTTGACGACACCCCAAACTTCTACCTCGATATTCTCCGACAGATTCTTCACAGGTATGAGTTGACCACTAGGGCTGGTCACACGGAGGCCACCGACAGTCCCGCTGACATCAAAGTGGCTTCGGGCTGGAAAGGGGCTCTTTGGGAAACTCATGATCTGAAACCAAGAGCAAGGAGTGTTGGCCAAGGCCCCTGAGAAGCTGGAGGGTGAAAGACAAGGTCCTAAGACTCAAGGAGAAGTAGCCCTGGCGTGTGGGGCGGGTGGGGCCTGCCTTCGGCTGCTGCTGCTTCCCCTGGCATGTTTCCAGCCTCAGGGCTGAGGCCGCAGAGAACCTGCGCTAGAGGACCCATATCAGACTTGCTTGGGCTGAGCAATGACTGGAATGTAAAACCATCCAAGTCTTTTTTTTTTTTTTTTTTTGACACAGTCTCGCTCTGTCACTCAGGCTGGAGTGTAATGGCACAATCTCTGCTCACTGCAACCTCTGCCTTCCGGGTTCAAGCCATTCCCCTGCCTCAGCCTCCTGAGTAGCTGGGATTACAGGTGTGCACCACCATGCCCGGCTAATTTTGTATTTTTAGTAGAAATGGGGTTTCACCATGTTGGCCAGGCTGGTCTCGAACTCCTGGCCTCAGGTGATCTGTTCTCCTCAGCCTCCCCATCCAAGTCTTTCTTCCCCAAAAGCCAGTAAGTCTTTAAGAGAAAGATGTTTGCTTTCACTAGAGCTCAGGGAGTACACAGTTAGACGTGCTTTAATTTGCGGATGGAAGAGAGCCTGGGTTGGCCATTTCCAAGTTATGACACTAAGCTGAAGAGCTTTATTTCCAGTGACTACCTGAATCAAGGCTGTTGGAGAAATTTTGTAGCACAATGGAAAGAGGGTAAATCTGGGAGCCCAGAGGTGTGGGTCTGAAGGCCGGCAGAGCCACTTACTTGTGGCTTTGGGAAAATCATTGAACCTCACTGGTACAGCGGGCATCATCATACTAAACACAAATAAGGAAATGCACGTGAAAGTGCTCTGCAAACTGTAAAGGCTGTCCCCAAGGACGCTACTACCGTTATTACCTTTATATCCACGGGCTCCTGGCCGCCCTCCAGAGAGCTGAGGGAGGAGGCAGCGGGCAGCATGAAGGTTGCAGAGTCTGCGGCATCAGGGCGCAGGGAGGAGCCTTGCCAACTCCAGGGTTGTATTCTGGCCACAAGGTGAGGACAGAGGTGGCAGGGGAGGGAGGAGAAAGTCAGTGTTCGAGGGAGCCCTCACACCTCCTGCACTACTGGGAGCCCAGCTTCACCATCAGAGTGGGGGTGTGTTTTGATTCCCATAGGTGGTTCAGCATGTTTGTTTCAGCAGAAGCAGCACAAGAGGCAGCTAGACTGGAGGCTCCATGAGGGTGGGGCTTTGCCAGCCTGGTTTACTACTGTATCCCCAATGTCTACAGCAGCGCCTGGCATATAACAGGTAGTCCATCAGTATTTTCGTTGAATGAATAAATGAGCTTGGATGCAGGTTTTTCTCCAGGGTTATCTCCCCTTCCCACCTGGACCTCTGACGTCATGTCTTAACCCCGCCCCATCTTTTCTGGTCTTTGACCTTGCCCCTTTCTGATCTTGTTGGGGACCCCACTTCAGATCGTTCCTCTAATCAGGATACTGCTTTGGGAAACTGTCTGTGAGATCTAAGAGGGAAACCCTGGCAGGAGGAACTGAGGCTTGGGGCAGAGGGTCCCAGTGTTGCCAGCAGCATTGTCCAGCTCCTGCTTGTCAGGTGGAGGAATGGAAGGTGTGGAGCATCCCAGGTATGGCATCAGTGCTCACTGAGAGATGAGCCCTCTGTGTGTGTGTGTGTTTGTGTGTGCGCGCGCACGCCAAAAGTAAGAGGATCTTGAGTCCCTGCAGGCCCAAGGAGCAGTGGCTGGTCAGACACATGCACAGCATGGTTAACAGCAGGCTAGTCCCATTCATTCAGCCCCCTGGCCTGCACAGCTGCCATGTGACCGTCTCTCAGGACTCCTTCAGGTGGATCTAACACTGGGCTTGGCACTCCATGCCTCCCTTCCTGTGCTGTGCAAACACTCAACATGGTGACAAGGGGGCCTTCTCTCGGTGGGAAGCCCTTCCCAGCTCTAGGTCCCATCACTTCTCTAGCTCCAAGGCTGGTCTCCTGAGCTCTGCCTAGCACAGGGCTTTGGAGTGCCGGTGTGGAATGAACCAGGTTAGGGGATGAGCTTTCTTGGGGACCTGTAACGCAGCTGGTTTGTACCTGTTTGTGTACACAGAGATGGAGGGGGTGGCCAGCATGGCTGGAAGGCCCCCTGGCAGTTTTCCCAGCAGGAGGGTGGTCTGCACATGCTCCATGACTCGAAGCAGCCGCAGCACTGTGGCAATCTGAAAAAGGAGGCAGGAAGATGTTGCTATGGACCTGCTGCCATACACCATCTTTGGTTACTGTCACCAGGCCAATGTGGGACCTTCAGGAGGGATCGGGAGAGTACAGAGAGGAGGGAGTAAGACTGCCTCGGAGGTGGCCCAAGAACAGTACTCATAAAGCTTCCAGACTGGCTTTTGTGAGCCCATTCCATCCTCACAGTAACTCGGTGTGGCAGGGGCTTCACTAGCCCCATTGGACAGATGGGGGATGGAGGCACAGAGAGGGTAGGAGGCTGTGGGAGGTCACAAATTGATAAGGGGAAGAGCCAGGACTCACGGCAAAGCATATGGCTACAGAGCCCGTGTGCTGGGCTGTCAGACAATGTGGCTGTCTGGGCTGCTGACATCTGCCAGCACCCTAAGGCTTGTTCCAGGGGAAATGGACAGCTGAGAGCGAGGCCATTTCACCAGGTCACCTGGGCTTCGAATCTGCTCCCCACCCGTCCCAACCCCCAGATGAGATGCATCCTGACACCACGGCTGGTGCGGGGACCCAGGAAGGGCTGGATGTTTGCACATAATTCCTGTTGGGGCACAGATCGTGTGGGTGTGAGTGTGTGTGAGTGTATGTGTGCATGTGCGCACACACGTGAACACACAGTGTGAGGGTGACATCACTGCATGTGAATGTCAGTGTTTGAGCGTGTGTATGTGTGAGCGAATGTGAGTGTGGTCCTGAGCGTGTGTGGGTACAGTGTTTGAGTGTGTGAGTGTGCACAGGTGACTGCATGATTATGGAGTGTGCAACCATATGTGAGGGTCTGTGAGTATGTGAGTGCATGTGACTGCATGGCCCTGTGTGAAGATGCGTGTGTGTAAATGTGCATCTGTGTGCAAAAGTGTGTGCTTGAGGCCGTGTGAGTATGAGGTCCTCTCAGTGTGTGTGTGAGCTTGCACATGAGTGTGAGTGTGGCCATGTGTTTTTGTGTGTGTTTGTGGAGATTGAGTGTGTCTGAGCATGTGCGTGTGTGCATCCACGCATCTTTGCGTGTTGTGTGTCTTTCAGTTCTTCCTGAATGGAGGTGATGGCCCCATGTGATCAAGAACCATGCAACAGCAAGAAATGGGTTTTGTGGCTCTGTCATGATGCCATCTAGGAGGCTATGTCCCCACCAGGATGCTGGGGCCACGTGACACAGTGCTACACCTATTCTTACTCTGGGCAGCTGCCTCTCTTCTGTGTTCTTGGTAAAATGAGCCACAAGTTTACCCAGACCTGCTAGTGGGTCCATATGATCTCTCCAGTTGGCAGCTTATTTGGGATGAGGCAGAGTGCCTTGATTTACACATAAGGAAATGAGGCTTAGGTAAGCTCTGTAACTTGCCCAGGTCACAAGCCTCCTAAGCGACAGAGGCAGGATTCAAACTCAGACCGTCTCATTCCAGAGCCTGTGATTTGGCCACCACTCCACACTGCCTCCCAGAAGCCCTGCTCTCTGGAAATTTTCTCTTTTTTTCTTTCTTTTTTTTTTTTTGAGAAGGAGTTTCACTCTTGTTGCCCAGGCTGGAGTGCAATGGCGCGATCTTGGCTCACTGCAACCTCCGCCTCCCAGGTTCAAGCAATTCTGCAGCCTCAGCCTCCCGAGTAGCTGGGATTACAGGCGCCGGCCATCACGCCCGGCTAATTTTGTATTTTTAGTAGAGACGGGGTTTCTCCATGTTGAGGCTGGTCTTGAACTCCTGACCTCAGGTGATCCTCCTGCCTTCGCCTCCCAAAGTGCTGGGATTACAGGCTTGAGCCACCGCGCCCGGCATGCTCTCTGGAAATTTTCTTCCACCTCCCAGGGCAACACCTTAACCTCTGTGCCGCACTTTCCTCATCTGCAAGATGGGGGGGGAAAGTTCCACCTAGAAAAGCTGATGTGACTAAGCATTCAGTGTGTGTGAGGTCTGCATCTGGCCTGGACACCCACCTGGCTGCTGCTGGCCTCCGCAGGCTCTTCTGGTCTGTTGCTCAGGGAAGCTTCCAGCACACTGCCCACAGCCTGAAACAGGTCCCTGGTGGCTGCCTGGCGCCTCTGGTCCTCAGGGCGGGCCTTGGCACTCACTGTCAACAGGGCCTCACTGGCATGCTGTAGAGCCAAGCTGGCCTCCCACTGGGTTCACCCAAATAAGGAAAAGCGATGTGAGCCTCTGCTTAAGATAGACCATTCCTGTGTCATTCAAGGGACAAGGGAAGCAAGGAGGGGAACAAGCCAGGAAAGAGCTGGGCTAGACCTGGCACACGAGCTCCCTGTATCTCCGGCTTGAGACCAGGGCCTCCCACCTTACAGTCCTCTGAGATCCTCTAGGAGAGTAGCCTGGTCTGCCTCTGAATCCTTCCCAGAACGCCCTGCACAGTGCCCAGCACATAGCAGGTCTTCAAGAACATTCAATGACTAGGGGACGGATGGATGGATGGATGGATGGATGGATGGATGGATGGATGGATAAATGAAGGGTGGATAGGCAGTTTGATAAATGGATGTATGGATGATAGGTGGATGGGTGGAAAATGGATGGATGGAGGATGAATGAATGAATGGGTGGATGGAGGATGAATGGGTGATGAATGGATGGATGGATGGGTGGGTGGATGGATGGTAGATGGATGGATGGGTGGATGGTGGGTGGATGGATGAATGGTGGGGGGGTGGATGGATGGAGAATGAAGGATGGATAAGTGGGTGGATAGATGGATGGATGACAGGTGGATGGATGAATGGGTGGAAGATGAATGGATGGAGGATGGATGAATGATGGATGAATAGATGGGTGGATGGTAGATGAATGAATAGGTGGATGGTTGCGTGGGTGGGTGGGCGGATGGATTCAGTACATATTCAAATTTTGTAGTTTTCTATGTATTTTTGAAATTATTTGTCTAATGTCTGGCTGTCTCAGTAATCTGAAAGGACCGTAATGGCAGATGCCATGTCTACATGATTTGCTGCTGAATTCTCAATGCGTTGCACATTACCTGGCACATACTTGACATTCAGGAAGCATTTGTTAAATGAATGATGAAATTAATGCATGCATGAATGGATAGAAGGATAGAGTGGAGGATGTGTACAGGTCCATGTATATACAGTGTATATGCATGTAAATAGATGGATTAGCAAATGGATGTGTAAATGGGAAGTGTCATATCAAGAATTAGCCCCAGAATCAAGACCAGCCTTGCTGGCTTCAGGCTGGAAGATTTTAGGAGCACAACCTCCTACCAGAGTGCGTGGGGCAAAGCCAGGACAGTTCTCTTCTCTTCTGTTTTTTTGTTTGTTTTTGAGATAGATTCTTACTGTTGCCCAGGCTGGAGTGCAGTAGCGCAAGCATGGCTTACTGTAACCTCGAACTCCTGGGCTCAAGTATCCCTTATGCCTCAGCCTCCTGAGTAGCTGGGACTACAGGTATAAGCCAGTATTTAGGTGTTGTTTTTTTTTTTTTTTTTTTTGTAAAGATGTGGTTTCCCTATGTTTCACAGACTGGGCTTGAACTCTACGGATCAAGTGATCCTACTGCCTCAGGCTCCTGAAGTGCTGGGATTACAGGCATGAGCCACTGTGCTGGCCCGCTTTCCCTGTTTTTAGGGCTTCTTTTTATTGTTATTTTTTTTCATAGGGTTTGCTCTGTCTGCCATGCTGGAGTGTAGTGGCACAATCATGGCTCACTGCATCCTCGACCTTCCGGGCTCAATTGATCCTCCCACCTCAACCTCCCAAGTAGCTAGGACTACAGGTGTGTACCATGATGCCCAACCAATTTTGTTTTGCTTTGTTTTTGTTTGTTTGTTTGTTTTTTTGAGATGGAGTCTCTATCACCCAGGCTGGAGTGCAGTGGCACGATCTCGGCTCACTGCAACCCCCACCTCCTGGGTTGAAGCAATTCTCCTGCCTCAGCCTCCCGAGTAGCTGGGACTACAGGCGCACACCACCACGCCCAGCTAATATTTGTATTTTTAGTAGAAATGGGGTTTCACTATGTTGGCCAGGCTGGTCTCAAACTCCTGACCTCAGGCAGTCCACCTGCCTCGGCCTCCCAAAGTGCTGGGATTACAGGCGTGAGCCACCGTGCCCGGCCTTTGTTTTGTTTTTGAAGGGATGAGGTCTCACTATGTTGCCCAGGCTGGTCTCAAACTCCTGGCCTCAAGCGATCCTCCTGCCTCTGCCTCCCAAAATGCTGGGATTACAGACGTCAGCCACCGTGCCTCACCTATGGCTTCTTTTTTAACCCTTGGCTGTCAGAACCCTGGGAACACGGTGTTTTAATTTGAGTTCTCCAAGAAGCAGATCCCAGAGCAAGAATTTGAGAGCAAGTCATTTATTTGGACATGATCCCAAGAAACACTTGTGGGGAGTAGGGGGTGTGAGACAGGGAAGGGTGGAAGCCAGTACAGGAGTGTGATCAAGCCCATTACCTGGGATTCACTCCTGCTTGGGATTATCCATCAAGAGGGGTGAGGTAGCTGGGGTGTTTATAAGCCAGCTTCATTAGTCACTGAACACTGCATGAATTCACAGCCATATGGGCAGGTACAGTAGGCTCTGAGGGTCAGAGAAGACCCCCAGAAGGATAAGGAAGCACAGGAGCTGGCAGCCAGATGTCAGGCTGGCATGTACTGAAGTTGAGAACATGGGCAGTCAGTAGCAGTGTCTGGACTCACATTTGGCCACCCAAATATTAATGAGATTCAGTTACTCCCTCAACTTGCTCACCAGCAGATGCAGGAGTGAGAGTCTGGGCAAACAGGCCCTCTCACCTAGCGTGAGATACATGGGCAGCAGGAGGGGCACCTTCCCATGAATCGCCCATGCAGGACCCCTGGAAAGAAGATGACAGAGGTCTTGGCAGCCCCAAAATAGCCCTGTGACCAAGGGACCCCTTCAACCTATGCTGATCACCCACCTGCTGTGAAGGAGCGTGTCCCATGTTAGCCTCTGTAGATGGGAGCTACTCACCTGGGCCGAGGGTGTGAGTTCCTTACTCCGGCAGGTCACCTCTCTCAGCACCTCGGCCAGCTCCTGCACCCTCTGCACGTCCTCCAAGCCGGTGGTGACTGCAGACAGTGATCCCAGCACATGCTCTCTGACCTTGGCACGGGGGAGAAAGGCAGGGAGAGGAAATGTAATTCTGTGGCTCCATGAAGTAGTGTCAGGAAGATGCAGGGTCAGGAGTGACCAGGGTTATTAGGGGGTTCTTTTTCTTTTCTTTCTTTTTTTTTTTTTTTTTTGAGTCAGAGTCTCGCTCTGTCACCCAGGCTGGAGTACACTGGCATGATCTCGACTCATTGCAACCTCCGCCTCCTGGGTTCGGGCCTCAGCCTCCTGAGTAGCTGGGATTACAGGTGCGCACCACCATCACCAGCTAATTTTTTGTATTTTTAGTAGAGACAGGGTTTTGCCATGTTGGCCAGGCTGGTCTTGAACTTCTGACCTCAAGTGATCCACCTGCCTCAGCCTTCCAAAGTGCAGGTATTACAGGCGTGAGCCACCGCACCTGGCCTCACTGGTGGTTTCTAAAGCCCTGCAGACCTCTGTCTGCCTTGTATGATGTGTGATTAGGCAGATAACAGCCCCCTCAAGATGCCCACATTCACATCCCTGAAACCTGTGAATATGTTACTGAATGTGGCAAAAGGCACTTTGACTAAGTCATTTTGGAGAAGCAATTAAGTTAAAAATTCTGAGATGGAGAGATTATCCGAACAGGTGGGACCAACGTCATCATACGACCCTTCTAAGAGGGAGGTAGGAACGTTAATCAGAACAGGAGATGGGTGATGGAGGCAGGGGTAGGGGGAAGAAAAAGAGAGGGAAAGAGGATGAGGTAAGGGTGGGGAGAGACAGAGGGAGAGGAGAGGACTTTGGAGATGCTGCGTGGCTGGCTTTGAAGATAGGAGTCAAGGAGTGCAGGCGGCCTCTAGAACCCGGAAAAGGCAAGGAATGGCTTCTCTCCTGGAGCCTCCAGGTTTGCAGCTCTGCCATCACCTTACTTTTGGCCTAGTGGACCCCATTTTAAACTTCTGGCCTCCAGAACTATAAAGTGAATAAATGCGTGTTGCGTTAAGCCATGATCTTTGTGGTCATTTGTAACAGCAGCCCTAGCAAACATATATAGGATGTCTCAAGCTTTCTCCAAATCTTCAAATTGAATCTGTAGAATTTGGCACTATTTGAAAATAAATTGTGTCTCAGCGTGGCACCTGTGACCAGAATGGCATGAAATTCAGAAACTGGATGACTGTTGGTCTGGCATGGATGGGAGGTCTCACCGGAGGCTTGGGGTCCCTGTGTGCCTTTGCAGCAGTGGGGACAAGAACCCCCCTACCCAGCCCTCCACTCCTGTCTTGGGCCAGGCCACGGGCTTCAGGGTCAAGTGCTTTCTACACTACAAAGCACTAATGAGGGGCTGGTGAGGGGCTTTGGTAGGAGCAGAGAAAAACTAAGAACATCATTTCAGCACTGCCCAGTAGAACTGTCATTTGTAACTTTATTTAATTTTAATAATGACTTAGATTTAAGCAGCAGCCACTTTTGATGGGGCAGAGACACCGTGGCCTGTTGCTCACACCTGGCTCAGCCTGACAGGCTTTCCCGAAGCTTCCAAGTATGAGTGCATCTGCCATCCATTCCAGGGACAGCCAGGCCTCCATCCCGGCTGTGTCTTGGGTTGAGGAAAGAATAGGTCAGTGTGGCAGGAGACTCTTTGCAGAATATTCCAGAAGGGAAACTCAGATAATGGGTAATCTCACATTTGCTTCTGCAGGCCCTGACCCCATCGTTTGTCACCTACCCTGGGTAAAGATGTCACCGGCTCTGGACCCTCCGGCAAATGGACTCACCCAGCAGGAGCCCAGCAGGGGACGAGATGGCAGGAGGAGAGAGAGCTGGGAGGGGTCATTCTCCTGATGCCCTCGGCCAGGTCACCGGGGGCTGGCCGCCTCATTCTTCAAAAGCCACAGCTCCTACCAGAGAGTCCCTCTGTGGGCAGCCGCCCCCTGGATCCTGCTCACGGCAGGCCGGGCCTCTGGGGTCCTCCACGCTGTCTAGTTTGTTCCCTAAGCCCTGCACACACCTGTCTCAACAGAGCCCTTGTTAACATCTTCTCAGCTTCCCAGTGAGAGTTTGACATCTGTCTTGTGCCAGGCCCCGGGCATTTCATGGGGAGACCTTGGGTTAGGCTGTGTGGTCTGTGTGCTTGGGGACCACAGGATGTCCAGGGGAAGCTTCCCATTGGTACTTCTCAGAGTGAATGTGACCAAGAATGAGAGCTGTGTGTGTGTGAAAGTGTGTGAGTGTGTATGTATGTGTATGTGTGAAAGCATAATTGTGTGTGGGAGTATGTGTGTGTGTGACAGCGTGTCAGTGTATGTGTGTGAGCATGTGTGTGAGTTTGTGTGTGCATGTGTATGTGTGTATATGAGTGTGTGTGTGTGAGCATCTGTCAGTGTGTGTATGTGTGTGAGTATGAGTCATATGAGTGAGTGTGTGAGCATGTATGTATATGCGTATAAGTGTGTGAGTATGTGTGTGGGAGTATGTGAATGTGTTTGTGAGTGTGTGTGTGTGAACATGTTTGAGTGTGTGTGTGTGCATAAGAGTGTGTGTGAAAGTGTGTATGTATGATGTGTGAGAGCTAATGTGTATGTATGTGGCAGGGGGTCTGGGGTAAGAGGGCTGGAGGTGGAGGGGGAACCTCTAAACTGGGTTTGAACCCAGGCTTCACCACTTACCAGACACAGGGACACAGGCAGGCACCTCTGATTCTCTTACCCTCTGTTTCCTCAGCTGTAACATAGATGGAGGCCTCACCATTTACGTCCCAGGGTTGTAGTGGGGATTACAGATCCATGAAGCCCTAATTCAGGGCCTGGCAGCTCATAGCAGGTGCTTGATACATGTTAGTTTCTCTCGGTAAGCGACCACAATGACAATCCGGCTTCCTGTATTAAGTACCTACCAGGCCTCTAGCACCACACTCAGTACCTTCCTGCAAACCTTTCAGGGAGCCAAGAGAAGTCTTTCTTCTCTTCTCCGTGCCCACAGGGGTGTGTGTGTGGGTGTGTGCATGCACACACACGAACACAAACTCATGTGGCACATGCTGGGAGTGGACACAATCATACGTTCTGCAATAGTTTATCATACTAGGTTGTAACAATGGAACGGCCATTTTTGTAGATTAAAACTGATTGAATGTTGACGGTCTTATCTAGTTTTTTAGTTGCAGTGATCGTAATTCTTATTTAACTCTTACTACAATTGTATGAGGAGACTAGTATTCTTCTATATGGGGAAACTGAGACTTAGAGAGGTTTGGTCCCTGGCCTGTGACAATGCGAATGGTAAGTGACAAAGCCGGGACGCCATCTGTGGTCCAACTCCAAACCGCTACCCATGTGACCGAGGACAGTCCCCTTTCTGCTCTGGGGCTCTGCCTTGTCATCTGAAACATGAAAAGCAGGGGATGATGTGTTCTAAACTCCCCCCATCCCAGAGGCCTGTGCCTCCATGAGGGCCAGCCGAGAAAGCAGGTTACCAAGGAAGAAGGCATTTTCTTCACTTTATGTCACTCACCCAAAAGACCAGAGAGGGAGGTGGTGTCAGCCGCTTGGGAGACACCACAGGTTTCTCCCCTGATCCATGAACCTTGATCCACAGCCCAAATGGCCGCACGCAGACCCTGGGGCCCCAGAGGAAGGGAATGAAAGGAGCCCCCCAGCTTCCCACGGGTACCTTCTGTCTGACGTCTATGCTCAGTGACTGTCCTGAGCCCTGGCTTTCATGCTCTTGGTTCAGCATGGAGGACACAGCCTTGGCCAGCTGGAGGAGCTGCTCGGGGCCACCCTCGCCTTGCAGAGCTGTGGGGATTTTCTCTGACACGGCAGCCTGGAATGCTACATCCTCAACACATGTGTCTCCGAGTGCCACCTGTTAGGAAATCAGAAATATGCTCAGAACCTGCTAGGAAGAAGCTGGCCTCTGAAGTCAGGGGTCTTCATGTGGGGTCAGAGAGGCTTGGATGCCTTTGGCCTGGCCTGTGGGCTCTCGAGCACTTCCTGAGGCTGGAGGGCACCCAGACCTGCTCGCACCAGGCAGCTGACAGCCACCCAAACCAAGCCTTGGTTGGCTCCAGCCTGGCGCAAGTCATTGCTCTACCACTGGCCGCCCTCCTCTCTTGGTCTCAACCTCTTCCACCCCCACCTGGCCTCTGACGCTTGAAATCTTCTTGGAATCTTATCCAGGCTCTTCCTTGAGTCCTTGTTGGCTAATCTTGGTCCTACTTCTTCTGAGCTCTCTGAAGGTGCTGGCCTAACTCATGCCAGAGTCATTCTCCAACCCCCCTCACCCACCCACCAGCTCCCAGGACCCTCCCCCTATTCTGGCCACTAAATCATAACATCTACAAAGGTAGAGACCATGTCTGTTGTGTCCCTGGCTATACCCCCAGGACGTGGCCCAGGGTAGATGCTCTGTAAATATTTGTGGAAGGAATGGATGAATCACTGACTTATCTGGCTATGCCCCTGGCTATCTTCCATCCGGCCATCCTTTTAGTGAGGTTCATATGGGTGGAGAATTTTTCTCAGTAAAGAAACAGTGACCACTGCCACCACCTACCTTAGCCATGGCCTGGGTCTGCTGCGTGTCCCCTGCACGATTGGTGGCAGAAATAACTACTGTCAGCACAAAGTCATTGTTCTCCTCTCCAAGTGGCAGATACACTGATGGGAGGGCAGGTTCAGGGCCACAGTGTAGGCAGGAACCTGGCAAAACCAGAAATTGACCGATGAGGGGGCATCGCTAAGCCCCAGGTAGACTGCAACCCACTCAGGTAGAGGCTGGTGACAGGGACACAAAAGCCACAGCTCTTGAAGGCATGGTAGGCTCTCGGGATTCCACACTTTCAAGTATGAGACAGTCACGTATGCTGATTCACTGTCTTCTCTAAGCAACTGCAGGTTGCTGTAACTTTGGAAAAATTTTACTAAAATCCATAAAAAATTGCAGGAAAAACATCCCATTTACAGTTTTTTTTTTAAAAAAAGTCAAGGTGGTAAACCAAATTATAAGAGGAAGAAAAAGAAGGAGGAGGAGGAGGAGGAGCAACAATGACAACTTAAAACTTAGCTCAGGGGCGAGGAGTTCAAGACCAGCCTGGGCAAATTAGGAAGACGTTGTTTCTACAAAAAAAAGTAAAAATTAGGTCTCGAACTCCTGACCTCAGGTGATCCACCCACCTTAGCCTCCCAAAGTTCCTGGGATGACTGACATGAGCCACCACGCCCAGCCTGGGACTCGTTTTTATGTAGCCACACTTTCCTGCCTCCGTGCTCACTTGGATGATGGGGGAGAGGTACTAAAGAGGAATAGCCTATTGGAATTAGGGCAGCTGTCCTGGCCTTTCCCTCTGGCGGGACGCAGTTTGAAATAACATCCACTTACCTTGCTTGAACTTTTTCCTTTCAGACTCAGCCCCATTCACAGCCCTCTTAACGGTGATGCATTTCCACATCTATTAGACAGGGCGCTCGTGAAAACTACACTCTCTTAGGTATTACAATAGCTGACGTGCACTTTCCCTAATCAAGGTGTAGTGTTTATGCCGTTGTGATGTTTGATGCTGGATTTGGGGGACCATCCTGGCAACACTACTGGTGGCTGACTTTGGTGGAAATTTACAATCTGATTAGAGCATTTTCAGAGCACAGAATGACAAAGCTCTCCCGGGCGTGTGGCTTACATCTGTAATCCCAGCACTTTGGGAGGCCGAGGCAGGCAGATCACCTGAGGTCAGGAGTTTGAGACTAGCCGGGCTAACATAGTGAAACCCCATCTCTACTAAAAATACAAAAATTAGCCGGGTGTGGTGGCGGGCACCTGTAATCTCAGCTACTCGGGAAGCTGAGGCAAGAGAATCGCTTGAACCCGGGAGGCTGAGGTTGCAGTGGGCCGAGATCGTGCCACCACACTCCAGCCTTGGCAACAAGGCAAAACTCTGTCTCAAAAAAAAAAAAAAAAAAAGAAGAAGCCAAAGCCCAGTGGGTGGAGATCAGGGCTCAGATGAGCCCTCCAAGGACCAATCACTCTCCAAATGGAAGAATAAATGCAATGTGAGTGGCTCCCTCATCTCTCCTGCTAATGCCCTGTGGCTGTCCTGGGGTGTGAGTGGTTAGGGTGAAAGCAGGGAGACTGTGTAGGGTTTTATGCATTGTGGATGGGGTCTTCCATGTTTGTCACCTGTACACCTTTGCAAAAATGTTCTTTCAGTTCAGCTAGTCCTGCAATTATCACCCATTCCCTGGGGCTGCTTGCAAAGCAGCGTCAATGAAATTGTTGAAGATTCTGTTAACCAGACCCATCTCTGTCTTCCTGAATAGCTCCAGGCTTCTGGGAGTCCCAGCTACTACAAGTGTGTGTGTGTGTGTGTGTGTGTGTGTGTGTGTGTGTGTGTGTGTGTGTGTGTGTGTGTGTGTGTGGTGAGCAGGGGTTGGGGGATGGTGTCTTGGTGGTGGCCCCACATGGTCATACTTTTGGGTATCCTCGTTCATTTCACTCCATCACTGTCCCCCACGCCAGGGCAATGGATTTTGGCTTCCAGTTGTGGAAGAGCTATTGATGAGACCTTCTTCTCATGTCTCTGTGGACTGATGGCTGAGTCAGTGTCTTGAGGCTAGGGGTTGAGGTTTAGGGGAGCCCTCATCCTACCAACCTCTCTCGCACACGGAACATATTCTTTGCAGCTCCCAGAGAGAACAGGCCCCTGTTCTGCAAGAAGATGAGCCCAGGAGCTGAGGGAAGAGCAGAGTCTTCAGCCGGTACCTGATTCCAGACAGAAGCAGAACTCCAGGGGTCCCAGGGCTGTGGAGGCGTTGCAGAAGATGGCAAAGCTCGTCAGAACGGTGCCCTCCTCTGGGGCAATAGTGCAGGCAGGCACCTCACGGGGAGGCACAGTGCTGATCACATAGGTGTCCTCCCCATAGGCATGCCTGGTCAGTGCTGGGAGTAAAGAGAGATCATGTTCAGGGGGCCACGTGGGGCCCACAAACTCCATCCTGCTGTTAGATTGCCCCCTGAGCTCATTAAACACAAAGATTCTTGGGCTCTACTTCAAACCCAGAACTTCAGACATCTCTGGATCTGGGAAGAGCCCAGAAATGTACATATCTAACAATTAAACAATGAAACCCCAAAACAACTCCCCCTGATGCAAGGGATCCCAGGGCCTCACTTTGAGAAACTGGGCAGAGATAGGGGAAGATAATTAGACAGACCTGAGCTTGAATTTTAGTTCTGCCATTTGTTAACCGAGTGACCTCAGACTTGACCTTTTCTTTTCCAATTTTGTTTTCCTAATTTTTTTTCTTTTTAGAGATAGGGTCTTGCACTGTCACCTAGGCTAGAGTCCAGTGGTGCAATCATAACTTACTATAGCCTTGAACTCCTACACTTAAGTGATTCCACTGCCTTGGCCTCTCGAGTCAGCTAGAACCACAGGAGTACACCATTACGGCTGGCTAATTTTCTAATTTTTGTAGAGACAGGGTCTCGCTCTGTTGCCAGGGCTGGTCTTGAACTCCTGGCCTCAAGGGATCCTCCCGCCTCAGCCTCCCAAAGTGCTGGGATTACAGGCATAAGCCACTGGACCCGGGCTGAGAACTTGACCTTTTTGAGAGTCAGTTCCTCATCTGTAGAATGAGGCTGATGATAATAGCTTCCGCACAAAGATCTTGTGAGGTGGGAGTATGCTGGGAAAATGCTCAAGATCACAGAGCCAGGAAAGACCAGAACCAGGATCCGGAAACAGGCTGAGCCCACCCCGAAGCCCACACTCTTCCCAGGCGCCGAGATCACTGTTAAGAGCCACGAGTGGACCTGCAGTCACATCCCACATCACCTGGAGTAGCCACCTACATTTTCAGAGAGCGCATGCCTGGAAGAGCTGGGCATAAAGAGAATTTGAACCCATAAAAACTCATTCCTTGGCCTAGACCCAATTCGGAAAGTTTGGGGTGGACCCAAGAGTGTGCATGTTTAACTAATTCCTTGTTTATCCTGATGTGCATGGTCTGTGGGCCACTTCGGGAAAAATGGAAGCAAAGCAATCCTTCCTAAAAAGAATCATCACCTCCATTGTTTGTGTGTTTGAGAATCTATGTTTCTCACACAGGGCTTGTTTTAAACGAGAAGCCCTGAACAATCCTGGCAGGGTGTACAGGTTGCACGACCCCAGAATGACCTGCTTGTAACACTGGGGTTATCTCATTCATCCTGCAAAATAACCATTCTGAGGCAGGCATTTCGATTATCCCAGTTTATATGTCAGGAAACTGAGGCATAGAGAGGCGAAATCCTCTGCCTAGAGTCTCCCACGTAGAAAGCGGAAGTGGTGCGATTTACACCAGAGCCTGCGCTGTGGCCTCTGCACTAAGCTGATGCCCTGGCTGGGTATGGTGACTCACAGCTGCCATCCCAGCACTTCAGGAGGCTGGGACAGGAGGATCGTTTGGCTCCAGGAGTTCAGGACCAGACTGGGCAACATAGTGAGATCACATCTCTCTATTTCAATATTTAAAAGAAAAATAAACTGACACCCAATATCTGAGTGTTTCTGGGTTTATCTGGGTTCCCTGAGAGGAGATAAAAGGGAGGTTTCGCACCTGTGGCTCTGATTCGGATGACCTCTCCCCGGGACTGCAGAAACGAGCTGTTCAACAGCAACGTGGAGGTGTTGCTCTGGAGGAGGGTTAAGGACCTTGGCCAAAATCCTCTGAGTCTGCAGGCATCCAGGAGGGGCTCAGCCTGAAAGACAGGATGGCCCAGGGCTGCTGACGCTACAGCCAGGCCACAGGACTGCAGCAGGACAGTGGCTTCTGGGTGCTAGACAGCCTTTCAGATTTATTACTGATGAACGGAGGACAGGCAGCCCCAGCTCCCCAAGAAGTCACCTGGAATATACACTTTCCAGCCTCACTGCGGTGTCTGTCTTAGATTGGGCTCCCCGGAAGCAGAGCCTGAGATGGGGATTTGTGTGCAGGTTATTTATTTGTTTATTTTTGAGCCAGGCACAGTGGCTCACACCTCTAATCCCAGCACTTTGGGAGGCTGAGGTGGGTGGATCATCTGAGCTCAGGAGTTCAAGACCAGCCTGGCCAACATGGGGAAACTCTGTCTCTACTAAAAATACGAAAATCAGCCGGGCATGGTGTTATGTGCCTGTAATCCTGGCTACTTGGGAGGCTGAGGCAGGAGAATTGCTTGAACCCAGGAGGCAGAGGTTGCAGTGAGCTGAGATTGTGTCATTGTACTCCAGCCTGGGTGACAGAGTGAGACTCTGTCTCAAAAAAAAAAAAAAATTAAAAAGAAAATATTTTTGAGACGGAGTCTCACTCTGCTGCCCAGGCTAGAGTGCAGTGTATGATCTCTGTGCACTGCAACCTCTGCCTCCCAGGTTCAAGTCATTCTCCTGCCTCGGCCTCCCAAGTAGATAGAATTATAGGCACGCATCACCATACCCCGCTAATGTTTTCGTATTTTTAGTAGAGACGGGGTTTCACCATGTTGGCCAGGCTGGTCTCAAACCCCTGACCTCAGGTGATCTGCCTGCCTCGGCCTCCCAAAGTGTTGGGATTAAAGGCTTGAGCCACCATATCCAGCCTTGTGTGCAGGTTATTGATGGAAGGAGGATTCACAGGGAAAAGCAGTGCAGAGAGGGAAACAGCAGAGAACAAAACAAGGCAAAAAACAGTTACTGGAGGCATCCAGCCTCTGCCTGGTCACACGGAGAGCCCTGAAGTGTAAGTTGCACAACTGAAATCACCCTACCTGGGGACAGAGAAGCTGGGCTATTAGACCCTCCACCCATCAGTCGTTGGCCAATGGTCAGGCCACAAAAGCTGGAGTTAGGATCGTCCGCCTGGGAAGCAGGACTTTTGCTGAGATGCCAAGAGCACCCGCTGCAAAGTTTCTCCAGAGCTTATGCTCCTTTGTGCCCATTTGCCCTGCTGTCAATTCCCTGATTTTCTCCCCAGCCCAATACCCTGAGTCCCACACCACAGGCTCTGAATGGAATTGACCCAACCCTGGCCCAGTACCGGGCATGCGACACGGGTGTGCTGAAAGCGCAAGGGAGATTTCCATTCTTGAGTGGTTGTCACTGTGCTCACCTGCTCTGTTGGGGTGTTGTCCAAATACCAGCTGAACATAGCCACTGGAGAGTCCTCCCCCATGGTGACCCTGAGCAGAATGTCTTTGCTGGCATTAACTGGCCTGCAGTTCCTCTCACAGCTGAAAGGCAGACAGAGGACAGAGTGAGGAAGCTCCCCGAGGCATTGCTATCATCTGGATGTTTGTCCCCTGAAACCTCATGTTGAAATATGATCCCCAATGTTGGAGGCGGGGCTTCATGGGAGGTGTTTGGGTCATGGGGTTGGATTCCTCATGACTGGATGAATGCCTCCCTCGGGAGCGAGTTCTTGCTCTATTAGTCACCACCGGAGCTGGTTGCTAAAAAGATGGCCGGGAGCAGTGGCTCACGTCTGTAATCCCAGCACTTTGAGAGGCCCAGGCGGGCAGATCATGTGAGGTTAGGAGTTTGAGACCAGCCTGGCCAACATGGTGAAACCCTGTCTCTACTAAAAATACAAAAATTAGTGGGATGTGGTGGTGGGTGCCTGTAGTCCCAGCTACTCGGGAGTCTGAGGCAGGAGAATCATTTGAACCAGGGAGATGGAGGTTGCAGTGAGCCAAGATCACACCACTGCACTCCAACCTGGGTGACAGAGTAACACTCCATCTCCAAAAAAAAAAAAAAAAAAAAAGAGCCTGGCACCTCCCACCCTTCTCTGCACACACCAGGTCCCCTTCATCTTTCACTGTAAGTGGAAGCAGCCTGAGGCCCTTATCAGATACAGATGTCCAGTCTTGGATTTTCCAACCATAAGAATCATGAGCCAAATAAATCTCTTTTCTTCTTTCTTTTCTTTTTCTTTTCTTTTTTTTTTTTTTTTTGAGACAGAGTCTCGCTCTGTCGCCCAGGCTGCAGTGCAGTGGCGCGATCTTGGCTCACTGCAACCTCTGCCTCCCAGATTCAAGCAATTCTCCTGCCTCAGCCTCCTGAATAGCTGAGATTACAGACAGGCACCACCATACCCAACTAATTTGTATTTTCAGTAGAGACAGCGTTTTGCTGTGTTGGCCTGGCTGGTCTTGAACTCTTGGCTTCAAGTGATCCACCCGCCTCAACCTCCCAAAGTGCTGGGATTACAGGCATGAGCCACTGCGCCCAGCCAACCATTTTTCTGTATAAATTACCTAGCCTCAGATATTCCTTTATAACAATGCAAAATGGGCCGGGCGCGGTGGCTCACACCTGTAATCCCAGCACTTTGGGAGGCCGAGGCTGGTGGATCACGAGGTCAGGAGATCGAGACCATCCTGGCTAACACGGTGAAACCCCGTCTCTACTAAAAATACAAAAAATTAGCCAGGCGTGGTGGCAGGCGCCTGTAGTCCCAGCTACTCGGGAGGCTGAGGCAGGAGAATGGCGTGAACCCGGGAGGCGGAGCTTGCAGTGAGCCGAGATAGCGCCACTGCACTCCGGCCTGGGTGAAAGAGCAAGACTCCGTCTCAAAAAAAAAAAAAAAAAAAAAAAAAATGCAAAACGGACTCAGACAGGCATTGTGACCACTGGCCTGGTCTTTTGTCCAGTCCTTCTCAAGTCCTTTGAGAGGGTAGGAAATGGCCCTTTTTCAAATTAAAGATGGAATAAAAGCCGCCCCTGCCCCAACCAACACTGGGACGTAGCCTTGGTTGTGAAGATGGACTGAGTCATGGCCTGACTGAATTCCCATGTCATTCACTGACAGCGTAATGATACGGAAGGTGAATGAGGCTGAGACAGGACCTGGGTTCTAATCCTGTCCTTGTCACTTATGAAGGGTCACCTTGTGTGCATCACTTAAACTTTTTTTTTTTTTTTTTTTTTTTTTGAGACTGAGTCTCACTCTATCGCCCAGGCTAGAGTGCAGTGGCACGATCTCGGCTCACTACAACCTCCACCTCCTGGTTCAAGAGATTCTCCTGCCTCAGCCTCCCGAGTAGCTGGGATTATAGGCGCTCACCACCATGCCCGGCTAACGTTTGTATTTTTTTAGTAGAGACAGGGTTTCACTGTGTTGGCCAGGCTGGTCTTAAACTCCTGACCTCAGGTGATCCGCCCGCCTCGGCCTCCCAAAGTGCTGGGATTACAGGTATGAGCCACCATGCCCAGCCGAATCACTTAAACTCTCTAAGCCTCAGTTTCCTCACCTGCAAAATGAGGGGATAGCCTAGATAATTTCTGTGATTCTTTTTAGTTCAGATAATAGTAAACTAATGCTGTGGTTCAACAGCACGCCTGCCATGCACACATTACTTCCATTGTCTCTAGCTTGTCCAATGCTCACAATAGCCCTATGAGTGACATATTAGCATCCCCACATCACAGGTGAGCTAACCAGGCCCCGAGAGCTTATGTGATTTGTCCTAAGTGATGTAACTTCTAAGTGGGCAGATAGAATGTGAACCATCGTGTCTGGATCCAAACTCTTGGCCTTCTCTATAATGTCTCTGTGAAGGCCAAAGCAACTCCATTTCAGATGCTAATCTGCCACGTTGACTACTGATTAACCCCAATTCCAGGAATGCCTCTAAGATTTCTATTCTCTCTACAGTTCTTTGTGTAAGAGCATGTACTTACTATGAGTGCTGCCCTGAAAGAGATTCACATAGTATTCTTACCTTTCCCTACGACTGTCCTACACATTCCTTTCCTATGGTATATAAGCCCTGGTTCTGGCGGGTAATGGCGCTGGCTTTCACCATCTTGTCTTGCAGCTGCCCTAGACATCATGGTTTCTGTTCGCAAGTCTCAATTAAATGTTTCTTTCTAAGAAACTAAATTTGTCAGCTTCTTTCTCTGGCCTCTCTGCTTCCTCGAACTTTGCGGGAAGGTTTGCATAGACCTGCCCTCCACAGGACGGTCCCCCAGTTTCCCCTTTGGTCTGAACTTGATGACAGCTCTTGAACTTCCTACTTATCTCCTCATGTCTGCCCTAGTCCAAGTGTGCAGGACATTCTCTATCTGCCTCTCCAATCCAGTCTCCTCCCACGTGCGGCTCTGACCTGGGAGACTGAGCTCTATACACTGCATCACCCAAGCTGCCACACCCTCCAGCTTCTAACTGGGTCCAGCCAATGGGAACCATTGATAGAGGATTGGAGGGTGAGAGGAGAGAGTTTGGGGAATTTATTCACGGCTTTCCCTGCTCTTTTCCCTGATGGGCTGCAGGTGAGAGATGCTGTGCTTCTCCAACCAAGGCCACAGCTCCCTACGTATGTAGTCCTGCCTAATCTTACCTCTGCATTCCTGGGGGTGATAATGGCTTCCCTTGGTTGTAGTCCTGCCTTGTCGCCCCTGCTTCATTGCCTTATACCTGCCCTCACCTGTAAATAGTCCCTTCATCAGCTCTCTTCCATTCATTCCTGGTTTGGCTGAGCCATCAGCTTCCTGCAGGGACTGGCTGATAGTCCAAGCAAACTTGACCTCCTACCTTGACTCCTGCAAGAGCCTGGGCAATCTCCCTGGGTCTTCTCTTGCCCTCTTCCAAGTCATTCTCCACTGAGCCACCAGAGCATATTGAAGTCACATGCTTAGAACTCTTGGTTGCTTGGCTTGGCATGGTGGCTCATTCCTGTAATCCCAGCAATTTGGGAGGCCGAGGCAGGTGGGTCACCTGAGGTGAGGAGTTTGAGACTAGCCTATCCAACATGGTGAAACCCTGCCTCTACAAAAAATACAAAAATTAGCTGCGCACGGTGGCATGTGTGCCTGTAATCCCAGATACTCAGGAGTCTGAGGCACGAGAAATGTTTGAACCTGGGAGGCGGAGGCTGCAGTGAGCTGCGATGGTGCCACTGCACTCCAGCCTGGGTGACAGAGTGAGACTCCATTTCAAAAAAATAAAAATAAAAATAAAGAACTCTTGGGTGGTTTCTCTGTATCACTCTTAGGAAAAAGGCTAAAATCTTGATATGACCGGCAAGGCCCCACTTGAGCCAGGCCCTGCCTACACTACCAGCTCCTTCCCACCCTTCTCTTCTCCATCCTCAGGACATTGGCCTCTTTCGCTCCCTGATGATTCTCTGCTCCCTCCCTTTGCCCGCTCTGTTCCTGCTCCAGCTGCCCCTTCCCTGCCCTGTGAATTTCTCCTGAACACCTCTGCTGAGCTGCAGTTCCTGAGAGAAGTCTCTCTAACCCCAGTCAGGGCAGTTTTCATAGAGGTGCGCTCTCTGCCTTCTTCATTCGTGTCCAGAAGTGCTGATCACCAGGTGGTAGTAACCCCTATGACAACAGAGACCACCACAGCAAGCCTTGCCCCAAGGCAGCCCCAGCCTCAGTGGGTCCTCAGTAAGTGTTGGCTGAACGAATGAATCAGGACCCTGGAGGAACTGCCCACGTGCCCCACCTGACTCGAGGCCTGAGTTCCCAGGGCGCAGACACGTAGAGGCACTGCTCTGCCCTGTTCTCCAGCTCTTGGCCTCTCAGAACAGCCAGGCGCAGGGTGACAGCAGAGTCAGGCGGCGGCAGGCAGGATGCTGGAACCACCAGCTCCCTCTGGTCTGTGCGAAGCAGCTGCCTCTCAACACAGCTGCTCCACAGAGCCCAGCAAGACCCTGAGAGAAATGGACAGACACTATGATCCATCAGGAGCCCTGAACGTGGCACACACTGCTAGCTTCTGGTTTTGAAAGGGGTCATGAATAATAACATCAGCTCTAAATAGACATTTTAATTTTTTAATGTCAGTTTTATTATTTATTTATTTTGAGATGGAGTTTCCCCCTTATTGCCAAGGCCGGAGTGCAATGGCACCATCTTGCCTCACTGCAACCTCCGCCTCCTGGGTTCAAATGATTCTCCTGTCTCAGCCTCCAGAGTAGCTAGGATTACAGGCATGCACCACCACACCTGGCTAATTTTTGTATTTTTACTGGAGTTGGGGTTTCAACACGTTGGCCAGGCTGGTCTCGAACTTCCAACCTCAGGTGACCCACCCACCTCGGCCTTCCAAAATGCTGGGATTACAGGCCTGAGCCACCACACCCGGCCAAAACGTCACTTTTAATGCAGGTTGCAGAAATGGTGCTATGGAAGGATGCTTTTGGGAAAAAGAACCATGCTTCACCCAAACTCTGAGCAAATCTGCAGGATGTGGTTGGCTTGTGTTGCACTGGTGCTCAGGAAGGTGTGTAGCAGGAGAGGGGCCAGGAGGATCTGTGGCCCTGGGAGAAGGTCCAGGGCAGCTTCTTATCCCGGTATATTTGTCATTCCATGTGGATGAGGCTGTCCACAGCGCCAAGTCCCTGTGGGCTACTACGGCGGCCTGGGAGGTTGTACTGCCATCTGGGAGGCTGCTGTGTCACCTCCTGCTTTATGTTAGCAGCTTCCTAAGTTTCTGTATCCTCTGCCCTTCAACTCTATTGACAGATGTTTACTCATCAATACCTCACCTCCCACCATCTCCAATATGGTGACAGGCATATAGCAGCAGAGAGGCCAGGAAGATCTAAATCCCCAGGAGAATATTCCCAAGATTCCTGGGACTATTCCAAGAATTCCAAGATTCCCTAGATCTACAGCCCTGGGAGAACAGTCCCAAGATATGTTCCCTGAGCATATTTCCAAAATATGTTCAGGGTTCAGGCTCATCAGCTCGGTCGCCTAAACTCTGGACTTGCATACTCTGTATTCAGATAAGGAGAATGAATATTCAGAGGGATGTCATTACCACGTAACAATTAACATCAAAAGCCTTAAAATGTTGCATGACTTTTGACCCAGTTATTCCATTTCTACAAATTTATTTATGAAAGTAACCACAGTTGTAAATAGAGATTGAACTGTATAAGAGCAAACAATGTGAAACAATCTAAATGTCCAAAAAGAGGGTAAAGAAATGATCGCACATCAGCCGGGCACTGCGGCTCACGCCTGTAATCCCAGCACTTTGGGAGGCCGAGGCAGGTGGATCACCTGAGGTCAGGAGTTCGAGACCAGCCTGGCCAACATAGTGAAACCTCATCTCTACTAAAAGTACAACAATTAGTTGGGCATGGTGGCACGTGTCTACAATTCCAGCTACTCGGGACCTGAGGCAGGAGAATCGCTTGAACCTGGGAGGTGGAGGTTGCAGTGAGCCGAGATTGCGCCACTGCACTCCAACCTGGGTGACAGAGCGAGACTCCATCTCAAAAAAGAAAAAAAAATCACACATCAACATTATGGTCTATTGTGCAGCTATTAAGAAAATCAATATAGAGACGATACCACGACATTATAATATGCAAATATGCAGGTTACATTGTTCAATGAGAAAAGGGTAAAGAAAACAGTATGAATAACATTTCTTTCTTTCTTTCTTTCTTTTTTTTTTTGAGACGGAGTCTTACTCTGTCGCCCAGGCTGGAGTGTAGTGGCACAATCTCAGCTCACTGCAACCTCTACCTCCAACATTCAAGCGATTCTCCTGCCTCAGCCTTTTGAGTAGCTGGGATTACAGGCACCCACCACCATACCTGGCTAATTTTTATATTTTTAGTAGAGACGGGGTTTCACCACATTGGCCAGGCTGGTCTCGAACTCCCGTCCTCAAGTGATCCCCCCACCTCAACCTCCCAAAGTGCTGGGATTACAGGCATGAGCCACCGTGCCTGGCCCATTTATTTTATGTCTAAAAGCTAAAAGAATGTGTATGTAGCTAGGCTATATTCCTGTAAAAAGGAGGATACCATTTCTACAATGTGAGCGCTAGTGCTGCCATCTTGGTTTGTTGGAAAATGCCTGACTCACTTCCCCCTTCTAGATTCTCTCCCTAGGGATATACCAAAGGGCTGGGGAAAGGGGAGGAGTCCACACCAGAGAAGAGGAGCACTTTATCACTTTTGTTTGGAATTGTCAGCGTATGGACCAGCTTTTCAGGTTTCATTATTGTTTTAAAATTCTCTAGATCCCCTTGCTGCCTGCATTCAGGGCCACCCTTGGTCTGTCACTGCTTTCTCCCACCTTCTATTTTTTTTTTTTTTTTTTTTGAGACGCAGTCTTGCTCTGTTGCCCAGGCCAGAGTGCAATGGCACAATCTCAGCTCACTGCAACCTCCACCTCCCAGGTGCAAACAATTCTCCTGCCTCAGCTTCCTGAGTAGCTGGAATTACAGGTGTGCGCCACCACGCCTGGCTAATTTTTGTATTTTTAGTAGAGACGGGGTTTTGCCAAGTTGACCAGGCTGGTCTCAAACTCCTGACCTCCAGTGATCCACCTGCCTCGGTCTCCCAAAGTGCTGGGATTACAGGTGTGAGCCACCACGCCCGGCCCCACCTCCTATTTCCATGGAATTTGCAAGCTCTGGCATGTACAAGTTATACAAAATGTAGGCCATAGGGAAAGCTGGTGCGAAGATTAAGAAAAAGAACAGCAAAATCTGACCACTGCTCACCACTTCTTAGTGAAACAGGACAATTCAAGAACTCTATCATTGGCCAGGCGCGGTGGCTCACACCTGTAATCCGAGCACTTTGAGAGGCCAAGGCGGGTATATCGCTTGAGGTCAGGAGTTCGAGACTAACCTGGCCAACATAGTGAAACCCTGTCTCTACTAAAAATACAAAAATTAGCTGGGCGTGGTGGCAGGCACCTGTAATCCCAGCTACTTGGGAGGCTGAGGCAGGAGAATGGCTTGAACCCAGGAAGTGGAGGTTGCAGTGAGCCAAGATCACACCGTTGCACACCAGCCTGGGCAACAAGAGTGAAACTCCATCTCAAAAAAAAAAAAAAAAAAAGAACTCTATTGTCACCTACCACATGACCATTGGAAGCGTAACTCCTTGTCATTGTCTGGCCAGCCCAGGGTCACTGTCGTGAAAGGATCCACATATGGACCAGGTTGGATGTACACCTCCATATCGCCTTTATCTTTCTGCAAAAAAAAGCAGCCAGCTGGTGAGACTCCAACTACAGTTAGCTCAGGCTCACTGTGGGGTGCTGTTGGCATTCCCCTTTCACCCCAGAGCAGTCTGCACCAAGAGCAGCTGCAGTGTAAGGCGTGGGGTGGAGACAGACCCTGGCCAATCCCCCTGGCTTCCTTCCCCTCATGGGGCGTGGAGTTGGTTGCTCAGGATCCCTGGGCAAGTCACGTTATTCTGAGTGTTGGCTCGGGGTACACGGGGTGTTCCTGGAGTAAGTTCTGGTGGGACTTGTTAAACAGCTTGGGCTGTGGAGCTTCTTGCTCAAGCCCCGAAGTCCTGACCTGAAATAACACAGGGCTCCAGTGGAACTCAAGCCCCAGTGGCCTCCCGTGGCCTGAGAATAAAATCCAAATTTCTTGCCTTGGCAACTAAGGCTCCGCGTGATCTGGCCTCTGTCCACGTGTCCATAATCTCCTACATCCCTCCCTCCAACAGGCTCCAGCCACGCTGGCTTCAGGCCATCGCCTGCCTCTCAGATCTGCCCACTCAGAAAGCTCTTGTTCTGCTTTCAGGCATGGCTGGCTGGCTTATCTTCATGTGTCCGCTTACATGTCACCTCTGGAGAGGCCATGTCTGACCACATCAGCCAGACCACCCTGTTCGTTGCTATCGTTGCACTCTATTGGTTCTTATTAGATACTTACCACAATTCCTAATTCTATGATAATTTGTTTGTTGGAGTTTTTTTTTTGAGACAGAGTCTTACTCTGTTACCCAGGCTGGAGTGCAGTGGCACGGCCATGGCTCACTGCGCCTCAACCTCTCAGGCCCAAACTATCCTCCCACTTCAGCCTCCCAAGTAGCTGGGACCATAGGCATGTACCTTAATGCCTGGCTAATTTTTAATTTTGTTTTTTTTTTTTTGAGATGAGGGTCTCACTTTCTTGCTTGAACTCCTGGGCTCAAGTGATCCTCCCACCTTGGCCTCCCAAAGTGCTGGGATTACAGGCGTGAGCCACTGTACCGGGCCGATATGTTCGTTAGTATCACTCAGTAAGCTTCCTGAAGGCGGAGACCATATGTGCTTATTCACTATTGCATTCCCAGCCCCTGATACCAAGCCTTGAATGTTGTAGATGCACAGTAAGTCTTTGTTGTAGAATAAGTGCACGCACGAACAACGTCAACAGCAAGGAGCTGAACTCAGTCTTGTTATAAAAACTGAAGAGCTTGGTCTGTTTTCTTTTCTTCCTGCTTTCTAATATAAGCATTAAAAGCGATAAATTTCTCTCTGAGCACTGCTTTAGCTGCATTCCACAAATGTGCATAGGTTGTATTGTCATTATCATGTAGTTAGAAATTTTTTCTAATTTCCCTTGTGATTTCTTCTTGACCTATTGATTTTTTTACAAGTGTGCTGTTTAATTGCCAAGATATCTAACAGATATCTACATATCCTAGATAGCTCATTATAGATTTACAACATAACTCTGTTGTGATTAGACAACTTGCTTTGTTTGAATTCAGTCATTTTGGGCCTCTTCTCAAATGGAAGAAGCCTCAGGGATTCCTAGTGCTCTGGGTATTGGTACCAAAAAACCAAAACTCAAAACTAAAACAGAGTGCTTGGACATCTTTTCCTTGTGAGGTTAAACGTTTTTTAAAGACAATACTCACACTCTTTCCTTCAGCATTCATCCCAGATGGTTCTTGGAGACCGGAAGGGGCTGTGAACACAGTGGGAACGGGTATCAAGCTTTGGTTGGAAACCTTATAAAAGGCTGTCAAAATATAGAGTCAGAGAGTCATGTGGAAAATGCCACCAGGGGCGTCAGCCTGTCTTTGAAAATGGTTTAAGGGAACATAGCAAACATTCAGGTCCTAGGGAAATGGATTAAAAGTGAGTCATCTTGTCCACCACTGGACTAAAGACACCCCTTTGGTAGTTGAGAAAGAGGCAGCTGCCAGTGCAGATAAAACACAAGATTTAGAGTCAGACAGATGCAGCTATGCACTGCTAATGTGTGTTTTTGTTTTGTTTTGTTTGTTGTTTTTGTTTTTTGAGACACAGTCTTGCTCTGTCTCTCAGGCTGGAGTGCAGTGGGGCAATCTTGGCTCAATGCAACCTCTGTCTCCTGGTTCAAGTGCTTCTCCTGCCTCAGCCTCCTGAGTAGCCGGGATTACAGGCACCCACCACCACACCCAGATAATTTTTTTTTTTTTTTTTTTTTGAGACGGAGTCTCGCTCTGTCGCCCAGGCGGGACTGCGGACTGCAGTGGCGCAATCTCGGCTCACTGCAAGCTCCGCCTCCCGGGTTCACGCCATTCTCCTGCCTCAGCCTCCCGAGTAGCTGGGACTACAGGCGCCCGCCACCGCGCCCGGCTAATTTTTTTTTTGTATTTTTAGTAGAGACGGGGTTTCACCTTGTTAGCCAGGATGGTCTCGATCTCCTGACCTCATGATCCACCCGCCTCGGCCTCCCAAAGTGCTGGGATTACAGGCGTGAGCCACCGCGCCCGGCCAACCCAGATAATTTTTTGTATTTTTAGTAGAGACGGCGTTTCACCATGTTGGCCAGGCTGGTCTTAAACTCTTGACCTCAGGTGATCCGCCCATCTCAACCTCCCAAAGTGTAGGGATTAGAGGCATGAGCCACTGCACCCAGCCTGCACTGCTAATGTTTAACTACCAGTAAAGGAGGTGGGAGTGAGAAGCCCTGATTTGTAGGGTTTGTCAATTTCCATGGTATAAATGTTCCCACCAATCTATAAGCCTGATGCTACTGAATATAGAGTGAGGAGAGATGGGCACGCTCACCTCTGGCAAGTGGGTGGAGTCGGCACCACACACTACCCTGTTGTCAGATCCTCTTACTGGCCTCCCATTGGCTATGTGAACCGGGCAGGTGAGTTATCCTCTCTGAGTCTTGGTTTCCTCATTTGTAAAAATACCTGGAGTCCATCCCCATTTCTCAGGGCTCCAGGAAGACTGAATGTGGTGCTGTTTATAGAATTGCTTTGTAAACTATACATCTAGAAAGAATGTCATCCTGGCTAACACAGTGAAACCCCATCTCTACTAAAAATACAAAAAAATTAGCTGGGCTTGGTGGCGGGCGCCTGTAGTCCCAGCTACTCGGGAGGCTGAGGCAGGAGGATCGCTTGAACCTGGGAGGCGGAGCTTGCAGTGAGCCAAGATGGCTCCACTGCACTCCAGCCTGGGCATCAGAGCAAGATCCTGTCTCAAAAAAAAAAAAAAAAAAAGAAAGAAAGAAAGAAACAAAGAACGCTAGTTTTTCAAGTTTAAACAATGGAAAAAGATACAATCAATTGATGTCTCTGAAAATATATATATTTTTGAGATGGAGTCTAGCTCTGTTGCCCAGCCTGTAGTGCAGTGGCGTGATCTCGGTTCACTGCAATCTGCCCCTCCCGGGTTCAAGCAATTCTCCTGCCTCAGCCTGCTAAGTGGCTGGGGTTATAGGTGTGCACCACCACACCCAGCTAATTTTTGTATTTTTAGTAGAGACAGGGTTTCACCATGTTGGCCAGGCTGGTCTCGAACCTCTGACCTCCAGTGATCCACCCGCTTCGACCTCCCAAAGTGCTGGGATCACAGGCGTGAGCCACTGTGCCTGGCCTACTGAAAATATTGAAATATTAATGATTAATATCTAATTAAAGTGTAGTGCTTAAAGTAGGAACTTAGAGTTATTTCATGTGATTCACTAAGGCCCTGGATATATTAAGGTCTGAGTACCACTGATCTTTAAAAAATTCTCTCCCAGTGAATTCTCATTCACACAACTATAATTCCAAAGGCATGTAAAACTGTACAAATCAAGGCTAAGATGCCAGAGAAAGGGGACTTTCTTAACCTTAAGAAGGAAGGCAGTCCAATCACCCTGAATGAAAAAATTAGGAGAAACATTTGCTGCCTTTGATCCTGCATGAATCAGCCATGTGACTTCTGCAAAGTCAATTAAACTTTCTGGGTCTCAAATCCCACATCTGGCTGTCGAATTTCCAGGCATCTATGATCCCCTCCCTTGGTAGCAGCATCTACGGGTGATATTTTCCCTAAGAACCATCCCTCCCCAACTCTCAGGCCTTGGTTTGGGTGAAGCTGACCCTACATTGTACTCCAGCGTGGGCGTGAGACCCTGACCTGCCAAACTGACTGCTGCTTCCCCTGGTCTCAGCAGCTGGTCCAGGAGAAACCATGAACTGAGCTTCAGCCAGCAAGAGGCAGCCTCAGGACTTCTACTAGAAATATCCATCAAGACGTACTCTTTCTCCTCTGGGGTTAAAGATCAAAGCCTGGGGTCATCTTGCTACTGCTGGGAAGAGAGAATCCAAAAGAAGTCAACACAGAACCAGAGGAGGAAAGAGGCAGGTTTCTGAAGACACTGTCTGAGCGACTCATCCAGCTGTGTTTAAGAACAGGTCTACTCCCTGGGCTTTTCATTTTCATTTTCTTTTTTCTTTTTTTTTTTTGGTCGGGGGGTGGGGACACCATCTCACTTTGTCACCCAGGCTGGAGTGCAGTGGCATGATCTTGGCTAAATGCAACCTCTGCCTCCCAGATTCAAGCAATTCTCCTGGCCTCAGCCTCCCCAGTAGCTGGGACTACAGGTGTGTGCCACCACGCCCAGCTAATTATTGTATTTTTAGTAGAGACAGGCTTTCGCCATGTTGGCCAGGCTGGTCTCAAACTCCTGACCTCAAGTGATCCACCACCTCGGCCTCCCAAAATGCTGGGATTGTAGGCATGAGCCACGGTGCCCAGCTGGCTTTTCATTTTCTGAGCTGATAAAATTTCCTTTTGACCCAAGCCAGTTTCACCTTCGTTTCTGTCCCTTGCTACTTGAATTGTCCTAGCAAACACATTCAAGTGAACCCTACCTCTGTGATGGCTACTCTCAGCTAGTTCCCCAACAGCCATTACCCCAGCCTTCCTCCTGGCAGCCAGAATCCACCTTCTCCCACAGAAACTGAAAATGCTGGGTATCTGCTTTTCCAGTGCACTTTATAGCAGCGGACCTGACCCTACTTTGGTCATGGTATCTGAGGTGATGATTGCTTAGAGTGAGTGGGAAAGATTTTTCCCCTAATAAAAAGAGGTGCACAGGAGGAAACCCCTGCTCCCGCTGCTGGTACGCTGCGTTGACATGTAATATCCGGAACTGCAGCAGTCACTTTGATTCCTTGAGCAACAAGCCTAAGGCAGCACCAAAGCTCTAAGGATGGCAGACGAGAAAGATAGACTGAGCCTGGTTTCTCGCTGGCATCACTGAGCCACCGAACCAACCCTGGAAGTGCTTACCTCCTAACTTCTTATGTGAGTCAAGAAAGCCCTGAATCTGAAGCTACTTAGGTTGGACCTTCTGTTACTTGCAGCTTAAAGCATCATAATGAACGCAAACTCTTGTTTTAGAATTCTGTGTCAGTGGTTGGCCGGGTGCGGTGGTTCACGCCTGTAATCCCAGCACTTTGGGAGGCTGAGACGGGCGGATCATGAGGTCAGGAGATCGAGACCATCCTGGCTAACATGGTGAAACCCGGTCTCTACTAAAAATACAAAAAAATTAGCTAGGCGTAGTAGTGGGCACCTGTAGTCCCAGCAACTCAGGAGGCTGAGGCAGGAGAATGGTGTAAACCCAGGAGGCAGAGCTTGCAGTGAGCCGAGATCATGCCACTGCACTCCAGCCTGGGTGACAGAGTGAGACTCCATCTCAAAAAAAAAAAAAAAAAAAAAAAAAAGAATTCTGTGTCAGTGGTGAAATGTTTTACTGTAAACATCATTGCCTCCTTAGAATAACTGGAGAATTCTAACCATCTGTAGAACAAGATACATATTCAGAGCCGTGTTTGGAAAGGCCCCTCACTGGAGCCCAAGCAGGTGCAATGCTCTGGACTCTTGGTAAAAGGTTTTATGCTCCCTTGCAGAAACACCTTGCCTGTGATAGTGATGTTCCCGATTTCCAAACTCAGGTTGGAGAAGGCATTCCTCACCAGCATGGTGACCAGAAAGGTGCCTGCAATACAAAGGACCCAGAGTCACAGCCATTGTCATGAACTTGACCAAGAAAACTCTCCCAGCTTGCTTCTCTAGTCCACCGATGCCTCCAACGAAATCTTTCACCTCTGAGCATTTAATGAATCCCTGCTGTATGTCAGGCATGGTGCAAGGCTCTGGGGACACAGAGATGAAGGAGCTTGGTTCTTGTCCTCAAGGGCCTTATCATGTAGTAGACACATAGGACAGTGAACGCCAAACCACGGGAGGAATCGGCATGGGGCACAGTGGGCATTGGGTGGGCCCGCTTCAACCTCAGGAGAGAAAGAAATGGTTCACAGGATAGAGCCAGGGCTGGAGCTAAATTCCAAAGGAGAAGTAGGTTCTCGATAGATAAGACTGCAGATTCCCAAGAGGGAGACACATAGCAGGATTGTCAGAAGCGTGGAGACAGTGGAAAAGGATATTTTATTTTATTTTACTTTACTTTATTTTATTTTTGAGACAGGATCTTACTCTGTCATCCAAACTAGAGTGCAGTGGCACGATCTCAGCTCACCACAACCTCCACCTCCCAGGCTCAAGCAATTCTCCTGCTTCAGCCTCCCGAGTACCTGAGATTACAGGCTCATGTCACCACGCCAGGCTAATTTTTGTATTTTTAGTAGAGACAGGGTTTCACCGTGTTGGCCAGGCTTGGAGAAGGATTTGTAAGATTTATTTAGATACATGTGTGTCCCATCCCTTCTCCCTCATGGGGAAGGGGCTATGGGTAGGGGCTACCTTCTGTGTTCTCAAGCCCAGAGAGAAATGCTTGAGAGAGGAGCCTTCCTTGGAAAGCCCGGTATGTGTCTGTTTGGGGTCCGCATGGACAGGCTTCATACTCATGCCCTTGAAGGAACAGTCTGTGACGGGAAGACGTGCGGGTGGGAAGGGGACGGGAGGAAGGGGCTCCATTTCTGCGTCTGGGAAATAATTGCATTTGGCTGGGAGTCGGCCAAGACATGGGTCAGAATGTTCTGTGGACCAGATGTGTGCCTTGGGGAGACGGATGCTGACGAGGGGAGGGAGAATGAGGAGAGTCCAACAGAGAGGGGAGGTGGCCAGGGAGAAGCAGCCAGGGCGTGTGACCAGCTAAAGGGGAGGCATCCCCCACCACCCCAGGAACAAAGGCCTATAAGGCCCAGCTGGGGGCCCCAAGAACCCAGAGAAGCTCCTACAAGAAAGAGGCAGCTTGAAACATCTGCTAGCCCTCAAGAGCCAGGCCAGCTAGGACTCGGCCAGCACCACCAAGTGCAAATGTCCCTGCCCTGTCCCGTTCCCTTTCCATCCTTCCACTCCCGCCACCCCTGGAGTCATCCAAATCTGTTGGCCTTAGGGGCAGGAACAGTCTGTTAATCATCTAATAGTGAGCAAAAGTCACAAAGCACATGGATATTTTATCAGAGAGGGATCATCTTCCCCTGTGGAGTGACCTTTATAGCAGCGACTTTCATGGCAGGAGTAATTTTTATAGGTGACAAAGCAAAACCTGCATCTGGCTTATAACCCACGCGTGGTGTGATTTTCCAGCTGCAGCAGCCTCTAGACTTTCCCTCTTCCAAGCTGGACCCTTGGTATCTGGCAAAGCCCGGATGGTTTTCTTCTCAAACCTATTGTCCCTTCTGCTATCTGGTTTGTGGAGTTGCTTGCAGAGGGCATGGTAACCCCACACCTGCACAGTATCACCCGTTTTCTAACACACTTCTGAGATCCAGGGGGAGCTACGGGCAGGTCCTGGATGGGCTGGAGACTCTGCCATTCTCATCACATTTCTGCCTGCTGATCTCATCCGGGCCCTCAAGAACTCTCTGTTCCTTACAGATTAAATGCAAATGGGCGCTGTGGCCACCTCCCCTGGCTGGTGCCTGCCAGTCTGTCCTCCCGTCAGCATCATTGCAAATACTTCTGAGATAGACCAGAGATGGGACTTGGACCCCTGCCCTGCCTCATCGAGGACTCTACTACAAGCTGGTTGGGGAGGGTGGCCCATGGCAGGCACAGACCCCAGTCAGATCATCCAGACGTTGCACCACAAATCTTGCTCAAGGTGCCATGCCCACTGAGTGCAGACCTTGAGGAAACGAAAACAAACAGCTCCCACCTTAAATCTTACTCAAGGGAGTTAACCCTATAGCCCGCACACACAGAAGACCAGAAAAATGACCATCTTTACCCTTTGCCTCATTATAATACTAAAAATCATGCCCGAGGGTGGAGCTTTAACATGCTAATGAGACATACCACACATCAAGAAGCATGTGACCAGACTGCACAGGCGCTGAACATTCCCCACCTCCACATGCTTAAACATCGCCCTTTTCCCATCCTACCTCCTTTCAGAATGCCGGGAGTGGTGGCTCATGCTTATAAACCCAGCACTTTGGGAGGTCGAGGTGGGCAGATCATATGAGGTCAGGAGTTCAAGACCAGCCTGGCCAACATGGTTAAACCCCGTTTCCACTAAAAATAAAATAGTCAGGCATGGTGGTACATGCCTGTAGTCTCAGTGACTCAGGAGGCTGAGGCAGGAGAATCTCTTGAACCAGGGAGGTGAAGGTTGCAGTGAGCTGAGATCACGCCACTGCACTCCAGCCTGGGTGACAGAGTGGGACTCCATCTCAAAAAAAAAAAAAAAAAGACAGGCCGGGCACGAGGGCTCACGCCTGTAATGCCAGCACTTCGGGAGGCCAAGGTGGGTGGATCACCTGAGGTTGGGAGTTCAAGAGCAGCCTGGCCAACATGGTGAAACCCCTCTCTACTAAAAATACCAAAAAAATTCTCCGTGCGTGGTGGCGCATGTCTGTAATCCCAGCTGCTTGGGAGGCTGAGGCACGAGAATTGCTTGAACCCAGGAGGCAAAGGTTGCAGTGAGTCAAGATCACGCCACTGACTGCACTCCAGCCTGGAAGACAGAGCAAGACTCCATCTCTAAAAAAAAAAAAAAAAAAAAAAGAACGCCTTCTGGACTTTTTGGGGAGTCAGCCCCTGAACCTCCACTCCAGTGCTGCCTTCTTTATGTTTGAACATAAGCCTCTAACAAAAGCCTCGTCCAGGAAAGTTTGAGTACATCAGAGCCTAAGACCCCATGGTCGGCAACACTTCCTCTCTCCATCCCCATCTCTGCCATTCTTGGTTTTTACCTCTTTCCCGCTAGGGCATCACCTGCAGTTCCCCAAACCACACTCTTCTCTAGAGATGTTTGAAGAAATCTGAATATGCCTGGTCTCTTACAGGGGCCCTAAATGGGGGTGATTTTGCCCCCCAGGGGACATTTGGCAATGTCTGACATTTTTGTCATCATGACTTGGGGTGCTGGTGTTACTAGCATCTGGTGAATAAAAGCCAGAGATGCTGCTAAAACTCCTTCAGTACCAGCCCCCAACTGTAACGAGGAATGATCCAGCTCCGAATGTCAGAAGTGCCGAAGTGGAGAGCTGATAACTCAACGATGGCAGATTACATCTGGCTGTTCCTTATCTTATGACCCAGGCAGGATGCTGTGAACCAAATCTATGTCCCGGACACACTGGAAAACTGGCCGGCAGGACCCTGGGCACCAAGTCACAAAGGGAAGAGGAGGGGCATCAGAAGGGGAGCCACTAACCCCATGTACCTTCAACCGGAACAGCCAGGCGGCAAATCCCAAATGGCTCTCCAAAGCTCACTTGCTCGTGGGAGAAGGTTGCATTGAGTCCAGCCACCTCAAAGGTCAGCTCTTCCGGGGTGCCCTGAGCCAATGAGATGGTGATCAATAGGTCCTGTCCAAGCTCCAAATGGTCAGAAGCCCAGGAGGCCTGCAGCCCTGACAGCAGCTCCACCAAGTGGACTGTAATGTTTCTGGAGATTGTAGAGGTGGTGGTGTTGCCGGTGGCTTGGATCTCCAGGCGGTGCCTCCCAGGGCCCATCAGTTTCTGGGTTTCTCTGTCCAGGATCAGATTGTACGGTAGCGAGCCCTTTTGGGTGGTGGACTCGGCCAGGGTTATGTCACCCAAAAGCACAGTGTAAGTCACTCCTGTTCCTAAGTGGGGTAAGAAAAATTAAAGAATGTTGGTAACAACCATGCGGTTGATAATACTATGGCAGCTCAGAGTCAGTCTCTGAAGCCTGATTCTGGATACAAACTTGGATACAGATGCAGACATAAAGAAATATGTAAGGATATGCCCCCTTCTCAAATATTAATGGTGGTTATCCCTGAGTATTAGGTTAATGACTGATTTCGTCTTTCTTTTGAGACAGGGTCTGGCGCTGTCGCCCAGGCTGGAGTGCAGTGGTGCGATCTCAGCTCACTGCAACCTCTGCCTCCCCGGTTCAAGTGATTCTCCTGCCTCGGCCTCTGGAGTAGCTGGGATTACAGGCGCCTGCTACCACACCCAGCTAATTTTTTGTATTTTTAGTAGAGACAGGGTTTCACCGTGTTAGCCAGGATGGTCTTGAACTCCTGACCTTGGATTTGCCCGCCTCAGCCTCCCAAAGTGCTGGGGTGACAGGCGTAAGCCACCGCTCCCGGCCGTGATTTTGTCATCTGGGGGTCCGCTCTGTTCATTTGCATATTCTAACTTATTTATACTATACATGTCTTACCCGAGAACCTAAATATTTGTAATTAAAAAATTACCACATTTAGTTGCCAGGGATGTCCTGGTCGGGGGAGGAGGAGGAGGACTAAAAGGGAGCATTTCTTAAGGGTGGGGGCTGATTTTTATGCATGAGAATTAGCTTTGGGTCTTGTTTTAAGCAGGAGCAAGTAAAGCCATTCCTTCATCCTACACTGGTGACCGCCCAGAACCCTGCAAACCAACATGAGAACTCAGCCCGTTCACGGGAAGATGGGGGCTCCCTTGCAGGTTGCAGATGGTTGTTCTTACTGGATGATAAATATTGCGGTTGACTCTTAAAATCTGACTTAAATCAACAAATTAGGATTCCTTCCAATAAAAACCAAGCTAGCGTAGTTCTCATCTGGGTGATGATGATGATAACTACGATATAAGCCCCATGAGAATGGGAACCCTGACTTTCATATTTACTGCTGCCTCGCCCACACCCGGCAGAGTAGTAGGCACTCAATTATATTAGTAGGATGAGTAAATAAATGAAGGATTATTTTGTTTCCTCAGGGGAACATATGAGCCCTCTTCATCCAACAAACATGCAAGAACAGAAGGGGTTTCCTGAGGGCTGTGTTAAAGCCCCATTATGACTTCCACAGCTATTGCTATGAGAGGGCTCCAGGTGGGATGTGAGGTCAAACCGAGCCACCTGCTCATTGCACTAGCTCTCTGCTGCCCTGTTTACATCAACAGGCCTCTATTCTAATCTCAAACTGGTCCTGGGCTTCAGGAAAAACGCTGCCCTGGGTGAGGATGAGTCTTAGCCAGGAGAGTCTCTATTGAGAGAAAGGATGATAATTTAAAATATTTAACAACCAGCACAGCATGGGCGCCAACCAATTAGAATGGATGCTCTGATAAATCAGAATAGACACTGCGACCAACAAATAGATGCCATGACCAATCAGAATAGATGCTGTGACCAATCAGAATGGACACCCTGACCCATCAAAATAGACATGACAACCAATCAGAGCAGTCTCTGTGACCGATTAGAAAACACAGGCTGGGCGCGGTGGCTCATGCCTGTAATCCCAGCACTTTGGGAGTCCGAGGCGGGTGGATCATGAGGTCAGGAGTTCAAGACCAGCCTGGCCAATATGGTGAAACCCTGTCTCTACTAAAAATACAAAAATTAGCTGGGTGTGGTGGTGGGCGCCTGTAATCCCAGCTACTTGGGAGGCTGAGGCAGGAGAATCGCTTGAATCCAGGAGGCGGAGGTTGCACTGAGCTAAGATCATGCCATTGCACTCCATCCTGGGACACAGCGAGACTCCATCTCAAAAAAAAAAAAAAAAAAAAAGGAAAACACACTGTGGGCAGGCACAGTGGCTCATGCCTGTAATCCCAACATTTTGGGAGGCCGAGGTGGGCAGGTTACCTGATGTCAGGAGTTCAAGACCAGCCTGGCCAACATGGCGAAATCCCATCCCTACTAAAATAGAAAAAAATAAAAAATTAACCTGGCATGGTGGCACGCACCTGTAGTCCCAGCTACCCAGGAGGCTGAAGCACGAGAATCACTGGAACCCGGGTGGTGGAAGTTGCAGTGAGCTGAGATCGCACCACTGCACTCCAGCCTGGATGACAGAGCAAGACTCTGTCTCAAAAAAAAAGAAAAGACACTGTGACCGATCAGAATGGACATGACAATCAATCAGAGCAGTCTCTGTGACCAATCAGAAAACACCCTGTGACCAATGAGAATGGACCTCAGCCATAACAGTTGGCATGGCTATACCAGTGGGTGCAGCTGAATACTGGCCTTGGCCAGGGGCAACTTGATTGTGCCAAGCTAGTCGATGCTGGCTGTACTGAGATGGGCTCAGGCCCAGTTGGTAGCAGTCCCAGTGCCACCTCATCCTAGTTAAATTCCCAAAAGGAAGTGACTCGGAAGTTCGGTTCTACAGGGATGCAAAGAAGGGCCTTTGGAAGGCTAGGAGCACTCACTACCTTACTAGCCTTCTGACTCTGGGCAAATGTTTTAACCTTTCTGTGTCTTCATTTCTTCATCTGTAACATGAAGATAATACTACTATGTAATGAGTAGACAAGTTTATGCAAAGCACTTAGAACAGTGCCTGGCACACACTAGGTGCTAAATAAATGAATAAATGATAGTTTAAAAATGAACTCGGTCAGGTGTGGTGGCTCACACCTATAATCCCAGCACCTTGGGAGGCCAAGCTAGGTGGATCATCTGAGGTCAGGAGTTTGAGACCAGCCTGACCAACATGGTGAAACCCTGTCTCTACTAAATACAAAAAATTAGCCAGGTGTGGTGGTGCATGCTTGTAATCCCAGCTACTTGGGAGGCTGAGGCAGGGGAATCACTTGAACCCAGGCGGTATAGGTTGCAGTGAGCTGAGATTGTGCCGTTGCACTCCACCTGGGCAACCAGAGCAAAACTCCATCTCAAAAAAAAAGAACTCAGTAGGTGATCCTTGTTACTATTTATTTACTTTTTTTTGAAACAGGGTCTCACTCTGTTGTCCTGGCTGGCATGCAGTAGCATGATCTCAGCTCACTACAGCCTCGACCTCCCGGGTTCAAGCCATACTCCCACCTCAGCCACCCAAGTAGCTGCAACTACAGGCATGTGCAACCATACCTGACTAATTTTTGTACTTTTTGTACAAATGGGGTCTCACCCTGTTGCCCAGGCTTGTCCCGAACTTCTGGGCTCAAGCGATGCGCCCGCCTCAGCCTCCCAAAGTGTTGGAATTGCAGGCTCAAGCCACTGCACCCAGCCCACTATTTATTAAGGTCTGGGAGTTGGATAGATTTGGAGGAAATCAGTGATTTTATAGCTTGCCTTGATGTGCCCAATTCTGCAGACTCACCTCCATCAAGCTCCACCTGAATCCACAGAGGATCCCCAAAGACAGCCTGGCAGAGAGGGCCGGCTCCTGACTGGGACAGGCCGGAGCATGCAGTCACACTGAGCGTCTCCATCTTGTCTCGCACGGTCACCTGCCTCTGAGCTGTCACATGCCACTCACTGGTTGTGCATTCAGCAAACACGGTGAATTCCCCAGGAGATGTGAACTGGTGGGTCACATTGCTGGACACATTGCCGGCCACAGTCAGGGACATGACCAGTGTTGGGGAAACACAAAGACACGCATTTACACATGCACTGACAGGGTTTGGATCTGCGCTCCTGCCCAAATCTCATGTTGAATTATAATCCCCAATGTTGGAGGTGGGGCCTGGTGGAAGGTGATTGGCTCATAGGGGCGTTTTCTCGCGAGTGGCTTGGCACCATCGCCCTGATGCTGTTCTCTTGGTAGTGAGTGGGTTTTCACAAGATCTGGTTGTTTAAAAGTGTATGGCTGGCCAGCCTTGGTGGCTTATGCCTGTAATCCCAGCACTTCGGGAGGCCGAGGCGGGCAGATCGCTTGAGGTCAGGAGACAGAGACCAGCCTGGCCAACGTGGCGAAACCCCATCTCTACTAAAAACACAAAAGTTAGCTGGGCGTGGTGGTGCACACCTGTAATCCCAGGTACTAGGGAGGCTGAGGCAGGAGGATCGCTTGAACCCAGAAGGCGGAGGTTGCAGTGAGCTGAGATCGCACCACTGCATTACAGGCTGGGCGACAGAGTAAGAGCCTGTCTCAAAAAAAAAAAAAAAAAAAAAAAAAAAAAAAAAAATCCAGCGAGTACTAGTAACACTAGCAATAATAGTAACAACTTAGACTATGTCGTTCCTGGCCTGAAAACCCTCCTATTATCCTCTGTAGTGGGTGCTACAGGGAATCCCCCAGATTCCACCCTTCAAGCCTGAGCATGCATTCCCCCAGTACACCTGTGAGCTGTGGCTGAGGGCTTACAGCTGAATCCATGTCCAGGAGTCCCTTTTAGCCAAAGGGAGCTGCCTCGCTCAAACCTACCTCCCCTCCCATGGACATCTGCACCCCACGAGTGCTCAGTGCCGGGGTATAATGGTCTGGCTCTCTGGCCTCAACTGGAAGCAACTCTGAGGGCCATCTCTGCTCAGAGGTTTCTGCAGGATCGTCAGGGTCTCTGTGGCCCCTGCATCCCAGTTCAACTCTCCTCTTGCCCCATCTTACTACTCCCTTCCCATGCTCCACAACAGAGTCTGTTTCCTGGTTCCTGTGAGACAAAGTAGCAAACTCAAGGAGATAGGTGTGCTCATTTCTGTTAGCCAGCATAATCACAGGAAGCCCCTGACTGCAGTGACAGGCAGCCCTCCAGAACACTTTGAAGACAAAACAGAATAGAGTGCTCGGCTTCCACGTCTCTAGCCTGAGTCACTATATCCCTAAAAAGATAAATGACTGGTCCTTTTCTTACATATAAGATAATGTCTCGCTGGGTGCAGTGGCTCACGCCTGTAATCCCAGCACTTTGGGAGGCCGAGGTGGGCGGATCACGAGGTCAGGAGATTGAGACCATCCTGGCTAACACGGTGAAACCCCGTCTCTACAAAAATACAAAAAAAAAAAATTTAGCCAGGCGTGGTGGCGGGCGCCTGTAGTCCCAACTACTTGGGAGGCTGAGGCAGGAGAATGGCGTGAACCCGGGAGGAGGAGCTTGCAGTGGGCCGAGATCGCGCCACTGCACTCCAGCCTGGGTGACAGAGCAAGACTCCGTCTTAAAGAAAAAAAAAAAAAGATAACATCTGAGATGGCTGGTGATTATGCTTCTGCAATCTACAACAAGATTTTTTTTTTTTTTTTTTGAGACAGAGTCTTTCTCTGTTGCTCAGGCTGGAGAGCAGTAGCAGGATCTCCGCTCACTGAAACCTTCGCCTGCCAGGTTCAAGCGATTCTCCTCCATCAGCCTCCTGTGTAGCTGGGAATACAGGCATGCACCACCACGTCCAGCTAATTTTTTTTTTTTTTTTTTTTTTTTTAGTAGAGATGGAGTTTCACCATGTTGACCGGGCTGGTCTTGAGCTCCTGACCCCAAGCGATCTGCCCACCTTGGCCTCCCAAAGTGCTGGGATTACAGGCATGAGCCACCGAAGCCGGCCAACAAGATATACTTTAGTCATCTAGAGGCAGATGCACTCTTGCACCCAAACTTTGATGTGATTTTACGTGGACTGAACCTCCACAACCCATATAGAAGCTGTGAGCTGAAACACTGTTTTGGAGCAGTCTGGCAGAACCTCTTTGAAAGACCTCCCAGGCTGTAGTTCTCAGTCTGTCGTCCTGAACAAAACTAACTTTAATTATTTAAAAAGCTTGATTTTTCTTTAGTTGACAGACCCCACCTACGTTAGACTGGCTAGCATCAACAGCTCTTCAGGACCAGGCTCCTGCTGAGTTTTTCAGCATCTTTCATTCTTCCACAGAGTCCTGAACTCCAGGCATGGCGAGGTCCTTGCAGTTATTTGAATACGCCACATGCTTTCAGGTCCATGCTACTCTCTTTTCTCTAGATCCATTGCTCTTGCCTTATAATTCTGGTTCCCCGAGAGAGGACTTTAGCTCTAGGTCACTCTAAGGCTCCTGCTGTTTTGTGGATTATTAGTTTCAGACAAATCTCTGCACGCCCAATATCAGCTGTGCGCAGAAGCAGCCGATTAACGGAAGAACAATGTCAATCCCTAGATTTGCCAGAAGGTGGCGCTCAGCTAACCAACGCTGGATTCACACAGATTTCACCAAAAGCAAATTGTTCTGTAAGGCCCGTAATACAGTTTCAGAAATGTGGAAAATTTTCCATGACAAACACAGAAAAAAAAAAGGCCCTCCATGCAAATGAATATAAGGCAAGGTAAAAAGGAGCTTCTAACAGAGAAGTCTTCTGACTCCTAAGCAATGCAATTCTTCCCAGGAGCTCTTATTATTTATCAACAATGGATACGAAGGGTTTGATTTAAACATCTCACCTCTTAGACTAATGATGAGTTAAGAAAAAGGAGGCTGCACCAACACATAAGAGAAAAGCACAGTGATATTTACACAAAAAAATGTGGCTTCCGTACATTCAAAAATCAAAATTCATGCTATTTTCCCTATCATAACCTGAGTTCTGTGGCTGCTAGTATTGATAAGAAGGCATCAGAAAGGCATTTCCCAGTGTTTATAAAAATGATTTTTAAAAGGTGGGTGGTGACCAGGCACAATCGCTCACGCCTGTAATCCCAGCACTTTGAAAAGCCGAGATGGGCAGATCATCTGAGGTCAGGAGTTCAAGACCAGCCTGGACAACATGGCAAAACCCCACCTCTATCTACTAAAAATACAAAAATTAGCTGGGCGTGGTGGAGCATGCCTGTAGTCCCAGCTACTCGGGAGACAGAGGCAGGAGAATCGCTTGAACCTGGGATATGGAGGTTGCGGTGAGCCGAGATCATGCCACTGCACTCCAGCCTGGGTGACAGAGCAAGACTCTGCCAATCCTCCACCCGCCCCCCCCCCCCCCAAAAAAAAGGTGGGTGGGTAGTTTCAAGGTCCAACAAATCTTTAATGTAAAGGAAGATGGACTATTTGGGTGGGGCAATGGTGGAGGAGGTGCCACCATCTATTTCCTTTGAAAGAGAAAAAAATGTCAGTGATTGTTGTTTAGAGCTAATGCCCAGAGAGACTGCAAATGTCAAACAGTGCTGTGTCTTAGATTTTAATCGCACAAAAACTTCCAGAGAATAATACAACAAACACCCTTGGATTCGCCATCCAGACTTAACAAACATTAACATTTGGTCCCATTTGCTTCTGTTCTAAACCACTGTTTATCACTGAAAAGTCCTGTGTAGCTGTGGGTCATAGCGGGGCTACATTTAGGCAATTTTGACTTATGCCAAATTCAAGTTCTACAAGATTTGGGGGCTGAAAGATTGTGTAACTTACAATCTGTCGTTTTCTTTACAAACTCATAGCAGTCAGGAAGAAACCCACAGAACAGTGGCATAGGTATTTGTATCACCCAGATATTTGCCCCCAAAACATCACTGTAAATAGTTTCTCATTTGACACCATGAAACATTCAAGGCAGCCACGAACACAAATGTGACAGGGGGCCATGTGCTGTGGCTCACACCTGTACTACCAGCACTGTGGGAGGCCGAGGGGGTAGATCACTTGTGGTTAGAGGTTCGACACCAACCTAGCCAACGTGGTGAAACCCTGTCCCTACTAAAAATACAAATATTAGCCAGGCATGGCGGCACATGCTTGTAGTTCTAGCTACTTGGGAGGCTGAGGCAGGAGAATCGCTTGAACCCAGGAGGTGGAGGTTGCAGTGAGCCGAGATCGAGCCATTGCACTCCAGCCTGGGCGATGGAGAAAGACCCTGCCTCAAAAAAAAAAAAAAAAAAAAAGAAAGAAAGAAAAGAAAAGAAAAGAAAACCTATGAGGTAGAGTGTTTGCAAAAGTAGCAGCAACAGTTCCTCCCATCCCATATAGAAGCACCTCGCAGTGTGGCTCCACACTCCTTCTATCAGTAGGTGGGGTCTATTCCTCCACCTCTTGAATCTGGTCTTGGCCATGGAACTTGCTTTGGCCAACGGTATCTTAGAAAATGTAACACAAGCAGAGATTTGAAAAAATGTTTGCGCATTGGGCTCCGCTGCTAGGAACACTGTGTGAATGAGCCTAGGCTAACCTGTTGAGTGATGAGCAGCATATGCTTCTAGCTGACATCCAGCTGACCACTAGGCATGTGAGTGAGTGAGGTCTTCCCGGACAGCCTACCCCAGCCAACTCCACTCAGACAAGAAAAGCCGCCCAGCTCTCCAAAGAACCGTAAGAAATGGTAACTATTGTTTTAAGCCACCAAGTTTTGGGTTGGTTTGTTATGTGGCAAAAAAACTGATGATACAACCTGGCTCAAGGCTCAGAGATTTCTCTTACCTCGGCGGGTTGTAGGGATCAAAAGTGTGGCTGTCTCCTGTACTAATTATACAGGACAGGTTTCCTATGTAGGGTGAGAGGAGCCACGTCAGGGAGATGGTGACATTGTCAAAGATGAAACTCTCACTGGACACCATCAGCTGCAGGGCTGTGGATTAAAACATAAAATGCTGCATGCACTTGTGAAGCAAAATTGCACATTTCTGTTTATAACCGACTCTCTTCTGGCTACCTGTCCAGTATTTTTATGTGGGTCTTTTTTTTTTTTTTTTTTTTTTTCTCACAGGGTCTTGCTCTTTCACCCAGGCTGGAGTACAGTGATGCGATCATGGCTCACTGCAGCCTCGATCTTTCCAGGCTCAGGTGATCTTCCCACCTCAGTAGAGACTGAGTAGCTGGGACTACAGGTATGTGCTACCACACCCACTAATATTTATTTTTATTTTTTGAGACAGGGTTTCACTCTGTCGCCCAGGGTGGAGGGCAATAGCATGATCTCTGCTCACTGCAACCTCTGCCTGCTAGGTTCAAGTGATTCTCCCACCTCAGCCTCCCAAGTAGCTGGGATTACAGGTGCATGCCACTACGGCTGGCTAATTTTTGTATTTTTTGGTAGAGACAGAGTTTCACCATGTTGGCCAATGGTCTCGAACTACTGACTTCAAGTGATCTACTCCCCTCAGCCTCCCAAAGTCCTGGGATTACAGGCATGAGCCACCACACCCAGCCTAATTTTTAGATTTTTTGTAGAGACGGGGTTTCTCCACGTTGTCCAGGCTTGTCTCCAACTCCTGGGCTCAGACTATCCTCCTCCCTCCCAAAGTGCTGGGATTACAGGCGTGAGCCACCGCGTCCAGCCAAGGGGAGCAACTTTGAATGAGGGAGTCTCTTAGCACACAGAGATCAGCCCACGTGGGTGGCTGCTGTCTCTGTTTTCAGGGGAAGCTGGACATGCCATAAAATCAGAGGGACATTTCTATGCTCAAGCAAGTCGGGGACTCACCTTCCCGGCACTGGTACTGCACCCACAGGTAACTGCCCTGAGTCGGACACAGGTTTCCAAAGTAGGTCTCATCTGCTGCCACCTGGCATGACTGTAGCTCCTGGCACTGGCCTGGGAAGCACGCACATCCCAGCGGAAGCAGGAATGGTGTGCAAGACAAAAGAGGATACATTCAACAGAGCTGTACAGAGATGAATGGCCTCTCACCCACTCATTCATTTACCCACCATCCGCCCAACAAATAGCTTTTGATATCTCCTGAAGACCAGGTACTGGGCTAGGTACTCAGGTGAGGGAGAAGTAGGATTTCTGTCCTCAAGTAGTTCAGGGTCTAGCATCCTGGTCTCAAACTTCAGCTTGCAACAGATCCCCCTGTGAGTCTTGTGAAGATACCATATTCCAGACCCCACCCTCAGCGATTCTGATTCAGTAGGTATGGAGTGCAGCTGGAGAATATGCATTTCTAACCAGTTCCTATGGGATGCTGATCCTGACATTGCTGGCCCAGGGACCCCACTTCAAGAACCACTGGTCCAGCAGCGTCTAGAGAGATGGCCCAAAATAGAAATCTACACCCAGAGAACCGGCAGAGGAGGCAAGATTAGGAATCCTGCGTCTATCATGGTACCACATGCCCACAGAAGGGAGGAGCAGGGACAGCCCATTCCAGAAGCTTCAGGGTCATCCAGCACCTCTCCCTCCTGCCCAGCGAGATCTGTTAGATGCCCACAGGGAAGCCTGGGAGAAAGAAACAGGTCCAGAACACCCACCTGTGCTTCTCCCAGTTACCTGCTAGGTCCCACTTCTTCTGGGCAGTTGGCCCTGGGCCCACAGAGCCACCCTCACCCTGCCATGCTTGTATCACAGCGAACTACATTTTCCAAACTCCCTTGGCCACTGGCTCCCAGGTAGGCTTGGCCAATGGCCGGCACTACTGAAAGACTGGAGGGTGGTGTATTCATTTCCAATCACTGTTGTAACAACTTACCACTAACTTAATGACTTAAATCTACATAGATTTGGCTGGGAGTGGTGGCTCACACCTATAATCCCAGCACTTTGGGAGGCAGAGGTGGGCAGATTACCTGAGGTCAGGAGCTCGAGACCAGCCTGGCCAACATGGCAAAACCCTGTCTCTACTAAAAATACAAAAATTAGCTGGGCGTGATGGCACATGCCTGTAATCCCAGCTACTCAGGAGGCTGAGGCAGGAGAATAGCTTGAGCCTGAGAGGTGAAGATTGCAGTGAGCAGAGATCACGCCATTGCACCCAATCCTGGATTACAGAACAAGACTCAGTCTCAAAACAAACAAACAAACAAAAACGCAGATTTTTGTCCAGGTATGGTGGCTCATGCCTGTAATCCCAGCAATTTGGGAGGCTGAGTCAGGTGGATCACTTGAGGTCAGAAGTTCGAGGCCAGACTGGCCAACAAGATGAAACTCCATCTCTACCAAAAATACAAAAACTAGCTGGGTGTGGTGGCACGCGCCCGTAGTCCCAGCTACTTAGGAGGGTGAGGCAGGAGAATCACTTGAACCAGGGAGGTGGACGTTGCAGTGAGCTGAGATTGCGCCACTGCACTCCAGCCAAGGCAACAGAGCAAGACTTTGTCTCAAAACTAAAATAAACAAAAATAAAGCAGCACAGATTTTTTAAATCTCACAATTCTGTATGGTGGTCAGAAGTCTGGGTGGGCTCAGCTGGCCTCTGCTCATATCACAGGGCCGACACCAAGGTGTCAGGGCTGTGTTTCTTTTTTTTTTTTTTTTTGAGATGGAGTTTTGCTCTTGTTGCCCAGGCTGGAGTGTAGTGGTGCGATCTCGGCTCACCGCAATCTCTGTCTCCCAGGTTCAAGCGATTCTCCTGCCTCAGCCTACTGAGTAGCTGGGATTACAGGCATGTGCCACCACAACCAGCTCATTTTGTATTTTTAGTAGAGATGGGGTTTCTCCATGTTGGTCAGCCTGGTCTTGAACTCCCAACCTCAGGTGATCCACCTGCCTCGGCCTCCCAAAGTACTGGGTTTACAGGTGTGAGTCACTGCCCCTGGCCATTTTTTTTTTTTTTTTTTGATACGGAGTCTCGCCATGTCACCCAGGCTGGAGTGCAGTGGTGCCATCTTGGCTCACTGCAACCTCTGCCTCTCAGATTCAAGCAATTCTCCTGCCTCACCCTCCTGAATAGTTGGGGCTCCAGATGTACACCACCATACCCGGCTAATTTTTGTATTTTTAGTAGAGACAGGGTTTCACCATGTTGGACAGGCTGGCCTTGAACTCCTGATGTCAGATGATCCACCCACCTCAGCCTCCCAAAGCACTGGGATTACAGGTGTGAGCCATCGTACCCAGCCTCTTGCTTTTTTTAAGCATCTCTTCTCCCTTGACACAGCAGTTCCCCCAGTGGAAGCTCCAATTAACTGGCAGCTGTCAGCATTTAACTAGACTCAGACCCTACCCCCCAGGATTCTGATTCAGTAAGTATGGGGTGCAGCTGGAGAGTGTGCACGTCTAACAAGCTCCCAGGGGATGCTGATCCCGATACTGCTGGCCCAGAGCCAGCTGGAACAGAGCATGCAGAAATTTCAACCCCATTTGCAGAGTGCATACAAGGTGCTACACTCTTCCCCCAGGTTCTCCTGACCCTCACAGGAGCCCCATGAAACTTAGAAAGATTCTGCAACTTGCCTGGATCACCCAGGCAGCAGGGGCTGAGCTGGGATTTGAACCCCAACCTGCCGCCCTTTTGCCATGTACCCTGCTGCCCACATCCCAGGGGGTTCTGCCCCATCCTTGGACTCGGTCTAAGCAGTTTGCTTAGACAAACTGGGGGTGGCAGCAGGGCTCACCTTCCAGCTCACAAATTAAACCACGCATAATATTCAACATCCCCTTGTAATGGATAAACTGCCTCAAGACGCAGAGGCCACGTCCCTGCTGAGGTTTTTTTCTAATACTGTTGTTACCCAGCGAGACCATCCTGGGCTCTCTCTCCACCATCACGGTTCATACTGCAGTCCACACCTGAGCCTGCCACCTCATGTCCTCACCACCTTGTCCCCCAGTCTTTCTCGTGGCTGGATCCTGCACTTCCCTCACAGCCAGGCTCCTGATGCCGCCCCCGTAAAGCTTTCCTGAGCCCCACCTCCACCCCGTGATCTGGGGGGCCCCTCTGATCAAAAGGGAACACGAGCCACCACCACATCTCTGTTCTCAGATTAAACAGACTCAAAGAGAGGTCTAATTCCAGAACTTGAGGACAGAGTTTTTTCTATGACTCTTCGTAGCCACATATAATCCACTTAAAAAAAAAAAAAAACTAAATCTGATCTAATTCCAGGATTTAACACGCCTTGCAGACAAAATTTAAAATCCCTTCAGGTCCCCAGATGCCTTGAGGCTCAGAATGTGGCCCAAAGACATTTGGGATCCTAAGTGGCATCACTTGGGAGTGAGTTGGAAATCAAGTCGGAGGTTTTTAAAAATTTTTGGTTCACTGCAACATCTCCAGGACATAGAACAGTACCTGGCACATAGTAGGTACAAAATAAGTTTTGCATGACTAAATAGATAGTGTTTGCTCTTCTGGGTTGCGGCATTTATCACAGCATTAGTTAATTGCCTGTATATCACTGTCTCCCCACTCCGCCGCAAGCTCTTTGAAAAACAGAGCTTGGGCCAGGTGCGGTGGCTCATGCCGGTAATTCCAGCACTTTGAGAGGCCAAGGTGGGTGGATCACTGGAGGCCAGGAGGTACAGACCAGCCCGGGCAACATGGTGAAACCCTTTCTCTACAAAAAATACAAAAATTAGCTGGGTGTGAGGGTGCTTGCCTCTAATTCCAGCTACTTGGGTGGCTGAGGCAGGAGAATCGCTTGAGCCCGGGAGGCGGAGGTTGCAGTGAGCCACGACTGTGCCACTGCACTCCAGCCTGGGCAACAGAGCAAGACTCCATCTCAAAAAAAAAAAAAAAAAAAAAAAAAAAAAAAGCACCACCAAAAAAAACCAAGTGTTTATTGGCTAACTGAATGAATGAGGGACCAGGGTGCTTAGATACAGACCCCGCGGGATCCTCTCTGCGCTCCTCCTCCGACTCCCACAACAGGGCTCCCCTCTAACGTGCTCTCTGAGCTGTGGGTACCACATTTCAGGAACTTGCAGCTGAGCCTTTGAGGAAACAGCTCACTAAGCCCCAGCAGTGCCTTGGTGAGGAAGGTACATCCATTCTCCCGTCCGGGGCCCTTTCTCCTTGCAGGGGCCACAGCCTCAGGAACGCTGGAGTAAGAAGAGTCAGTGAAAACCAGCCAGCTGATTTTAGCGTTTCCTTTCCCCATGCCTGCTCCAAAAGGCAGGAGGACAGAGGAGCCATTCTCAGTTCCCCGAGGCAGGAGAAAGTTCTGGGAGTACTGGCGTCCCTCCCTGAATCTTCAAAGGGTCTTTGGGCAGAAGCAGAGGCTCAGAGGAGAGTGCCAAAAGGCACAACTGGGGAGGCTGGCCCCCAGGACCTGAGGCTTGCAGCCTGGCCACACGGGGCTGTGTCCTCACTTAGCCAAGAAGCAGCAGGCCACTTGCTTTCCTGGACCCTCCAGCGGGGACAGTGGTGACTGCAGCAGAAAGAAGAGGGTTTCCCGATGTCCTGGACCAGGGAAGTCTCTGAGGAGTTTTTACCTCCTAGCAGGGTGCAAGAAACCCCCATAATCCCGGAAATTGAATCCTAGTCACTGGGCAAGCGCAACTCAGAAGTAGATTTAATCTGATTTAGAAAAACAAAGCCCTAGAGTAACTCTCCCACGTGAACAAGATACCATCTATCAGGAGCTTGGCTTCAGCGTTATTCACAGTCACAGAGATTAAGAACCAACCTTTCTCAACAGGAGAAGAGACAAATGGCGGCACAGTTACACAACAGATGAAACAAATAAACCAGCACAACATGTATCAAGACGGATAATACATCTCAAAAACAAGATGTTGAGCAAAACACAGGAACCAAAATGAAAAGAAAAATGCATTCTATAGAACGACACACAATATGATACCATTTATATAAACATTAAAACCCTGCAAAGTGGCCAGGCACAGTGGCTCACACTTGTAATCCCAGGAAGGCCAAGGTGGGCGGATCACCTGAGGTCAGGAGTTCGAGACCAGCCTGGCAAACATGGTGAAACCCCGTCTCTACTAAAAATATAAAAAATTAACCTGGTGTGGTGGCGCACGCCTGTAGTCCCAGCTACTCGGGAGGCTGAGGCACAAGAATCGCTTCAACCCAGGAGGCAGAGGTTGCAGTGAAAAGAAATTGTGCCACTGCATTCCAGCCTGGGTGACAGACTGAGACTCCGTCTCAAAAATAAATAAATAAAAAATAAATTAAAAAAATAGATTTAAAAAAAAGCCCTGCAAAAGCAACAGTCTGTAGTGTTTAGGAATACGTGCCTAGAAGGTGAAAATAAAGCAGGCGCAGTGGCTCACGCCCGTAATCCCAACATTTGGGGAGGCCGAGGCAGGCGGATGGCCTAAGCTCAGGAGTTCGAGATCAGCCTGGTCAACATGGTGAAACCCCGTCTCTTCTAAGAATACAAAAACTGGCCAGGAGTGGTGGCACCTGCCTGTAATCCCAGCTACTCGGGAGGCTGAGGCATTAGAATCGCTTGAACCCAGGAAGCAGAGATTGCAGTGAGCTAAGATCGGGCCACTGCACTCTAGCCTGGGCAAGAGTGAGACTCTCTCTCAAAATAAAGAGAGGGATCCACAGGAGTCTCCTAGTGTTGTATTCATTTTTCTTTTTCCTTTTTCTTTTCTTTTTTTCTTTTTTGAGACAGAGTCTTGTTCCATCGCCCAGGCTGGAGTGCGATGATCTGATTTCGGCTCACTGCAACTTCCGCCTCCAGGGCTCAAGCGATTCTCCTGCCTCAGCCTCCCAAATACCTGGGATTACAGGCATGTGCCACCAGCCCGGCTAATTTTTGTATTTTTAGTAGAGATGGGGTTTCACCATGTTGGCCAGGCTGGTCTGGAATTCCTGACCTCAGGTGATCCACCTGCCTTGGCCTCCCAAGTGCTGAGATTACAGGCATGAGCCACCACGCCCGACTGTATTGATTTTTCTAACGAGGGAATCTTAAGCAAATGAGGCACGGTGTTCAGATCTGATGAAGGTGGGTAGTAGATCTGTGGGAGTTCATTACAGTATTTTCTATTCTTGTCTATACGTTTGGAGTATTTCAAAAATTTAAAAATTAAGTTAAAAAAGTGATGTTTCCTGCATCCAGCAGGGGTCGAGGCACGCCATGCCCACCAGATCCATGGCTGTGTTTGATGTCGGGGAGGGTGGACCACAGCCCCCTGCTTCCTTGCTCCGTGCGATGGGCAGGGACTGGCCAGTTTTCCCCCATGTTGGAGGCCCACGGTCAGAGATGAAGATTATCAGAGGCTTCCGGAACCCTTTGCTGAGCACAGAATACCAGCAACTGCCCTCTGCTGGCCGCCAGAGCTGCAGAGCCCTTGGGCCCTACCTGCCACCTCCTCCTTGACGTTGGCCCAGCTGCATCCCTGCTCCAGATCTGAAGGACGCCCGGCATCCTGGGTGCAGAAATGGGGATTCTGGCGCCCGTAGACGGCATCCTGGACCTGGATGACCTGCCCCAAGCCACAGTGCACGGTGGCATTGAGTCCCTCGCAGGCCAGGCTCTGGCCAACCCCTGAGGCAAAGGGAAGGCAAGACATTAGGGGGGCTCACGGTTACAGACAGGTGAGTGCCGGTTCACGGGAAGAGGAGGGTCCCGGGGGTTGGGCTGAGATGCAAGAACCCGATAGGAGCCGCTTGGCAGGGGTGATAAATTGAATATGATTGTCGGCAGCATTGTGCTGAGCCAGGTTCCCTGGGATCAGATCCAGCCCAGCCACACACTGCTGCTGTGTGACCTTCAGCAAGTTAGTTAGCTTCTCTGTGCCCCCACTCTCATACTAAACCTCATGCAGGCCGGGCTCCGTGGCTCACCCCTGTAATCTCAGCACTTTGGGAGGCCGAGACGGGCGGACCACTTGAGGTCAGGAGTTCGAGACCAGCCTGGCCAACATGGTGAAACCCCGTCTCTATTAAAAAAAATACAAAAATTATCTGGGGATGGTGGCTCGCACCTGTAATCCCAGCTACTCGGGAGGTTGAGACAGGAGAATCACTTGAACCTGGGAAGCGGAGGTTGCAGTGAGCCAAGATCACACCACTCCAGCCTCAGTGACAGAGCAAGACTCCATCTCAGAAAAAAAAAAAAAAAAAAGCGGGAAAGACAGAAACAGAGATGAGACAGGTGGGCAGGCAGGAAGGTGGGCAGGTGGATGGGGACAGGGCAGGGATGAGTGACGGAGCATCACGTGGGCAGAGAGAGATGCATAGAGACAGGGAGAGAAAGCTGCGGACAGAGGTAAGGTCAGAAAAACACACACAGGTCAGCTCTTCAGCAGGGAGATGGGGACAGAAACCGGCAGGCCCTGAAGAGCGAGAGGGAGACAGAGAGACCACAGAGGCAGGAAGAGAGTCAGAGACCAAGGGAGAGAAAGAGAAAGAGTTAGAGAAAAACAGAAGGGGAAGAAAGACCCAGAGAAAACTGAGACAGGGGAGGCGGCAAGAGAAAGAGAAGGTCAGAGAGATGGAGGCAGGAACAGGAGGGAGAGGCGAGCCTGGAGAGAGGCCTGCAGGCAGGCAGGGAGACAGGGTGGGAGATGGGAACTCAGGGGCACGGGCCACTCACGGAACTCGCACATGAAGGCGAAGGTCTGGGCGCAGTCCGAGGTCACCCACTCAGAGGAAGGGCCTCTCCCGATGTGGCCGCAGGTGTCAGGGGCAGCGGCGGCCTGCCCTCCATGCCAGTTGCTGTAGGTCACATTGGAGGTGTCCAACCAAGTCCCCGGCCCTGGAAGGGCAACACGACCACCAGGACTCAGTAACTGTCTTCAAACTCCATTTATACAAATGCAGGACTCACGCCTGCTCTGCCGCTGCTGGGCAGCAGGTCAGCAATTAATGTTGATGGGATGGAGACCTCTCTCTCCAGGACCAATAAAGTTCTCTTCCTCACTGTCATCATCAAACACTCAATGTAAGAACTGGAACACCAAATTGGAGAGCTTGCAAAAGGTGCTTTGATTAAATAAATGAGGCTGCCAGCTCTGTCTAACCATAATCAATAATTTATTTATTTTGAGATGGGGTCTTGCTCTGTCACCCAGGTTGGAGTGCAGTGGTGCCATTTCAGCTCGCTACAAGCTCCACCTCCCAGGCTCAAGTGATCCTCCCAGCTTAGCCTCCTGAGTAGCTGAGACCACAGGTGCAAGCCGCTATGCCTGGCTGATTTTTTTGTATTTCTGGCAGAGACAGGGATTTTGTCTTGTTGCCCAGGCTGGCCTCCAACTCCTGAGCTCAAACTCCACCCACCTCAGTCTCCCAAAGTTCTGGAATTGCAGGCATGAGCCACCACACCTGGCCCTGAGCACAGTCTAAGGAAGAGCCAGGGGCCAGGCCCAGTGGTTCATGCTTGTGATCCTAACATTGTGGAGGTGGGAGGATCACTTGCACCCAGGAGTTTAAGACCAGCCTGGGCAACCTAGAGAGACCTTGTCTCTACAAAAAAAAAAAAAAAAAAATTTAGTCAGGCATGCTGCCTGTGGTCCCAGCTACTCGGGAGGCTGAGTTGGGAGGATTGCTTGAGCTGAGGTTGGGGCTACAGTGAGCCATGATCGTGCCCCTATATTCTGGCCTGGGAGACAGAGCAAGACCCTGTCTCAAAATAATAATAATAATAATAATAATAATAATAATAATAATAAAGTCCAGAAGTGGGCTAAGGGATGTTTTAACATATCATCTTCTTCATAAGCTGTGTCCCTTGCCAAGTACACCTGGGCAGTGCTGAGTTAAAACATGAGCAGTTATTGTTACTTTGGGCCTCTTCAGATCCTTGAAAATACTGATGTAACTCTTTAAAAGGAGTGTGTGTGTGTTTATGTGTGTGTGTGTGTGTGTGTAAAACAGAACCATGTCGAGGACACCAGAGAGCTAGAAAACACTAAATATCAAAATTTACTATGGATTGGGCATGGTGGCTCACGCCTGGAATCCCAGCACTTTGGGAGGCCAAGGTGGATGGATCACTTGAGGCCAGGAGTTCAAGACCAGACTGGCCAACATGGTGAAACCCTGTCTCTATTAGAATTACAAAAATTAGCCATAATTCCAGCTACTAGGGAGGCTGAGGCAGGGGAATCACTTGAACCCGGGAGGCAGAGGTCGCAGTGAGCCAAGATGGTGCCGCCACTGCACTCCAGCCTGGGAAACAGAGTGAGATTGTCTCAAAAAACAAACATTTATTATGGGTACTCAGAAACGTAATTATTAATTTATTGAAAGAGACTCATGCAAATGAAATGGTTTTAAAAAATCCAAAGGGTCTAAAATGAAAGTATCTTCCCTCTCCAAGCTATGGGCTTCTCCATCATTGTTATGTTTCTCATAAATGATTCCAGGATGAATTGAATTGTATCCACACATCAGCATCTATGAGTGCCTGAAATCTACTTACATAAATGTCATGTGATTGCACACAGTATCTGGCCCTTGCTTCTTAAATGACATTAAATATTGGAGGTTGTTGCCTATCAGCCTAGTTAGAACTACCTCATTTTCTGCAACAGCCACACGGTATCCCTGGAGAGGTGTTAATAGGCACACCTCCTCTAGCTGGATGTGAAAGGATGTTCAATACACAGAAATCGGCAATTGTTGCATCTACACCTCAAGAAACCATTCAGGAGACATTGTCTGCAGGGGCGTCTTAAGAATTCAAATCCCCTTGGCTGTGGGTTTTCTTAAATGAGCTTCCCGGTAGCTCATTTATTAAAACACTTCCATCCACGCTGGTGTTGTTCTGTGGCTGTTCGGCACAGGCCATGTCTCATTTCTCAAACCCAGTAGCTTCTACAGGGGCAAAGAGAACCTCTGGGTACCAAGGTGCCCAGTAGGAAAGTCAGGCTTAGCATTGCTCTGACTGGTAGAGACCCCACTGTGCACCACCAGCTATGTCATGTTGAGCACGTCTTTTCTCTCTAGACTTCATTTTCCTCCTCCGTGAAAGGAGAGTAGCCACGCTTACCTCATGGGATCCGTGTGAGGCTTAAATGCAAATGTTTTCTTGTCCATTCTCTCTCTCTCTTTTTTTTTTTTTTTTTTTTTTTGAGACAGTTTCTCTCTGTGTTGTCCAGGCTGGAGTGCAATGGCACAATCTTGGCTCACTGGAACCTCTGTCTCCTGGGTTGAAGGGATTCTCCTGCCTCAGCCTCCTGAGTAGCTGGGATTACAGGTGCGTGCTACCATGCCCAGCTAATTTTTCTATGTTTAGTAGAGATGAGGTTTCACCATGTTGGCCAGTCTGATCTCGAACTCCTGACCTTGAGTGATCCACCTGCCTCGGCCTCCCAAAGTGCTGGGATTACAAGCGTGACCCACCACGCCCAGCCTCCTTGTCCATTCTCAATTGTGTCTAGGCACTGGGAAAACAAAAATGGCCAGGGTATGGTTCTTTCCTTGAAGGGCTTGTAGTCTAGGAGGGAGACAGACAACTTAGCTGTTTAAGCCACAGCAAAAGTACTGCCTTGGAAGTGTGAACAGGGCCCTGCAGGCTCGTAGAGAACGACTCACCTGACTGCACTGGGTGGGGGAAGGAGCCTTCAGAGAATAAAGGAGGACTAAGACTTTCAGGACCATTAAAATTAGACTGTGAATGGAACTATGCTAAGCACTTGGTCTGCTTTAATGTCAGAGCAAGTGGGGAAAGACAAGTGGGACACTTTAAAAAATAGCTTAGTCATTATTTTCTGAGACTCAGTTTTCTCATCTGTAAAATGGGGACATAAGGCCGGGCGCAGTGGCTACCACCTGTAATCCCAGCACTTTGGGAGGCCAAGGCAGGCGGATCACAAGGTCAGGAGATCGAGACCATCTTGGCTAACACGGTGAAACCCCGTCTCTATTCAAAATACAAAAAATTAGCCGAGCATAGTGGCATCTGCCTGTAATCCCAGCTACTTGGGAGGCTGAGGCAGAAGAATCACTTGAACCAGGGAGGCAGAGGTTGCAGTGAGCCGCGATCGTGCCACTGCACTCCAGCCTGGGCAACAGAGAGAGACTCTGTCTCAAAAATAAATAAATAAATAAATAAATAAATAAATAAAAAATGGGGACATGATTTTTCTCATTGTTATTGTAAGAATTCAACATGATAGTGACAACGAAGCACTCAGGATAGTGCCTGGCACTATCCTAGCAAGAATCAAAGCAGTCAGAGTATTACTATTAGGAACAGGCAAAGAAGCGAACATTTCTAGAGGGTCAGAATTTGATGTGCCAGATTCTGTGCTAGGCATTAGACATGAATTATTTAATCCACAACACAACCAAAGGGAAGGGTATCCATACCATGAGAATTAGGTCGTATTAATTTGTTCCATGTTTCTTTGGGTGAGAAGTGATGGCAAGAATTGCAAACACAAGTTTCTCATAAAACAGCGATCACGGCACCTACCCTCCGTGGTTCCATTCCGTGCCAAGTTCCACGTGAGTCCAATCCACCATTCCCTGTCCTGGGAGATGTGCTTCTGCAGAAACCACTGGGTGCCTTCGTCCTGAATGAAGACCAAATGGCCTCCTTGCCCCTCGCACCAGCTCTGGGCATCACGGAAGGTGCGTCCGAGTGGCACAAATTCATAGCAAGCATCTCTGAAGGCCACCTGGCTGTTAGAGCAAAAGCTGCCTTCCTCTGGCTTAACAGTGGTGGCCCTAAGCCTCAGAGCAAGCACCAGGAGTACCAAGCCCACTGCACTCATGCTTGAACCACTGCTGGGGCCTCTGGATGGAGCTCGCTCTTGGGACTTTCATATGCGGGTGCCCTCACATCCACCCGTCATCCATCTTCCCTTCTGTCTTTGCATCACATAATGGCAGCTACCTTTTGTTGAAGAAACAAAAGGCTCAGCTTGACAGTGTCTGCGTTTTTGCGTCACCCAGCTCTTTGTTCCACGCCTGCTCCAAAGCCTATTAATTTGTCAGATGGTCTTCTCGGGAAAGATAAAGTTGCTATATCACCTGTCTGCTTATCTTTCAGTCAACTGTTAGCGGTGGATAAAAAGTCCTTGCTATTGGTTTTATGTCATTACCCTGAGGGCTGTATGTTTCGTGCAAAGCCATCAGCATGTGGGAAGTGTGTGATAAAAGAAAAATGGGAGGAAGGTTGGAGAATGGCAGGAAGGCAGGAAGACGGTAAAGAAACCAAGTTGCTTTTATATCCAAGCCCATTGTGCCGAGCGGCAGCTGTGCCCAAATGATACCCATTCTCTCCCCAGCGTGGCTGAAATCCTAATAGATATTTGGTCCCCTCTCTGATTCACCACATTATTCATCACCCATACCTGCTGGAGAATAAAAATCCCCTAAAAAATTTATTGGATGTCATAAGCTCAGAACTGACCATCCTTATCCACTACTTACACCTTCCCGTGGGTTTCCATGGTCCATGGATCAAGTTCAAATTTCCTAGCTTTGTATACAAGGCTTTGTATGGTCTGGCCTCCGAGAGTATTTCCAAACACATCCTCCCAAATGTGGAGAAACAAGCTGTCTCTCTGCTTGCTGGTGGTAAATTGGTACAACCTCTATTGTGGGCAATGTGATAATATCCATAAAAATTTTAAAAGCACAAACTCTATAATGTAGCAATTACACATCTAGGAATTACACCAACAGGTAAATTCATACATGTGTGAAATGCCATATGAATAAGATTATTCTTGGCAGAATTTGTTAAGAAGGAAAAATTGGAAACAACCTAAATGTCCATTGATAGGAAACGGGTTCACAAAACATGGTCTATCATATATAACCACTTTTAAAATGAACAAATTCTTCCTCTGCAAATTTGGAAGGATCCCTAAGGTTTTTGTTTTTTATTTGTTTGTTTTGAGACACAGAGTCTCGCTCTGTCGCCCAGGCTGGAGTACAGTGGCGCAATCTCAGCTCACTGCAGCCTCCACCTCCTGGGTTCAAGCAATTCTCGCGTCTCAGCCTCCCGGGTAGCTGGGACTACAGGCAGGCACCACCACGCCCTGCTAATTTTTTGTATTTTAGTAGAGATGGGCTTTCACCAAGTTGCCCAGGATGGCCTCGAACTCCTGAACTAAGGCAATCCACCCACCTCAGCCTCCCAAAGTGCTAGGATTACAGATGTGAGCCAATGTACCTGGTGAGATTTTTGTTAATATTAAAAGCTAAGTATGAGATATTGTATATAATTCAGTCCCATTTGCATAAAAACATATCTAAATATTTATTTGTATGTGTATAATATAGCTCATAAGAAACATACAAGAGGCCGGGCGCGTTGGCTCACGCCTGTGATCCCAGCACTTTGGGAGGCCGAGGTGGGTGGATCGCTTGAGCTCAGGAATTCAAAACCAGCTTGGCCAACATGGTGAAACCTGGTCTCTACTCAAAACAGAAAAAAATTAGCCAGGCATGGTTGTGCATGCCTGTAATGCCAGCTACTTGGGAAGCTGAGGCAGGAGAATTGTTTGAGCCTGGGAGGCAGAGGTTGCAGTGAGCTGAGATCACGCCATTGCACTCCAGCCTGGGCAACAAGAGTGAAACTCAGTCTCAAAAAAACAAAAACAAAAACAAAAACAAAACAACAACAACAAAACACATACAAGAGCTGGACGAGATGACTCACACCTATAATCCCAAAACGTTGGGAGGCCGAGGCGGGCGGATCACCCTGAGGTCAGGAGTTGGAGACCAGCTTGGCCAACGTGGCAAAACCCCATCTCTACTAAAAATACAAAAAATTAACCAGGCGTGGTTGCATGTGCCTGTGATCCCAGCTACTCAGGAGGCTGAGGCAGGAGAATCACTTGAACCTGGGAGGCGGAGGTTGCAGTGAGCCGAGATCACACCACTGCACTCCAACCTGGGCGACAGAATGAGACTCTGTCTCAAAAAAATAAAAATAAAAGCCCATAGTTGGATGATGTGGTCTGCATAAGAAATTAGTAATCTGAGGTTACAGAGGGAGACTTGCAATGTGGTGAGACCCTGGAGTGTTCAGAAAAGGTGTAAGGTATATAATTCCTCCAGCCAGAGACATTAGAGAATGCAGTTGTCTAATATTTGGCTTTAGACCGTTAACTTGCTCTGACATAAGTCACTCTTTCTCTTTCCCCATTGCCCCTCCTCTATCACGTGGCAACCTCTAATCTTTTTTTTTTTTTTTTTTTTTTTTTTTTTTTGAGGCGGAGTCGTGCTCTGTCATGCAGGCTGGAGTGCAGTGGCTCGATCTTGGTTCACTGCAACCTCCACCTCCTGGGTTCAAGTGATTCTCGAGCCTCAGCCTCCCGAGTAGCTGAGATTACAGGCGCGTGCCACCACGCCCAGCTGATTTTTGTATCTCTAATCTATTTTCTGACTCTATGGATTTGCCTATTCTGGATGTTTCACCTAAATGGAGTCATACAATACGTGGACTTTTGTGTTTGGCTACTTTCACTTAGCATCATGTTTTCAAGGTTCATCCACGTTGTAGCATGTACTTCACTCCTTTTTATGGCTGAATTATATCCCATCCTATGGATAAACCACATTTTATCTATTATCGGTTGATAGACATTTGGGTTGTTTTACTGTGTGAATTTCTTAGGGAAGGGACATCTCTTAATCTCTGTCTACCCCATGTCTGGCTCATAATAAGACTCAAGGAATATTTGCCAGCCTGGCCCCATCTCCCAGTTCCCTGGAGATTACCCTGTTGCCTCTGTCATTTTCCTAGAAACCACTGCAATCCTTCTGGAGTGACCCTGCCAGACAGAGAATGGGAAAGGGCTAGAGCCCAGGATAGGATGCAGGATCGTTGCTGACTCAGGCTAGGACACAGGCTGAGCAGAACAGGCCTGTTATCTCTAGAGGTCAACCTTCTAATAACTTTCCTTCGAAAACTCTGTGGAAAGTCACACGCAGTGATAATAGAAAGGGTAAAGGCTTAATTTATGTCCCTAATGGAAGTTGCTTGGGGACATTTGATAACAAATGCAAATCTGCAGGCTAAATTCCATGTTCACATTCTTTACATTCTGATAAATTGCAGACTCCTGGGCACAGTGTTCTTCTTGTTGACATCAGCTCCCAATGTCCCTTAACCTCTGTGTGCATGAAGCTCCACTGAAAGTAGTCAGGACATGGCTGGACCCTGTGAGCATTATTTCCAGTGATCTGATCCAGCTGTCTGAGCCTCCAAGTGGGATCAGCAATATGAAAACAGAAAGACAGCAAGTTTGGTTTAAATAAGGCATTGAGGCCAGGCACAGAGGCTCACGCCTGTAATCCCAGCACTTTGGGAGGCTGAGACAGGTGGATCACCTGAGGTCAGGAGTTCGAGACTCAGCCTGACCAACGTAAAGAAACCCCAACTCTGCTAAAAATACAAAATTAGCCAGGCATGGTGGCAGATGCCTGAAATCCCAGCTACTGGGGACGCTGAGGCAGAATTGCTTGAACCAGGGAAGCAGAGGTTGGGGTGAGCCAAGATCGCACCATTGCACTCCAGCCTGGGCAACAAGAGCGAAACTCCATCTCAAAAGATAAAAAATGAAAATAAGGCATTGAGTCCATAAAAAGAACCATAAAGATAGTTATGCCCTGTTATTCCAGTTATTCCAGTCTGGGGAATATTCCCATCTTACTTTGAGTCCCCCAGAAGCCAACTGAGACCAAGATTAAGAGCAAGGAGTCTATTTGCTTTTTGTTTTCGGGTTTTGTTTTTTTTTTTTGAGACAGTCTCACTTTGTCACCCAGGCTGGATTGCAGTGTCGCCGTCTCGGCTCATTACAGCCTCCGTCTCCCGGGTTCAAGCAGTTATCCTACCTCATCCTCCTGAGTAGCTGGAATTACAGGCACACGCCATCACATCCGGCTAATTTTTGTATTTTTAGCAGAGATGGAGTTTCACCATGTTAGCCAGGCTGGTCTTGAACTCCTGGGCTCAAATGATCCGCCCTCCTCGGTCTCCCAAAGTGCTGGGATTACAGGTGTGAGCCATTGCACCTGGCCTCAAGGAGTCTATTTGGGGGGGAATCTAGGAAGCCCTGGCCGGGGAAGAGGAGTATATTTCTCTATAGGAATTGGCGGCTTTATCAGTCATATTTAATCTTGGTTCTCCTTTAGATCGTAAAGAGAACACAGCAGAAGAATTCCCATGGTCCCATTACCCTAACACATTTTCATTTCTTCAGGGTTCCTTCATACACCTTGTTCCCTTGAAGACAGGTGTTTTCCCAGGCACTACTGTAGTGTCTGTGATTAGTTCATAAGCATTTCCTGCTTAGCATTAGACAGGAAGGCTTTTCCATGTTGCTAATGGGCTTTGAAATTGACATGGTGGTGGCAGAGCCTCCTTTTACTAAATGGACATTGCTAAATCAGTCCCATATTGCTGGACAGGTCATGTGGATTTTAGTCATCTGTTTCTCATTTCTCAACACAACTTTGAACATCTTCTTGCATGCATGCTTTAGCCTGGGCTGAGTTATCTCTTGAGGATTGTAGCAGACACTATCAGTGCTCACCCTAACCCACACACCTGCCATGCAGACATCTGTGGCTCTGCCTCCCTCTGCATATGTGCGACAGGATGGAAGTGCCTGGAAGTTAGCACCTCTCAGGAGAAACTCTCAACCTTGACTGAGCAGAATTGGTGAATCAATGCCCTGACTCCTGAAGATAACTCTGAGGCGTGTTCCCACCGGCTCCAGGAGATCCCCAGCCAGACTGAGTTTCAGTTGCTCATGATGGTGATAGGCTTGAGAATGTATTGTTAACATCTTTTCTCCTCCTTTATCTTAGGTCCTCATTCCCCTGCTGTTATTTCCTAGGTTCAAATCTTAGGCTTCTCCAGAGAAACAGAATCAATAGGAGATAGACAGATCAATAGACACAGATAGATAGATAGATGCATAGATACGTAGACACATAGACAGATGAATAGATAGATGGATATTATAATAATAAAAAAAGAAAATCAATAAATAAAGCAAAAAAAAAAAAAAAAAAAAAAAACCAGAGCCAGGCACGGTGGCTCACACGTGTAATCCCAGCACTTTGGGAGGCCGAGGCAGGTGGATCACCTGAGGTCAGGAGTTTGGAACCAGCCTGACCAAAATGGTGAAACCCCATATCTACAAAAATACAAAAATTAGCAGGGCATGGTGGTGTGTGCCTGTAATCCCATTACTCAGGAGGCTGAGGTAGAAGAATTGCTTGAACCTGGGAGGTGGAGGTTTTAGTGAGCCAAAGGTTTCAGTGAGCCAAGATTGCGTCATTAGACTCCAGCCTGGGCGACGAGAGCAAAAACTGTCTAAAAAAAAAAAAAAAAGGAACCAAATAGGCCAGACACAGTGGCTCATGCCTGATGCCTGTAATCCCAGCACTTTGGGAGGCCGAGTCAGGTGGATCACTTGAGACCAGGAGTTTAAGACCATCCTGGTCTACATAGCGAAATCCCTTCTCTACAAAAAATACAAAAATTAGTTCGGTGTGGTTGCATGCCCCTGTAATCCCAGCCACGTGGGAGAATGAGGCAGGAGAATCATTATGATCATGGAAGCTAAGAAGTCCATAATCTGTTGTCTGCAACCTGGAGAACCACGAAAGCCACTGGTCTAACCCTCTCCAAGTCTAAAGGCCCAGGAACCAGGAGCTCTGATGTCCAAAGGCAGGAGAAACGGATATCCCAGCTCATTTTTTGTTCTACTCAGGTCCTCCATGATGCCCATCCACACTGGGGAGGGTGGGTGTGCCTTACTCAGTACACTGATCCAAATGCCAGTCTTTTCTGGAAACAACCTCACAGACACATTCAGACATACTGTTTTACCAGCTCTCTGGGGAATCCCTTAGCCCAGTCAAGTTGACACGTAAAATTAACCATCACAACCTCCCAAATAAATTTCTTGCTCTTGAATCCTACTTCTGGGGGAACCCAAGCCTAGACAGACATATTCCCAGGACGAGGGCACCTGGACCACAGGGGTGAATATCTTCATGATTCTTGTTGTAGACTCAATGCCCTATTTAAACCAAATTAATTATCTTTCCGTTGCTCATGTGACCGATCCCACCTGAAGACTAAGACTGGTAGATCAAATCCCAGGACGTACCCTCGCACAGCCAAGTGGGGTCCTGGGGTCCTGACTGCTTCCCTGATGGCTTCAATTCTGTACTTGGAGACCATCTTTGAGCAACTGATAACAACCTCAGTCTTTGGAATGATGAGCTCTTGATTATTTATTGATTTATTATTTATTGATTTATTTATTGTAGAGATGGGGTCTCACACTGACACCCAAGCTGGAGGGCAGTGTCATGATCACAGCATACCACAGCCTCAAACTCCTGGATTCAATTGACCCACCCGCCTCAGCCTCCTGAGTAGCTGGGACTATAGGTATGTGCCACCAAGCCAAGCTAATTTTTAAAAATTTATTTTTTAGAGACGGGAGTCTCTGACTCAGCTTCCCAAGTAGCTGGTACTATAGGTGCACACCACCATCCCTGGCTAATTTTTGCATTTTTTATAGAGGTGGGGTTTCACCATGCTGGCCAAAACTCCTGGCCTCAAGTGATCCATCCACTTCTGCCTCCCAAAGTGCTGGGATTACAGGTATGAGCCACCACGCCTGGCCCCAGCTAATTTTTTTTTTTTTTTTTGAGACGGAGTCTCACTCTGTCGCCCAGGCTGGAGTGAAGTGGCGAGATCTCGGCTCACTGAAAGCTCCTCCTCCTGGGTTCACGCCATTCTCCTGCCTCAGCCTCCCGAGTTGCTGGGAACTACAGGTGCCCGCCACCACACCTCGCTAATTTTTTGTAGTTTTAGTAGAGACAGGGTTTCACCGTGTTAGCCAGGATGGTCTTGATCTTCTGACCTCATGATCCACCTGCCTCGGCCTCCCAAAGTGCTGGGATTACAGGCATGAGCCACTGCGCCCGGCCAGCCCCAGCGAATTTTTTTTTTTTTAAGTTTTTATAGAGATGGGGGTCTTGGTATATTGCCCAGGCTAATCTTGAACTCCTGGGCTCAAGCAATCCTCTTGCCTCAGCCTCACAGAATGCTGGGATTAAAGCCATGAGTCACTGCACCCAGCCTTGATAGTTATTTTTTAAATTGAATTTTTGTCAAGCATCCTTGATTGAACCCTAATTACATAGATGGTGGAAATTTGGTTTTCCAGCTCAGGCATCAGGATAACTTATTTTTTATGCATTTATTTATCAGCAATGCCTTCTGTATTTCAATCTTATCAATTCTTCCTTCTACGCATGGGATATTAGTGCTATATAAATTATAGCACTTATAATTGTTCCTTGCCTTCTTATCTTCCTTGTTAGACTTTGAACTCATTTAGGTCAGGAGATAACGATTCTCCAGTTTTCTGTCTCCAATACTCCACATGACACTAGTCTTAACTGCTCTGTAGAATGTTGTAGAATTAATGAATCTTCTTAAATATTGATGGCATAATTTATGGTCTTTTGTTCAGTAGCAAAGGTTTTTTGTTTTGTTTTGTTTGTTTGTTTGTTTGTTTGTTTTGAGATGGAGTTTTGCTCCTGTCGCCCAGGCTGGAGTGCAATGGCAAGATCTTGGCTCACTGCAACCTCTGCCTCCTGGGTTCAAGCAATTATCCTGCCTCAGCCTCCCAAGTAGCTGGGATTACAGGGGCCCGCCACCATGCCCAGCTAATTTTTGTATTTTTAGTAGCTACAGGGTTTCACCATGTTCTCCAGGCTGGTCTTGAACTCCTGACCTCAGGTGATCTGCCTGTCTCGCCCTCCCAAAGTGCTGGGATTACAGGCGTGAGCCACTGCCCCCAGTGAAGTTTTTCCTCCAGAAGCCCCAAGGACGCTGTCTGGTTACCCGTGCTGTTCTCCCTTTGCGGGGACAGCAGGTGCCACCTTTGAGGGGACTTCGGCTGTCACTATGGACTCTGCTATCTAAGATTTCAAAGATCTCTTTGTTATCTGGTCAACTTATCGCTCTGGCTAATTAGAGGCACCATTTAGAAGCAAACTTAATTGGAAAATTGCAAAGTAATTTAAATATGATAATATTATCTCCAAAAGGTTAATATTAACTAATCTTAGCTAATCATTTTGTAATCAGAGATATAGAATTACAAAATAAGGCTGTTGTGTTTTTAATAGCATGAAAACTTTTTGAACTCGCTTTTATTTCTTAACCTCATGACTGTTCTATAGGCTCCACCCGTCCTGTGGGACAAGTGGCCTCAGGGAAGGAGCGACACCTCTTCCCTGCCCCTTCCCAAAATCATTCAAGGAAAAGGATCCCATGGTCAAATCTCCCACCTCCATCACATATTGTATGATCTCTGACCTTACCAAGTTTCTGCTGCTTTGTCCATAAGATGGGGATAATAATAGTTCCTGCCAAACAGTGCCTGTGCAAGGATTAGAAGATTCGATGGGTGCAAAATGCAGAGAAGGGGGCACACTCTATGTGAACTCCCTTCCTTCTCCAGCCCCGAAGTTCACGTTTTTGCTCTCCGCAAAAGGAGGAGGTGAAGGCATTCTACTTCCTCTGAGAGTATCTTAGAGCCTCCCAAGGGCTGAGTGTGTGTGATTCTACTCCCAGCCTTCCACCCTCCCAGTGCAAACCCAATTCTGCTATCTCTGGATTGCTACAGAAGCAGCACTGTCAACTTGTGCAAACATGTGTGCCTTGTGAGGAATCCAGGAGATCTCCAACCCGACACCAATGCCAGGAGGGGCCTGGTAAAGGCCTTCATGCAATGCAGACCTCCTTGCTCTGTGTTTCTTCCCAAGGCCTGTGTGCAATGCAGACTTTCTCCCTCTATGCTCTAATTTTCTTCCTGGTTTCCTCTCAGCAACTCGCACCTCCACTCCCACAATCTGTTGGAAATTTTCCTGTTCCCTCCGTTCCTCTCTCTTTTGCTCACCTTTCTTGCTTTTCTCCCGCCACAGCCCTACACAACGCACACCTCTCCCTCCCACAATCCAGAGCAATTTGTGTAGCGGCCACCCCATGTAATATATTGAATCTGGGCACAAGCAGGTCCTGCTAGTAGGAACGCTCTTCTTGTCTTCTCCACATGGCCAATGCCTAGCAATCCTTCAGGTCTTGGAGCAAACATTAGTCTTTCTGTGATGTCCGCTCTCCACTGCGCTCCTCCAGCCTTGTACGATGTCCCATACCTTCCTCTGTTGCCAAGCATGCTGTGTTCTATATTTATGGAACCGATGAATGAATGGATACATGGACTAATTTACATTTTTACCATTGTCAGCCACGGACTTCCCTGACATTGCACCCTCTCAACTGGCTTTCCATCCAGCCATAACTGCCTTGGCCTCCCTTGGTCGCCTATAAATGCCATCTTAGCAGTTCTGCTAACTCAGCACTGTCAATAGAACTTTCTGTGATCATGGAAATGTTCTGTGACTGTACTGTCCAGTATAACAGCCACCAACCACACAGGGCCACAGAGCCCTTGAAATGTGGCTACTGTGAATGAGGAGCTCACTTTTTCATTTAACTTCGTTGCAATTAACGTATATTTAAATGTAAATAGCCGAGTGTGCTTAGCGGCTACTGTGTTGAACAGCACAGCTAAGCTGTCACATGAATAGCTTCACTGAACATCTTCTCCTAGGATGCTATTGCCTGCAGTATAAAGGCCATATTCTTATAAAAGCTGCACAGTGCAATCCTTAATCCACTTACCAGCCCCAGGTAGTGGAGATGAACATGGCTGCAAGTACAGATTCTAGAGCCAAGCCCAGCTCTGGGATACTGAGCAAGTTTCTTAGCTTCTCTGTGCCTCACTTTCCTTATCTTTAAAATGGGGCAAAACCACCTAAACTCAGGATTATTGTGAGGAGGACATGGACTCGTATGTGTAAAAGGGTTAGAAGAGGGTCTGGCATATATAAAGCTCTCAATAAATGGCCAATAGTCCTCCTGCCTGGAGAGTTCACCCCCTCCTCCTTCCCCATCCAAATACTTCCCACTCTCAAGGGCTCAGCTGTGCACCCCCTCCTCCAGGAAGCCTTCTTTCCTAATCCTCCACAGCATCACCAAGCTTTCCTTCCTCAGAACCCCTATGATAGTTCCTATCTGTGCCTCTTGTAGAGCAGCTATTCTAGGCAACTAATTATTACTTACTGTGTATGTATATGGCTTCACAGCCAGGCTAAAAGAGACTTAAATCCCAACGTTCCTGTGTATTGGTGTCTATTTTTCAACTGCATGCAAGTAACTCAAAATTAGTATGTTTGATTATTATATTGGCTGGCCGTTTCAGTTTTTCTGTCTTTCCCAAGAAAAGAAAGGGGGAAAGAATGCTCTGAGTGCCTACTGTATTTTAAGCACTGTGACATACACAGTTTTACACTGTTTAATTTAAACTTTGTAGCCAGTCAATGAGGCAGATGTTATAATTTCCATTTCAGAGATCAGGAAACTGAGGGTCTGAGACTTAAGTACGTGGTTCAGACATTTAGTTTGTAAGCGGAAGAACTGAAACACAAATGCAAATGAGTCTGTCGGGGTAGCTAGTTTCCAAAGATGGCCCCAAAGGGACCATATAGCCCAGACCCTATAGTCACAACCTTGAATGGTCCCTCCTCACGGAATTTTTGCTGGCCCTGTGATTGGTTCTAACCAATAGAAGGCAGTGGAAGCTAAACTATCTCAATTCTGGTGTAGCCTTAAAAGGTATTGGCAACTTCTGCTTCCTCTCTCTCGTGTCACTCACCTTTGGGAGACATTTGATGCTATGTATTATAAGAAGTTTGGCTACTGTGCTGGTAAGATCTCACAGAGAGAAAGCGAGGCCAAGGCCCAGCCCCTCTAACATCCTAGTCATCCTAGTCAATTCCAGCAACCATGTAAGGAAAGCTGAGCAATGAAAGCAGAAGAACTGCCCAGCTGAGCCCACGCAACCTGCAGAACTTAGAAAGCGTATGGATGATTGTTGTTTTAAGCCACTACATTTTGGAGTGGGATGTTACACAGCAATAAATAACCAAAACTCTTACATAAGATGTGCCATTTCTCTCTACATTGCCATTGCCCCTGTTCTCTTATGCACTGGCCAGTTTTCAGTCCCGTTTTAAGGCAGTGAATGCATTATACAAATTGTCTGTGAAACACTCACCTTTGCTCTCCTAGCTCTTCCCCAGCCAGCAGCTCTGAAAGGTGGGAAGCATTACAGTTTTGTGGGGAAGAACATGTACTGATCGGCTGTTGACCTACCTCAAGTTACTCCACATCGCTGAGACTATAAAATTAAGATTGCTACTGACATCCTTGCAAGGATGTGGAGGGATTAAAAGAAAGACTGCTGCTAGAACACTTAGCCCAGTAACCAGCACGTGCAAGCATTCAGATCAGAGGCTGGAGGAGAGCAGGCCAGGAGACAGCTTCTACTGGAACCAACCCCTCATCCCATTCTCCCCACATTAGTGAAAACAACAGAACACAGGGGTCAGGCCTCCATGGGTTCAGAGCAATGCCAGAGCTTTTGAGGGGAAGAGCAGCTGCTGCTTCATGTCGATGGGTTTTCAACATGAAGGCAGTTCTGCAAACCACTGTGAGACACCTTCCCCTTTGGGAAATATATGTCCAGCCTCAGCCTCCAAACAAAAAGAACATCATGAGGGCCAAAAAAGGCAGAGACTGGGTGTCATTAATCACCTCTATTCCCTCAGAGTTTGGCGTGTAGTAGGTGTCAGGTCCAAAAAGGCACAGATTTGTTTTGTTCACTGCTACATTTCCAGCACATAGTAGGTGCTCAATCAATATGTGTTGAATGGGCCAGGGTCGGTGGCTCATGCCTGTAATCTCAACACTTTGGGAGGCCAAGGCAGGTGGATCGCTTGAGCTCAGGAGTTTGGGACCACTTGCCCAATTGCCTGGGCAATATGGCAAAACACCATTTCCACAAAATACAAAAAAATTAGCCTAGAGTGGTGGCACAGGCCTATTGTCCCAGCTATTCAAGAGGCTGAGGTGGGAGGATCACTTGAACATAGGAGGTTGAGGCTGCAGTGAGCTGAGACTGCACCATTGCACTCCAGCCTGGGTGACAGAGTGAGACCCTGTCTCAAAAAAAAAAAAAAAAGGTGTTGAATGCACTGCCTGCAGCGGACACTGTCAGTTGCCTATCCTAGGCCATTCCCTCCTTTTTCCTTGATAATGGAATTCTGACAAGATCCAGGTGGCAATGATGCCACTCCAGGGGTGACTGGGAGGAAATTAAATTAAAGTTTGTCTGAGGAAATTAAAGCGCTCCTGTTCCTCTTTGTTGAGGATTGGTTAGGGGTGGTCATGTGACACAGTTCTATTCAGCCAATGAGGCACAAGAGAAAATCTGCTCAGAGGATTCTGGGAAAGATTTCCCTCCAGCATAAAATGAGAGGTCTACAAAGAAAACTCCTCTTCTGTCCCTGCCTTATCTTCCTGCTTTTCCACATCTCTATGTGAGGCCATGATTTCCCAGGCAACGGCAATCATTCATAACCAGAACTGAACAAGCCAACAGTGAGAAGACAACCTTCTGAGGCTAGAAGTGTGGAAGCCCTTGCTAGGCGAGCTTCCGCGTCAACCAGCATGCCACCTCTCGATGGCTTGATGTCTGCAATAAATGCACATCTTTGGAGTTTCAGCAGATGTTCTGCTACCTGCAGCAAAAGTGTCTTCCCTTACACATTGTGACTTAATGATATTGTTACGGGCTGAATTGTGTTCTGTAAAATTCATACGTTGAAGCCCTAACACCCCATACGGCAGAATGTGACTGTATTTGGAGATAGGGTCGTTAAAAAGGTGATTAAATTAAAATGAGTCCATTAGGTTGGCCCCTGATCCAATATAATTGGTCTCATTACAAGAAGAGGAAATTTGATTGGGCACAGCAGCTTGTGCCTGCAGTCCTAGCTACTCAGGAGGCTGAGGCAGGAGGATGGCTTGAGCCCAGGTGTTTGAGACTGTAGTGAGCTATGATTGCACCACTGCACTCCAGTCTGGGCAACAGAGTGAGACCATGTCTCTTAAATAAATAAATAAAATTTAAAAATGAAAGAAGAGGAAATTCAGACACACCAAGAGACACCAAGGATGTGCGCACAGAGAAAGATGATATGAAGACACAGCAAGAAATCACACCTGCTACCTTCATCTCCCAAACAACCTGATACCTTGTTTTTTTTGTTTGTTTGTTTGTTTGGTTTTTTGTTTGTTTGGTTTCGCTTTTTTGAGACGGAGTCTTACTCTGTTGCCCAGGCTGGAGTGCAGGGGTGCAATCATAGCTCACTGCAGTGTCAAACACACCTGGCTGGAGTGGTGGGATCTCAGCTCACTGCAACCTCTGCCTTGCCACTTCAAGCAATTCTCCTGCCTCAGCCTCCCCAGTAGCTGAGATTACTGGCATGTGCCACGATGCCTGGCTAATTTTGTATGTTTAGTAAAGACGGGGTTTCACGATGTTGGCCAGGCTGGTCTTGAACTCCTGACCTGGGGCAATCCGCTCATCGAGGCCTCCCAAAGTGCTGGGATTACAGGCATGAGCCACCATGCCCAGCCAAAACCTGATACCTTGATCTCAGACTCCTAGCCCCTAGAACTGTGAGAAAAAAAAATTCTGTTGTTTAAGCCACCCAGTCTGTGGCATTTGCTATGGCAGCCCTAGCAAACTTACACAGATATCTATTGTTAGGCTTAATTTATTACCACCATTAGTTTTTTTTGTGGGGGTATTTTTGTATGTGGTGTGTGTTTGTTTGTTTTGAGATAGGGTCTCTGTCGTCCAGGCTGAAGTGAAGTGGTGCAAACATGGCTCACTGCAGCCTCAAACTCCCTGAGCTCAGGCGATCCTCCCACTTCAGCCTCCCAAGTAGCTGGGACCACAGGTGTTTGCCACCACCACCACTGCCAGCTAATTTTTCTATTTTTCATAGAGGCAAGGTCTCGCTGTGTTGCCCAGGCTGGTCTCAGACTTCTGACCTCAAGTGTTCCATCAGCCTCAGCCTCATCCTCCCAAAGTGCTGGGATTACAGGTGTGAGCCACCGTGCCCGGACTCCATTTGTATTTTCAAAAACCTTTATCTTACTATCTAACTGTCCCTTGGGTGCAGTTGGAACCTGGATAAGAGAGCTTGCCCTTTCTCTGATATAAGAATGCAGTGACACCAACCCAAGACCCAAGACTGGTCCTCTCAGGGCCCATCCACCCATTACTTCATTCAGTAAAAATCCAGCAGACACCCATCGTGCGTTGGAGCTGTGTAGAATTGTCAGAGTAAGTACTTTGAAGTCGGGCTGCCTGGCTGTGCCTCCTAATTTGAGCTGCTCCTCACTTTGAGACCGAGGGCAAGCAAGTTATCTTCCCTGTACTCTCTGACCTTGAGAATGGTGGTAGGAACACACATCTCATAGGACTGTGTAAGGCCAGGGTGAGCCAGTGCAGGTAAACTGCTCAGTTGCTTTTCTGAATATGCAAAGATTGACAAGAAGGGAGATCACAGTCATGTTTTGACTCATATATATATATATATATATATATATATATATATATATATATAAATATATATATATATATATATATAAATTATTATTTTTTTTTTGAGACAGATTCTTGCTCTGTTGCCCAGGCTGGAGTGCAGTGGTAGAATCTCAGCTCACTGCAACCTTCACCTGCCAGGTTCAAGCAATTCTCCTGCCTCAGCCTCCCAAGAAGCTGGGATTACAGGTGCACACCACTATACCAGGCTAATTTTTGTATTTTTAGTAGAGACGGGGTTTTACCATATTTGCCAGGCTGGTCTCGAACTCCTGACCTCAAGTGATCTGCCCGCCTCGGCCTCCCAAAGTGCTGGGATTACAGGCTTGAGCCACCGCACCTGGCATGTCTTCACTCATATGGTTTTGTTGTAACCCTTCCAACAAGCCCTGTGACACAGATACTGCCACCCCCATTTTGCCGAGTGAAGTGAGGTTCAGAGAAGTCACGTGACAAAAGCTGCAGGGTTGCTGAATCTCAGAGCTGAGGTCCAAACCCAGGTCTTCTGACCTCTAAGCCCTGAGCTCTTTCTTGCACCGTGGTGGTGTCGTTTTTTTCCCAGAGCCCTTAGAGTATGCCAGACATTCCCATGTAATCCTCACAAGAACGCAGCTTCCACAAGCTAGGAATAAAGAACTCTGACATGGATACACGTGTTTAGACCACACAGCGGGATAAACTGGCAAGTTATTGGAGGTCTTACTGGAAAGGTGGTTCATAGGGAAATGCCCTCTAAGAGAATGGGAGGAAAAGGTAAAGGCATTGTTTGGTAACTGTCTGAGACCAGGTGCTTTTGCTAGACCCTATACAATAGGCTTGAGGTGCTAATATCGTTATGCCTCACTTTATAGTTGAAAAAAAGGAGGCTCAAAGAGGGTAGAATGGCCCAGACACACAGAAAATGGACGAGCTGGCCAGGCGCGATGGCTCACGCCTCTAACCCCAGCACTTTGGGAGGCCAAGGCGGGTGGATCACTTGAGGTCAGGGGTTTCAGAGCAGCCCGGCCAATATGGTGAAACCCCATCTCTACTAAAAATACAAAAATTAGCTGGGGATGGTGGCAGGCACCTGTAATCCCAGCTGCTTGGGAGGATAAGGCAGAAGAATCGCTTGAACCCGGAAGGCAGAGACTGCAGTGAGCCAAGATCACGCCACTGCACTCCAGCCTGGGTGACAGAACGAGACTCCATCTCAAAAAATATAAAAGGATGAGCTGCAATTTTTTTTTTTCTGAGTTGGAGTCTCACTCTGTCACCCACGCTGGAGTACAGTGGCACCATCTTGGCTCACTGCAACCTCCACCTCCTGGTTTCAAGTGATTCTCCTGCCTCAGCCTCTTGAGTAGCTGGGATTACAGGTGCCCATCACCATGCCCAGCTAATTTTTGTATTGTATTTTTAGTAGAAACGAGGTTTCACCATGTTGGCCAGGTAGGTCTTGAACTCCTGACCTCAGGTGATCTGCCTGCCTTGGCCTCCCAAAGTGATGGGATTATAAGCATGAGCCACCATGCCTAGCCAATCAGCTATAATTTAAATTTAGTTTCAACTCAGGCATGTAGCATCTTTCCTCTGGGTCAGGTCTTCTCAACTCCTGCTGCACACATGTAGGTACTTTTTATTATTTTTTTAATTATTATTATTATTTTGAGACGGAGTCTTGCTCTGTCGCCCAGGCTAGAGTGCAGTGGCGCGATCTCGGCTCACTGCAAGCTCTGCCTCCTGGGTTCACGCCATTCTCCTGCCTCAGGCTCCCGAGTAGCTGGGACTACAGGCACCTGCCACCACGCCCGGCTAATTTTTTGTATTTTTAGTAGAGACGGGGTTTCACGGTGTTAGCCAGGATGGTCTTGATCTCCTGACCTCGTGATCCGCCCGCCTCTGCCTCCGTATGTTTTATTTTTGAGATAAGGGCTTGCTTTGTTGCCCAGGCTGGAGTCCAGTGCTGCTATCACAGTTCACTGCAGCCTCAACCTCCCAGACTCAAGTGATCCTCCCACCTCAGCCTCCCAAGTAGTTGGGACTACAGGCACGCACCACCATGCCCAGCTAATTTTTTTTGGTAGAGACGGAGCCTCAATATGTTGCCTAGGCTGGTCTTAATTCCTGGGCTCAAGTGATCCTCCCGCCTTGGCCTCCGAAAGTGCTAGGATTACAGGTGTGAGCCACTACACCCGGCCAACATAAAAAAAAAAAACTGATGGCTGAGATCCACCTTCAGAGATTCTGCGTCAGTGGGTCTGGAGTGAGGCCCAGCACTGATACATTTAGTACTGCCAATCAGGTGATTCCAATGTGTGCCAGGGCGGAAGCACAGCCAGACCACACAGCTGTCAGGAATGAACGGCCCAAGGTGCTGGCATGTGCTCTCAGCCCAGACCGGACCATCATTATTCTCAGCTGGGTTGCATAAAGGCCAGTGCCACTGCCTTTTCTTACTCTACCCACAGAGCAAATGACTGGTTCTTTCTTTAAGCAAAATACGTTAAGATGAGTTCATTAACTTCAATCAGTGCATATAGCAAGTTGAATACGAATTTCAGGCAATGGCAACACACGAAGATACACGAATAATAGGGAAGCTCAGATCAAATTCAGGCATTGTTTTGCCCTCTTGATAGGCCAGGAAGTTGAAGTTTCTTTTTAACTATTCTGTTTACTTATTTATTTTTTGAGACAGAGTCTCACTCTGTGGCCGAGGCTGGAGTGCAGTGGTGCCATCTCAGCTTACTGCAATGTCTGCCTCACAGGTTCAAGCGATTTTCCTGCCTCAGCCTCCTTAGCATCTGGGATTGCAGGCGTCTTCCACCACGCCTGGATAATTTTTGTATTTTTAGTAGAGACAGGATTTCGCCGTGTTGGCCAGGCTGGTCTCGAACTCCTGACCTCAAGTGACCCGCCAACCATGGCCTCCCAAAGTTCTGGGATTACAGGCATGAGCCACCACTCCTGGCCCGTCTTTTTTACTATTCTTTATAGTTTCTGAGAAAAGCCTTTGGTTCCCGTTCGTTATTTTTTAAATAGGTACATGAAACATTTTATGTCTCCTTCTTCCAAAAAGAAAATAATGAATTAAGTGGCTCTTTATGTATGATTATTAGAGGGGAGCATCGGGGCCTTTACTAAAAACAAAACAAAATGTAAAACCTTTCCCGTCTCTGCTGAAGGGGTTCCCTGCTGTGCAGCAGACATTCAGTGATCACAGAGCTTAGCTCAAGTTTCTCCTAATTCCCAGCACCTCTGATTCCCAGCATCTCTTCTTGTTCTGATCATAAACAACTCCAGCTCTTGGATTACGTCGGGCAACATAACAGCAGGCACGGAATTCTCTCTGCTTATTTAGAACCTAGTCTGAAGCAAGCTTTTTTTTTTTTTTGGTTAAGTCAAAAGTGAAACTGGAGAGGGAAAGCTGAGGGAACAATAAGAGGATTAAAGATTAGCTATGACACATGGCTTGGAAATTAACCTTTAACCAAACATCTTATAAGTAACGCCAGCGCAGCTTCCCTTGTGAATGTAAAGAGATCCAGGGCTCTTGGAGAGGGACAAGTGAGAGCCAGCCAAAAAGGAAAAAGCAAAGGCAGAAACGGCATCAGGAGAGACAGAGATGTGAAGGAGGGAAGGAGCAGGAGAGCAGGAAGGAAACGCAGGAGGAGGGAGCAGCATCTCCTGTGAACACAGAGGAGCACCTGTTTGCTGTTAAAATCGATCTCCCTCGGCACCCTGAGCAATGGATATAATATTTGGCAGGAATAGGAAAGAACAGCTGGAGCCTGTGAGGGCCAAAGTGACAGGTGAGCATTCTGATAAACACTGGGCTCTTTCTTCTATTTATTTTATTATTTTTTTTTTTTTTGAGGCGGAGTCTCGCTCTGTCGCCCGGGCTGGAGTCCAGTGGCTTGATCTCGGCCCACTGCAACCTCTGCCTCCTGGGTTCAAACGATCCTCCCACCACAGCCTCCCGAGTAGCTGAGATTACAGGCACCCACCACCAAGCCCGGCTAATCTGTGTGTTTTTAGTAGAGACGGGGTTTCAGCATGTTGGCCAGGCTGGTCTCGAACTCCTAGCCTCAAGTGATCCACCCACCTCGGCCTCCGAAAGTGCTAGGATTACAGGGGTGAGCCACTGCACCTGGCTTCTTCCTTGTGTTTAGATGGACACTATTTTTTCCTGATGATATAAGTAATACTAATTGTAAATTACTTTTGGAAAGTCTGGAAAACAGTACAGAGAGGGGACACATTTTCTGTGAAAATCTAGGTATTCTTTTACACATTATAACTCCGTTTGCAAAGGGAGGAGAGTCAGTCTCACTGTTCCCAGGAAAAAAGCATTGGAATGCCCCAGTGGGTACATAGACAATGGGATTAATCTGCAAACTGCTGCCTGTCTCAGATGCATGATGTATTTGTGCAAATGTATGCATTCTAAATTAGTTTCAAAATGCTTAGAGGGGCGTGCATGAGCTCCCACGCATGCACATCCACCACGCACACTTGCAGGGGATTGCAGAGTCTGATGTGATTTTCTCTCAGGAACTCACAGGTGTGAGCTCCTGCAGAGCCTATAGGAGTAGGACCTTCTATCCTTTAGAGGCTCTGTGTTTCGCTTAATCTTTTATATCTCTTTTTCCTCCTCTTTTGAGTTGCCACTTTCCTGGTACCATTTCGACTCTAAAGGGCAGTTCCTGGTTCTGGACTCCCGGGTCCCCAGAGTGGTGCTCGCTCAGTTTTAAGAACAGCTGAGTCAGCTCAGGCCTGCAGGCATTTTCATCTGCTAGATGGACTGGAATTGTTCATAAGGAGAGGACAACTGTGAGTGATTTTCGTGAGAACATCAGATTGAAGCTTTTCAACTGAGCAATTGCCTTGGGAGTCTTTTGAAACAAAAAAAAAATAGCTTTTATGTATATATTTTCCTGGTTACAAAGGTAAGGCACAATCTATAGCTATCAATCTGTATATATATATAGCTGTATGTATATTAAATTATATATAAATTAATTAGGAGTGCAAATGAGAACATGGAAGGAAATAAAATCAGCTGTATTTTGAAATCTCTTAACCACTATTAATATTTGGGTCTATTTCCTTTAACTTTTTAAAACATAGGTAGATCAATTGATAGATTACTATATTTGTAAACAGTTTTTCAAAAAGCAAATGTATACTATTACATTTTTATTTTTTTTCTCAATTTGACTGTTCATCTGTACATATTTTATTTTTTAAAAAGACACCCCACGGCCAGGTGCGGTGGCTCACGCCTGTGGTCCCAGCACTTTCGGAGGCCAAAGAGGGTGGATCACTTGAAGCCAGGAGTTTGAGACCAGCCTGGCTAACATGGCGAAATCCCTCTCTACTAAAAATACACAAATTAGCCAGGGGTGGTGGCATGCACCTGTAGTCCCAGCTACTCAGGAGGATGAGGTAGTAGAATTGCTTGAACCCCGGAGGCAGAGGTTGCAGTGAGCTGAGATCGTGCCACTGCACTCTGGCCTTGGCAAGAGTGAGACCCTGTCTCAAAAATAAATAAATAAAAAAAAACCAGGCACCCCAGCCTGGCCAACCTGGTATGGTGAAACACTGTCTTTATTATTTGGTTGGTGCAAAAATAATCGCGGTTTTTGCCATTACTTTCAATGCATTTAATTTTAATTTTTTTTTTTTTTTGAGAAGGAGTTTCACTCTTGTTGCCCAGGCTGGAGTGTAATGGCGCGATCTCGGCTCACCACAACCTCTGCCTCCTGGGTTCAAGCGATTCTTCTGCCTCAGCCTCCCAAATAGCTGGAATGACAGGCATGCACCACCACACCCGGCTAATTTTGTATTTTTAGCTGAAACAGGGTATCTCCATGTTGGTCAGGCTGGTCGCAAACTCCCAACCTCAGTTGATCCGCCCGTGTTGGCCTCCCAGAGTGCTGGGATTATAGGCGTGAACCACCATGCCCGGCCTGAAATTTTATTTTAAATAAAAATACAAAAATTAGCCAGGCATGGTGGTGCATATCTATAAGCCCAGCTCCTCAGGAGACTGGGCATGAGAATCACTTGAACCCAGGAGGCAGAGGTTGTAGTGAGCCAAGATCGCACCACTGTACTCCAGCCTGGGCAACAGAGTGAGACTCTGTCTCCAAAAGAAAACAAAAAGGCACCTATGATACCTACCTTTTCGTGCCCTGGAATATTTTGTACCCTTTACACCTCATGTTTAATGACTGCATGAAATCCTTGGAAATGTTAGAAAACATGAATTCTAGAACACGAGAGGCTGAGTGAGCCCCAAAGATCAGCAGCGGTTCTCAAAGGGGTGGCCCCGGACCTGCAGCATAAGCATCACCTGGGTGCTGGGTAGAAATAAACATCCTTGGGCCCTACCCAGACCCACGGGGTCAGACACTTGGGGGGTGGAGCTCAGCAAGCTGTGTGTTCACAAGCCCTCAGGCGATTCCAAAGGTAAGAACCATTCCTCTACATCAAGCCTCCCTATTGACAGATGGGAAACTGAGGCAGAGGGGCAGTGACTTGCCAAGGCCAGGCAGCCTGCAGAGAACAGGCCTCCTGACTCTCCGTCCAGGCCTGGGTTGAGCCTAATCAGTTGGTGACATCCATGGGCAAACAGCTAACTAAAAACTGTGCCTGGGTTGACACGTCCATGCAGGGAGCACATGCAAAGGTTTTGGCTTTGTAACTGGCTGTGCCGACACACGTGTGTTCTGAGACCTCTTTGGCAACTTAAGCATTTCCTGCCTCAGTGTTCTTTTCTGTTTGATGAATGTAGCCTGGCACCTCCCACATAGGGTTGCTGCAACGATTAAGTGGTTTAATCCACCTAGAACACAGTGGCTGGTGTATGAATGCATGTAAGTGTTCTTGTCCTATCTAGGGCTTTAATTATATTCTCAGATGCCTCTCTCCCTGCTCTTTCTCAAGCCTGCCCCCTCTCCTGTGCCCTGGGTGCCTGTGCCTGGCGCCACGATTATGTAGGTGCCCAAGGCAAGAGACTTGGCTGTCTTTTTTTTTTTTTTTTTTTTTTTTTGAGGCGGAGTTTCACTCTGTCGCCCAGGCAAGAGTGCAATGGCGCAATCTTCGGCTCACTGCAATCTCCTCCTCCTAGGTTCAATCGATTCTCCTGCCTCAGCCTCCCCAGTAGCTGGGATTACAGGCACCCACCACCACACCCAGCTAATTTTTGTATTTTCAGTAGTGACGGGGTTTCACCATATTGGCCAGGCTAGTCTCAAACTTCTGACCTCGAGTGATCCATCCGCCTTGGCCTCCCCTAGTGCTAGGATAACAGGCCTGAGCCACCGCGCTGGCCTCGGCTGTCATTTTTCAGTGCTCCACTGCACATCCCCCTGTATTTAGTCAAATAGAGGCCCATCAGTTCTGTGTGTTCCATCTATCTTTGTTCATCCATTTCTCTCCATCCCTGTGGAATCCCCGGGTCCTCTCTCTGGTCTTCCTGCCTCTCTCAGGGAATTTCCCAGTCCACAATCCACACCATGGGTGGAGACAACCTTCGAAGCTCCAAGTTCCTATTCCATTTATAACAGGGGTCCCCGACCCTCGAGCCGTGGACCAGTACCAGTCTGTAGCCTGTTAGGAACCGGGCCGCACAGCATTACGGCCCGAGTTCTGCCTCCTCTCAGATCGGTGGCATTAGATTCTCATATGAGTGCAAACCCTACTGTGAGCGTGAACCCTGTCGTGAACTGCACATAGGAGGGATCTAGGTTGTGCGCTCCTTATAAGAATCGACCCCTCAACCCCACCATCCATGGAAAAATTATCTTCCACAAAACCAGTCCCTGGTGCCAAAAAGTTTGGGGACCACTGATCTATATGGAATCCAGAACAGGCAAATCCATAGGAAAGAAGATGGGTGCCTGCCAGGGGCTGGGGTAAGGGGAGAAGGGGGAGTGACAGCTAATGCATAAGGGAGATGGCTTTTTGGAGTGATGAAATGTTCTGGAATTAGGTGATGGTTGCGCAACATTGTGAATACACTAGAACCCCCTGAACTGTACATTTTAAAATGATGAGTTTTATCTCAAATTTTTTTAAATTGCAGAAAATATCTGGTCCTGTCCTTCCCTATTATAACCATCAAAGGTGCCCCATTCTTCTGAGGATTAGATCAGGACCCTTAGTGTGATCCTGTTGACCTTTGTCCCCTGGCCCCCGTTATTTCTGCAGTTTCATTGCTTACAGTTTTCTTGCTTGAAAATGACGGTCCAGTCTTACTAAACAGCTTGCCCGTCTCCTGGTCTTGATCATTCATTCATTCATTCATTCATTCATTTATGAGACGGAGTCTTGCTCTGTCACCCAGGCTGGAGTGCAGTGGCGTGATCTCAGCTCACTGCAACCTCCCCCTTCCGGGTTTAAGCAATTCTCCTGTCTCAGCCTCCAGAGTGGTTGGGATTACAGGCACCCGTCATCACACCTGGCTAATTTTTGTATTTTTGGTGGAGGCGGGGTTTCACCATGTTGGCCAGGCTTGTCTCCAGCTCCTGACCTCAAGCGATCTGCCTGCCTCACCTCCCAAAGTGCTGGGATTCAGGTATGCCTCGGCATGCCCAGCCTCCTGGTTTTGGTCTTCTTGTTTTGGGTTCCTCCAGAGGCAAGAATTCAAGGCTAAGTGGTTTATTTGGCACGTGATCCCAAGAAACATCAGGAGGAACTCAGGGAAACAGAGAGAAGGAAACCAATAAATGGGGCATTGTCGAGCCATTGGCTGCTGAGGCCATTGGAGCTAAATCCTCTGGGTATGACGTAAAACATGCCTCTCGTGATCCCAACTGAGGGCAAGGCAACGGCGGGATTTGTCCCCCAATTCTGCATCCATCACTGGGTGAGAGCAGCTTCCAGGGGCATTACCTATCCGAGGTGCTTCCTGCTCTTCCTGCATGTAGGCAAAGCCTGCCCCACCCGCAGTCAGAACCAAGCACTCAGGCAGGGAGCTGCAGGCATTTGCAGAAAGCAGCCTGTAGGAAGGGACGAACGCTGAGAGGACTTGGGTGGAGGCACCAACAGCATTTTCTGCAGCACCCTGCCTCTAGAGCAGGGCTGTCCCCTAGAAAGAGAACCTATGCCACACGTGCACTTTTAAATTTTCTGGTAGAAACATTGAAAAAAGTCAAAAGAAGCAGGTGAAATTATTTCAGTGGTATATTTTAACACAACAAATCCAAGATATTATCAGTTCAACATGAAATCAATATTTAAAAAATTGCTAATGAGATGGTTCACTTTTGTTCATACTAAGTCTTTGAAATCTGGTGTATATTTCATTCTTATAGCACATGTCATTTCAGACCAACCACATTTCAAGTGCTGATAGCTACCATATTGGACAGTACAGCTCTAGAATGTTCTTTCCTTTTGCCTTTGTGAGGCGAATACCTACTCTCCCTCAAGACTTAGCCAGGTTGCCTCCTCTAGGAAGCTGACCACACCCTCCTGCTCTCAGCCCACCCGAGGGCTGTTCTGTTTCACAAAGAACCTTTTTCTACGTCTGTAGCGTTGCCCCTATCTTTTTTTTTTTTTTTTTTTAATTTTTTGAGACAAGGTCTTGCTCTGTTGCCCAGGCTGGAGTGGAGTGGTGTGATCACTGCAGCCTGGAGCTCCCAGGCTCAAGCGATCCTCCCACCTCAACCTCCCAAGCAGCTGGGACTACAGGCATATGCCACCACAATGAGCTATGTTTTTTTGGGGGGTTTTTTTGACACAGAGTTTCGCTCTTGTTGCCCAGACTTTAGTGCAGTGGTACAATCTCGGCTCGCTGCAACCTCTGCCTCCTGGGTTCAAGTGATTCTCCTGCCTCAGCCTCCCGAGTAGCTGGGATTACAGGCGCTCACTATGACGCCCAGCTAATGTTTTGTATTTTTAGTAGAGGTGGGATTTCATCATGTTGGCCAGGCTGGTCTTGAACTCCTGACCTCAGGTGATCCACCCACCTAGGCTTCCCAAAGTGCTGGGATTACAGGCGTGAGCCAACACACAACCAGCATTGCCTTGACCACAGTGGATCTTGGGTGTCTGTTTATTCATCTGTCTCTTAATGGTCAGTAGGCAGTTTGAGGACAGGGACAGTGTCTCCATCTTGGTATCCTCAGTGCTAGCCAACTGCCCAACACATTATACACTTTCTGGAAATGACTGTAGAATAAACGAACAGATGCAAGGAGTGGTACTGGGACCACAACTCTCAAATTCCTTTCCATGACCATTTCTTCCAGCATTTTGGTTTGCAGGTGGAAACGGGAAACTAAACATTCTCTCTTTTCTCAGGCAAGATTCCAGCATGGCTGCAGGGAACCCTGCTCCGCAATGGGCCTGGGATGCACACAGTTGGGGAGTCCAGATACAACCATTGGTTCGACGGCCTTGCCCTGCTCCACAGCTTCACCATCAGAGACGGTGAGAACACCCACGAGTGTGCTGCCACTGCTGCAGCAAAGGACCCCAAATGCAGTGCCTTAAAACAGCACAAATTTATTCTTTTAGGGATTGGAGGTCAGAAGTCTAAATCGGGTCTCACTGAACTGAAATCAAGGTGTTCATAGGGCCACATTCAGTTCTGGAGGCTCTAGGAAAAATATCCACGTTCTTCCGTTTTCTATCTTCTAGAAGCCGCTTTCCTTGACTTGTGGCTCCATCTCTGTCTTTTTTTTTTTTTTTTTTTTTTTTTTCTCTGAGACGGAGTTTTGCTCTTGTTGCCCAAGCTGGAGTGCAATGGTGCAATCTTGACTCACGGCAACCTGCATCTCCCAGGTTCCAGTGATTCTCCTGCCTCAGCCTCCTGAGTAGCTGGGATTACAGGCATGTGACACCATGCCCAGCTAATTTTTGTACTTTTGGTCTCAAACTCCTGACCTCAGATGATCCGCCCACCTCGTGCTCCCAAAGTGCTGGGATTACAGGCATGAGCCACTGCGCCCGGCCTCCATCTCTATCTTTAAAGCAGCAGCAGAGCATCTTGTCTTGCAATCTCTCTCTCTCTCCTTCCATCCTCACACCTCCTCCTCTGACTGACTTTCCTGCCTCCCTCTTATAAGGACCCTTGTGATTACATTGAATCCACTCAGATAATCCCTAGATAATCTCCCATCTCAAAATCCTTATTCACATCTACAAAGTCCATTTTGATATGTCAGGTCACACATTCAACAGGTTCTAGGGATTTGGATGTGGAGATATTTGTCAGGGGTGCATTATTCAGCCAACCGCAAGCACAGACTTTCCTAAAAAGGAGGCCAAGGTTCTTTTTCAAATAGTTAATCTTGCAAAATAATATACATCCTCAATCAGGTAGGCAAGAGCAGGTGGAAGAGTACAGGAATCAGACATGCCTAAAGTTGAAACAGGAAATGGACAGAGCTGGTAGCTGGGCGCAGTGGCTCATGCCTGTAATTCCATCACTTTGGGAGGCCAAGGCAGGCAGATCATTCAGGGTCGGGAGTTTGAGACCAACCTGGCCAACATAGCGAAACCCCATCTCCACCAAAAATACAAAAATTAGCTGGTCATAGTGGCACACACCTGTAATCCCAGCTACTAGGGAGGCTGAGGCACGAGAATTGCTTGAACCCAGGAAGCAGAGGTTGCAGTGAGCTGAAATTGTGCCACTGCACTCCAGCCTGGGAGACAGAGCCAGACTTTGTCTCAAAAAAAAAAAAAAAAAAGAAGAGTACAGAGCTGGAAAGAGCAAAGCTGCATATATTGCCCATTAAGCAAGACAGAGCCAGACCACTTACACAATAAGCCGAGGGATCTCCCTGAGTGGAAAGGGAAATGGATAAATATAGGGCATCACAAATAAGGCGAATTCTGAGTTCAGGTGTCTGGCTCATGAGGTGGGATGTAAATTCTTTGCTGTTGGCCATTGAGCCAGTTTATGCTACAAAATCAAGAGCCGAGTTCTTAAAGAGGTCCAGGATGGATTTAGCGGGCTTCGGGTCACACAGTGGACAGATTTGTGTCCAAATGCTCCAGGCTTTCCAAAATTTTTCTTTAATTCCTGTGTTCTAATGTGGTCAAACTGGGATTACGTTAAGTCTCTCAGCCTCAGTTTCCTCATCAGTAAAATGAGCTTGTTCATCCTCCCCTGGAGAGCTGTTGGGATCATTGGAAGTATTGGACGTTCTAGCAAGGGCCTGACACCTGGTAGATGCTTAAGAGATTAAAAATCACCATTGACCAGGCACAGTGGCTCATGCCTGTAATCCCAACACCTTGAGAGGCGGAGGCAGGAGTGTTGCTTGATCCCAGGAGTTCCAGACCAATCTGTGCAACATAGTGAGACCCCATTTCTATTTTATTTTATTTTATTTTTTATTTTTATTTTTATTTATGTTTTTGAGACAGAGTTTCGCTCTTGTTGCCCAGGCTGGTGTGCAATGGTGCAATCTCAGCTCACCACAGCCTCCACTTCCTGGGTTCAAGTAATTCTCCTGCCTCAGCCTCCCGAGTAGCTGGGATTACAGGGATGCGCCACCATACTCAGCTAATTTTGTATTTTTAGTACAGATGGGGTTTCTCCATGTTGGTCAGGCTGTTCTCGAACTTCCAACCTCAGGTGATCTGCCCACCTCGGCCTCCCAAAGTGCTGGGGTTACAGGCATGAGCCACCACGCCCGGCCCATCCCATTTCTATTTTAATTTATTTTAAAAAAATAATTAAACATAAAAATAAAACCACTATCTGTGGCTTTGAATCCCAGCTCCACCATCCTAGCTAACATGCACCTAAACTGTGTAACTTTGGCCAAGGTACTGACCCTGTCTGTCTCAGTCTCTTCTGTAAAATGGACATATCAATAGCGTATCTCATGGAGCTGCTATTAGATCTAAACGAATGTGTAAACAGCTCTGTATTATGTCTCGTGCACAACACCTGCTCAATAAGCATTTGTTCTTAATTTCATATAACTACTGGCCAGTCGCGATGGCTCACACCTGTATTCCCAGCACTTTGGGAGGCCGAGGCGGGTGGATCACCTGAGATCAGGAGTTCGAGACCAGCCTGGCCAACATGGTGAAACCCCGTCTCTACTAAAAATACAAAAAATTAGCTGAGCGTTGTGGTGAGCACCTGTAATCCCAGCTACTTGGGAGGCTGAGACAGGAGAATCGCTTGAACTCGGGAGGCAGCGGTTGCAGTGAGCTGAGATTGCACCATTGCACTCCAGCCTGGGCAACAAGAGCGAGGCTCCCTCTCACAAAAAAAAAAAAAAAAAAAAATTATATAACTATTAATTTCTTTTGAGCTAGTCAGCAATTATTTTTTGAATGTGTACTCTATGCCAGTGCCTTGCTCTAACATTTACACATGAATAGAGACACGATGGGTGAAAAGCGCGAGCTCTGAGTCTGCAATACCTTGCAGATTTTACTGTGACTCAGCTACAGAATGGGTGGTTCCATATTTTGCTGACAGCACTAAATCTTAATGATTCCTTTCTTTTCTAAACAGAAGTTCCCAATGATTCTTGGAAATAAATACTGTTCTGGATGAGGAACATAGAAGGTAAATGCACCAGTGGTGGCCGGGCGCGGTGGCTCACGCCTGTAATCCCAGCACTTTGGGGAGCCAAGGTGGGCAGATCACCTGAAGTCGGGAGTTCAAGACCAGCCTGGCCAACATGGGAAAATCCTATCTCTACTAAAAATACAAAAATTAGCCGGATGTGGTGGCAGGCAACTGTAATCCCAGCTACTTGGGAGGCTGAGATAGGATAATTGCTTGAACTCAAGAGGCAGAGGCTGTGGTGAGTTGAGATCATGCCACTGCACTCCAGCCTGGGTGACACAGTGAGACTCCGTCTCAAGAAAAAAAGCACCAGTGGTTTTCCTTCCATGAGGCCTTGCTTCCCCAGGCTGCCAGCTCCTCCATGGTCTCTTTCTTTCTTTTTTTTTTTTTTTTGAGATGGAGTCTCACTCCGTTACCCAGGTTGGAGTGTGGTGGCGCAATCTCGGCTCACTGCAACCTTCGCCTTCCAGGTTCAAGTGATTCTCATGTCTCAGCCTCCGGCGTAGCTAGGATTACAGGCACATGCCACCACATCTGGCTAGTTTTTTTTTCTTTTTTTGAGACAGAGTCTGGCTCTGTCACCCAGGCTGGAGTGCAGTGGCACGATCTCGGCTCATTGCAAACTCCACCTCCCGGGTTCACGCCATTCTCCTGTGTCAGCCTCCCGAGTAGCTGGGACTACAGGCTCCCACCACCACGCCTGGCTAATTTTTTGTATTTTTAGTAGAGACGGGGTTTCACCGTGTTAGCCAGGATGGTCTTGATCTCCTGACCTCGTGATCTGACCGCCTCGGCCTCCCAAAATGCTGGGATTACAGGTGTGAGCCACTGTGCCCGGCCCCGGCTAGGTTTTTTTGTATTTTTAGTAGAGATGGGGGTTTCATCATGTTGGCCAGGCCGGTCTCGAACTCCTGACCTCAGGTGATTCACCAGCATGGGCCTCCCAAAGTGCTGGGATTACAGGCGTGAGCCACCGCGCCCGGCCGAGTCAGTTTTATTCACAATCTGGCATTGGCTGGGAAAATAGGAAACCCAGGAATTACACCCAATGATTTGTTTTCCCTCCATCTTTCTCTTAGACCTAGGCCAGCGTCTGAGGGTTCATGCCCCATTCTGCTTGGCAGGCATCATTTTGCCAATCTGTGGCATAGGGTGGGAAGGCCCAGAGTGCGGGGAGCCTGCCTGAATTGTGGTGTCTTCATCATCTAGCATGGGGCCTGGCCCAGAGGGGCGCTTGGAAACTGTATATGGAGCTGAGATGGTACAGTGAGGCAGTCATTGTTTTGGTAGACAGAGGCAATACTTTCCCAGTCAAACTCTTCAATATTTACTACAAAGAGGGTTTGCTGGGCCCTGCCCCAAGTGTTTCATGTCCATCCACAACTCAGCCCTCCCCGTCACTCCTGAGGAGGATAGCCTGGGGACTACCACAGTTTTAGAGATAAGGAATGAAGTCCCAGAGAGGCCAAGTCACTTACCCAGAAGCACACAGCTAAGAGTTGGTAAAGCTCAGACATAGACGCAATACTCTCTAACTTCAGAATCCCAAGTCCTAACCATTGTGCAATTCAGCCCTGTTTCCCCTTCCCACCAGCTCCTGCCTCCCCATCTCTCCATCCCAATCCTCTCAGTGCTGCCAGCTTGCCAATGCTGGTGTGGCATAGCCTGGCTTCATCTCTCCTCTCCTCTAGGACTCTCCGTGGCACCCCATTGTCTAATGGTGGGAAGATACACCAGAAATGTTCAGTTCCACTCTAGCGGGTTCAGAAGAGAACACGTGGGGAAGTTGGGGTCCCTGATAAGCTGAAAACAAAGCCAATAACTCTCAAAAAGTGGTTTGTGTGCCTCCTTTCTCAATAAAGCTTTTTTTTTTTTTTTTTTTTGAGATGGAGTCTCACTGTGTTGCCCAGGCTGGAGTACAGTGGCACGATCTCAGCTCACTGCAGGCTCTGCCTCCCAGGTTCAAGCGATTCTCGTGCCTCGGCCTCTGGAGTAGCTAGGATTACAGGCATGAGCCACCATGCCCAGCTAATTTTTGTATTTTTAGTAGAGATAGGGTCTCGCCATGTTGGCCAGGTTGGTCTCGACCTCCTGACCTCAGGTGATCCACTTGCCTGGGCCTTCCAAAGTGCTGGGATGACAAGTGTGAGCCACCGCGTCTGGCCATTCAGTAAAGCTTTGAATCCTGAAAGCTGCACAGGGCTTGAGTGCATCATAGTCCTCAAAGATAGCGTTTGTGTTTCTAACACACTTCCCAGGTGACCCCGAGCCCTCTGAGGTTTGACAATCCCTCCACAATGGGCCTCTAGCCTGGCTGCCCAGGCCTAACCAAAACCATGTTATTAATACTAATAATCAGAAGAACCATGGGCTAGTGAATAGCCTTCTGTACCTTTTTAAAGCACCCAGGTGATTCCAGTGTAGATGCAGGTTAGGTGCTTAAGACCAAACATCTAACTTAGAGAAAAGACTTTGGAGCAAGAAACAAAAAGGCAGAAAATAGCTTGTGGCCTTCAGCAGAGGCCAGTAGAAATTAATGCTCTAAAAAAAAAACAAAGAGGGACCAGAGGTTGTGGTTCATGCCTATAATCCCAGCACTTTTAGAGGCTGAGGTGGGAGGATCCCTTGAGCCCAGGAGTTCAAGACAAGCCTGGGTAACATAGTGAGACCTGGTACCTACCAGAAAATCAAAAAGTTATCCAGGCGTGGTGGTATGCACCTATAGTCCCAGCATCTTAGGAGACTGAGGCAGGAGGATCACTTGAGCCTTGGAGGCAGAGGCTGCAGTGAGCCGAGATCACACCTCTGCACTCCATCCTGGGTGACAGAGTGAGACTTCATCTAAAAAAAATTAAAAAAGAAAAACATGTAAAAAATAACAAAGATATGAACAAAAAAAGCAGAGTACAGAGGGAGAAGCTGGGTGAAGGGTACAAGAACACTCCTTTCTGTACATCTAAAATTATTTCAAAGCAAAAAGTTTTTACAAAGCACGCATAGAAATGAGTGATTCCAAGTCTCCCTCATTAATGATATCTGTTAATTTTCCGATAAAATTAACAGGCAAAGTCATTGTCCCACCAGGATTTGAACATTGGAAAGTTTCTTTTATATATACCCACACACACACACACACGCACACACACACACACACATATATGTGTGTGTGTGTGTGTATATATATCTATATCTTCCCTTCTTCCCCAAAATATCAAACTTGACCTAGTTCTAGAAGATCCCAGGCAGGAGCACGTCTGTTGGCGTATGTCCCTTCAGAAGGAATGTGGCTAATTGGGCTCTCCTGAAAGCAGACTGCTGGGGAATGCATGGAGGCTCCTTCTGTAATCTCAACCTCAAAGTCCAGGGTCAGCCTTGAGTAATTCCAGACACCTACTTTCCTGTGGTCACCAGGCACTCCATGCTCTGGGGCTGGATGTTTATAGGAAATGGGCAGCCTGTTCACTACCCAGCCTGGGTGTTTATATTTCTTTCTTTCTTTTTTTTTCTTTTCTTGTGTGTGTGGGTGTGTGTTTTTGTTTTGTTTTGTTTTGTTTTGTTTTTTGAGATGGAGACTTGCTCTGTCACCCAGGCTGGATTGCGGTGGCATGATCTCAGCTCACTGCAACCTCTACCTCCCAGGCTCAATTCTCCTGCCTCAGCCTCCCGAGTGGCTGGGATTACAGACACCCGGCACCATGCCCAGCTAATTTTTATATTTTCAGTAGAGACGGGGTTTCACCATGTTGGTCAGGCTGGTCTTGAACTCCTGACCTCAGGTGATCCACCTGCCTCGGCCTCCCAAAGTGCTGGGATTATAGGCGTGAGCCACAGCACCCAGCCAATATTTCAAGTGAACATAATTCAACATTTCAGGTCAAGCACCTTAGCCAATGCCTTGTGGGTGGTGACTCCCAGCAACAGTAACCAGTGAAAGACAGGCTGGCTCAAAGGGGAGATCAGGGTGGCCTTAAGTGGGCCTCTGTCTCCATGTAGCATGTAGCTGAGGACCAGTGAGTATGTGTGGCCTTGCTCACCCACAGATGAGTCCGCCTGCCACCCGGATTTTCTTGGACAATGCAGTTTCAACAGCCTTTGTTTACGAAGTGCATGCTGGGAGTCAATGCGCAGGACCCCTTACATTACCACATCTCATTTAAAACTGCCCACCTCACCACTTGAGGTCAGGAGTTCAAGACCATCCTGGCCAACATGGTGAAACCCCCTCTCTAGTAAAAATACAAATATTAGCCAGGCATGGTGGCAGGCACCTGTCATGCCACCTACTCAGGATGCTGAGGCAGGAGAACTGCTTGAACCCAGGAGGTGGAAGTTGCAGTGAGCCGAGATCGCACTACTGCACTCCAGCCTGGGTGACGGAGCAAGATGTTGTCTCAAATATAAAAAATAAAGATAATAAAACTGCCCACCTAGAAGGGGAGGACTATGTGATTCCCAGCTTCCAGTCAAGGAGACTGAGGCTCGATGAGATTAAGAGACCTGCCCAAGGTCACCCAACCTGGATGAGATGAAACCTAGAGCCGAAGCCTTGATCACTCTGTCTACTGCATCTCAATACTCTACGCAGCTTTTCTTGAGCACCTACTATGTGCACAGTGCTTTGCAAGCCTCAAATGTCACGTGACTCTGCAAGGACTGTGTCACGATCCTCATGTCATAGTGGAGGGGACAGATTCTTGACTGTTACCAAGGTCAAGTGCATGGTTGGTACATGATGAAGCCAGGATTCATATCCATGTGGAGATTGAGCCTCCTTAGCAACAGGAATCCTGGCCATTCTGCTCATTGTTATATTTTCACTCCTGGCCCATCAGGGCAGTTAATAAATAATGGTTGAAAGCATGAACTCAGGGCCTGGTCAGCCCCAAAGCTCAGGCTCCTAACCGTTCCTCCATATTTCTTTCTGCTGCCCAGGAATAAATCTCCCCCTACAGAAATATCTCAGTGAGGCTGGGCACCGTGCCTCACACTTGTAATCCCAGCACTTCAGGATGCCAAGGCGGGAGGATCGCTTGAGTCCAGGAGTTCAAGACCAGCCTAGGCAATATAGCAAGATCCCATCTCTACAAAAAATAAAAAATTAGCCAGGCATGGTAGCACGCACCTATAGTCCCAGTTACTTGGGAAACTGAGGTGGGAGGATCACTCGAGCCTGGGAGATTGAGGCTGCAGTGAGCTGTAATTGCGCCACTGCCCTTAGCCTGGTGACAGCAAGACCCTGTCTCACAAAGAAAGGAGAAAGAAATATCTCAGTGACACTTATTCACACAGTAACCACCCCTGAAAAGATGTTTGCATAAAGGCTAGATGATTGTCTCTTAGGAACACAAATAACCTCCTGAAGACTGGAGGAGGAACTAGCAGGTCTTTCATGATCTCCCTCAATTTTATTTTATTGTATATTTTTTTCTTTGAGATAGAGTCTCCCTCTGTCACCCAGGCAGGAGTTCAATGGCACAGTCTCAGCTCACTGCAACCTCTGCCTCCTGGGTTCAAGCAATTCTCCTGCCTCAGCCTCCTGAGTAGCTGGGACTATGGGTGCGTGCCACCACGCCCGGCTAATTTTTTTTTTTTTTTTTTTTTTTTTTTGTATTTTTAGTAGAGACAGGGTTTCACCATGTTGACCAGGCTGGTCTCGAACTCCTGACCTCAGACGATCCGCCCATCTTGGCCTCCCAAAGTGCTGGGATTACAGGCATAAGCCACCACACCAAGCATTTTTTTTTTTTTAATAGATAAGGGCTTCCTACATTGCCCAGGCTGATCTCGAACACCTAGCCTCACCTTTTTATGTGCCAGGACAACAAGCCTGAGCCACCACGCCTCCCCTCAATTTTCTTATAATTAGTGTTACTATTATTGTCATTATGTCCATCCAAGTGCACAGGTGGGAGTCATTGCCACTGGAATGTACATTCAAATCCTTTGGCAATGGACATGGAAACACAACCCCAAGGGCAAAACAAGTTGAAACTCTTCAAAGTCAAGATAGCGGTTACCCTGGAGGGGGAAGAGGTTAGTGACAAGGTGGATATATGAGGCTAGCGTTCAGGGGGCTGCTCTGGTCCTGTTTCTCTTTTTGAGGCAGGGTCTTGCTCTGTTGCCCAGGCTGAAGTGCAGTAGTGCGATCTTGGCTCACTGTAGCCTTGACCTCCCAGGCTCAAGTGATCCTCCCGCCTCAGCCTCCTGAACAGCTGGGACTACCATACCCATCTGATTTTTGTATTATTTGTAGAGATGGGGTCTCGCCATGCTGCCCAAGTAGTCTTGAACTCCTGGGCTCAAGCGATCCTCCCCTCTGGGCCTCTCAAACTGCTGGGATTACAGGCATGAGCCATTGCACCTGGCCCCAGGTCCTGTTTCTTGATCAGGATGTAGTTTGCGTGGGTAGCTCCCCTTTGTGAAACCTCAGCAGGCTGGATGTCATCAAGCTGCACATCTCTGTAGGAGTGATTTTAATTGGAAGGTGCAGACAGAACACTCAAACTGATTGTTCTTGCTGTGTTAGGATCTTGGTTAAGAGGGCCAGCTTTAGATGCCCATTGCTGGCCTTCGACTCCAGATTACCACTCGCTAGCTGTGTGGCTTAACACAAGCTGCTTAACCTCTCTGTGCCTCAATTTTATTAGCTGGGAAATAAGTCTGCAGGGCTGTGAGTACCCAAGCCCTTTGTACTTCATTTGGTAAAAAAGTTGGAACCTTTAAGCACTGTTTAGATCTTGCTTTATTTTGCTATTAATTAACAAATGACATTATGTTATTTTTTTTTATTTTTTATTTTTTTGAGATGGAGTCTCGCTCTGTTGCCCAGGCTGGAGTGCAGTGGCGTGATCTCAGCTCACTGCAACCTCTGCCTCCTGGGTTCGAGCGATTCTCCTGCCTCAGCCTCCCAAGTAGCTGGTAGCTGGGACTACAGGTGCCTCCCACCACACCCAGCTAATTTTTGTATTTTTAGTAGAGACAGGGTTTCACCGTATAGGCCAGGCTGGTCTCAAACTCCTGACCTTGTGATCCGCCTGCCTCAGCCTCCCAAAGTGCTGGGATTATAGGAGTGAGCCACCATGCCCAGCCTTTCTTTCTTTCTTTTTATTTATTTATTTATTTATCTTTGACATTGAGTCTCGCTCTGTTGCCCAGGCTGGACTTCAGTGGCACGATTTCGGCTCACTGCAAGCTCCGCCTCCCAGGTTCAAGCAATTGAACCTCCCGAGTAGCTGGGACCACAGGTGCCCAGTACCCCGGCTAATTTTTTTTGTATTTTTAGTAGAGATGGAGTTTCCCCATGTTGGCCAGGCTGGTCTTGAACTCCTGACCTCAAATGATCCACCTGCCTCTACCTCCCAAATTGCTAGGATTACAGGCATGAGGCACTGCGCATGGCCGATTTTTTTTTTTTTCCAGCGAATGCATTTCTGGTTGGAGTATTCTACTTGCTTCCAGTGTTGTGAGTATGAAACCAGATAACACACATCAAGTGCCCAGCACAGTGTTTAGCATGCTGGTGCTCAATCGATGCTGGCTGTTAGTACTAGTTTCCTTTTCCTAAGATATCAAAAGGCACTGGGCGAGAATTTCTTGGAAACATGTTTTCTCCTCTAAGCCCATCCTGTGGCAGTCAACATATGATGGGCGTTTCTGAGGTCAACTTTTTGCTTATTGGAATGCAATGTCACTGTGTCCCAGGCTTGGCTTTTCCGTGTGTTGTAATTGTAGCAACACTGGAAGCACATACTATACCACGAAAATGAAATGCGTTCTGTAAAAGGAAAAAATCTTAATGTCATTTGCGAATTAACAGCAAAATAAAATAAAACACTGCCTCTTTCAGGCCCCTCCCCGAGGTTTCAAACTGCCCAGGAAATAAAGTTCTCAGGGCTGGTGCGGTGGTTCATGCCTGTAATCCCAGCACTTTGGGAGGCCGAGGCAGGCAGTTCACCCGAGCTTAGGAGTTTGAGACCAGCCCGGCCAACAGAGTAAAACCTCGTCTCTACTAAAAATACAAAAATTAGTCGGACATGGTGGCACATGCCTGTAGTCCCAGCTATTTGGGAAGCTGAGGCAGGAGAATCGTTCGAACCTGAGACGTGGAGGTTACAGTGAGCCAAGATCGTACCACTGGACTCCAGCCTGGGCGACAGAGTGACTCCATCTCAAAAAAAGAAAAAAAAAAAGTTATCAGGCCTGCAAACCTAGTAGGACCCCTCAACCCATTTCCCAATTTCATTTCACTCCTGTCCTCCAAATCCCTCTCTAATGTTCCAGCCCAGCCGAACTCAACGCCTGCAAGAAGGGTTCTGCATTTTCCCAACTCCAGGCCTTTGCTTACAGACCTCTTAGCGGGTGAACAGGACAGCTCTGCCCTCTCTCCCCAGCATATTGCAGTCAAATTCTACTCATCCTTTAAGAGCTGTTTCATGCACCACCTCCTCCCTGAAGCTTCTCCTGACTTATTCCCAGCTGGGAAGGACCTCCTCTCACCCCTGCCCCAGGAGGAATCCATGGATGTGGGTTTTTTGTTGTTGTTGCGTTTTTTTGTTTATTTGTTTTTTGAGACGGGGTCTCGCTCTGTCGTCCAGGCTATAGGGCAGTGGCGCGATCTCGGCTCACTGCAGCCTCTGCCTCTTGGGTTCAGGCAATTCTGTCTCCTCAGCCTCCTGAGTAGCTGGGATTACAAGGGTGTGCCACCACACCCAGCTAATTTTTGCATTTTTAGTAGAGATGGGGTTTCACCATGTTGGCCAGGCTGGTCTCAAACTCCTGACCTCAGGTGATCCACCCACTTTGGCCTCCCAAAGTGCTGGGATTACAGGCGTGAGCCACCGCACCTGGCCTAGATGTGTTATTTTACATAGCAAAAGAAACTTCGCAGGCTAGGCAAACGCCTGTAATCCCAGCACTTTGGGAGGCCGAGGCAGGTGGGTCTCCTGTGGTCAGGAGTTCGAGACCAGTCTGACCAACATGGCAAAACCCTGTCTCTACTAAAAATATTTTAAAAATTAGCTGGGCATGGTGGCACATGCCTGTAATACCAGCTACTCGGGGAGGCTGAGGCAGGAGAATCTTTTGAACCAGAGAGGCTGAGCTTGCAGTGAGCCAAGATTCCACCATTGCACTCCAGCCTGGGTGACAGAGTGAGACTCCATCTCAAAAAAAAAAAAAAAAAGAGAGAGACTTTGTAGATGTGATTAGATGAAGGATCTTGAGATGGGGGAGGTGATCTGACATTAGGGATGGGCCCAGTGTAATCTCAAGAGAGAAGCAGGAGCGTCAGCCTCAGAGGAGATGTGATACCGGGACAGGAGACAGGGGTCACAGTGACGCAGCCATGACCAGGGAAGGCAGCAGCTTCTCAAAGCTAGAAAAATCAAGGAACAGACCTCCCCTGGAGCCTCCAAAAGGAACTAGCCCTGTGGACACCTTGATTTTAGCTCTGTAATCCCCATTTCAGACTTTCTTCCAAACTCTGAGATAATGACTGTATGTTGTGTGAAGCCACTAAGTGAGGGGTAAGTCGTTACAGCAGCCGTAGAAAACTAACACGGGTCTAGAACCATCTGGTATATTTTGAGGTTGGTCTCAATGGACTGGTCAAGAGATTTATGCCATGAGTTAGACTCTCTGCAGAATTTGGATGAATTAGACATTGAACACAGGTCTGACCCTCTATTGCTATGCAGGATTGGGCATCAGGTCACCTCCTGGTTGTGTTCAATATCAAACGTTACTCCAGGGAGACTGAAGTGATCAACTGGGCTTCTGGAGGCAGCGCTCCCAGGACTGAACGGGGCCCTGGGGAAAACCACCCCACATATGCAGCCTTCTAGATTAGTCCTCCAGCTCTGCTCCTTCCCTGGAGGGACACAAACAGGGTGGAAGGGATGACTGATTCTGGTCAGCACTCTCAGATGGGTGACCCTGGGCAAGGTGAAAGAATGTTTCTGAGCCTGAGTTCCTTCCTATGGAAAATGGAGCTAAGAACAGACATATTTTGCATTGACATATTTTGCATTATCACATTTTGCATTGCTATAAAGGAATACCCAAGACCGGGTAATTTATAAAGAAAAGAGGTTTATTTGGCTCACGGTTCTGCAGGCTGTACAGGAAGCAAGCCACCAGCATCTGTTTGGTTTCTGGCGAGGGCCTCAAAAAGCTTTGGCTCATGGCAGAAGGCAAAGGGGGAGCAGGCATGTCACATGGTGAAAGAGAGAGAGAGAGAGGAGGGAGGGATCTTTTAAACAACCAGATGTTGCATGAACTAATAGAGTGAGAACTCACTCATCACCAGAACAACACTAAGCCATTCATGAGGGACCCACCCCCATCACCCAGACACCTCCTCCTAGGCCCACCTGCAACATCACAGGCTTCAACATGAGATTTGCAAGGAACAAAACATTCAAACCGTAACACATACTTATCCAGCCATACTGTTGTGAGTCAGGAGTGAGAAAATGTGTGTCTAAAATTATATTCCAGGCCGGGCATGGTGGCTCACGCTTGTAATTTCAGCACTTTGGGAGGCTGAGGCGGGTGGATCACCTGAGGTCAGGAGTTCAAGACTAGCCTGGCCAACGTGGTGAAACCCCATCTCTACTAAAAATACAAAAATTTGCTGGTCGTGGTGGCGCATGCCTATAATCCTAGCCACTCAGGAGGCTGAGTCAGGAGAATCACTTGAACCCAGGAGGCGGAGGTTGCAGTGAGCCGAGATCGCACCATTATATTCCAGCCTGGGCAACAAGAGCAAAACTCAAAAAAATAATAATAATAAATAAAATTATATTTAAAATGCGAATTGTATCGGCCCTGTGTACTAAAGGAGCTTGTCCTAGTGAAATAACCACCTTCTTCTCCCAGTAAAACCCATACAAGGACTGACATTGATTTTAAAGCCCTGTGAAGGCGTCAGCCTGAGATTATGCTGGTTCTTCTCTTGCAGGTGAAGTCTATTACAGGAGCAAATACCTGAGAAGCGATACCTACAACACCAATATTGAGGCAAACAGGATTGTGGTGTCTGAGTTTGGAACAATGGCCTATCCGGACCCCTGCAAAAACATATTTTCCAAGTAACTGCCTATTTTAAATCTGAGCAAATTTCATGCTTTTTGCTATCCTTGATGGCTGAAATAACCAGCATTTGCTCCTCTGACAATTCTCTTTAGGGTAGATGAAAACTCCACATGACTGCCCTTTAACCAGAGGTGCTACACAGTTCTTGATCACTGATTGCCAGAGAGACTAAGAGCATTTGACAAATTATTAGAAGCCCTCCCACATGGCTGGTGGGAAAGCGATTTGGAATCATCTGTCAAAATTATAAATGCGTATTCCCTTCAGCCTAGAGATCTGCTTACTTGCATAGAAAATGACACATGCACCAGGTATTTGTCATTTATGGCTGCATCATTTGTTATAACAAGTAGCTGAAAACAACCCAAATGTTCATTAAAAGAGGACTGGTTAAATCCGTAACAGTAAAACTGTACGAGAAAATGCCATGTAGAAGTAAAAAGGAATGAGGATGTTCTCTTTGCACTCTACAGAAGCTTTTCCAAGATAGACTAAGTGGAAAAAAAAAAAAAAAGGAAGGTGTAGAAAGAGCATGTTATAAGCTGTACTTTGTGTGAAAAAGCAGTAAGAAATCTAAATTAAATTTTGCTTGTACATGCATAAAGAAACTAGGAAAGGATGCACAGGGGCAGATGGATGTTGAGGAGAGGGAGAGATTTTTTGCTGTATATATTTTATTTCATTTCATTTCATTTTATTCATTTATTTATTTATTTAAGATGGAGTTTCACTCTTCTTGTCCAAGCTGGAGTGCAATGGCGCAATCTCAGTTCACCGCAACCTCTGCCCCCCAGGTTCAAGTGATTCTCCTGCCTCAGCCTCCCAAGTAGCTGGGATTACAGGCACCCACCACCACGCCCGGCTAATTTTTATATTTTCAGTAGAGACGGGGTTTCACCATGTTGATCAGGCTGGTCTTGAACTCCTGATCTTAGGTGATCCACCCACCTTGGCATCCCAAAGTGCTAGGATTACAGGCATGAGCCACTGCGCCTGGCCACTGTATACATTTTAAATCATCTGGATTAGTATCCATATGAATGTGTTACATATCTGACAGTTAAATTCTTGGCCAGGGAATCAGGCCTGCCATCAGTATCTTCTTTCTGAAACTCTCTAGATGTAGAAGAGTTATGAAAGAGTTGAAGGGTGGACTGGCCCAGAGATGGAAGATTGCTTCTGCTTTTTTGAGAACTGAAGTCATCTCTCCCATTCCAGTATCCAGCTCTAGGGCTAGCTCAGAGCAAGCACTGAATTCACATTTGCAAATAGGAGGTGTGGAGTAGGAGCCAGTGAGAAAGGAGGAGGAAAGAGCAAAGGAATTTAAAACCACCATACTTACCTGGTAGGGGAGATAGCAGGATCACGAATTTGAAACCACGACCTGGAGGTCCTGGAACCAAGCCTCCTTTTTGTTCCAGTGTTTGCCAGTAGGAGGAGCACTCCCCAATACACCGATACAGGATTTGCCAATTTCATCACCCATAAACCCCTCTGGTTTTTCTTTCTTCTTGCTTTGAGTATACCTTCTGATCAAATGAGCTATGTGTTCTTAACTCATAATTAGTTTGTTTTCCTTTTTAAATTAAAAACTAATTTCCTGGATAAATTCGAGATAACCAGTGTGGACTCACATTCCTGGCAAAGCAGATATCAGCTACGTTGTTAGGCTTTGGGAGCCGTTACGGGTTCATATACGATTTCCGTAGAGCTTCTTGACATACTTTGGAACAGTATGTCTTGCTGGCTCTGATGTTAGAGACCTTTGGGTTTTGGGGAGCCCAGGAGGATCAGCTGGTGACCATGGCATTCCGGCCGACTCATTTCTTAGCTAACTCAACGTGGAGGTGTCTTTGGGGTGTCTGAGTTCTTAGGATTCCTCAGGTGACCCATTGGGACCCAGTTGCTTTTTCTTCCTTAGTTGAAGTAAAGCATTTTTTTTTTTTCTTTGAGACAGAGTCTCGCTCTTTCGCCCAGGCTGGAGTGTAGTGGCGCCATCTCGGTTCACTGCAAGCTCCGCCTCCCGGGTTCACGCCATTCTCCTGCCTCAGCCTCCCGAGTAGCTGGGACTACAGGCGCCTGCCACCACGCCCGGCTGATTTTTTGTATTTTTTAGTACAGACGGGGTTTCACCGTGTTGGCCAGGATGGTCTCAATCTCCTGACCTCGTGATCCACCTGCCTCGGCCTCCCACAGTGCTGGGATTACAGGCACCCGGCCGAAGTAAAGCATTTTTAAGTGGTAGGAAAACTAAAGCCATCAAGGATAGACTTCTCTGGCTGGGTGGACATAGCCACTGACTCTGTTGATTTGCTTTTCTCCCCAGAGCTTTCTCCTACTTGTCTCACACCATCCCCGATTTCACCGACAACTGCCTGATCAACATCATGAAGTGCGGAGAAGACTTCTACGCGACCTCAGAGACCAATTACATCAGGAAAATCAACCCACAGACTCTGGAAACCCTGGAGAAGGTATCAACACATATGTAACCAGCATCACTTCCTGACTCAAGAAAGGGAGAGTCGGCGACGGCCGGGGTGAGGTTGCTCAGCCTGCAAGCAGCTTACCAGGGGAGCCCCTCCTCTAACACCGTTGGATCCCGTGCCCTAGCGCCACACTTACTGCTAGATGCTAGGCAGGGACTGTGTTGTTTTTATCTTCGTGTCTGTATCAGTTTCCTGGGGCTGATGTAACCAAGTCCTACAAAAAAGATTGCTTTAAACAACAGAAATTGGCTGGGTGTGGTGACCTACACCTGTAATTCCAGCACTTTGGGAGGTCAAGGTGGGCAGATCACCTGAGGTCAGGAGTTTGAGACCAGCCTGGCCAACATGGTGAAACCCCATCTCTACCAAAAATACAAAAATTAGCCAGGCGTGGTGGCATGTGCCTGTAATCCCAGCTACTCTGAGGCTGAGGCAGGAGAATCGCTTGAACTCAGGAGGGGGAGGTTGCAGTGAGCCCAGATTGCACCACTGCACTCCAGCCTGCATGACAGAGTGAGACTCTGTCTCAAACAAAAACAAAAAAAAAAAAAAAAAAAACAAGACAAACAAATAAAAAAACAGAAATTTACTCTCTCACAGTTCTGGAGGTTAAAAGTCTGAAACCAAGGTGTCAGCCCGGCCATGCTCTCTCTGAAGACTCTAGAGGAGGGTCCTCCCTGGCCCCTTCCTGGCTTCTAGCGGTTGCCGGCAACCCCTGGTGTTCCTCAGCTTGTAGATGCATCCCTCCAGCCTCTGCCTCAGTCTTCACACTGCCTCTCCTTATGGGGCTATGTGTCCAAATGTTCTGCCTTTTTTTTTTTTTTTTTTTTGAAAAAGTGTCTTGCTCTGTCGCCCAGACTGGAGTGCAGTGGTGCGATCTCAGCTCACTGCAACCTCCGCCTCCTGGGTTCAAGCGATTCTTCTGCCTCAGCCTCCTGAGTAGCTGGGACTACAGGCACGTGCCACCACACTTCACTAATTTTTTGTATTTTTGGTACAGATGGGGTTTCACCGTGTTAGCCAGGCTGGTCTTGATCTCCTGACCTCATGATTGGCCCTCATGATTACAGGCGTGAGCCATTGCACCCAACCATGTTCTGCCTTTTATAGAGACACAAGTCATTGCATTAGGGCCCACCCCAGTGCAGTATGACCTCATCTTAACTTAATGACATCTATAAAGACCTTATTTCCAAGTAAGGTCACATTCACAGGTACCCAAGGTGAGGACTTCAACCTATCTTTTTTGCAAGACACAATTCAACCCATAACTCTGTTCATAATTCTTGGCACTGAGGGAGTTCACTGAGAATTTGAATGAATGACTGTTGAAATGCCTGCGATTCTCAGCAATCCTACCTTCTATTGACCTGAAGAGGGAGGCATTAGGCAAAAAGCTAGGGCACAAAAATCAGTGCCCAAGCACATACCTTTCCTGGGAAGAATCAAGTCAACATTTTGGTGGGAATCAATAGACCCACTTTCAATTTTCTCCAGCTGGCTGTTCAAAATTCCGATGTCTCTGCAATACGTTTTAACGATCTGTTAAAGAGATGAGGCTTTTCTTAGCTGTGAAATTATGTCCAGCTCCTTTTAAGCTAGACGGCATCGGTCCAACTGATGATGCTTTCCACAGGGCTACAGAGAGGAAATGCTGGAAGAGAAAGGAGTTATCTGACTCTGGGCTGGAGGTTGTGTTTTTCTAGGGGAGGAAGCGCAGACGGTTGGTCTGCGGCCACTCCATCATTCTGCAGCTGTGGACTGCAGAGTGAGGGTCATTATTCAGCTCGTTGATCAAACTTCACTTTGACCAAATGTTTTTGTAACCTCTCCATTCCCAGAATAATCGTCTAAGAGAGGCCTAGAGATTTATGCTTCTGTGCAATGCAAAAGGGCAGAATTTAAGCCAGAATGACAGAACTGTGGCCAAGATTAGCTCGAAGGCTACCTCTCTGCCCAGGTCATTGCTCAGAGCTTTCTGCAGTGAGGAATCTTGTTTCCATGTTGAGGATTCCAGCAAGGTCAGGCAACAGGATTGGAACGATAGCCACAGAAGCACACCAGCTCCCTAACTCCCCTGCAACCTATTAGCTGTCTGAGTCCCTCAAATCCCCATGTGAGGTTGTATAAGGTCACAAGAGTGAAAGTCTTCTTTAAAAGCAAATTCTGTATCGTTTTCAGATCAACAGAGTGCAAAAATATCCCTCATCTCTCTGAACCTAGAATCAGTCACGTTTTCATAGGACTTCAACCTTTCTCCTTTGAAAAACCAGATGATGTCATATCTTGCAGGTTGATTATCGTAAATACTTTAAAAAACAGGAGGTGTCATATCTTGCAGGTTGATTATCGTAAATACGTGGCGGTAAATCTGGCAACGTCACATCCCCATTATGATGAGGCTGGAAATGTTCTAAACATGGGCACATCCATTGTGGAAAAGGGGAAGACAAAGTATGTGATTTTTAAGATCCCTGCCACAGTACCAGGTAGGCCACTCTGGGGAATTGAATAAAACACAAACAACCAAGTGTGGCTTCTTCTGAAGAGTTCTGTTTTTCGTTGATGACACAAGATCCAGTGTGGTACTTTCTCCCGTAGATTATTGAGGTGGACCATGAAGTCAGTACTTTCCTTTAGAAGAGAAGAGGAGATGCTGGGATTCCTCTTGGAAGAAAGAAATCCCTTTACTATTCTAATTTCCTTTTATTTAGGCTCCAGTTTATTATTTTATTAATTTATCTACCCATCTACCATCCATCCATCCATCATCTATTTACCATCCAACCATTCCTTCATCTACCATCCATCCATTCATGCATCTACTCACCGTCCATCTATCCACCATTCATTCAGCTACTCACTATCCATCCACCCACCTACCCACCATTCATCCACCTATCCATCACCCATCCACCATCCGTCCACCCATCCACCTATCCACCCCTTATCTAGCCAGCCACTCACCATCCATCCATTCATCCATTCACCCACCTACCCATCCACCCACACACCATCCCTCCATCCATCCATCTACCCACTATCCATCTACCCACCCATCCACCCATCCACCCACCATGAATCCATTCAACCATCTACCCATTCTCCCATCCATCCACCCATCCACCATCCATCCATTCATCCATCCACCCACCACCCATCCACCATCTATCTACCCACCCACCCGCCCACCCATCATGAATCCATTTATCCATCTACCCATTCTCCCATCCATCAACCCATTCACTTACCCACCATCCATCCATCCATTGAGCTTCCCACCCACCCATCCATCCATCATTCATCCATCCATCCACCCACCCATCCACCATCCATCCATTCATCCATCCACCCACACACCATCTACCCATCCATCCGTCCACCCACCATCCATCCACCATCCATCTACCTACCCATCCACCCACCCACCATGAATCCATTCATCCATCTACATGTTCTGCCATCCATCCACTCATCCACTTATCCACCATCCATCCATTGAGCCACCCACCTGCCCATCCATCCATCATTCATCCATCTACCCACCATCTATACACCCACCATTCATCCATCTATCCATCTACCATCCATCCATCCACCCACCCAACATCCATCTACCATGTGCATCTACCACCCATCTATTCACTCACCATCCTTCCATCCACCATCTATCCATCCACCCACCATCCATCTGTCTACTATCCACCGATTCATGCATGCACCCACCCACCCACCTATCGATTCATCCTTCCATCCATTCAGTTTTTCAGTCTCCTGACAAAACTTTCTATGACAAGGTTATGCCACCTACTTTCATTCCTAGCCCCTGCAGCCAAGTTTCCAGGGCTGTTTAGGGAGCTCAGTCCTGCTGGGATCCACTCCAGATCCCTGCCCTGTTCTCCAGGCCTTCTGGACCTTCTCCATGTGGGGCTGGGATCTTGGAGCAAAGCCCAGGCTGACTGTGATTGCATGATCCTGAGGGGGAGGAGGCGGAGGCTCTTAGCCCATGTTTGTCCAGGACCCTCCTGGGAACCACACCCAGGAGACCTAGGCCTGTGAGGACAGCTGACAGGACTCAGGAGACAGTGCAGAACTACAACGGTGCTTCCTCTGACCTTCTAGTTTAAAAAAAACTAGTTTCTGCCTGTGATCCTTGCTGCTCCCCCATCCCCCACTGTCTTGTAGAGCCCCCTGAGCAAACTACCAGGCACTGCCTGGAGATATGAGCCTTCGAGGTCAGAAGGTACACGGAGTGTACTTGCTAAATAGAACTCTCATTAATTAAGCCAGTAAAGGGATATAGGGGTCAAGCTCAGAATCCTAGAATGCCATACCTGGGGATTGTCTAGGCATTTGAGTTTGCCACCTTGTATTACAGAGGAGGACTGTGAGGCTCAGGGGATCAGATGACACACCCCAGTCACACAGCTCCCAGGAGCCACTGACATCCTGCAAGCAGAGATCCTCTGAGCACCTGCTCCATGCTGGCGGTGGCACTGCGACTCATGCCCCATCCTGCTCCTCCCAGGCCACAGTGCTTTTCGTTTCAGTTTGCATTGTGTTCCATTTGTTTTATAAAGACGATAACTATCCCACAACCCCACAGCATCCCTCCCACCAGCCAGCTGTTTACAGGGTGCACAGGTGGCCACAAGAGAGGTGGGGAAGTTTGCAGATAACTCATTATAAGCCAGCCGTAGGCCTGGGTGGGGAGGCCTTTTGACCAGCGAGTGACTCATGCTTGCAGAGGAATAAGAAAACTGAACACGTATTGAGCACCTTCCATGTTTGGGTGCAGGGCGAGGCACATGGATGACTGCTTTATTTCATTCTGTTCTCTACCTTCACTGTATGAGAGTCGTAATCCCTGATAAAAGAGGAGGAAGGCGAAGGGGGCTGTGTTTTCTTGGCTTAACCCTATGACTCTGACCATAATGATAGCCCATTCCACTAAGCCTCAGTTTCCCATCTATAAAATGGCCATTCTACAGCCCCGCTTGACTATCTGCATTTATATAAAACCCCTAATTATGGCCGGGCGCAGTGGCTCACACCTGTAATCCCAGCACTTTGGGAGGCCGAGGCGGGCAGATCACCTGAGGTCAGGAGTTCGAGAACAGCCTGGCCAACATGGCAAAACCCCATCTCTACTAAAAATGCAAAAATTAGCCAAGCATGGTGGCGTGAGCCTATTGTACCAGCTACTCGGGAGGCTGAGGCAGGAGAATTGCTTGAACCTGGGAGGCGGAGATTGAAGTGGGCTGAGATCGTGCCCCTACATTCCAGTCTGGGCAGCAGAGGGAGACTCTATCTCAGACAAACCGGTGGAGGCAGGATTTAGCCCCCAGGCTATAGGTGAAGACCCCTTACCTGGAGGGCTCCCTCTTGGTTCAGTGGTTTTCAGATTGTATATGGGGTGGGTGCTGAGTGGAAGGTCTCAGCCTGGCCCCCTGCAGCAGCTGCAGCAACCTTGTTGTCTGTCTACACGTTGCTGTTTAATGTAAAGGTTTTTTTCAGCAATCAAGTCAGTTTGTAGGTGATGGTGGTGTGGTCTTGGGGGGGCAGCCAGATCCTGCACAATTCCTGAGGCTTGCTTTTTGTCTTGCTAGAGGGCAAGAAGCAGGGGAAGAGCCCCTGGAAGCACACAGAGGTGTTCTGCTCCATCCCATCCCGCTCCCTGCTCTCCCCAAGCTACTACCACAGCTTTGGAGTCACCGAGAACTATGTCATCTTCCTTGAGCAGCCTTTCAGGTTGGATATTCTCAAGATGGCAACCGCATACATCCGGAGAATGAGCTGGGCCTCCTGCCTGGCTTTCCACAGGGAGGAGAAGGTGAGGTCTGGCTGGACTCTAGCCCAGTGGGTGCTGGCTGACCATGGAGGGAGGCTGGTGTGCAGGAGGGTGAAGTTTAAGGCAAGGAAGTGGCATGGAAGAGGGAGGAGGCTACCAGAGGCATCTACCCACCTTCCAGCAAGTTCTGAAGCTGGATGGTCCTTCAGAATGGCCCCCAGGCCTTTGTACCCCCACGGTGATGAGTTATTGGATGAGGCTGTCCAGGCAAGGGGGTGCCATCTTGGGCAAACATGGAAGCCCTGGCAGTCCCCATATGCCCAGCAGCAAAAGGAGTGAGTCCTCAGTCCTTATGGAGAGCTGGGCTCCTCCCCACCTCCGCCCTGTTGACAAGACCCCTTAACCATGTCTGCTACCAGTGTGTAGCGTTGGGGCGGTAGCGGCCAGAGGTTTAGACATTGTAATGACAGTATGTTCCACCAGACAGTTCAATAGAAACCTCTCCTTCCATTCAGGTACACCTGAGTGCTCAAAGTATGTATGCACGTATTGCATGCTTGTATATGCACATATGCATGTATATGTGTACATGTATATGTGCATGTATGTGCATATGTGTATGAATACATGTACGTGTGCATGGGTGTATGTATGTATTACTAGTGTTTATTTACTTGTTGGGTTTTTATTGTGGGGGGGTTGTTTTTGAGACAGAGTGTTGCTCTGTCACCCAGGCTGGAGTGCACTGGTACAATCACAGCTCAGTGCACCCTCAACCTCCCAGGCTCAAGTGATCCTCCCAAGTAGCTGGAACCAGAGGCACATGTCTCTATGCCTGGCTAATTTTTTGTTGTTTTGTAGAGATTGGGGTCTTGCTATGTTGCCCAGGCTAGCCTCAAACTCTGGACTCAAGTGATCCTCCTCCCTTCCCCTCCCAAAGTACTGGGATTACATGTGTGAGCCATTGCACCTGGTCTTTTTTTTTTTTTTTTTTTTTTTGCGTTGTCACTTCACTTTTGTAAAATATCCAGTAGTTCTCAGTGTTACCTATTCAAAGAATATACAAGTATAGAAAGCCATGTATAAAATCCTCCCCAACTCACTTCCCCCCTCCTGCCTCCCATCCACCCCCACGTCTGAAGGGAGCCACTGCTACCCACTGACACTGTGTTACTCCACCATCTCTGCCTTCACGTGCACTTTTAGTTTTTCTTTTTTTTTTTTTTCAGATAGAGTCTCACTCTGTCACCCAGGCTGGAGCGCAGTGGTGCGATATCAGTTCACTGTAACCTCCGCCTACGTATCAAGCTATTCTCCTCTCTCAGCCTCCTGAGTAGTTGGGATTATAGGCACACGCCACAATGCCTAGTGAATTTATTTATTTATTTATTTTTTGAGATGGAGTTCCATGCTTGTCGCCTAGGCTGGAATGCAATGGCACATTCTTGGCTCACTGCACCCTCCACCTCCTGGGTTCAAGCGATTCTCCTGCCTCCACCTCCTGAGTAGTTGGGATTACAGGCAAGTGCCACCATGCCTGGCTAATTTTTTGTATTTTTAGTAGAGATGGGGTTTTGCCATGTTGGCCAGGCTAGTCTTGAACTCCTGACCTCAAGTGATCCACCTGCCCGGCCTCCCAAAGTGCTGGGATTACAGCATGAGCCACTGTGCCCTGCCAAGGCTCCAGTCTTAGATGGAGCCTGGCACCTGGCAGATTCTCCCCAACTTGGTCATTGCCAGGGAGCTGGGATGTCAGGACAATGGAACAAGGGGACCGTGCACACTGGAGCGTCTCTCCAAACACTGTCCTCCTAGTGACTGCAAAGACTCTGGCAGCAAAGCATCCCTCCTCTCCATCTGAAAGATATACTTATGGAAGTACAATAAACAGCTCTCATTTTGGGGGGCACTTTTGCCTGTCTGGTGTTGTGGAGCACACACAGAATGCAGAATGGGGACATAGTCCTGAGCCTAGCTCCTGGCGGGGCTGGGTTTTGTTCAGCCCCCAGATGCCACAGTGCCAGGCTGAGAGAGGGTGAGCTGAGCCCTTGATATGTGTCCTTTTTCAGACTTATATCCACATCATCGACCAAAGGACCAGGCAGCCTGTGCAGACCAAGTTTTACACAGACGCCATGGTGGTCTTCCATCACGTCAACGCCTACGAAGAGGACGGCTGCATCGTGTTTGACGTCATTGCCTACGAGGACAACAGCCTCTACCAGCTCTTCTACCTGGCCAACCTGAACCAGGACTTCAAGGAGAACTCCAGGCTCACCTCGGTCCCCACCCTCAGGAGGTTTGCCGTGCCCCTCCACGTGGACAAGGTAATGGCTTCCAAGGAGGTCCCTTTTCTTTCTAGAGAGATATCGGCCCAGGTGGGAAGTTACTTTGGCCCTTATTTGATTGACATTGAAATCCAAATGAACTGTTCTTGAAAAAAAAAAAAGTTTTCATTGTTTTTCCCAAAGTAGTACCGATTCATAATAAAAACTTTAGAAAATATAGATAAGTAAAAAGGAGAAAAAAATCCCTATAAACCTACCACCGAAGATGATCACTGTGGATATATATGTTTGTCTCCCAGTCTCTCTCTCTGTGTCTGTGTGTGTGTGTGTGTGTGTGTGTGTGAATCTTCATTTTAATCATATTGTACATAATTTTTTTTTTTTTGAGACGTAGTCTCGCTCTGTCACCCAGGCTGGAGTGCAGTGTTGCGATCTCTGCTCGCTGCAAGCTCCACCTCCCAGGCTCACGCCATTCTCCTGCCTCAGCCTCTGGAGTAGCTGGGACTACAGGTGCCCGCCACCATGCCCAGAGAATTTTTTGTATTTTTAGTAGAGACGGGGTTTCACCGTGTTAGCCAGGATGGTCTGGATCTCCCGACCTCGTGATCCACCCGCCTCGGCCTCCCAAAGTGCTGGGATTACAGGCGTGAGCCACTGCACCTGGCTGTCTTACATAATTTTTAACAGCTTTATTGAGATGTAATTGACACAGCATACAATTTGCCCTTTTATTTATTTTTTTTTTTATTTTTTTTGAGACAGAGTCTTGCTCTGTCACCCAGGCTGGAGTGCAGTGCCATGATCTAAGCTCACTGCAACCTCTGCCTCCTGGATTCAAGCGGTTCTCCTGCCTCGGCCTCTCAAGTACCTGGGATTACAGGCGCCTGCCACCACGCCCAGCTAATTTTTGTATTTTTAGAAAAGACGGGGTTTCACCATGTTGCTCAGGCTGTTCTCGAACTCCTGACCTCAGGTGATCCACCCACCTTGGCCTCCCAAAGAGCTGAGATTACAGGCGTGAGCCACCATGCCTGGCCTAATTTGCCCATTTAAAGTGTTTGACAGCCTTTGGTATGTTTTCACAGTTGTGCATCCACCACCACGATAAATTTTAGAACATTTTCATCACCTCCAAAACACACCCCACACCCCTTAGCCATCACCTCCTAGTCTTCCCCTCCCTGCCCCAGGCAACCTGTCATCTGCTCTCTGTCTCTGCAGACTTGCCCTTTCTAGACATCACGTATAAATGGAGTCTTACAATACGTGATCTTTTGTGTCCGGCTCCTTTCACACAGCACAGTGTTGTCAAGGCTCATCTGTGTTGTAGTCCGTATAAGTGCTTCATTTCTTTTTGTTGTTGTTGTTGGTTTTTGCTTGTTTGTTTGTTTTGAGACAGTCTCGCTCTGCCGCCCAGGCTGGAGTGCAGTGGTGTAATCTCGGCTCATTGCAACCTCTGCCTCTGAGGTTCAAGCAATTCTTGTGCCTCAGCCTCCTGAGTAGCTGGGATTACAGGTGCCCACCACCATGCCTAAGTTTTTGTATTTTTAGTAGAGGTGAAGTTTCGCCATGTTGCCCAGGCCGGTCTTGAACTCCTGAACTCAGGCAATCTGCCCCCCTACGTCTCCCAAAGTGCTGGGGTTTCAGGTGTGAGCCACAGTGCCCGGCCAGTACTTCATTTCTTTTTATGGATTAATAGGTACATACTATCTTACAGACTGCTTTTCTTTTCTTTCTTTTTTTTTTTTTTTTTTGAGAAGGAGTCTCGCTCTGTGGCCCAGGCTGGAGTGCAGTGGCGCAGTCTCAGCTCACTGCAAGCTCCGCCTCCCAGGTTCAAGCCATTCTCCTTCCTCAGCCTCCCAAGTAGCTGGGACTACAGACACCTGCCACCACGCCTGGCTAATTTTTTTTTTGTATTTTTTAGTAGAGACAGGGTTTCACCGTGTTAGCCAGGATGGTCTCAACCTCCTGACCTCATGATCCGCCCGCCTTGGCCTCCCAAAGTGCTGGGATTACAGGCGTGAGCCACCGCGCCCGGCCCAGACTGCTTTTCTACCTATTTATGTATCGAAACATCTCTCCATGACATTAAATATTCTTTGAAACATCACTTTAAACATTTGCCTAATCGTTCATGGCAGGGATTCATCACCATTTGCTTACACAATTCTCTGATGTTGGAAGTTCCGTTCTTGCACTAAGAATGACCACCAGGCCAGACATTATCCCCAATTAGGGTGATGTGGCCCAGGCTCTGGGCTTTACTTACAGAGACTTACAAAGGCTTCTGGCTCCAGAACTCACTGACTTCATGACTTAATTAATTTAAGTGAAACCAAATTCAATTCAATTAAATGTTGATGGCTTACATTGACTAAATGCAAGTTATGTGCCAGGTACTTTGCTAAGCATTTTGTTTTTCTTACCTCACTTAATGATCAAAACAACCTGTGGGAAACGTCCCTGTAGAAGCCTCATTTTACAGATGAACAAACTGAGGCTCAGAGAAGTTAAGAAATGTGGGCAAGGTCACAGCCCAGAGTGGCAGAGCCAAGACTGGAACCTGCCCCAGTCTGTCTCTAAACCCCCATTTTTTTTTTCTTTTTGTGGGGGATGGAGTCTTGTTGTGTCACCCAGGCTGGAGTGCAGTGGTTTAATCTCGGCTCACTGCAATCTCCGCCTCCTGGGTTCTAGCGATTCTCCTGTCTCAGTTTCCCAAGAAGCTGGGATTACAGGCATGTGCCAGCACACACAGCTCATTTTTTGTTTGTTTGTTTGTATTTTTAGTAGAGATGGGGTTTCACCATGTTGGCCAGGCTGGTCTTGAACTCCTGACCTCAAGTTATCCACCCACCTCGGCCTTCCAAAGTGCTGAGATTACAGGCATGAGCCACCGTGGCCGGCCCTAAACCCCTGTTTGTAACTACGAAGGAGGAGGAACTCTGCTATTCTCCCCAGTAGCCCTAAGTCCTAGGAAAGAGCCTCAGATGGGCCACACTTGGCACTCTGCAGGCCTGGCAGACGGTCCTACAGTGTCCAGGGAGCCTTTTCCCACCCTTACCGCCCAGTTTCTCAGTGCAGGAATTCAGCCACCCTCCCAGCCAGCGGGCAGGGGAGCTGGCGTTTGAACTGAGGTTTGTCTGACTCCAGAGCTGGGGTCCTCTCCCATCTCTCCAGCATTTTCCCACCCATGGCCATTTGTGTGTCTCTGCCATGGTTTTTGTCATATTTTATATCACCTCTACTTAACATTTAAAAATCCTTTTTTTTTTTTCATTTCAATCAATTCACTCTCTACTTAGCTCATTTGAAAGGAAACACATCACTACCCAGTAGAAAGCTGGCAATGCTTGCTGCACAGAGAAGACAAGCATGAGAATAAAATAGTGGAAATAAAGCAGAGGTCTTGAGCTCCAGCCAGAGGGCTGTGGCTTACCAAGACCTGATCTCTCTGTGAAAAAGCCAAGTTTTAAAAGTATTAGGCATTAAAGACATCGTGGCACCGCACTGAGACTCTCCTTGACCTAGTCAGAACAACTGGAAGAGAAAAAGGCATTGATTTTCTCCCCTATGTGACTCAGGGCTATTGGATGAACAGCCACGTCCCATGAAATCAGCACATGAGCCCTGGGCGCCTGCACCCCTTGCTCCAGAAGCACCGCAGTGCAGCCCCTCAGACTTTCTCCTGGTTCCAGGAAGTACTGAGGAGTAACAAGGCACAAAGGTAGTAAGTCTCAAGGCTGACCTCAGCCTAGGGATAGTACACAGAGAGGAACATACTCCCTCCCACTGCCACACCTTACAAGATTTTATAACCTTTTGTCATGCTCGAGAATGCTTTGCTGCCTTGGAACCAAGCTAAGAATGTTAGCTTGTGTATCTTTTTTTTTTTTTTTTTTTTTTTGAGACAGAGTCTCGCTCTGTCGCCCAGGCTGGAGTGCAGTGGCGTGATCTCGGCTCACTGCAAGCTCCGCCTCCCGGGTTCACGCCATTCTGCTGCCTCAGCCTCCCTAGTGGCTGGGACTACAGGCGCCCGCCACTACACCTGGCTTATTGTTTTGTATTTTTGGTAGAGACGGGGTTTCACCGTATTAGCCAGGATGGTCTCGATCTTCTGACCTCGTGATCCGCCTGCCTCAGCCTTCCAAAGTGCTGGGATTACAGGCGTGAGCCACTGCGCCCAGCCCCCTAGCTTGTGTATCTTTAAAAGCCATCAGGTGTTCAGGCACAGTGGCTCACGCCTGTAATCCCAACACTTTAGGAGGCCCAGGCAGGTGATCACCTGAGGTCAGGAGTTCAACACCAGCCTGGCCAACAAGGTGAAACCCTGTCTCTGCTAAAAATGTAAAAATTAGCTTGGCGTGGTGGCCCCTGCCTGTAATCTTAGCTACTCAGGAGGCTGAGGCAGGAGAATTGCTTGAACCCAGGAGGTGGAGGCTGCAGTGAGCTGAGATCCCACCACTGCACTCCAGCCTGATCCCGCCACTGCACTCCAGCATGGGCAACAGAGTGAGACTCCATCTCAAAAAAAAAAAAAAAGAAAGCTGTCATATGAACCATCTGCTGCTTTGAAACTAGCAAAGGAAAGCAAGCCCTGGGATGGGTAGCTCCAGCCACGCTTTTTAATTGCTACTTATTGTCCCTTAAATATGTCTTCTTACTGCACTTTCAATGGCTCCGCCTGCATAGTGAAATCAGAAAGTCAGGCAGGTGGACAGAGCCTTACATGCCCTGATCCAGCAGCTTTGGCTCCACCCCATCCAGAGGTTTACTGGAGAAGCGACTTCAGGAAGATGCTGCCCTTACTCAGATGCCCTCTGGGCCTGAGGCCTTTGCAGGACATTGCTTTCCCCTCTGTCTGAAACCCTGTCCTCCTGGGCTGACACTCCTGCTCCCCCTGGCTGGCTGCACATTGGGATCCCCTGGAGAGCCCTGAGACCCCCATGTCCGGGCCTTGGCTTCCGCCCAGACCGGGGAAGCCCAGGCCCGGGTGTGGTCTCAGAAACCCCCAGTGATTCTGCAGTGCAGCCGTGGCAGAGAACCTCCAAGGTCAGGGATCAGCAGCATGACCCCGCAGCTGAGTCCGTATCCTCTAATGGCGCCTTGTAACTCTTTGTCAACATTTATCTCAAGTGTAAGTAACTTGTTCATTTCCCTCTTCCTGTTCAAGCCTAAGTTCTGGGAGGACAGGGACTCTGTCTCATCAGCAGTTCATCTGCTGCACTCAGAGGGTGCTCTTAAATATTTGAAATGAATGAATGAATGATGAATACATGAAAAATGGGAAGCAAGTTCTCTAAAAGGGCGCAGCATCTTCCTTCAGCCTTTGGAACCCGTCCCAAGTGAAAAGTGCTTCCCACATAGAACAGGCAATAGCAAATTCTATTTAAAAGGCCAGGAGGTCCTGAATGTCCCAGATTCTCTTGCTTTGGGACCAGCTGGGGTCAAAGGAAGGCAGGGCTGGCAGGGCCTCTGGGCACCGTGGGCCTGTTTACGCAGGGCGGTGTGGGGGTGCCTGAGGCAGGGCTTAGCAGTGGCGGGGTGTGGCTGGGAGGGGTGTGGGCAGGGGTGGGTCATCTGGACCTTGGCCCTGCCCTGGTGCTGCAGGGCGCTGTGTGAGGCCCGAGGTTCGTGTGCACCCACGCCTAAGGGGCATTCACAGGAGGAAGCACTGTGGACCTGGAAGGGATGGCTTTGATGACTGGATCAGTGGGTTTGGTTTCTGTCTCCAAATGCACAAATGCAGACACTCCAGTAAGAGAAGCACCATTCATGGAGGACCCGCTAGGTGCCAGGCTCTGTGTTCAATGCCTTTTCTGCTCTTAGACCCTGGCAAGAGGGGCCCCTGCTCTGGGTTTGGCACTTTGGAGGACTGTGGTCCAGGCTTTCTTTCTCTAGCAGGACCCGTACTCCACAGGGTGAGTTCACAGGGCCAAGGCATTCTGACTACCCAGAGGGGTGCTTCCACCCCCACCCCAACCATGTGCTGGACACCTGGGATCCCAGAAGCTCCTGAAGGGCCCAGCCTTGCTTCCAATACCCGTCTTCCTAAGGGCAGACTGCCACTCTGCTGTTCCTGCCACAGGCCCATGAGGTGGCCAGGGCTGGCTGTTGCCTTGGTTGTGCTGGCTAGGGCATCCACGCAGTGAGGGATGGAGCCTGGGATGAGGCAGGAAGGAGCCAAGGGCCAGAGACTGCCTTATTCCAGCTCAGAACTCTAAGGAGTCCTGGGGTTCTCAATTCACAGTCATCCTTTCAGACCAGCACAGTGCATTGCTGGAACATTCTGTCTGTCCAACACAGTAGCTACTAACTACGAGTTGTTATTGTACACTTGAAATGTGGCTGGTGCAGCTAAGGAATTGAATTTTTAATTTTACTTAAGCTTATTTTAAAATTAAATTTAAGGCCAGGCATGGTGGCTCACGCGTGTAAACCCAGCACTTTGGGAGGCCAAGCCAGGCAGATCACTTGAGGTCAGGAGTTCAAGACCAGCTTGGCCAACATGATGAAACCCCATCTCTACTAAAAATACAAAACTTAGCCAGGCATGGTGGCTCATGCCTGTAACCTCAGCTACTCAGGAAGCTGAGGCAGGGGAACTGCTCGAACCCGGGAGGCGGAGGTTGCAGTGAGCTGAGATCGTGCCACCGTATTCCGCCTGGATGACAGAGTGAGACTCGGTCTCAAAAAAAAAAAAAAAAAAAGTAAAATAAAATAAAATTAAATTTAAATCGCAACATATGGCTAGCGATTGCCGTTTGGGACAGCCTGTTCCACGCCATCATGAAGGGCTGCGTGTCAAGGCAGGGAGAGAGATGGTGTTGGACTTAATTTGCTTGGTGTATTTAGACAGAAGGTTGGTGGGCCTCCACTTGTACTCTCCTCCTGGCTCCTGTGAATTTTAGGGGCTGTGAAGTGCTTTGCTAATCTTCATCACAATGTTCTAAGTTATTTATGATCCCCCACGTCTACAGATGAGAAAGTAACTTGCCCAACTTTTTAGAATCATCCCCAGGACTTGAGCTGGAACTGGAATGTACGCCTGTCTGCCTGCACGATGTGTGTGGCCCTGGACCAGCCTATTTTTCTCAACCATTATTTAATTTAATCCTAACATAATGCTCAGATGCAGGTGGAAACCGCCTCACTTATACCCAGCACCACACTAAAAGTTATGAATCACCACCCCGATTTTACACAGTGGAGGAAACTAGCTCTGAGAAAAAGAGGTCTGCTCGAATCTGCATGGAAAACCACAGCGTTGAATTTCATATGGCAGGCAGCATTCTAGGGGATGACAGTGATGACTGCTTCTTATGAGAGTTCCCTTAAGTGTCGGGATTTCAATGTAAGCTTGCAAGATGGTGCTGGATTCTGGCTGGAAAGTGATGTCTTCCTAAAACTGAGCATGCTGGCCACTGAAAGCAGCCAAGTCATGTTTGTTATTGCTGTGTGTGGAAAAATTCACAGTTTATTCCTCAACCAGTCCGACCAGTTTGGGGCTGGAGTTATAAGATGTCTGTGCAGACCAACTCCCTAAGAATCAAGGCTGGAATGTGCCCAGAGGTCTCTTGCTGTCACATGCTTAGCAAGGTACCAGGAAGGGCCTCCCACCAGCTTGCAGAGCCATGGAGGTGGAGGCATTGAAAGTTTCTGTTTATTTTATTTTATTTTTTTTTGAGACAGAGTCTCGCTCTGTCGCCCAGGCTGGAGTGCAGTGACGCGATCTCGGCTCATTGCAACCTCCGCCTCCCAGGTTCAAGCGATTCTCCTGCCTCAGTCTCCTGAGCAGCTGGGACTACAGGCATGTGCTACCACGCAGGGCTAATTTTTACATTTTGAGTAGAGATGGGGTTTCACCATGTTAGCCAGGCTGGTCTCGAACTCCTGACCTCAGATGATCCACCCACCTCGGCCTCCCAAAGTGCTGGGATTACAGGCATGAGCCCCCGCACTCAGCTAAATGTTTCTAAGAAGCCACCGATGTGCCAGGTGCTGGGCTCCTTTGTCTCTGCATTTCCTCTCATTTGATTCTTACAGCCACCGTGCAAAACAAGTCTTGCCCCTTGACAGCCCAAAGAAAAGCTTATTGAGTTGTGCATTCACTCATTAATTCAGCGATTACTTCCTGGGCACTAGGTGCCAGGCACTGAGCAAAATCTGGTCCCTGGCTTCATGCGGCAGACAAGCTAAAATAAGGAAAAGAGCTTCATAAAGGAGATAATTACAGCTCAGGGCCAGTGCCTTGGAGACACTGCAGATTCCAATGGAGTTGTTAGGGAAGGGGTGTTTCTTCTGAGACCTCAGGGTTTGGGGAAGAACCAGCCTCAGGGCCTTTGCACTGCCTTCACCCTCTACCAGCAATGCTCTTGCTTCTGGGCCAAAGAATCAATGCAAAGGCCCCAGGCACAGGGTCTGCTTCTCTCCATGTGACTTTGGACCAGTCCCTTTCCTTCTCTAGGCCTCAGTTACTTCTACAAATCGAGACTGAATTAAACAAATTTCCGAGGACCCTTGCGGTTCAGCTGCTAAGTTGCAGTAAACTTTTCATGCTCTCCAACAAAAATGCTGCTATCCCTAAAATAGGTTGGTTTTAATTATAAAAGCCATTTTGAGCCAGGTGTACTGGCTCATGCTTGTAATCCCAGCACTTTGGGAGGTCAAGAGAGGAGGATCACTTGAGCCCAGGAGTTCGAGACCAAGCTGGGCAACATAGTGAGACCCTGTCTCTACAAAAAATACAAAAATTAACCAAGGATGGTGACGCATGCCCGTAGTCCCCCAGCTACTCAGGAGGCTGAGGTGGAAGGATCACTTGAGCCTGGGAGTTTAAGGCTACAGTGAGCTGTCATCACACTACTGTACTCCAGCCTGGGCGACAGAGCAAGACCCTGTCCCAAAATAAAATAGAAGCTATCTTAGAAAATGTAGAAAGTAGAGAAAAGTTTAAATGAGAAGTCAGCCATAACAATAATGTTCCATCCTCTTGTTCCTCAATATCTTCCAGAGCCTAACCCGTAGTCACCTCCAGTAGTGGTGGCAGCAATATAATAATAATAAGTGATAGTAGTAGTAGTATGGTAATAATAGTAATAATAATATAACAACGTCATCAATAGAAGCAGCTGACATTCATCTAGCACTTATTGTGAAGCAGGCATTCTTGTGAATCATTTGTGCAGATGATGTCATTCAGTCTGCACAATAACTCAAAGATGCATATGCTATTAATATACACATAAGGAAACGGAACTATAGAGAGGCCAACTGACTTGCTCAAGGCCCCACGGTTAGTACATGAGGGAAACAGGGAGTAGTAGATGCTCAATAAATATTTAATCATGCTAAATCCCTCCCCTTGCTTATACTGATGACAGTAAGATACTGAACACAGCAAAATCTGACTGTAAATTGAGACCAAGAAATGTCCTTGAAGGCTGTTTTGCCACCAAATAATTTTTATTGCATGTTTGTTTTCATTTCTGCAGTGATAACTTTTCCTAGAAGAAAATACTGAAAATACAGAGAGGCATACAAAAAAGAAATTAAAGTCCCCCCAATCCCATCATCTGTTGTATTTTTAATATTTAGTATATTTCTGGCTGGGCGTGGTGGCTCACGCCTGTAATCCCAGCACTTTGGGAGGCCGAGGCGGGTGGATCACTTGAGGTCAGGAGTTCAAGACCACCCTGGCCAACATGATGAAACCCCATCTCCACTAAAAATATAAAAATTAGCCAGGCATGGTGGAATGAACCTGTAATCCCAGCTACTCTGGAGGCTGAGGCAGGAGAATCGATTGAACCTGGGAGGCAGAGGTTGCGGTAAGCCAAGATCACACCACTGCACTCCGGACTCCAGTCTGGGCAACAGAGTGAGACTCCATCTCAAAAAAAAAAAAAAAAAAAAAAAAAAAAAAAAAAAAAAATTACACACACACACAGACACACACACACACACACACACACACATTTAGTATATTTCTCTGTCTCTTCTCCGTGTAACTTTTTTAATGTGGTTGAGCTCAGACTGCATACGCAATTTGTCCTGTTGCTGCTTTTACTCAGTGTTATGTGATAAGCATTTCCCATGTTGTTGTAAACTCTTTAGAAGCATCCTTTTAACGACTGATGCAGCTTTTTATAGGTGAATCATCTAGTACTTTAAAAGTGAGAACTTACTCTCAGAAGCACATTAATTTTCCCTGTGAGGGATAAGGCAGGCTCAGAGTAAGAGAAAAGAGTCCTATCACCTACCAGGTATGTGACCTTGGAGGAGTCACCTTAAATGGCCAATCCTCATTTTTTAAACTGAGACTAAGGATAACAACAGGAAACGAGCTGCTTCCTATGATTAATGTGAGGCTAAGCCAAGATGACATGTATTCAAGCATTTTAAAAAATATATACACTAAAGCAAATGTTTGCTCTGGATTACACGTTTTTATTTTACTTTTTGAAAACTGAATTTTTTCAGAATGCAGAAGTGGGCACAAATTTAATCAAAGTGGCATCTACAACAGCCACGGCCCTGAAGGAAGAAGATGGCCAAGTCTACTGCCAGCCGGAATTTCTTTATGAAGGTAAAATGCATCCTCTTGTCCTGAGTTTAGGAAAGGGGCAGATTTTCACAGGGAGCCCAGAGGCCTCTTTACATAATAATTCCCTCCTGTGCATGGACAAGGGCCAAAAAGGAAAGGGTCTTGGGATGCCCTGGTGAAAAGCATCTGGGGACATTTCTCTTTTCTCTATCTTCAAATGCTTCCTAGGAAGGCAATGGGTGAGGCCAGGCACGGTGGCTCCCACCTGTAGTCTCAGCACTTTGGGAAGCTGAGGGAGGCAGATCACTTGAGGCCAGGAGTTCAAGACCAGCCTGAGCAACATGGCGAAACCCCATCTCTACTAAAAATACAAAAATTAGCCGGGTGTGGTGGCGCATGCCTGTGGTCCCAGCTACTCAGGAGGCTGAGGCATGAGAATCACTTGAGCCCAGGAGGTGGAGATTGCAGTGAGTTGAGATTGTGCTATTGTACTCCAGCCTGGGCAACAGAGCAAGACACTGTCTCACAAAAATAAAAATAAAAATAGGAAGGCAGTGGGTGGTTGTTGGGCCAGATGACTTCTGCAAATGCTGTCCCTTACTGAACATGGGCTTACTGAACAGGCACAATACATTTCCATTTCTTCCTCTCAACATCCACAATATCCTGCAAAAATAGGTGTTATCGGCCCCGTAATATAGCGAAGAAAACTAGGCCTGGGAGTCCTTGAGGTACACACAGAAAGCAGACCCTCTAGAACAGGAGTCACACCCGTGGAGCAGGGCTCCTCAATCTGGGCACCATCGCCATCTGGGGCTGGGTCATTCTTTGCAGTGGGTGCTGTCCAGGGAATTGTAAGATGTTTAGCCACATCCCTGGCCTCTACCCACTGGAAGCCAGGAAGACCCCCATCCTGAATTGGAGCAGCCAAATATGTCTCCAGACATTGCCAGCATCTCATGGGAGCACCATTGCCATGATGGAGAACTTCTGCCCCAGAATATAAGCCCGTGAGGCGAGAATTGTGTTGCTGTGCTCACAGCGTATCAGCAGCACATGACACAAAGGCTGGCATAGAGAGGTCTGTGTTCCATACGCCAAAGTGCAGAATGAATGGACTTGTCCAAGGAGACTCAGCTAGAGAGTGGGACAGAGTGCATTTCAACTGAGCGCATTGGCTGGGCACGGTGGCTCACGCCTGTAATCCCAGCACTTTGGGATGCTGAGGTGGGCAGATCACTTGAGGCCAGGAGTTTGAGACCAGCCTGGCCAACATGGCGAAAACACATCTCTACCGAAAATACAAAAATTAGCCGGCATGGTGGTGCACGCTTGTAATCCATAATCCCAGCTACTCAGGAGGTTGTGGCAGGAGAATTGCTTGAACCCCGAAGGCAGAGCAGAGAGCTGAGATTGCGCCACTGCACTCCAGCCTGGGCAACAGAGACTTTGCCTCAAAACAAAAAACAAAAAACAAAAACAAAAACAAAAAACCCTGAGAGCCTTGTTCCATCAGCTGCCCCATGCCAGGAGGTTTGGGCATCTGGAAGAGCACATAGACTTGGGGACTCTTTTAGGATGACCCTTGGATTTGACCTAAGAATCCACTTCTGTAAAAGGCATCCCATGCATCCCATAACCGGTTCTGTGATGCAACTCATTCCCCTGGAGTCTTTAGAAATGAATCAATAGATGATGCCAGGTCTGAAGGCATCAACCCCCAACCCCCATCCCTGCTCACCCACCACATCCCTTTTTTTTTTTTCCTGAGAAGACCACGCTTGTTTATTGTTGCAATATTGTCCACACTAAAAAGTGTAACAATAAAGAAACCACCCGTAATCCCTGCCCCCGTGACAGCGCTTTGGGCTACCCATCCAATCCTCCCATCATGCATGGATTGTGTGACATAGGCCGGGTCCCTTCTGGCGAGTTCTCAGACTCTCTCATTTCATCCCGGCAGTGTCATTCTTTTATTGTTGACATTAGATTTGTTCACGTACATCAAGGGCTTAGTGTGGGGTCTGGCCTATAGGGAGAGTCCAGCCATTGGCAGCAATATTAGAACAGTCCTAAGAAGCAGGCTCAGACAATCTCAAAACTTGCCAAAAGGCAGGCAGCAGAGCCAGGTTCTGACCCCAGCAGTCTCTTATCCCAGAGCCCATTGCCTCTGCATTTGTACTTTTGCAAAATGCATTCCATATCATCTAGAATGTTCCGAAGCTGCCTCTTGCACTTAATGTATGTAACCTGAGTATTTTCCCACATCCTGAAGATTCTTCAAGAACATGGCTGTTAAGGACCGGGCATGGTGATTCACACCTATAATCCCAGCACTTTGGGAGGCCAAGCCTTAATTTCATGTAACTACTGGCCAGGCGCAATGGCAATTACAGGCATTACTCATGCCTGTAATCCCAGCACTTTGGGAAGCTGAGACAGGTGGGGCATCTGAGGTCAAGAGTTTGAGACCAGCCTGGACAACATGGCAAAACCCCATCTCTATTTAAAAAAAAAAATACAAAAATTAGCCGGGGGTAGTGGTGCACACCTGTAGTCCCAGCTACTTGGGAGGCTTAGGCAGGAGAATCGCTGGTCTGAGAGGGGCCCAGGAACATCTTGGAAGTCTCAGGCCTACTTTGAGGTCAAGGGCAGGCACCTTCTTCTTATCTAAGTATGGGAGTGTTCCCTCTGCCTCACCTTCATCTGGGCCTGTCCCTTGGAAGTTTCATGCTTTCTCATTTGTGGGATTGGACATCTGCTTCCCATCTCAATACTTCATTCCCCTTCCCGCCCCACTGAGCCTAATCAGCATTTATCCATGGATGTATCTCTGCTTCCTCTTTTCTTGGACATTATATCTTCACCAGCAGTTGGCGGCAACCACCTAGAATATTTCCTAAGAGTTGAACATCCATTTCAGTATTCAGACTTAGAAATTCAATTTGATGCAATAGGCATATATACATATATACACATTTACGGCCAAGCACGGTGGCTCACACCTGTAATCCCAGCACTTTGGGAAGCTGAGACGGGCGGATCATGAGGTCAGGAGATCGAGACCATCCTGGCTAACATGGTGAAACCCTGTCTCTACTGAAAATACAAAAAAAAAAAAAAGTAGCCGGATGTGGTGGCACGCACCTGTAGTCCTAGCTACTTGGGAGGCTGAAGCAGGAGAATTGCTTGAACCTGGGAGGCGGTGGTTGCAGTGAGTTGAGATTGAGCCACTGCACTCCAGCCCAGGCGACAGAGCTAGACTCCATCTCAAAACAACAACAACAAACAAACTATATATATATATATTTTTATATATTTATATATTTATATATAAATATATATTTATATATTTATATATAAATATATATTTATATATACACACACATTTACAGAGAAAAAATAATATTTTTGATTATGTAAAAATAATAAGCATGATGAAAATTTCACATAATGAGAAACTTAGATTCTATCATAGAAAATGTAAACTGTAAGGCAGTTAGAACCCCAGCAATGCTTCCAAATTTTTTCTCTTCATTTGTAACCTAGCGGAGATACAATAATTCTATAACCAGCATTTTACACTTAACCTTATGGTATGGACACTTGCCCATGTTATTAAAATCATTTGTAAATGTTGTTTTTCCATAATGTTATTATAGAATTCACCAGATTTAATTAACTGTTCTCCATTGACACCCTTTTCCACAGCTTCCCATTCTGTTTTATTTTTTAGTTTTTATTTTAGAGATGGGGTTCTTGCCATGTTGAGCAGGTTGGTCTCAAACTCCTGGCCTCAAGCGATCCTCCCATCTCAGCTTCCCAAAGTGCTGGGATTACAGGCATGAGCCACCATGCCTAGCACAGCTTCCTATTTCTTTTCTTTTTGTTTTGTTTTGTTTTCTTTTCTTTTCTTTTCTTTTTTTTTTTTTTCGAGACAGAGTCTCACTCTGTGGCCCAGGCTGGAGTGAAGTGGCACGATCTCGGCTCACTGCAACCTCTGCCTCCTGGGTTCAAGTGATTCTCCTGCCTCAGCCTCCTGAGTAGCTGGAATTACAGGCATGCGGCACCATGCCTGGCTAATTTTCTTTGTATTTTTAGTAGAGGGAGGGTTTTGCCATGTTGGCCAGGCTGGTCTCAAACTCCCGAACTCAAGTGATCTGCCCGCCTCGGCCTCCCAAAGTGCTGAGATTACAGGCATGAGCCACTGCGCCCAGCCAGCTTCCCATTTCTCATCACATATGTGCACATGCACGCACACATATATACACATCAGCACTTTTTTGAAAAAAAGCTTTAAGAAATTGCAGTAGCCTCTGATTTTAATCATGCAATTCTCTTTGATTTCTATGTTGGATAATTAAAGATGTTTATACACTTAAAACCTAGGTCTGGAGTACCTTGCTCCTGGACTCTCTAATAGAGCTGGGGTAATTAAATTACCAGAGGCTCCCTCCCCTGCCTTTGACCACCTTTGATCCAATGCAGGCTCTAAATCAAGCTCAAGGATCTTGGTGTGGAAACGGATTCTGAGGAAAGGCTACCCAATCTGACAGGAAGGGTGGATGCTCCCAGCCCCCAATGATAGGGGCTTCATCCACCTCCTCATTTCCTTGTAGGCTTAGAGCTTCCACGGGTCAATTATGCTCACAATGGAAAGCAATACCGATATGTCTTTGCTACAGGAGTTCAGTGGAGTCCAATCCCAACCAAGGTACTGGTCTCTGTGTATTCACAAGCCTTTCCTACAGTGATTGTGTCTATATGCAAAGCTGAATTCTAAGGTTCTGAGACGTTGATTAGAAAAGAGGAGGTCAGAAGGAGTAAGCCTAGGATAAAATAAATTTGAAGTAAGGATGTTCAGCTGGGAGAGGGAGTGGTACCTAATGGGCTAAGGTTCAGGTAAGAGGTTGTGGCTGGAGTTTATTCACTGATTTCTTTATTCAATACATATTTAATGAGCACCAATTATGGGCTACAATGTGGTAGGCACTGAGGGTAAGGAAGTCAGCAGGGAGATTCCCAATCCCTGACCTAAGGAACTCACCCTCTCCAGCAGAGAGGGTGTAGCTGAAACTTAGAGGATTTATTTTGCTTCTTTTTTTGTTTTGTTTTGTTTTTTCCTTTTTATTTAAAAAAAAAATACAGAAAGAGACAGAGTCTCATTGTGTTGTCCATGCCTGTCTTGAATTCCTAGGTTCAGGGGATCCTCCTGCCTCAGCCACCAAAAGTGCTGGATTACAGCCTCGAGCCACCATGCCTGGCCCATTTTGCTTCTTAAGCTACCATTTGTCAAACACTTACTGTGTTCTGGGCACTGTGCTAAGTGCTGTGCAGGTGTCACTTCTTTTTAATGTCTTCATTTTTCATAATAAAATGGAAAATCTTTTTTTTAAAATGCAAACAGAGCAGGAATGTACACAGCCAAAAATTAAGCCTCCACCCCTCCATACCCCAAGCCACTCTCCACTAATCCCAAACCCCAGAGGGAAATAGGCCTATTGGGAGATTAAGAGAGATTCAGGGAATTGCACCCTTAAAGCAACAAAGGGGTTGTATTGTACTTTAAATGTTTGCATTGAATATATTCATTTATTTAACTCATATAAAATTGCAGTGCAATTTCAAATACAAGATATGTTCGATATTTTTAGGCAGGGTGTGGTGGCTCACGCCTGTAATCCTAGCACTTTGGGAGGCTGAGGATTGCTTGAGACCAGGAGTTCGAGACCAGCTTGGTCAACAATAGCAAGACCCTGTCTCTATATTAAAAAATAATAATAAATTTTAAAAGATTTTAATTTTTAAAAGAATTCCTTCTACAGTATCAGCTACGTGGTGGCCAGAGGACCCATGTTTAAAACTGGGGGAGGAGGCCGGGCGCGGTGGCTCACACCTGTAATCCCAGCATTCTGGGAGGCTGAGGTGGGCGGATCACCTGAGGTCAGGAGTTCAAGACCAACCTGGCTATGGTGAAACCCCGTCTCTACTAAAAATACAAAAAATCAGCCAGGTGTGGTGGCACACGCCTGTAATTCCAGCTACTCAGGAGGCTGAGGCAGGAGAATCACTTGAACCCGGGAGGCCGAGGTTGCAGTGAGCCAAGATCACGCCATTGCACTCCAGCCTGGGCAACAGCCTGGAAACTCCGTCTCAAAAAACAAACAAACAAACAAAAAACTGGGGGAGGAGAGTTAGCTCCTGTCCTTTCTTGGCTGTGCTCACCAGAGGTAGCTGTCATTGGGAGACTACGTCAAAAGTCTACATCCGATGGGCTTCATCTCCTCTGTGTGGATCTTCATGCACTCCTATTTGCAGAGAATAGTATTCTCTCAAACAAGTCATTTATGTGTTTTTCCTCGTTGGATGTACAGATAATAAAATATGACATTCTCACAAAGTCATCCTTAAAATGGAGAGAGGACGACTGCTGGCCAGCGGAACCCCTGTTTGTGCCCGCGCCAGGTGCCAAGGATGAGGATGACGGTAAGACTCTAAGAAGCCACGCCTAGTTGCTGCACGTTACTGCAGATCGCCCTCCAACAGAGACACCATCTGGGGGCAGCTGACCCCCCCAGGTCATAAAGGGGGTGGATTGGTGCTTTGAAGTGTACATCTGTCTGGGTCAAAGCTAAAGGGTGAGGGAGTCCCCAAGACCACCTTTACTTCTGATACCAATTGCAAAGTTTGAGGGTCCCCAAGATAGCCTTCAGCTTCAATAATTCATTAAATCACCAACCTCACTGCAAGTGCTTATGTTCACAGTTCTGGTTTGTGGCAATGAAAAGATACAGACTAAAATTAGCACAGGGAAGAGATGCACAAGACAGAGCCCAGCAGGGACCAGGCAGGAGCTTCCAGGTGCCTCTCCAAGTAGAGTCACAGATAGCACTGACTTCTCCCGACAATGACGTATGACAATACTCACCGAGTATTACTGCCAGCCAGGAAGCTCCCCTGAGACTCAGTATGGAGAGTTTTTATTGGGACTCAGTCATGTAAACATGGTTGACTGCCTGTGTGTCTGACCTTTATTTAGTCTTCAGTCCTCCTGGAGATCAAGTTCATACCACACGGCACAAGGCCCCACCATAAATCCCACTGTAAGGGTAGACTGCCTGATGTGGCCCAAGGCCCCCAGGTATACAAAGATACTTGTATCAAGCAGGACATTCGACGGGTATAGAGGTGACCTCCCAGAAGCTGAGGACAAAAGCCAGCCCCCTCTTTAGACAAGTTTAAGTTTTTTACCGCACAAAGTCCATCTCCTTTCCACTCAGTGACATTAAACTCTCTCAGAATGCAGAATCTTGGTTTTAAAATTGATTGCAGTGGCTGGATCCCAAACAAATGTTTTTAAGAAATGGAGTCTTGCTCTGTTGCCCAGGCTGGAGTGTAGTGGCATGATCATAGCTCACTGCAGCCTCAAACTCCTGGGCTCAAGTGATCCTCCTGCCTCAGCCCACCAAGTAGCTGGAGCTACAGGGGCACACCACCATGCCTAGCTCATTCTTTTTATTTTTTTGTAAAGAAAGGGTCTCACTATGTTTCCCAGGCTGGTCTCAAACTCTTGGGCTCAAGCGATCCTCCCATCTTGGCCTCCCAAAGTGCTGGGATTACAGGTGTGAGCCAGTGCACCTGGCCTGGATCCCGGATCCAAATTTTTAACAATGTATAAGCATGTAAATGTTTCACAGAGCCGCTGGAAATGTGTATTTGTGGCCCACCTCTATTTTCTAGGTTTCCACTTGACTGAATGATGCTTTCCCTCTTCCATTCTCAGAAATGCTTCAGAAATGCCCTGCCCACAGCCCTGAGGAGGCTAAGGAGGGTAACTAGAACCATAGGTGGGGATGCCACCTGGCCACACCAGCAATGGGGCTGCCACACCTGCAAGGAGGGCAGGCTGCCCCACTTGAGCCTGCCAGCTTCTTCCCTCAGGTCACAAGGGAGTGGTTTTCCACCTGGGCCTTGTCTTCCTACTGATCATGGCATGGCACGCCAGGCCAGCAACCCTGTGTCACTGTCATCTCCAAGGCGGGGGACCACAGGCCTTGCCTCCTGTTCAGGTCGTTCTCCCACTCAGTGGGACACTTCCTTTACATTCTCTGTGAGGAGGGAGTATCGTTGTCTTCATTTTACCAATGGGATGCTCAGAGAGTGACCTTTTTGCCCAAGGTCACACACCCCTTACATTCAGAGGTAAGATTTAAATCCAGGCCAATCTGACCTCAACGATGCTCAACTGCTCTTCCACCTGGGACCCTCTGGAGGCATTGAGAGTATTTGCAGGAAGTTGATATGCATTATTTCATTTAACTCTCTATCCCTTCAGAGTGAGTATTGAGAGTATTTCCATTTTACAGAGGGGAAGGATGAGTTTAGTAGCACTGCTACATGTGCAAGAGATGAATTGGGCCCATTGAAATGCCATTCTTCAAGCCAGGTGCGGTGGTTCATGCCTGTAATCCCAGCACTTGGGAGGTCAAGGTAGGCAGATCGCTTGAGCCCAGGAGTCCAAGACCAGCATGGGCGATATAGGGAGACCCCATCTGACAAAAAATACAAAAATTAGCCAGACGTGGTGTCATGTGCCTGTAGTCCCAGCTACTTGGAGGGCTGAAGTGGGAGGATAGCTTGAGCCCAAGAGATCGAGATTGCAGTGAGCTGTGATCACACCACTGCACTCTAGCCTGGGCAACAGAGTAAGACCCTGTCTCAAAAAAGCAAAACAAACAAACAAAAAACCGAATACCACTCTTCGATGCCTGCAATAATTTACAGAGTGCTTTCAAAATCCATCATTCAGGAGATACTCTCGGCAACCCTGTGGAGTGTAGGTGAGATTATCGCATCTCTACAGATGAAGAGACTGAGGCTCCGAGAGGTCAAGGGACTGGCCCAGCCAAGGGTAGAACCAGGTTTTCTGGTTTGTTCATTCGTTTGTTTGTTCGTTTGTTTTGAGGCCGTGTTTCACTCCGTCACCCAGGCTGGAATGCAATGGCACGATCTCGGCTCACCGCAACCTCCACTCCCAGGTTCAAGTAATTCTCTGGCTTCAGTCTACTGAGTAGCTGAGATTACAAGCACCCACCACCACACCCAGCTAATTTTTGTATTTTTAGTAGAGATGGGGTTTCACCACGTTGGCCAGACTGGTCTCAAACTCCTGATCTGAAGTGATCCGCCCACCTCTGCTCCCAAAGTGGCGGGATTACAGGCGTGAGCCACCGCGCCCGGCCTAGAACCAGGTTTTCTGATGCCTAGTTGCCAGGCCTTTCCCTTCTGTTACAGTGTCTCAAATTCACTCCCTCCTGTTTTGGTTAGATACATATGTTTAAAGAGGGCAGAGAGACATGCTGAGAAATTCATCCCTCCGACTGAAGCCTGCACTTTTACGAAGTGTTTTTTTTCTGTTTCCCTAAAGGAGTAATCTTATCAGCCATTGTCTCTACTGATCCCCAAAAGCTGCCTTTTCTGCTCATTCTGGATGCCAAAAGCTTTACGGAATTGGCCCGTGCCTCTGTTGATGTCGATATGCACATGGATCTCCATGGATTATTCATTACAGACATGGACTGGGACACAAAAAAGCAGGCCGCTTCTGAGGAACAGCGGGACAGGGCTTCCGACTGCCACGGGGCTCCTCTGACCTGATGGTGTTGGGGTTTGGGTAGGGGAGGGGAGCTCGGCTGTCAGAACTCCATGGATATGTTTCTTTGGATGGAGGGGAGGGCCTTTGTTACCTTTTGCACTTATTCTTTCTGTGGGTGCTTTGACAAGGGCATGGCAAGAGAGCTTGTCAGTATCATTTCTTTCATTTTATTTTGGCTGTAAAAATTTTGTTTGAAAGTCAAACATTTGAACATCAAATATGTATTGATTAGATCCAGTCCTTCTAAGAAACCTCCTTTCCTTTAACAAAAAGACCTTGACCATGAATCAGAGATTGTATTCAATGACATTATCATCATTTTTAGAACGAGCCACTAACCTATTAGAGAAGAGGCAGATAATTATTTATCATTGTGCCTTCCTCTGTCTCTTTCTCTTTCCTTTGCTCCCTCCCATGTTTCTGGTGGACTAAATTGTGTATCTGGGAGTTCTCACTTTCTAGCCAGGCCTGATGAGTTAAGTTACATGACCAGGAAGGTTATGCCACTTTGTGGTCATTCCATGCAAGTCATGGCGTAATATAAAATAATAAAAACTTTAAAGTCTGCTCAGACTTTATTTTTACATGGCTTCTCCCTCTGAAGGTCTTCTAAGGCAATAAAATAGTTGCAGAGCTTGATGGTTCACAGCCAGCACGATGCTTCATTGTACAATCGACGGGACTAACAGATTGCTGTGGGACTCCTCTTTGCAAGAGGGGATTAATAGGTACTGGACATTGACCTGGCTAGCCACGGCCGAGGGGCTCAAACCCAGGATTGAGTCCCAGGGCCTGGGCTGGCATGAGGAGTTCTTCCCTGCTGCTGAGAACTAGAGCAGTGGGCTGTGCCCATGTGCGTAGATAAAAGGAGTTTCTCCAAGCTTGTACGTGCTGCCGAGATAAACCAGGCATTTTGGGCAGCGTGGAAGGAGGTTGAAGGCCCCTGAGCCAGGTAGTGATGGGGATGGAGAAAGTTGGGAACAAGGCAAATGGGATGCTACACCACTACCAGGAGCCCCATAGGCATCTGAGTCTACAGTCAAGTGGGTGCCTGATGCATGGTTTAAAGAAACAAAGGCAGGCTGGATAATTCCCAGGTCATGGGATCGGGGGAGCTGGGTTTCACAGCCTTATTCTGCACTTACTTCCTCTCCTGAATCTGGATTTCATTCAGTCACCAATGGGGATTCCATGACGTGTCTGGAGGATGGGAAGGACTCTCTAGTGGCACCGCATGGAATCCCCCAGAGGGGCAGCTCCCTCCAGGATGGTCTTAGCTTTTGCCCTGCACCCACCATGAAGCCATACTTAGCCTCTACCAAAATGTAGGCTCCATGAGGCCAGGGAGTTAGGTTTTTTTTCTTTTCTTTCTCTTTGACAGGGTCTTGCTCTGTCACCCCAGCTAGAATGCAGTGGTGCAATCTTGGCTCACTGCAGCCTCAACCTCCCAGGCTTAAGCGACCCTCCCACCTCAGCCTCCGGAGTAGTGGGGAGTACAGCCATGCGCCACCACACCCAGCTAAGTTTTGTATTTTTTGTAGAGACAGGGTTTCGTCATGTTGCCCAGGCTGGTCACAAACTCCTGGGCTCAAGTGATCCTCCCGCCTTGGCCTTTCAAAGTGCTAGGATTACAGGCACGACCCACCTTGCCCAGTCTTTTTTTTTCTTTTCTTTTCTTTTCTTTTTTTTTTTTTTTTGAGACAGAGTCTCACTCTGTCGCCCAGGCTGGAGTACAGAGGTGCGATCTCGGCTCACTACAACCTCCGTCTCCCGGGTTCAAGCTATTCTCCTGCTTCAGCCTCCCCAGTAGCTGGGACTACAAACACGTGCCACCATGCCTGGCAATCTTTGTGCTGTTGTTTTCTTTTTTGTTTGTTTTTTGTTTTTTTAAGTAAAGATGGGGTTTCACCATGTTGGCCAGCCTGGTCTTGAACTCCTGACCTTAGGTGATCTGCCACCTCAGCCTCCCAAAGTGCCGGGATTACAGGCGTGAGCCACCATGTCCAGCCAAGCCTTTTTTTTTTTCTTAGTTGAAGTTTTTATTGAGATAATTGTACATGCACATGCAGTGTTGAGAAATTATACAGAAAGATCTCATGCAGACTTTACCCAGTTTCCCCCCCATTTGTAACATTTTGCAGAATGATATAGTATAATATCACAACCAGGATATTGATATTATCCACCAATCTTATTTAGATTTCCCAGTTTTACTTGTACTCATTTGTGTGTATGTGTGTATAGTTCTAGACAAATTCTAGACTGCATCCACCATCACAGGCAAGATACCAAATAGCACGTCAGCACGAGGATCCCTCATGTCACTTTTTTTATCACCAAACCTACCTCCTGCCCTCCTCACCTCCGATCCCTAACCCTTGGCAACCACCATAAAATGGTGTCATTTCAAAAATGTTATGTAAATGGGATGATGCGGTATTAACCTTTTGGGATTGGCCTTTCTCACACAGCAGAATTCCTTGAAGATTCATCCAGTCATGGTGGGTATTCATTCAAGTCATTAGGCATTGGGTGTGTCTGACTCACTACTTTATCCTCAACACTTGTAACACTGCCTCGTGTAATGTAGGCACTCAATACATACTTGTTGAATGAACGAATGCACCAGTTCTCCCAACAGATTCAACTGGTCAATGCATCAACAAGAAATGGATGTCTTACTGGAGAGCTCCTGGGAGATGGGGAAGCGAGTCCCACATGGAGCCCAATGACAACACACACAATTCCCTGCTAAGTTTCCTCACTCCTGCTACCCCTGATCACCCCCTCTCTCTTCTCCTCCCTGTTGGTCCCTCAATACCCCTCCTATCGTTCTCAGCATTTTCATTTTTGCCCTAAGCTTACATACCCTGTTCAACAAAAATGCAAGCCATGGAAATGGCAGGACAAAGACCATCTGCTCTTCCTCAGAATCGTCTTTGGGAACCTCAGTACCTCCAGCCTTGATAAAATGGACGAAGGGGGACCGGGCGTGGTGGCCCACCTCTGTAATCCCAGCACTTTGGGAGGCCAAGGCAGGCAGATCACGAGGTCAGGAGCTCCAGACCAGTCTGGCCAACATGGTGAAACCTCGTCTCTACTAAAAATACAAAAATTAGCCGGGCTTGGTGGTGGGTGCCTGTAATCCCAGCTACTTAGGAGGCTGAGGCAGGAGAATCACGTGAACCCAGGGGGCGGAGGTTGCAGTGAGCTGAGATCGCGCCACTGCACTCCAGCCTGGGTGACAGAGTGAGACTCTGTCTCAAAACAAAACAAAATAAAATAAAGCAGAATAGACAAAAGGGAAATGCCAACTCTAGTGGCCTGAAAAAAGCACGATTAAGGGCTGCGTTTGGGTGGCAGGAATGGAAAAGAATTGAAAAATGTGACAGGCCCTCAACCACTCATTCTTCTACTTTAAATATTTGAGAAGAGGGTAGAATTAAAAAATGCTTCCCCACCTCCATTCTACTAGATTCCTATTGCCTAACAGTACCCAGAACTAGTCATGAAAAAGGGTGCAGTTCTGCGGGGAAGAAAAATATGTCCGTGGTTTGTTTATCTTGTTGAAGATGACAGGTAGAATACCAGACTGATGAGGGAGGCTGGCACACCAAATCTTTCTTTCTCAGTTTCAAAAACACCAAAAGTTGATGCCAAGATATTCAATTTATCTGGGTCCTTAATTCTGACACATTTCATACATAAGCCAGGGTAATTAGCTCAAAACTCCACAAGAGCTATGATGCGTGCTCCGTTCTTGAAGGACCCAAGAGACGCTCCATCTTACCCTCTGAGCCTTCCTTGTTATGTTTCATGTGGGTGGAATATATGACCAGGAAGTTCTGCAGGATTTGTTTATTGCTTTGATAAAGCCACAGCATTTCTCAAGTGCTCTATGCTGCAAGCGTCAGGAACACGCTAGGAAACCCAAATGTTTGCTGACCCACTAACTTTTTCCACCAAAGCTTTCTCTAATTTAATCCCAATTCAGGAATAAGCTGGATAGACACTTGGGCAATCAACTCACGAAAAATCTAAGTGTGTTGGCGTGACATCTACAATATTTGCACAAACACTTCCTCCTGACCAAAGTTCAGCCTGACTCCTTTAAGAAGGTTGCTGGTCCAGGTTAAGTATAAACACCTTTGATGGCTTCTTAAAAACTGTTTAAAGACTGTTTGGGTGGTTTTTAAATGGCCAGGAGATGTCTTTCTCATGACAAATCAGTACATGCAGACCAAAAAGTCATCACCACCGTTCTCAACATCCAACAGTGATGAGATGTATGGCCTCAACACTTGAACTTCTTCCTGGGAGTTTAGACTCAGAGACCCTGCACAGAAAAACACAGCGCCAACTGCCCCAGCTCCTGTGCCACATCAAAAAGCATCCTTTGAGGTCCAGCCCCAGCTAAGAGGCAGATTTTCTTGGACACAACCAGCAAACAGAGATGTGGCGGCACTGTATTCAGCCAGGGTGGGGAAGAGAACAGTTTCTTTCTCATAACTAAGAAAGGCTTTCCCAAGGCCAGGCGCAGTGGCTCATGCCTGTAATCCCAGCACTTTGGGAGGCCGCGGTGGGAGGATCACTTGAGGTCAGGAGATGGAGAACATCCTGGCTAACACGGTGAAACCCAGTCTCCACTAAAAATACAAAAAATTAGCCGGGCTTGGTGGCGGGCACCTGTAATCCCAGCTACTTGGGAGGCTGAGGCAGGAGAATGGCGTGAACCTGGGAGGCGGAGCCTGCAGTGAGCTGAGATCGTGCCACTGCACTCCAGGCTGGGCGACAGAGTGAGACAACGTCTCAAACCAAAAAAAAAAAAAAAAAAGAAAGAAAGAAAGAAAAAGAAAGGCTTCCTGGAGGGCTGGGACTTGAGGACCTGCCTCAGTGGCCAGAGGGAACTGGCAAAGGGCTGGTCCTGCCAGGTTGGGAGTGCAGGGCTAGGATTTGGAGACAGATGTGGTTGCCTGAACAAAGCAGGTGCAGAGGGAATTTCCCAAGAAAGAGCAGTGGACAGAGTCAGGCTTAGGGCTTTTTGTTATTTGCTTTTTGTTTTTTTTCCTGTGTTAAATCTTATCTGTTCATTGTAGAACACGTGGATAAGTTAAAGAAATAAATGAGAAAGATACCACAGTTACATTACCAAAAGGAAACCACTGAAATCATTTTGATATGTTTTTCTCCAGGTGTTTTTGAGTGCGTGTGTGTGGGCAGCGTTTACATATTAGTGATCACCAGTTTATAACCTACTCTTTTTCACTTAACATATGATGCAAGCATTTTCCCAGGTCATTAAATTCTTTTAATGGGTGCATATTATTCCTTCTTGGGGGCATGGTGTAATGTAGACTACCCTACTGTTGGACATTTAGGTTATTTCCAATTTTTGGCTATTATACATAAGGCCCTGATAAGTAACGTCCTGCATAAAATTCTAGAGTTCATCCCCTACCCTGTATTTGGGTGGCTGTTACTGTTATTATCTTCAGCTAGATTCCCCACTGAAAATTTCTGAGCCAAAGAGTAGGAAAACAAGGTAATGGGTGTTTTCTTGAAAGGCCAAAGGTTTGGCTTGATTCATAAGACTGAAACCAAGAAGACAATCTTGGATATTTGAGGCTCAAATGGTCAAAATGGTGATAGGGCTGAGAAAACACATTTGTGAGGAAACTGAAAAAACATGGGTATATGGTAATATCATTTTAGTTCAAATTCTCCCTTCTTCCTTTTCCCTAGTCTTTCCACTTCTCCATATTCTTCCACTCCATACAAATGCATGGTTTTTGTTTGGTTGGTTGGTTTTTGAGACGGAGTCTCGCTTTGTCACCCAGGCTGGAGTGCAGTGGCACGATCTCAGCTCACTGCAACCTCTGCCTCCTGGGTTTAAGCGATTCTCCTGCCTCAGCCTCCCAAGTAGCTGGTACTACAGGCATGCGCCACCACACCCGGCTAATTTTTTTGTATTTTCAGTAGAGACGGAGTTTCACCATGTTGGCCAGGCTGGTCCCGAACTCCTGACCTCAGGTGATCCACCTGCCTCGGCCTCCCAAAGTCCTGGGATTACAGGCGTGAGCCACCGTGCCTGGCCACAAATACATATTCTTTTTCAGGCATACATTCACACATTCATTCACTCATTCAGTGATAATCAAGACTGTGCTTGCATATAGTGCTGGAAAAAACCAGTGCTTCACTGTCCTCAGGGAGTATATGGCTTTGTGAAAAGCCAACACAATACAATGGAATGGAGGTGAAAAGTGGGCGTACCCTCTGCAACCTTAGCCAGGGACGGCCGCAAGGGGAAGGATGGTAGCAGTTGGCAAGGTGAACAGGTGATCCAGATTTAAAAAGGGGCGTGTGCCTGGCCCTGGAGTCAGGGAAGCATATGGGAATCTGGAAAACCTGAACTGCTGGGCAGAAGGCGGGGGCCACAGCAAAAGACAGCTTCAAGCAGACCCCCACTTTATCTGCACTCAGGTCAGAAATGAAACTGGCATTAACTAAAGAGAATTCTCCAAAGGTAGCTTCAAGGACAATCAAGGACTGACATTCATTAAAATATACACATATATTTTTAATATATATGTAAAATACATATTTTTAAATATATATAATCTATTTTAAATATATATAATACATATTTTAAAATAGATTATATATATGTGTGGCTTTTTTGAGATCTAAGTCACATACCAAAAAACTCACCCACTTAAAATGTACAACTCAGCTGGGCATGGTGGCCCATATCTGTAATCCCAGCACTTTGGGAGGCCAAGCTGGGAATATTGCTTGAGCCCAGGAGTTCAAGACCAGCCGGGCATATATATATAATGATTTTAGTATAGTATATTGAGAGTTGTGTAACCATCGCTACTGCCTAATTTTAGAACATTTTATCACTCCAAAAAAACCCCTGTACTCATTAGAATTACTCCTCATTCTGCACCCCCCAGTCCCAGGCAACCACAAATCTACCTTCTGTCTTTGTGGATTTGCTTATTCCGGACATTTCATATAAATGGAATTATGTAATATATGGGGTTTTTGTGACCCTCCTTTCACTAATTCTGTTTGAAGTTTCATCTATGTTGTTGCACAAATTGCGACTTCTTTACTTTGTACTGCTGAATAACATTCATTGCACAAATATACCACAGTTTGCTTATCCATTTATCAGTTGGTAAGCATTTAGGTTGTTTCTTAATTTCTTTCTTTCTTTCTTTTTTTTGAGACAGGGTCTCACTCTGTCACCCAGGCTGGAGTGCGGAGGCACAATCTTGGCTCACTGCAACCTCCTCTCCCCGGGCTGTTGGGATACTCCTGCCTCAACCTCCAAAGTAGTTGGGACTACAGGCACCCACCATGTTCGGCCAATTTTTTTTTTATTTTGGTAGAGACAGGGTCTCACTATGTTGCCCAGGGTGGTCTCAAACACCTGGGCTCAAGTGATCCTCCCATCTCAGCCTCCCAAAGTGCTGGGAATACAGGTATGAGCCACTATGCCCGGCTGTTTCTTCTTTTTGGCTGTCATGAATAGTGCTGCTATGAACATTTATGTAGAAGTTGTTGTGTGGACATGTTTTCATTCTCCTAAGTGTATGCCTAGGAGTGGAATTGCTGGGTCACATGATGACTCTATGTTTAACATTTTGAGGAACTGCCTAACTGTTTTACAAAGTGGTTGTGGCATTTTTACAATCCCACCAGCAATGTATGAGAGTTCAGTATGTCCACATTCTCCCTAACATTTGGCATTGTCTGCTTTTCCTAGCTTAGCCAGCGTAGTGGGACTGAAGCGGCATCTCACTGTGGTTTTGATTTGCTCTTCCCTCATGACTAATGACGTTGAGCCTCTTTGCATGTGTTTATTGGCCATTTGTATATCTTCTTTGGAGAAATGTCTATTCAAATCCTTTTTTTTTTTTTTTTTTTTTTGAGATGGAGTCTCCCTTTGTCCCTCAGGCTTTAGTGCAGTGGCGCAATCTCAGCTCACTGCAACCTCCACCTCCTGGGTTCAAGTGATTCTCCTCCCTCAGCCTCCTGAGTAGCTGGGACTACAGGTATGCGCCACCATGCCCGGCTAATTTTTATATTTTAGTAGAGATTTCACCATGTTGCCCAGGCTGGTCTTGAACTCCTGACCTCAAGTGATCCATCTGCCTCACCCTCCCAAAGTGTTGGGATTACAGGCATGAGCCACTGCGCCCAGCCTCAAATCCTTTTTTAATTGGGGTACTTGTCATTTTATTGTTGAGTTGCAAGAGTTCTTTATATCTGATAGATGTAAACCTTCTATCAAACATATGATTTTCAAATATCTTCTCCCATTCTGTAGCTAGTCTTTTCACTTTCTTGATGATGTTCCCTGAAGTACAAAAGTTTTTAAGTTTTTTTTTTTTTTGAGACAGAGTTTTGCTCTTGTTGCCCAGGCTGGAGTGCAATGGCGCAATGATCTCAGCTCACTGCAACCTCCACCTCCCAGGTTCAAGCGATTCTCCTGCCTCAGCCTCCCAAGTAGCTAGGATTACAGGCATGTACCACCACGCCCAGCTAATTTTGTATTTTTAGTAGAGATGGGGTTTCTCCATGTTGGTCAGGCTGGTCTTGAACTCCTGACCTCAGGTGATCTGCCCGCCTCGGCCTCCCAAAGTGCTGGGATTACAGGCGTGAGCCACTGTGCCCGGCCAGTTTTTAAGCTTTGATGAAGTGCAATTTATCTAATTTTTCTTTGATCACTTGCACTTCTGGTGTCGCATCTAGGAAATGGTCATAAAGAATTACTCCTATGTTTTCTTCAAATAATTTTACCATTTTGGCACTTACATTTATGTCTACGATCCATTTTGAGTTAATCTTTGTATGCAGTGTGAGGCAGGGGTCCAACTTTGTTCTTTTATACATGGATATCTAGTTGTGCCAACAAAAAAGTCACCATTTGGGGTTGATATGCCGTCCAGATAGGGCAAAAAAAAAAGTTGCCCCTTTCCCTCCAACTTTTCCTAGATTTTTCCTTCATTCCAAGAGAAGCAGTTGTAGGGCAGCTCTCTGCTGGCCCCAGCAAGGCTCACTTAGTTCAAGACCAGGAAACCCAGATGGATGCCTGTCAGTGGTGGGTCCCAGGCTCTTTCTGCAGTGGAGATTTAAACGACTTCCTCTGTCTTCATCGCAGGGTCCTGGTGAGGTTCATGTTAGTCCAGCATACCTGTGCTCCATTCAGAGTCACACGTCCTGGTGGGATTCACCAGTATTTTCTTTAGGTGAGTACATCAACTGTGTCCCAGGAGGACTGAAGGGGATTGATATCCTGGAGTTGGTGGGAAAGTTGGGGGGTGGCTTTGGGACTGGTGGAAGGCCTGGATTGCCTGAAGGTCATCTTGGCGTTGTGACTTTGTCTTCAGTCTGCCATTTGGTTGGGGAAAGCAAGAAGCCGTGGTCTAGTTCAGGGTTATTTGCATTACCATTGGAATTAGTATAAGAGGGACAGTGATGTACATGTTGTTTGTGCATCCTCTCTAGGTAAGGGCAGGAATTGAGCTTGTTTATTATAATAATTACAACACCAATAACCGCTAAAGTCTATTGACAACTCATGCTGGCCTGAGCACTACGCTTCAGCACTTCACACATGAACACAAGTTTCCTGCTGATGCAAAAAAATTACTGCCAACTTGGTAATGCCTTAAAACATCAATTGATTTTCTTACACTTCTGGGGGTCAGAAATCCAAAATGAGTCTCACAAGGATGAAAACCCAGGTCTTAGCAGGGCTGTTTCTTCTGGAGCCTCTATAGGTGAATCCACTTCCTTGACTTTTCCAGCTGCCTCAGTTTTTAGCTTGTGGCCCCATTCCTTCACCCTCTCTCCCCCTGCTTCCATGGCCACACCCAGATAATCCAGGAGACTCTTCCCATATCAAGATCCTTACCTTGACTACATCTGCAAAGTCCCTTTTGCCACATAAAGCAACATTCACAGATTCCAGGGATTAGGACCTGGGTATCTTTGGGGGCCACTACTTCGATGACCACAAGCACCCAGCTCTTAATGCACTCAATAAATATTTGTTGAGTGCATGAATCAATTTTAACTGTTTAGCATCCTTGTTGGCAGCCTCTTGGCTCAGTCCTTTCAGGAATGTGTGTTTTCTCTTCCATCAAGTTTGTTCGAATCTCCTGTTCAGTAAGGATTTCCTGACCCTAATTTAACATCACAGCTTGCCCCTCCATCACACACACTCCCCATTGCCTTACCCTACTTAAGTTTACTTCTTCCCCATAGCTTTTTGTCACTTAATATATTGTATAATTTACTTACTATGTTTGTTGGTATTTGTCCACCTTTCTCACTAGGATGTAAGTTTCGTGGGGCAAGGAGTTTCCATGTTTTAGTCTCAGATGTCTTCTAGGCATCTGGAACAGTATCTGGCACATGGCAGGTACTCAGTACATGTGTTGTGGAATTAACGTGTAAACTGAATGGCCTCCCCAACCCTCATTCAGCTGCAAATCTGGTTATCTACGGTGGCCAATCTTGGCTTTCATGGTGATGAAGCCATGGCCTGTTGTGAAGCCAATCGATTGTTGAGTAACCCATGGATTATCCTGTTCACTGGGCTCCACCCCATTCCATTACCACACTGGCAATTTTGATCTCTAAAACACAGATAACCTCAATTCTCATCTCCACCAAGACTTGTGAAAGTCTGGGAGGGAAATGAATGCTTTGGCTTTGAATAGTTACTGAAGGATAAACATTTTAGAATTAAAATGATCACAGAGTTGAGATAGTGATTTGTCCCTGGCTGAAGTTGCCAGAGTCTGTGATGTTGGGTGTTACTGTTTCCACCAATGTGCCTGGAGGTAATGAGTTTGTGGTTTCTGGGGTTGGTTAGTCTCGGTTTGTTCACTGTAGAGTGGTCATGAGTACCTGAGGAGGTGTGATGGAGGGGCTTCAGGGTGCCCCATTGGCTTCCTGAAACTGCATGTGACTTTCTGTGTGCATGCGTGTTCTCAAGGACAGTAGAATCCACAGCTTGCTTCAGATTCTCAATAGGGAAGTGAAGCACTTCTGCACTGCCCCAGCTCTGAGGATTCGGTGATTCTGTGACTGGTGATATATGGCTGAAATTCACAGGCCGCACACAGCTCAGAAAGGAAAGGCGGTCGTGTGACAGGTGTGTACCTTCTCCTTGTTCCTACCCCCAGACTAACCAATTGTGTTAAAGATCCCAAACCAGGTGCTGGTCCAAATCTCAAGTGGACTAATCTCAATTTTTATAAGATTGTGGGCATTTCTTGAGGCCTCTATTTTTCTCATAGGTGAAATAGGGATACTTCTAATTTCTTTATTTTTTGTACTTTGAGGGTACAAAATACTATAGAATTGCAAAGAATTAATGATAAAGGGAATATATGCCTTTTTTTGTTATGTGGCAACAGACTGTCTTGTTCCCAGCTCCATCCATCCATCCATCCATCCATCCATCCATCCATCCATCCACTCTGTAAACATTCATTTCCTCACAGTAAGTATGAAAGCTACCATGTGTGTGAACAAAGCTTTATATGAGACGCTTATCCTGGCGGGGCACGGTGGCATGCCCCTGTAATCCCAGCATTTTGGGAGGCTTAGGTAGGAGAATTGCTTAAGGACAGCAGTTCAAGATCAGTGTGGGCAACACAGTGAGACCCCATCTCTAAAATTAAAATTAAAAAAGAAAAAACTTATTCTCCCAAAAACCATGAATAAACTGAGGTTCAGAGAACGTTCTCCAGGTCACTTGCTCAAAGTCACACAACACAGCTCGGAAGTGACAGTGCAGACTTTGAATTGAAAATCTAATTCTATCTGATGCCAATGGCAATGTCTGTTAATATCACCTACCAAAATACTCCTAAGGGAAGTCACCTATGAGGGAGATGGAGGGAAGAGTCTATCTAATATAGCATCTTCAAATCTGTGTTTTACCTCCATATTAGACCCACACTTGTTTTCATATCAAAGAATTTCCCACCAATCTTTAAGTACAAGTGATGCTTTTGAGAATGGTTGCAGCCTAGCATAGCTCTCAGCCACACTCCCCACCACACACACCATTTTTCCACGTTAGACTTTTGTGTTTCAGTCTTATGTCCTGTTGGATTGTAGGCTCCTAGAGGACAAGATCTCAATCTGATTCCTCCTTTCTCCTTCCCAAAACCTAGCCCAGTGTCCAGCAAGTAACAAGTACACAGATAATGAATGTGGCAAAGACTTATTGCATTGCTGCCTGAGTCTGGTGCCATGAGAGATATAGATGGTTACAATGTGGCCCCTGCTCTCAAGACATTTACAATTGAGCTAGAGAGGCCAAGCTTCCAGAAGTGAAAAGGGTCTTCCCAAGACTCTTGGCACACAATTTAGAAGCTTAGAACTGTCATAAAGCAAGAGAAGAAACAGTAGGTAATTAGACACCAGACAAAGTTCCATTAAATAGGACAAATTTTGTGAAAAGTGACAACCTGTTCCTCTGGAAAGGCAACATTGTGTCAATTAAAGAGCACACCTTGAAGTCGCAAAGTACAAATTAATGATGTTGAAACCACTGTTTCCCAAGAGGGAAAAGTAGAAGACACAGTCAGCTGTGCTAGATGCTATCTTCTTTGCCAGAGGTTCTCAGTCTTGGATTGATTAGGCTTTGAGGGCCACATTGAGACCATTAGCAGCTCAAATGAACCCATGATACATTTGGAAACACTGGGTGGGCTCTGGGCTTAACAAATTCAATTCCATTCATCAAATATTTCCCGAGTTCACTGTGTAGGTGCTGGGGATGCACAGAGAGGAAGCGATGTATGATGAATGGCTCATACACTTTGCAATGAAGCAAAGATTCAAAACCCTGGCTATACCATGAATTAGTTGATATTAGCATAGGACAGGGGTTCACCTCTCTGAGCCTCCATCTTTTTGTTTTTGAGACAGAATCTCACTCTGTCACTCAGGCTGCAGTGCAGTGGTGTGATCTCGGCTCACTGCAACCTCTGCCTCCTGGGTTCAAGCATTTCTGCCTCAGCCTCCCAAGTAGCTGGGATTATAGGCGTGTGCCACCAAACCTGGCTAATTTTCGTATTTTAGTAGAGATGGGGCTTCACCGTGTTAGCCAGGCTGGTCTCGAACTCCTGACCTCAGGTGATCTGCTCGCCTCAGCCTCCCAAAGTGCTGGGATTACAGGTGTGAACCACCATACCCAGCAAGCCTCCATCTTTTAAACCATAACATGGAGACCCTAATTCTTATCTTGTAGGCGGTTGCAAGGATTCATTGAGGGTAATAAACATAAAGCTCCCTGCACAGGGAATTGCACTGAATAAGAACTTCACAGAGGGGCACTAGAATCACAGAAGAATTAAGAAAAAGAGCTCTGATTTCAGGAAACTCCCAGGCTGAGGTGGGAGGATTGTTTGAGCCCAGGAGTCCAGCCTGGGCAAAATGGTGAGATCCCATCTTGAATTTAAAAAACAAACAAATAATAAGTAAATGTTAAAAAAAAAAAAAAGAAAAGAAACTTCCAGTCTGGTGTAAGGACCAAAATGTTAACAAATAAATGTCATTAGTGTGATGGGTGTGACTATGTTTTTTTAGACTAACAGTTACTGAGAATTTACTATGTGCCAGACACTGCGCTACCCAACTGTATCTGGATAAACTTGTTCATTTTTTTTTGTTGTTGACAGCATCTCGCTCTGTCATCCAGGCTGGAGTGCAGTGGCACAATCTTGGCTCACTGCAACCTCTGCCTCCTGGGTTCAAGCGATTCTCCTGCCTCAGCCTCCCGAGTAGCTGTGATTACAGGCACCTGCCACCATGCCCAGCTAATTTGTGTATTTTTAGTAGAGACGGGGTTTCACCACATTGGCCAGGCCAGTCTCAATCTCCTGACCTCAGGTGATCTGCCTGCCTCAGCCTCCCAAAGTGCAGGGACTACAGGCGTGAGCCACCACACCTGGCCACACTTGTTCATTCTGTGCAAAACCATATAGAGCAGGAATTGCAATTATTCCCAATGAGGAACCTGAGGCTTGGGCAGCTTAAGTAACATGTCCAGGGTTGCAGAGCTGGAAAGTGATAGAAGCTGGATTTGCACCTTGCAATCTGCCTCCTGAGGTAGATTTCAACGCGCAAGCAAGCCGGAAGAGGCTTCACAGAGGTAATGCAGTAGAGGCAAGAGGTTTTTCAGGCATCAAAGTCACAGGAGAGAAGTTCAGGCAGGAGGGAAAAGCAGAGACAAAGAACTGGCAGGATGAATCAGCTGACTCTGTTCAGGAATTCAGGTGAGTCCGTGTGGAGGGTTTGGATGAAGGATAATGAGCATTCAGAAAATGAGGTTGAGGAAGGAGGGAGGGGCCCGATGGTGGACACCTCAAGCACCAGGCACAAAGACCTGGACTTTTACCGGAGTAAAGGGGTACTAGTAAAGGGTGTTGAAGACACGATCACTGGCATTTAGGGAATAGAATCCACCTGCCTATGTTATAAAGGAGGTGACTCCACGCAGCATGTTTGAATGATCAGGGCACATCAGGTTTTCCAACTAAATGATTACTTTTTAGATATTGTTCACGTGCAAGTCTCACTCCCTCCCCTGCTAGCCAATATGTTTCTTAAATTAAATGTTGATTCTTATTGCTTTTGGTTTCCCCTAAGCGCCTGGCATATGGTAGTGCTTAAATTTTTTTTTTTTTAATGAATGAGTGATTAAAAGCATGCGTGAATTTACATTTAGGTCTATGAGTCTCTGAAAAGAGATAGATTTTGAGCTGGATTCAAGAAAATGCATGTATTTGAGGTGGATCATAGACCTAATTGTGAAAAGGAAAACAAAAAAAGCTTCTAGAAGAAAGCACAGGAGAATCTCATGATTGCTGAGATTTCTTAAACAGATTATGAAAAGCACCAGCCATAAAAGAAAATATTGATACATTGAACTTCATGAAAACTAAGAATATCTGTTCATCAAAGATACCATTTACAGGGTAGAAAGGCAAGCCACAGACTAGGAGAAGAAATCTGTCTTTATTTATATATTATTATATATATAAAATAAAGAACACCTAAATGTTAATTTAAAAATCCAACTGTTGGCTGGGCGCGGTGGCTTATGCCTGTAATCCCAGCACTTTGGGAGGCTGAGGCGGGCAGATCACCTGAGGTTGGGAGTTCGAGACCAGGCTGACCAACATGGCGAAACCCTGTCTCTACTAAAAATACAAAATTAGCTGGGCGTGGTGGTGCATGCCTGTAATCCCAGCTACTCGGGAGGCTGAGGCAGGAGAATCGCTTGAACCCCGGAGGTGGAGGTTGCAGTGAGCCAAGGTTGTGTTGGGCTGAAATTGCACCATTGCACTCTAGCCCAGAAAACAAGAGTGAAACTCCATCTCAAAAAAAAAAAAAAAAAAATCCAAGTTAAAAATGAGAGAAAACTTCAGTAATCACCTAACCCCAAAAAATCACCAAGTGATCAAAATGCCTACAGAAAGGTGTTCAACATCATTATTCATTAGAGAAATACGAATGAAAATAAGACACCTACCAGGACACCAACACACCCACCAGGACAGGCATAATTAAAAGACTGATACCACCAATTACTGGAGCATGTGAAGCTACTGGAACTCTCAGACATTACTGTGGGAGTATAATTTGGTACAACCACTTTGGAAAACTGGCAGCTCAAGCTGAACATATGTGCCAACCCTGCAACCCAGCAGCTGAACTCTTGGCCATATCCTCCTGTGGAAAAAAGTGCATAAATTCAACCATGTATTTTTATTTTATTTATTTATTGGAGATTTATTTATTTATTTATTTGAGATGGAGTCTCACTCTGTTGCCCAGGCTGGAGTGCAGTGGTGCGATCTCGGCTCATTGCAACCTCCGCCTCCCGGGCTCAAGGGATTTTCCTGCCTCAGCCTTCCAAGTAGCTGAGATTACAGGTGCCCGCCACCACATATGGCTAATTTTTGTATTTTTAGGAGAGATGCTATGTGGGCCAGCCTGGTCTCAAACTCCTGGCCTCAAGTGATCTGCCCACCTCAGCCTCCCAAAGTGCCAACCATATATTTTAAATGTTCATAACAGTTTTATTAGAATAGCCCTGAAATGGAAAAATTATCTATCCATCGATAGGAAAATGGATAAATATATTGTGGAGTAGTCACACAATGGTATACTCACAGCAATAAAGAACCAACTATTGCTACAAGCAACAAAACGAAAGAATTTTGAAGATATCACATTGAGTGAAAGAAACCAAATGCAAAAGTTCAAGAACAGGAAAAACAAATCAATAGTGATAGAAGCCATAACAGTGGTTTCTTTTCTTTCTTTTTTTTTTTTTCTTTTGAGACAAGAGTTTCACTCTTGTTGCCCAGGCTGGAGTGCAGTGGTGTGATCTCGGCTCACTGCAACCTCTGCCTTCCGGCTTCTGCTTTCAAGTGATTCTCCTGCCTCAGCCTCCCGAGTTGCTGGGATTACAGGCACCCTCCACCAGCCTGGCTAATTTTTTTTTTTTTTTTTGTATTTTAGTAGAGACGGGGTTTCACCACGTTGTCCAGGCTGGTCTTGAACTCCTGACCTTGTGATCCGCCCGCCTCAGCCTCCCAAAGTGCTGGGATTACAGACGTGAGCCACGGCGCCCGGCCAGTTTCTTTTGGGTAGCACCGATTGGAAACGGGCCTTAGGGAGCCTCTGGGTTGCTGGAAATGTTCTATATTTTGACGTGGCTGGGGATTTCACACGTGTGAAATGTTTCCATTTCACATGGAAACATTCATTCAGCCGTGCACTTAAGATTAGTGCACTTTACTGTGTATTATACCTCAATAAAGACATTTTTAAAAGCTAAATGTATTAAAGTATTAATTAGTTTCAAAACTTACTGGTTAAAGAAGAGGTCTGACATATTTCAGAAAACACAAGGATGGATTTAAACATTAAAAAAAAATAAAGGCAAGGAACATGCAATAAAAGGTGTAGAATGGGATGTTTAAAGCCCTGGAGTAGAAAATGAAGATGTCAGGTGGAGTTAGAAAATAGATGAAATTCACCAAAAACCCAGCACTAATATTAGAGAAAAACAAGCAATGAGACTGTCAACCAGAACTGGAGGAGGTATCACTGGTGGGCCCTGACTGGGGGGTGAAGAGACTAATTGACTTGAAAGTCAACTAGAAGCTAATCATTTCTGAGCTGGGCAAGGATGCCATTGAAAACAAGAATGATGGTGGTGATAGTAATGATACATGTAACAGCTCTTAGCATTCACTGAACACCTGCTACGGGCCGGATCTTCTTGTCAGCACTTCATCACTGCTGTCTCATTTAATCCTCATAACCACTCTGTAAGAACTGCTACGATTGCCCCAGTTTTACAGAGGGAGAAATTGAAGAAGCAACTTCTAAGTCTGGGAGAACAGACCAAGAGGGAGGTTGTTAGGAAATCCCTTGAGTTAAATGAATTTAAATGACTTCACAGATATTTAAACAGATCTAAGGCACAGGCAAATTACTTATGTGATGTAAATTCTGCAGAATAATCCAGCTCATTGTACACCCAGCAGTATCCTGGCTAGAATTCTAGGGAGAAGACAAGCACCTTTTATATGCTTTCAGGTGTATAAACAACATAAAATATACAAACTAAATTTAAAGGGTGAAAAGTGCAAAGTGGTGTGTCTTGACAGGGGAGAATAAGGTTCTTGCACTGGACCTAGCTTGAAAGAAGTTATTGGGGCAACCTATGCCCAGAGCTACTATATTGTGACCTTCTAAGGTTTGGAACGTTTATTTCAGGTCCTTTGAATCAGTTTTGATAACTCATCTTCCTCCAAGTTGGCAATGTTAGGTTAGGCAGCAAGAGATGAAAAGGTCCAGGAAAATATTCATTCATTCATTCAATAAGTAAACATTTATTGAGCACATACTATATGCCAGGCATTGCTTTAGAGGCTAGGAATACAGTGATAAAATAAGAATCTTTGCCAGGCCTCATGAAGCCTTATAATCAGAAGAGACACATAATACACTAATAAACATATATAATTTTAGGTAGTGATTACATGCAGTGAAGAAAGATGAAGCCAGTTAAGGGGAGGCATTTATGCAGGAGTGTGAGCCAAGGCCTTTCTGAGGAGCTGACATTGCAGCTCTGATTTAAGAATGAAAGAGCAAGCTATGAGAATGTGAGGAAAGAGAGTTCCAGGCTGAGCAATTAGCCAGTGCAAAAGCCCTGAGGTGGGAATATACTAGGCTTGTTCAAGAAAGAGCAAGAAGGCCAGTTTGGTTGGTGCACACTGAGGGGAGAATGGCAGGAAATGAGGCCATGGAGGAAGCCAGATCACGCAGGGCTTTTTAGACCATGGTAAGGGCTTTGGGTTTTTTCCCTAAGTTTGAAGGAAAGCCATGGAAGAGCTTTGAACTGGGAAGTGACTTGATCTGATTACCTTAGGAGGAGAAACAATTCATAAGGGGGCAAGAGAGAAAGCAGGGGGAGCAGTTAGGAGGCTGTTGCAGGAGAGCTGAATGGTACCTGGATCAGCGTGGTCTTGGTGGAGGTGGGGAGGAGTGGCTGGATTCAGAAGTTAGCCTGCAGGGCCGGGCATGGTGGCTCACACCTGTAATCCCAGCACTTTGGGAGGCTGAGGTGAGCGGATCACCTGAGGTCAGGAGTTCGAGACCAGCCTGACCAACATGGTGAAATGCTGTCTCTACTAAAAATACAAAAATTAGCTGGGTGTGGTGGTGGGCACCTGTAATCCCAGCTACTTGGGGAGCCTGAGGAAGGACAATCACTTGAATCTCAGAGGTGGAGGCTGCAGTGAGCCACTACACTCCAGCCTGGGTGACAGAGCAAGACTCTGTCTCAAAAAAAGAAAAAAGAAAAGAAAAGAAAAGAAAAAAAAAAGTAGTCTGCAGGAAGAGCTGCAGGATTCACTAGAGAATTGGATGAAGGGTATGAGAGACAGAGGTCAAGAATGACCCTAAGTTTCTGTCTCTAGGTAAATGAATGCTGCTGCCATTTACTTGGAAAATGAGTAGGTTTAGGGGTAAAATCAGGACTTTTTGTTTTTTTTTTTTGAAATGGGGCCTTACTGTGTCTCCCAGGCTGGAGTGCAGTGGCATGATCACGGCTCCCTGCAGCCTCGACCTCTTGGGCTCAAGTGATCCTCCCACCTCAGCCTCCCGAGTAGCTGGGACTAAAGGTAGGTGTCACCACACCCAGCTAATTTTTTTTTTTAAGTAGAAGCTTACTTTCTGAGGTGTTAAATTCTAGGTTTCTATTATTCAAATGGCAATGTTAAGCAGGCTGGTGAATATTTCCGTTTTGAGTTCATTGGGGAAATATGAAAAATAACATGTGAAGTAATCCCTTGTAAACAGAAAAATCTCAATTCTATTAGAATTTATTCCTTCAGCAAATATTTATTGGGCACCTACTGTGTGTCAGGCACTGTACTGGGTGCTGGGGTAGAATACATGATGAATTTGGATAGGAACAGTTACGACCTTCATGGAGTTTCATTACAATTTAATTAGTTCACCGGTTTCTGAGACACTTCTCTGAGTACTGTGTAAATATATAGAACCAACTCTGAAGCGTTATAAATACTGAGATGTTCTCTGACTCAGCAATTTGAAAGAGCCTAGACTTTTTTTTGGAAAGAAAACAGCTATATATAGATTTGGACAAATGAAAGATTTACCCAATAAAATATCTGAAGACTACCTTAAAATGAATCAGAAGAGACTGTCTCAAACAAATGAATGTTTATGACAAGTCGACTTGGTGTAATGGAAAAGCTTACAGGGCTGGAAAGCAGAAGATCTAGACCTTAGTCTGTTCTGCCCTGACTGGGTCACACCTATAACCTTGACTGAGTCATTTGCTCATCTGTACTTTGGTTTTCTCTTCAATAAGATAAATCCGTTGGACTTGATATTTGCTAAAGAATTTTCAAACTGTTAATATTTTCTTTGCATTATTTCTCTTACTGGACTCTCTAAGTAGTTTTTAGGAAATAAAAGCCCAACCCCCCAAGTGGATTCCTCTCTTGAGGGCACATTTTTCAAAGCAAAAGAAAGCTTTTTTTTCCCTTTTTGCAAAAAGACATTGCTTTCTTGTTTTTTTAATGATTGTAAAAAATTATGCATGATCAGTACAGAAAATAGAAATCGAGGAAAATACAGAGTAAAAGCTTCTATAATAACACTGAGACAACTATACTTTCACCATCACTGTATCTGTAGCAGGTATCGTACAGCAGGTGCTTTAAAAACAGTTGTTGAATGAATGATTACTGTTAATATCTTGCAAACATCCTTTTTGGTCTTCAGACCAAAAACGAATACATAAATAAATCCTTTCTCTGGGTTGTTTCACCTCTAAACCAGAAGAGCTCAGTAAAGCCACCAGAGACTAAAGCTGTTAGGACAATATCAAATCTCTTACATTGTAATATGTTTCACAATGACAGTTGATATCTGATGCCTATGGAATATAAGGAAACAATAACATTTAATCCATCATTCTGATAGGCACAATATCAAGGGTGGCTCAGTTTGAGCAATATCAAGAAGGCTGCAAAACAGTCCACAGTACTTCAGCTCAAGCAAGAGTGGCTCCGGCAGCACTGGGAGAGTTGGCTCTGCCTCCTGAATCCTTCTTCCCACACTTGGGCCCTCTTCCTTGCCCACAGCACCAGGAGGAGCTTTCTGGGGCATGTGAATTCCACTCAACACATTTTATTGGCAACCTAGCAGCCATTTGATTGTCGACTACATTTTCAGTAAACTAATCGTTTCCTGATTACCTCTGAACATGAATTACAGCCAGATCTTGTCTGTAGACCCATGCTACATTTTTTCCTCCAAATGGAATTAGTTGCTAATGTTGAAAATCCGGAATATTCAACATGTAAAGTCTGAATTGTCAGAATCTCTTAAAAAGTTGTTAGATCCACCACCACTGGGCCCCTATCGCACAGAGCAATCAATCAGAGCTGAGGAGCATGTGCTCTTCAGCTCCCATAAGCCCACCTACTCCTATTGTCTGACATCCCACATCCCACAGTTTGCTTTGCTAATTTACCTGATACGCTCCTGCTAATTATGTAAAACATTCATGGGGTACCTACTACACATCAGGCACTGTGTAAGTCCTGGGAACATAGGCAGATAAGGCAAAGCCCCTGCCTTGGAGGAGCTCACAACCCAGCAGTGGAAATGACTTACAAACCAGTAAATTACAGTACAGTATGGTGAGTACAGCACAGCAGCAGGAGCATGCAGAGGACTGACCCACTCTGTCCTGGGAAGCCAGCTCAAGATTTCCTGAAGGCCATGGTTAAGCTGGGTTTTGAAGGATGAATAAGAGTTCACCAGGCCAATGGAGTGGTGGGGAATACTAGCAACAGTGTGGGTGGTATTAAAAATATATATAAAGTCTTCTTCTGCTTAGCTGCCTGTTGCACAGATGATCCTCTCAAGCCAGCAACTACCTTTCTCTTGATGGTCATTCCATTTCCTCCTTCTATCAAAACAACAGGGAAGGTTCACCTTTATCTGGAAGAGCCTGCCTGACAAATCCCCATTCACCTCCAGTTACTTCAACTAAGGCAACCTTCCTACTCGGATAATTGGTTACCTGACTGTGATCCTACTATTGGAGCTCTTTGTTTTGGAACCTCTGATATTTAAAGAATAGACTAGCACAATAAGCAATTAATAAGTACTTATCAAATATTTACATTGTGTAGAGAACTCTCCCTGGTTTTTGACTTTAAAAATGGCAAACACAAATTAACTAAGAACAGATAGAGAATACAGTTCAGAAAACATTTATTTATTTTATTTTTTATTTTTTTTGAGACAGAGTCTTGCTCTGTCACCCAGGCTGGAGTGCAATGGCGTGATCTCGGCTCACTGCAACCTCTGCCTCCCGGGCTCAAGTGATTCTCCTGCCTCAGCCTCCTGAGCAGTGGGGATTACAGGTGCCTGCCACCACACCTAGCTAATTTTTGTATTTTTAGTAGAGACGGCGTTTTACCATGTTGGCCAGGCTGGTCTCGAACTTCTGACCTCGTGATCCGCCCATCTCGGCCTCCCAAGAAACATTTATTAAGTGTCTGATATTCAGGTGTTTTTCTTTTTTTTAATCCCTCCATCCATCCAACATTCAGTTAGCACTATTACGCACCAAGTACTGTGCTTGGTACCTGGAAATCATGCTGAGCTACAATAAACATAGTATAGCAGGTGACATGGATAAATAAACCCATTATAAAAAGTTTCTTGCTCGAGCAATGTTCAAAATACAGCAACTGCTTGGAGAAAGGAATGTCAGCTGCTCACAGGGATACTGGGTAGGTATCATGGAGAAGATAAGTCCAAGCTGCTTGTCTTGTGTGTTTCTTACCTTTTTAAATATATTTTTCGGCCGGGTGTGGTGGCTTATGCCTGTAATTCCAGTACTTTGGGAAGCCAAGGTGGGCGGATCACAAGGTCAGGAGTTCGATACCAGCCTGGCCAACATGGTAAAACCCCATCTCTACTAAAGATGCAAAAGTTAGCCAGGCATGGTGGCACATGCCTGTAGTCCCAGCTACTTGGGAGGCTGAGGCAGGAGAACCACTTGAACCCGGGAGGCGGAGGTTGCAGTGAACAGAGATTGCACAACTGCACTCCAGCCTGGGCAATAGAGGGAGACTCCATCTCAAAAAAAAAAAAGAAAGAAGAAAATATTTTTCAACATCCACAAAAATATAGAAACAGTACAATGAATCTCCACATCCCCATTAAACATCCACAACAATATAGAGACAGTACAACGAATCTCCACATCCCCATTACGTGGCTTTAACAATTAGTAACTTGCGGCCACTTTTGACTCATCTACACTCCCATCTGCTTCCCCATCCCTTTGTTTTGTTTTGAAGCAAATCCTAGACATCTTTATCATTGCATCCGGGAACACTGAGCTGCATTTACAGAAGAAAGTGGAAATGCATGTGTCTTCCACAGCCGTACCCTCCCCATCTATTCTGCCCTGAAAACAGTTAGATACTCGGATTCCTGCCAGTGACTCCAAAGCCTTGGCTGGTTCAGGGTAAATACCCAAGACTTTATTGGAGCCTTTCAGTTGGTTGAAGGACAGTGAAAATTCCATCCTGTCTTGCCTGGAATGCTAGCCACATTCTTCTGGTCCGGAGTCCTCATACAATTGCTAATTTTTTAGAGGCTTATGGAGTCCCTAACGTTTGCACAAAATGGTTGCTACATTCCACACTCCCATGTGCCCTGAGCAACCTCCAGGGAAACTTCAGATACCGTGGGGCTTGGCCTGCCAGCTGAGCTGACCCAGCGATCCTTTCTATCACAGCTTTGATCTTCACTGGGTTGGGAGCCTGTCTGAATCTAAACATCTGCCTCTCTACTGCCCACCCCTTCAGCATTTCCTAGCTCTCCCTGAAAGGTGCAAACATGCATGCAGTTACTCAAACAGAATATTTATCCTTAACTCCCTCTCCCTCACAATTTCTTTTAAAACAATCCACTATTGTCTACCCCCGCCCCCGCATCACCCTTTCATCCAGGTGCCCATTCCCTTCTCTCTAGTCCTGCAATACCTAAGCATCGATCTGCCTTTAGCACATCCATCCCCGCCTTATTCTCCACGCAGGAGCTGAGTGACCTGCACAAAATCCCCTGCTAAATACGGTACTTCCATGGTTCTTCACCACTGCAGAAACCAAACTCCTTCCCACACCAAGGAGGCCCTGCAAAATTTAAGGCCTCCTTCGGACTTCTCCAGCTTCATCTGCTACATCTCCTTCCTAGCCCGCAACCAAAACCATCTTTTCCGGGTCTGTTTTCTCGGGTTTTTGTCCTCTCACCTGGGCAGCTCCTTTTCTCTCATAAATAAAGAAAGCTACAGCGACTTCGCCCTTGCTTCCATGCATCATCTCATGAGTCCACAACAACACTAAGAATTCGCTTTCATTTTGCAGACGGAGAAACTGAGGATGGGCACCTTACCCATGGCCACAGAGCTAGTAAGTGGAACAGCTGCAACCAGGATTCAAACTCGCGGCTCCAGAGGCCACAGGCTTAACCACGGAATCCTAGCCCGCCCGCACATCCCTCCATCGCGGGAGCGACCTATCTCATCCGTAGACACCTTCCGCTGCACCCAGCCGCAGCTGGTCAGGCGGGCGGAGGAAGGAGGCTTCTGATTGGCCATCTCCAGCAGCGGAGGCGAGAAGGCGGGGAGCGACGGTGCGGGGGCGTCGCGGAGAAATGACTTCATGACGCGGCTTCTTAAAGGCGCCGGCCCAGCGCGCCGCGGATAGCACAGGCACGTCCCGGGGGCTCCAGCTTCTGCTCAGAGCGCGGAGAGCCGGGCCGGGCGGGCGCGCGCGCAGGACTCGGGCCGCTCGAGGGGTCCGGCCGGACGGTGTCGGGAGCCGGACCCGTCGGCAGAGGAGCGGGCGCCGCGATGGCTGAGGGCAGTGCCGTGTCTGACCCTCAGCACGCCGCGCGTCTGCTGCGAGCGCTCAGCTCTTTCCGCGAGGAGTCTCGCTTCTGCGACGCGCACCTGGTCCTCGACGGGGAGGAGATCCCGGTGCAGAAGAACATCCTGGCGGCGGCCAGCCCGTACATCAGGTGGGGAGGGGGCTACGGCGGGCGGGCGCGGCGGTGCTGCCCGGAGCCGGAGGCGGGGCGGCCGGGCCGGGCGTGGCCCCCAGACCCTGTCCCCTGTCCCCGGCGCCGGGGTCCCCGCGTCACCGTTGGCGCGGCGTCCCTCCCGGCAAGCGCCGGAACCCGGCCCCGCTGACCGCGTCCCCCAGGCGGCCTCTGTGGCTTCCAGGCCCGCGCTCCCCACTGGACCCCCGCGCCCCTTGGAGTTGTCCCCGGACCCGGGCCGCGATCCCCCGCCTTGTCCCTCCCGGTTCCCACCGCCGCGGCGAGCGCCCGACCTCGGAGACCCTGAGGCCCCCAGACGCCGTCCTGGGCCGGCCGGGACCCGCACCTGCGGGCTGGGCGAGGCCGCGCCGGGGAAGAGTCACCCCCTCGCCCAGGCCGGGCCCGCGGTCCCCGCTGAAGTTCGCCAGTCGCTCGCCTCTGAATCCACGCGCGGGGGCTGGGCCGGCGCCGCCAACCAGGCGGGGAGCGCCCTGCCCGCTGGGAGGCCAGACAGACAGCGCCTCGCTGGGTGCAGGCAGAGAAAACCCTCTCGATGTTCTCCTTGGGTTGGTAGTCCGAACCTCCGGGCGAAATTCTCCTTGCCAAACGTGTCTTTTCCGCTCCATTCTGGTAACTGTTTAAAAGAGGAGTTACACGTTGAAGTAAACTGTAGCGAATTCTCAGGATGCTGTTACAACCCGAGGACCGTGAGAGCCTTGCGACAAAGGGCATTTTAATACTTTAGTAAAGCAAAGCTTAACCTGATTTGCCAACTCAACTAACCAGGTTAATTAAAAGGTTGATAAGACAGTGCTTATACAAGTGTATCAGATCTTGCAGGAGACTATCTTTTCTTTTAGCAACCTTCTTGCAAACTAGGTTGCTGTTTTAATAAAAGGAAAGGGGGGAATGCTAAAAACTGGAGAAACTGACCAGTAAGCTGGTTAAATATAAGCTAGTGGTAGAGAATATCACTACAATTGACAGGTCAGAAAAAGCAAAATGATGTGTATTCTTAGCGCTTTGTCCCAGCAAAACCACCACGCACGCTACACTTTTAACCTTTGCATTGGGGAGATATCTGTGCTAAACTTAGAAGAAATTCAAGTGCCCTTGTAACTTCTGGTTTCTCTTGGATTTGTTTTGTGAATCCATTTGCGCTCTTTGGCGGTGGGGAGTGTGGAGGGGTGGGGGGGCGGGGCGGCAGTAGGGTCTGGGGTAGCATCGTTAGTACAGAATTTGGATTGCTAATGTGACAGACAGCTTCTAGCTGGCAGTTCCGAGGTTTGAGCAACCCATCCCAAATTGGAGTCAGCAGACCAAAGTCTTCCCTGTTTGGGAAAATGCTGAAGAAAACTACTTTAGATGCATTATTGTTATAGTTCTTTAAATGGCATCCGTTTGGCTTAAAAGAAGTAAATTGCAAATTGCCGAATCCTTGCTTGTTATCCTTGTTCGTTTTTCTCCATAGCACTTACCACTTTGACGTACCCCATATTTTACACATTTACTTTGGTGGTCTTTCCCAACCACAGTGTGACCTCAATGAGGTCGTGGTGTTTTGTTTTGTTTTTCGAGACTGAGTTTCACTCTTTAGCCCAGGCTAGAGTGCAGTGGCGTGATCTCGGCCCACTGCAACCTCCGCCTTCCAGTTTCAAGCGATTCTCCTGCCTCAGCCTCCCGAGTAGCTGGGATTACAAACGCCCGCCACCACGCCCGGATAATTTTTGTATTTTTAGTAGAGTCGGGGTTTTACCATGTTGGCCAGGCTGGTCTCGAACTCCTCACCTCGTGATCCGCCCACCTCGGCCTCCCAAAGTGCTGGGATTACAGGCGTGAGCCGTGGCACCCGGCGGTGTTTTCTTTTATTCACTGCTTTACTCTTTGCACCCAGAAAGAACTGTGCCTATCAGTTAATGTATTGAATGAATGACTGCCTTTCTTTCTACCACAGCAAATGTGTACATTAGAAAATTGGCACCATCACATTTTCATAGTACACAGACGCTCAGTTATACCTAATTGAGAAACGCACTGGATTCAGAGTTTGAAGACCCGCTTTGTGCTTCCAGCTTTTACTCATATTAGCTGTGAGTTGCTGGTAGATGACAAGGCTTCAGCTCACTAATCTGATGAATGAGGGATAAAAATGAGTCTTCTCATTTAATCACACCTGTGAAGAAATACGTAATAGTGTTGACACCTCATAGGTCTGTTCCCATGTCTTCAAAGGTAGTACCCATTGAATTAGGAAATATCTGTAGTCCGGTTCTTTCACTTTCTAAATAAGAAAATAGGGGCTCAGTGGACATTAGTGACTTGTGTTATGAGGTTATTAGTACTTAATGGTTGAACTAGGATTAGACTCCAAATTAATTACGGCTAACCGCCTTCCTACTCTTGCCCTACCACGTTAGAGCATTACTTGTATTTCACCGTTCTCTTTGTGTAAACTTTACTGTTAGCTGGCTTACAATATCTTAGAATTAAAATGTTTATCAAGCACTTTTACATACTGTGTCATTTTGGTTTCCATTTTCAATCATCTTTAAAGAGAAGGCAGATTTTTTTTTTTTATGTTTTGTGGATAAACATGAATCAGTCAATATGTGTTTCATCAGTGACAGATGAATTGCTTTAAGTTTATTTGGCTATTGAAGTGATAGAATGTCTTGGGATGTTTTTAAAAATTATCAATTCCGAAGCTGTTTCAAAGTAATTTGACGAATCTGTATCACTAACTAGAAAGAAATTTGTTAATTTTGTATTTTTACTGGTAATTTTAATACCAATAATATTGGGCTTTTATAATGTACTTGTTTGTTTGAATAGCACTTTAGAGAATTATATTGAAACAAAATATATTTATGTATTCTAGAACTTGATGTTTCTTATCTTTCCCTTTTGAAACTTAAGCATTTAGATCTGTGATATCATTAATCTGTGAATTGAATGTTCAAAAGTTTGGTAATCTCTGAAGTTTTATAAAATTCTGATTTTGTTTAATGTCTGTGTTTGGCCTAGTGTTGGTAACTGTCATAAGTGGTTGTGTGATTGTGTGGTTTAGAAGCAGTGGTATGGCCTGGCATGGTAGCTCACACCTGTAATCCTAGCACTGTGAGAGGTGGAGGCGGGAGGATCGTTTGAGGTCAGGAGTTCGAGACTAGCCTGGGCAACATAGTGAGACCCAGTCTGTACAATAATAAATCATGTATATAAAAAATAGGAGCAGTATTGTCTTTTGCTTACTATGTGCCCAACAAAGGAAGCCAGTCCAACTCTGTCACACTGGGAATTAAAGTAACTTGTTTGGCATACTTTCTACTTAATATAGAAAAGTCTTTTGACTTATTGGTTTAATCTTTTATTCTGCTTTATCTTTGGTCTAGCCCTTGTTTTTCCTGCTGACACCCTTAGCAATCCTACCATATTAGAAAGATTTTAAATATAAAAGGAAAAGGCCAGAAAACTCAGCTTTGGCAACACACCCTCATGGTCAGCTCAGAGAGGACTGGCATCCCCGGGTTATGTAGAGAGAGCACGTGTCATGCAGCCCTAGGGTGCAGCTGCTCCAGGAAGGAGGCAGGACCTCCTGCGGTCCCTCAGCTCAGTAAATGGCATGCATGCCCCTTTCCCAGCATGCTCCTTTCCCAAAGCTTTTCCTCCTTTTGGTTCCTGGGTGAGATTTTCTCTTTGGTTTGTTGGGGAAACTAAACCTAAAAGTAGTTGACAGGCTGGGCGCAGTGGCTCATGGCTGTAATTACAGCACTTCGGGAGGCTGAGGCGGGAGGATCCCTTGACCCCGGGAGTTCCAGGATGCAGTGAGCTATGACTGCCACTGCACTGCAGCCTGCCTGGGTGACAGAGACCCTGTCTCTTAAATTAAAAAAAAAATAGATATAGATTATATATATATATATATATCTAACAACCTTTCTAAGAATGGCAAAACCGAATTCATAGTCATAAGCACCCACAGAGCCTTTTCTTTCTCATCAACTCTGAGACCTTCTGGGGAAAGCTCCCTGCGGCTTGCAGGAAATTTATTTTTCTTTTGAATATTACAGTTTGGTCTGCTTCATGTCTGAGGCTCTTCCGATTCTGGCACAGTCCCATTGATCTGATGCAAAGTTCAGACCCATTTCTCTCCTGAGCTGTGGTTCTTGGTGAGTAATGTATGTGAAAAGGATTTGAAAATGAACGGCTATGTGCTTCTGCAGTGACATTATGGTGGCTCTGTACAGGTTTCCAGTCCTGTGATCACTTGTAAAATTTAGGGTTTTCTGGAGACCTATTGCAACAAAAGTTTGTTTAGCTCTCAGTCCTGGAGAGAAAATGAAAAAAAAGATTCCTAAGATTTTTAGATCCTTTGATGAGTCAGCTAAGAATGTAAGTGGCTTCCCCCCGACCCCCCCTTATTTTTTGAGAGAAGGCAGGTCTAGTGAGGATAGAATGAGACATAGGGCCTCAAATCCAGCCTAGGTCATCATGAGCGACTTTTCTGGGCTCTAGCTTCCTTATCTGTGAAGTGAGGTGGTTGGGCTACATGGACAGCAAATCCCCTTTAAGTCTAAGTTATGTAGCTCTATGCTATTTTTGTTTTGCCTCATGTGTATGTGTTGTGAGGAGGAGGACCTGTTTCTGTTTTTATAGCTTTATTGTGTCATTTAAAGTTTTGTTTTATGTTAATATTAAAGCATTTCCATTCCCCTGTCATACAGGACTTTATTGGGTATTCTGTTGTATAAATCCAGGCCTGTAGAGTTGTATCACAACAATCATTTATTTTATGCTGTTAATCTGGGTATGTTCCAAGGCCTAATTATTGATGAGCCTGTTTTGCCATTTAAATATAAAGTTTGACTCACAGATGATACTGATGAAACTACTTAAGGAGACTAATAGGATCTCTGTAGGAGGTCCAAGTTTCATAGTAACATAGACATTATTTTTTGAATATCTGAAACATACACTGTAGTTTAATGTCACATGGGCACTAAAGTCCGTGAGTACTATGTGGTGTGTGCAGAGCCTGCTTTTCATCCCCAGTTTACTTTTGTTGATTAATTTATGTGAATAACTGCATAGCCTCTTATTAGATTCTTTGCTTCCCTGTTAATGCTGAGAATACACTCCCGAGGCAGCAGTATCCACTAAGTGTTCCCTGGTAATGAGAGTCTGGCTGTGAAGCAAAGTGATTTCACAGTAATGTTCAGTTAATAATGTTTTGCTTTCTTTACAATATTTTCATAATCTTTTCTTCACTTGTGTTTCGAGTTTATAGTCTTCATAGCAGCTCCCGAATGATTGTCATAAGGATCTTGAATAGTGATTGTAGCCTGTGAAGTTTCTTAGTGCTCAGGGGTTCAGTTAGAAGCTCCAGTTTCTGAGTATCTTTTGAAATCCTGAGCACACTTAAAATAAAATTGACATTACCTGTTCCTTGTACTCTTATGGTGATGGAAAATAAGCTGGGCTTGAGTCTCTTTTAAGGGATCTAGACTTTGTTTTTATCTACTTACTATAAGGCGTTCCTAACAACTGCTCAGAAGATGAAATTTGTCCAGAAGGTCTTGATAGTTTAATGGTTCTCAGTGATTTTCCTTTTCTTTTTTTTTTCCTTTTTTCTTTTTTGTAATCACAACCTTGTTTGATTAAACCCTATTCTTACTGAGTTTTTCAAAAGCGATAATAACTATGTTCAGTTTCAGAAGATCAAAGACATATTTTATCCAGGCTTCTAAGGAAACTAAGCACTTGTAAATTTCAATTTAACACAGATTACTCATGTCAGTTTAAAGATATTTGTTTATTTTATATAACACAGTGGTTGCCACTATTAGTAGCAGTAGATGTTCTAATTCTGGAGAGGTTTTTGGAAGGTTTCAAATGATGAAACAAATCAACAAAATTCTTGTTAGACTAGTGTCTGTAGCATAGAGGGAAGTGTGGGGTGTTCAGATTTATCGTAGAACTTTCCCGAGGATTGTTATTATGAGTAATAGTAATGTGATAGGAGTAAAACCTAGCTCTGGTTAATTTTCTCTAGTGGATAAGTCCTCACTCTTTTACCTATACTGTTTTTACTTCTGCCTCTTCTTATAGTTTGCATTTTCTCCTGTGATGTCTCCTTCAATGTTCTTAAATTAGTTTTTGTTATATAATTTAGGATTGAAGTAAAATGCTCTTCCACATAGAAACTCTGGTTCCTTAGGATTTATATTTGGATGATATAGAGTAAGCATCCAGTTTTCAAAACCGCCTTATCCATTGTTTAAAGTGTTAATGAGTTCTTATGATATCAAAGTGGGACTTAAAATCTATTTATAATTTGTAAGGAAAACATAATTAGGACAAATAAGGGTTCATTTGGTCTGTGAGTGCCATGCAATAAGTTCTTCACAGGGTTGCATCATCCTTCTGAAAGACACAAGACTATCATTTTGTGTACTAAAGCTGTAATATAAATGAATGATTTGTGAGTTTGAATTCTGGGTTAAGGGTGGAGATACGGGGGTGTGAGATGTGACACGTGGCAGGCTATGGTTGCGACCTTGCATTTGAGCGCTTCCCATGGGTTCTCTTCCTCCTAAGCCACAACAAATCCAAAGAAGGAAGGAAATCAAAGGCTCAGGTAAAGGTGGCAGCTCTGGCTCTGTGGAGGATAAAGATTCTATGTCCATCTAGATGGCCCGACACTCTACCAGAGTTCCTGATTCTGGTGCTTGGAAGAGCAGAGTTAAATCATCTTCCTAAGTACTTAGGGCCAAAGAGTGACTTAGCCATAGAATGATGGTCAGATGTTTGCTGCATTCATTTCTCTCTGGGAATGTGAATGCCCTAATTTCTCATAAAGATTATTACAGAAATACTGCAAAATAGAAATACGTAGTACTTTGCCATTTGCTATTATAGTGAAGGGATTTGGACTTTTCCTCTGTTCAAATAAGTTAGAAAAATGGAATACTTAGGTAAATAAGATCTTGGTGAAATATTTTGTTGGTTATCTCCAGTGTTCACCACATGCAGAGGAGATAAGACATCTCAGCAGCGGCTAGGTACTAGCAAGATGGTGGCAACCAACTGGCAAGGCCTTTGCCCTTCTGGAGCCTCCATTTCAATAGAGTAAGGCTTAGAGGGCCAATGCGTATCATAAATGGAAGATAGGAGGACTAGTTTTTAAAAGTTGACTGTTGAATAATGAAATACAGACCAATTAAATATCTTTGGGGTTTATTTGGATTTGAGTTTTTATAGAAACTTAAATGTATATTTTTGCTCGTAGATATTTTGTGGTTCTCTCAACTACAAAGTTGTTTATGTTTTTAAGAACAATTTTAAAGACCATTTGATGCTTGTGATTTTTATGGTAACATATTAATATGACTAGATATATTTTGAAACATAGTTTTATGGTCCTATTAGCATTCATCAGTAACCAGTTGCCTACACCTCTGAATAATAGTAAATGGTTTAGTATTACTGAGCTCAAAATATTTGCACTTTTGTCACTTAAATTGTTTATATTGATCAGTCCCTGAATTGTAAGAAACTTCATACTGAAACCTCACATTTAGGCTGTGAGTTTGATATGAGTCTTTTCTAACCCACAGAGAACATTCACTAGAAATGAAGCCAGAAGTTTAAGGACAGCGGGATTTTGAAGGACAATGAAAATCCTTAGAAAGTTCCCTGATATTCGTGTTTGCCATTCTCCTCTCCATGCTACAGCCCCCAGTCTACTTCAGTGATGGAGCTGGAGGCCAGCAGGACCCATTGGTTAATTGTATAGTCTTCCATTTGGTTAGTCCAGGGAATAGTTTCCCACAACTTCTAGCTTCTCTTCCTTACATGAAAGTTGGTACAGGGATTTGACACTTAGTATAACAGATAAGAGACTTCTCTCGGGGTTTTTGGTGGGTTTGTTTGTTCTCCTGCTTGGCCTCCTTAACAGCTACTGTCTTGTGCGACCAAAGCTATCAACTTTGTTCCCCGCCTAAAAATTACAATGCCTGCTGTTGGTAGGAAAGGAATAGACATCTCATTTTTATCACCCCCTGAGTGGGGTGCTTGAGCAAAAGAGGTTACCATTTCCTTTATTTATAGGCTTCTTTCATAGTGATCAGAAAAGGGGTTATGAAAATATTCACTGTCATAATAAGTCTTGGGACATCCTTAAGAAATGTCATCACTGCCTTAACCCATATGCTGTGGGGTTGTGTTTACCAATAATAGATTGCAGTTCAAGAATTAGCATTGTCTAAAGTTATTGAGATATACTGTGTATTGTTTCTTCACAGATATATTTCACAGTAAAGGGACCTTCTATATAATTAGGGTGTTGTTTAGGGAGTTGATTACAGGTTTAGTCGTTTAATACATACACAGGAGATAACTCAAGACATCTCAGCAGCATCTATGTACTGGCAAGATGGTGGCAACGAACTGACAAGGCCACTGTCCTCCTGGAGCCTCCATTTCAGTCATTTACAGAGGATTGCGCCCTCCAGGACTCCATCCTCTTGTGCTGCCTGCCATTGGAGCATTGTATTCAGTGGCCTCCCACAGAGAGTATCAAAACTAACCCAGTATGTGGAGACCTATGTCAGTCTATTTATTTTTCTATCTCTGTGGGGCTGGAGAAGGAAATAAACATAAAACTAAAGATTTAAAGATTACTTTTGATTTCACTTAGTTTTTTTATAACATCCTTGTGTTATGGGTAGTTTCAGAATCTCAAGAATGAGCAGAGAATAGATTTGCTGTGTTTATCAGAGTAGAAACTTCTGATAGTCTGCCCTAAAAGAATTTAATTGGCTGATTTGACCCTTTATTATTATAGTGTTACCCCAATTAATCACATTTACAGAAATGACTTTCTTTAAGTAGAGAACATCAGTTCTTGGCTAAGCCTCTCTAATATGCCCGTTTGTTCATTGCCCTTTCTAGACGGAGTGCCAGCATCCATGGGGGCTACCTGGGGAGGTGAGCAGTAAAGGGGTCTAATTACAGAGCCATATGAGTTTGCCGAAGGAAGTCCACAGAGGATGAGCATGGCTGCTGCTGTGGCCTGGGTGACGGGATCCCTGCTCCGAGGTGGTGCCATTGAAACTGAGATCTGAGGGAGGAGGAGACCTAGGCATGAGAAGAGCAGGGGGAGGCACCAGGATCAGGGGTGGCACCAGGACTAGGTCAGGCCTCTCTGGGAACAGAACACCACATACCTGGAGATGGTGAGCAAAGGGTGGGATGGCATCGACAACAGATTAGAGGCTGGGAAGGCCTGTGATCCCTGAGTTAGAGCTGGCATTTAGACTGCTTCCAAAGAAGATGAAACTTCTGCTGCCATGTTGTGTATTGGGAGCTGGCTGGGGAGGTGATAGGATATGAGAAAGGGACAAAAAAGCAATTGATGGCATAGTTGAGTCTGATAGAGAGTTTAGGCTTTATCTTACGGGCTATGGATGGGCAGTGGTGTATTTTAAAAGAGGAATATTTGTTTGTGTATTGTTTTAAAGTCACTCCAATGCAGTGCTGCTGGGTGTGCTCTATAAAAGCCAAGAGTGGAACCAGCGGCCGTTTCAGCAGGTGCTGCAGTTGTTCAGATGGAAAGTGGGATGCCCTGGGCCAGGTTTGGCAGTGGAGGCGGACACAGCAGCTGGATTACAGACATTTGGCACCAGGACATGTTGATGAGGAAAAGGGCAGACCAGGGATGACTCGCAGCCAGGGATGGCTCCCAGGCAGGGATGGCTCCCAGGCACGGATGCTCCCAGGCATGCTGTTGGCTTCTTCATCGTCACCAACAGATGATGTTCATCACACTTACAGTAGGCATTAAAGTCAGGACAGTTTAGGAAGACTAGTGAAATACAGAGCTTACTCTCAAGTTTTACAGCTTAGTTGTGAAAAAACAAAGTATAGAACAAAAGCTATTTTAATTTTACAGATACTTCTAGCTGTAGGAATTGCGAGGGGAAGAACTACTTGGGCGATCACATATGGAGGAAATGGTATTTGAACAAAGCCTTGGAGAGGATGAGTAGGAGTTGGGTGGGTGAAAGGGGACAGCAGGGCCATTGAGGCAGAACAAAGGATAAATGCAGGAACATCAGGCTTGTGTTTGGGGTAGTGAATAGGAACAGTGGCTGGGAGGAAGGTAAGACATATTCTAGCATGCCGGGTTATTGGTTTAGATTTTTACTTTATCATCAGTTGCTAATCATTAAAGACTAGTACCATACTGAAGCCCTACTTTAAGAAGGCATTTAGTTGCTGTGTATCTACAGGACCAGGAAGGGATGAACATGGAGCTACTAGACCAATTGAGAGCAGCGCACTGGGACAGTGTCCTAGGCATCAAGATGGTGGTGGGTCTCCAGAATTAAGGAGGAAATCAACTGGATGCTAATTGAACATGAGAACTAAGAATGAAGAAAAAAGAAGAGATAACAGTTTTGAGCCTGGCTGCCTAGGGAAAGTGGGGAAGACAACAGTCTGTCTTAAATGTGTTGAATTTGAATTAACATTGCTGTTTAAACACCTTAATTATATTCTTCTAGCCCTTGACAGCTCTGCAGAGTACTTCACCTGTCTGTGAATATGTTTTGCTTTCTGCATGTGTTTCTTGTCTCTCTGCCTTTCTTGACTTCCTACTCTTGCTTGCAGATAATTTCATATTCATCCTTCAAGGCCTGGTTCAAGTATCCCTTCCTCTGTAAGATTTTTCCAACTCTGCCAAATAATCACTCCCTCCAGCAGACTCCTTTAGTTCATGGTGTGTGCCTTCAGCAAGGAGTGCATCATCGCCTCATTTAGTGTGGAAAACCAGTAGACATATGGAGTGGGTGATTTTAAAGCCCATCATCTTTTTTGTCCAGGGCCAGGGGCACTCAGTCCGTAAGCAGAACTTTCATACGTAAGATAATTGAGTTGGTTGGGTGCCGTGGCTCAAGCCTATAATCCCAGCACTTTGGGAGGCTGAAGCGGGCAGATCACCTGAGGTTGGGAGTTCGAGACTAGCCTGACCAACGTGGAGAAACACCATCTCTACTAAAAATACAAAAAAAAAAAAAAAAAAAATTAGCCAGATGTGGTGGCACATGCCTGTAATCCCAGCTACTCGGGAGGCTGAGGCAGGAGAATTGTTTGAACCCGGGAGGCGGAGGTTGCGAGGAGACGAGATCGCGCCATTGCGCTCTAGCCTGGGCAACAAGAGTGAAACTCCGTCTCAAAAAAAAAGGATAATTGAGTTGTCTGTGATATGTATGTACAGTCAGCATTGCTTAATGACACCAATACGTTCTGAGAAATACATCATTGGGCATTTTGTCATTGTTCGAATATCACAGAGTGTACAAACCTAGAGGGCATAACCTACTACCCACCTAGACTATCTGATGTAGTCTGTTGCTTCTAGGCCACAGACCTATACAGCATGTGACTGTACTGAACACTGTAGGCAGTTACAACACAGCGGCAAGTATATGTGTATCTAAACATAGAAAAGCCACAGCAAAAATATGGCATGATAATCTTACGGGACCACTGTTGTATATACTGTCCATCACGGACTGAAACATCGTTACCTGCTACATGACTGTCCTGCCGAAAAAGTAAAAGGTCAGAGTTCAGGATGCTGAATATACTACATCCAAGTAAGGTTGAACTTTCTGCCATAGCATTTTACTATGTAGCTGAATACGTTTGTGGGGTAGGGCAAAGGGACAGAATAAACCATTTTGCAACAGAGTTTAGAGTCTTACTTTTGGACTGTTTTAGATGGCATGGTCAGCTCCCACGAATTCAATTTCTGATGCCAAGAAAGCTGAGAGAAGAAGAGACCGAATTCTTTATTCAGAAAGAGTAGCTCTGATGAGAGAGCGTTTTGTCCCAACATGACTAAAGAATTAATTGAGAAGCATTCATTTCCTTGACAACATTTTGGAAGGCATTTTCAGCTTCAAGTTGTTTGGAGAAGTTTATAGCAGTGGATTATAAATTAAGGAGGCGCCAGAAGCAAAAAGGTGGTTTTCAGATGGAGCTTAAACATGCTAACGGGAAGTTCATCCTGGAGCTGCCTCTTATTTATTAAAGGGAACTGGAGGGGTGTACTGGAGGCTGTAGTTTTTGTTTCCCCTACTCCACTATCTCCTTTCCTAAAAAAGGAAAAAGGGGGCAGTCTCTTAAAGTTCACTTAATGCTTCGGTTTGAACTACACAAAAAAGACAAGTACAAAGACAATAATAAATTCACATAAATTCCTGCTTTCATTTTGGATTTATTTAGGAGGCCTACTTTCTTTGAAAAGGCATAAAATCTTCCTTGTAACTCTCTACATTGGGAAAGAGAAAATGGAAAGTGAGTAGAAACATGAACTTGCTTCTGAAGTATGGAGCTCCTATAGTATTTAAAGTGCTGCCTGTGTACTGTAGCAAGAAAGAACCAGATAAGCCAGTTTTTAATTAGACAGGGGAAACTTGTAAGAGTGCTCCCCAAAGTGAAGGGGCTTATTCTTGAGATGCTCATTTGCATGGGGGTCTTAAGGTTATATAGAAAGAGCCTTTTAATAGCCTCCGAAATAGAATAGCAAAGTAGAAAATCTAGAACTGTTTGACAGGTTGTGGCACGAATGCCTTCCTTTTATGTACCTTTCCAAAAGGTCAGGGTGTGACCAGAACAAGGAATCAGACTTGTTTCATTGAAGCAGAATTTCTTGGCTTCACCAGTTGCTGCGTCATCGTTTTAATCGTCTTTGAACTCTTAAAATTTTAACATGCATTTTCAAACCTTGTCTTTTAAGAGAGAAATTTTATTGACTGCTTTACTTTCAAAATGACGCGAACTAGATTTAAATTTAAAAAATCTATACACACAAAAAATTGGGAAATTACATTGGAGCTTCATTTATGTTGCCCTCAATTTCTGGTTCTGAACAGTATACTTAATGTATAGTTACAGTTGAAGTAGTTGAAATCTATATTTACCTGTTATTTACAGTTCGTCTTTTTACTTGAATTCATTTCACATCTCTCTCGTATCTCAATGTAATGCCCATAGTTGTCATTTTTAATAGCTGTTATTACATCATATTACTGTTTCATATTCTGTGCTTCAGAAATGTCATTCTCTTTGCCATTTAATTTGCAGGCTGAATGATGACACCATAAACAAATCAGAAAAAGAGTTTGGGTTCTTTTTGTATTTTTTGTGACTACAGGTAAACCTACTTTGGAGACTATATCCCAGATCTGAAGATAGAAACAGATTTGTTATTTGTTGTGTGAAGCCAGGTTACTGTCCAGGAAAACTGTCTTATCATATAAAGACCCTACCAGTGTGTATCTTATTTTTTTTTTTTTAGATCTATCACCATTTTTTTTAGATCTATCACCATTCCTTCATCACTTTTGGAAATCATTTCTCAAAAATCGTTACTTCACTTATCTGTTAGACTGGATTTTAAAGTGTTGTGTGTTTGCTATTGTAAAAATATTCAGAGCAGGGATTGGCAGACTTTTTCTCTGAAGGGTTAGAAATAATTTTGTGCTTTGCAAGCCACATGTGGTCTTGGTCACATATTCTTCTTTGTTTTTGTTTTAATAACCTTTTAAAAATATAACAACCATTTCTATCTCCGTGGCTAAACAGGCAGCAGGTTGTAATTTGTCACCGTTTCATCTACAGTATTAGATGTTTAAAAATCTGGGCGTAAAATCTTTTAACTCTGAAGGTCATGTTTAAAATGCTAATTAGACATAATGATGATTTACATGCCAATCTTCTGTAGAGCAAAGATTGATAGTCAAGGCCTATCCTCCCTGACTGTCTCATCTCCTGTTCCCCCACCCTTTTTCTCCTGTTGTTTGTTCTCTTCTCTTTTTTTTTCCTTCTCTCCTGGCTTCTTTGCCCCAGCAGAAAAGTCTGCTCATCTTTTCCAGTGCCTGGCGTGTAGGAGATGTGCACATGTTGAACAAACGCATCTGTTAAAAGCAAGCAGAGGAAGCATAGATTCATTCAGGGCAACTGGAATCCGTGTTCCTGGGTTGCCGCCCTCAAATGTGGCCAAATAAACTCTCTACTTATATTGGAAAAAAAGAAAAAAAGTAAACAGACTCTGCATCCTCTTCTTACAAGTGCATAATTTCCCTGACCTTGCAACCAGGCTTCTTGAAAGAAAAGTATCTCTTTATCTTGTGCACAGTCTCAGCTCCTGGTTTTTGTTCAGTCTGCAGTTAGGCTCATGTCTTACCACTCCATCAAAACTGTTCTTTAAAAAATTGCAGTGTATAATTGCCAAATCAAGTGAAAACTTAAGTGTTTATCTTGACCTGTCTGCTGTATTTATCAGATCATTTTGTTGATATATTTTGTTGATACTTGGTCTCTCCAGGCTTCTGTGGCACCTCTTGTCCCATGTTCCTCACAGCCTGTTTTTCTGGCTCTCCTCCCCATCTGTCCCTATACCTTGATTAGACATAAGATTCCATTCTCACCCTGCACTGTCTCCCACGGTGATCTCATCTACCCCAGAGAAGCTACTGCCTTGACCTCTTTCCTGAGCCCCAGACCCACTGATACCAAGCCCGCTACATGGCCACCTTAAACCCAGTCAACCTAGCTCCCTCCCCCAGCCAGTGGGCTGTCCTCCATTGACTGTGTGGGTTAGTATACTACCAGACTCCCCAGGAGAAATCTAGGAGGCAGCAGAGATATCATCACCTCGCTCACTCTCAGCATCTAATTGATGCCCAGACCTCTCGTTTCTACCTCTCAGATCTCTGGAATCTGCCTTCTCTTCACCATTGCCACTGGCCCTGCCCCTCCTCAAGTGCCAGCTTTCATCAGTTCTGACTTGTGGCAGGACCTCTCACTGGTCTGTCTGCCTCCCTGCTCAGCCCCCGTCAGTCTCCACACTGCTGCCGCCAGAGTGATGTTTCTAGAATGTAATCGGATAATGTTTAAAACTCTAATATCTCCAGAGACAAGGCTGATTCAGTGCTGGGGCAGGAAAAAGACACCAAGAGGCTGGAGCATTTTGTGCCAGAAAGCACTGAGGAGCTCAGAAGACAGGCTTTGTGCAGGGCACAGGAGCCACCCAGAAGGGACTCCCAGAGGCCAATACCTCAGCAATGTGAGCAAGAAAATAAATCACAGTATAACATTGGATTCTACTCCAGATAATAAGATAAACACCCATGTGTCTGTGCATGGATAAGTGAATGAATGAATGCATGAATAAACTAATAAATGGAGGAGAGGAGACAGGTCTTTCTTATAAAAGAATTTCAATTCGTATATGTAGAAGAAATAGAGGATAGAAATCATCATTGAAGTACCACAGTTATTGTTGCAGACAGTATCTACTGATGGCTACAAAAAGGGTGAGATTTTGAGGAGAAAAAGGTATTTATGTATTCCCAAATTATCTCCTTGAATATACTTACAAAGGGAAAAATTATAACTTAACCATGGAGAAACCCAAGAGGTACCACCTTAACCAAGTGACCAAGGTCAGCATCATTAGAACAAGACATAATAATATCATCTTCTGCCTGATACGATATTTCCGTAGTGTATCTGCTAAAAATGCATAACCTCAGTGGAATTATAAGAAATTAAACAGGCAGGCATGGTGGTTCACGCCTGTAATCCTGGCAGGTGTGAGGCTAAAGCAGGAGGGTTGCTTAAGCCCAGCAGTCTAGACCAACCTGGGTACCATAGCAAGATCCCATCTTTACAAAAACTTTAAAAATTAGCCAGGCATGGTGGCGCACACCTGTAGTCCCAGCCACTCAGAAGGCTGAGGGAGGAGGATCACTTGAGCCCAGAAGTTTGAGGCTGCAGTGATCTGTGCTCGCACCACTGCGCTCTACCCTGGGCAACAGAGACCATGTCTCAAAAAAAGAAAAAAGGCAAATCCAAGTTGAGGAACGAGATGCGAATTAATTGACCAGTGCACATCAAAGTGCTAAGGTCATGAAAGACAAGGAAGGAAGGACAAACTGTCACTGATTAGAGACAAGACAACTAACTGCAGGATGGGACTAGATTGGATCCTAGAACAGAGAAAGGACACTGCGGGGGAAAAGTGGTGATACTGGAATAAAGCATGTGGTTTAATTAGTATTTCTGTAACAATATTAATTTCTGAGTTTGGATAATTGCAGGGTGCAAAGGAACTCAGTACAATTTTTAAAAACTTTTTTAAAAATCTTAAATTATTTCAAAATCAGTAGGTGAAAAAAAGAAAACCAAATTCCTAAGGAGCGGCTCCATTTCCCTCAAGGCAAAGTCCAAGTTTGCTTGTGGGAAGTCCTTCAGGAACGGCTCTTCCCCACGTCCCACCCTGTCCCCTCATACACATGGCTGCACCCCGCTCTCTAGCTTTGCCAAACTCCTTGCATTCTCTCATTTCTTTGTTGAAGTTGTATACAATATAGAGCAAATCTCTAAATTTAAAACGGTTTATTTGGGAAGCAAGAATTACATTTTGGGCCGTACGCCCAGACTGGGGTCTTCAGTATGTCAGAAGAACAAAGAGAAGGCTGGGACATACTGTGAAAGAAAGCTCTTGGAAGGCCGGGCGTGGTGGCTCATGCCTGTAATCCCAGCACTTTGGGAGGTCAAGGCGGGCGGATCACCTGAGGTCGGGAGTTTGAGACCAGCCTGACCAATATGGAGAAACCTGTCTCTACTAAAAATACAAAATTAGCCGGGCATGGTGGCGCATGCCTGTGATCCCAGCTACTTGGAAGGCTGAGGCAGGAGAATCGCTTGAACCTGGGAGGCAGAGGTTGCGGTGAGCCGAGATGATGCCATTGCACTTCAGCCTGGGCAACGAGAGGGAAAATCTGTCTCAAAAAAAAAAAAAAAGAAAAAGAAAAAAAAGAAGCTCATGGATGCTAGAGAAGCTTTCAGGAACTGGCAAGCAACGGTGGTGGGTAAACCAGTCAGAGACGTTGCAGGTCATTTCAGCAAGCTACCAGGTCAGACTGGCTGTGGGGTTGCAGCAGGCAGTTTCAGCAACTGGGCTTGTGGAAAAGTTAGTTCTTGCAGCAGGAGCTATGTGCCCTAAGTGCTTTCTACACTGGTCCTTGACTCATATTTAACTGGGTATGACTAGAATGACCCAGTTTGTATGATCAACTTTCACACCTGGGATGTAGTCTTTTACTGTAATGCTTTTGCTGTCCCCCTTCCTTGGTGTACTTGCTCTCCCTCCAAGTATGCCTGCAAGTGCTCAGCCAACCTGAGTCGGGTGCCACCTCTGTGAAGCCTCCTGTGACCACTCTCTCCCAAGAGCTGATTCTGCCTTCCCTTGTACATAGCACATGCCTGCTCCACAGTGCTTGCAACTGCCATGTCTCCTTAGTCTCCAGTGTGTGGTGGTTCCTCAGTCTTTCCTTGTCTTTCATGACCACAGCTCTTCTGGTGAGTACTAGTCAGTTATTTTATAGAATATCCCTTGTCTTGGTTTTGTTTGGTTTCTTACGATTAGATTGGATGGGAGGGTTGCATTTTTGGCAAGAACCCCATGGAAGTGATATCATGTCCTCTTCAGTGCATCATATCAGGAGGCCGTGATGTTAATTTGTCCCAACATTGGTATTGTTCAGTTTGATCACGTTATTTAAGAGGTATCCACTAGGTTTAGGGCCGAGTGCAATGGCTCATGCCTGTAATCCCAGCACTTTGGGAGGCTGAGGTGGGCAGATCACAAGGTCAGGAGATCGAGATCATCCTGGCTAACACAGTGAAACCCCATCTCTACCAAAAATACAAAACAAAAATTAGCCAGGTAGGTGGCACGCACCTGTAGTCTCAGCTACTTGGGAGGCTGAGGCAGGAGAATCGCTTGAACCCAGGAGATGGAGGTTGCAGTGAGCTGAGATCACGCCACTCCACTCCAGCCTAGGCAACAGAGCGAGACTCCATCTCAAAAAAAAAAAAAAAAAAGGAGGAATCCACTAGGTTAGTCTGTTTTTCTCTTTATAATTAATAAGTTGTGGGAGCAACACTTTGAGATTATGTAAATATCCCATTCCTCACTAACCTGCATTCACCAGTTTTAGTATCCACTTCTGTTTTATAACCCGGTCCATCCTTCTGTATTTATTAGGTGGACTCTGAAATTTTAGACTTAAGCAGGTGGGTAGAAAATAGTACCGTTTACTAGTTAGGGACAACTGGGGAGGAATAGGCTATGCATAGCCTGGGGGGAAAAGGATTTATGTAACACAATGGGTACTTTCTATCATGAAACATAATGCTAGAGGCTTACATGACTGGATTAAAATCCAAATAGAAATGATTCATAGCAATTCATTTTGTTGACATTAAGTCTATGGTTAGAAGTAAAAGTTTGTCAGTTCCTCAAGGATGGAGACTACCAACTAGTTGAGATCTTATTTCTGAATCCATACTTAGTACCTAATATCTCACCTGGTGCGGTGAGAGGCTAGCTACACAAAACAACACCACCTATCCACCAATCCAGTTTTCACTGGTTTGGTTACACGTTGTAGCTGTCCCTCTAGGGATGGCTGCATTCCTGCCTGGTCCAGTTGTTACTTATAGTTGTGCACGTCCACAATCCTGGGGTGCTGTGTGTGTGCTGTCTTCCCTGCTTCATGTCCCCCAAACACATGCACACTCTGCAGAAGTTTCATTGCACTGCCTTCCCGTTTCATTTGTAATTCACACTTGCCATGTTCTCTTTTCAGAAAACATAACCTTCTTTGAGATAAATTTCTCCTTTCTTCAAATCACATGACTCTCAAAGATACATAATTGCTATTCTCATATTTCTTCCAGATACAAATGTAATTGGACATGGTTATGCAGAGCAAAGCTAAATACAAAATGCTACATTATATTTCCTCTTCAAAGTGGATGATGTGATATCAAGAGGAGAATGGAAAAGGTTTCTGTGGATCTGCCTGTGTTGCATAGTTGGGGGAAGGGAGGCTGTCGGGGAAGGATAGGACTGTGGCTGTGGCCTCCTGGGAGTTGCTTCTGCACCTCCATTGTGAAGGTGGGTCTCCGTCACCTTCATTACTGTGTTGTTGGTTGGTGGGATGAAGACACCTGGAAAGTAAACCCTTGATTTTCCTGAAACCTTTCCTGACTTTTCACTACATTGCATCTCCGAATCTTCCCAGGCAGGGCACATGTGGTATTGAGTAGTGAGCAGAGAAGCGGGCTGAGATGGGGTGCAACTAGGTTTATTCCCAAATGAAAGCCTCCTCCTGTGGCCAGCCCTAGAGTCCGGTTCCCATTCGGATTATTGCACTGGGGACAATAGTGGAACTGTGGATAGTGGAACATTTGAGCATTGAATTGAACTGCTGAGTGTCCAGCACACCCTGGGGCCGATATGGAGAGAAAGTATCCCCTTCTCATTTGAGGACAAACCAGTGGGATGGAGTGCAGAAAAGCTCACAACCACTCAGCCGGTTCATGATGCCATTCTAAACAGTGTGGTCGTTTGACTTCAGAACCACATGAGAATAGTCACCAACATCGCAATATTAAAATCCACTGGTTCTCTAACCTGGCTGCGTGCTCATTTATCAAGTCAATTCATATTTATCAAGTGCCTGGTCAGTACCATTTTATTTGGTATGGGGATAGAGCAGGAAACAAACAAAGTCACTATTTTCATGGATATTGACATTAAACAAATGCGTCTTATTAGATGGTGATAAATTCTATGGAAAAATAAAGCAAGGGAAGGGGGTTGGAGGCTTGTTGTTTTAGACATGGTGGGTACCTTGGCTGCTCTTTGGAGGTGTTATTGGAGCAGAGAACTGGATCTAGGGAAGGATTAAACTGTGTGACTATGGGGTGGGGGGAGGGGTGTTCCAGGCAGGGAGGAGGTCAGGACAAGCTGGGAACTTTTTTAATATGCATATGCTTGAACTGGATTTAATTGGCCCAGTTTGGAACCTAGGAATCTGTTTTTTTATAAAGCTCTCCTGAACATTCTGAGAAGGTCGACTGGGGAACTACTCTTAAAATCCATTAAAATGGCTGGACACAGTGGCTCACACCTGTAATCCCAGCACTTTTTGGAGGCCGAGGCGGGCATATCACTTGATGTCAGCAGTTTAAGACCAGCCTGGGCAACATGGTGAAACCCTGTGTCTACTAAAAATACATGGCCGGGCATGGTGGCTCATGCCTGTAATCCCAACACTTTGGGAGACCAAGGTGGGCAGATCAACTGAGGTCAGGAGTTCGAGACCAGCCTGGCCAATGTGGTGAAACCCCATCTCTACTAAAAATACAAAAATTAGCTGGGTGTGGTGGCGCACACTTGCAATCCCAGCTACTCAGGAGGCTGAGGCAGGAGAATCGCTTGAACTCGGGAGGCGGAGGTTGCAGTGAGCCAAGATCACGACACTGCGCTCCAGCCTGGGCAACTGAATGAGACTCAGTCTCAAAAAAAAAAAAAAAAAAAATCCATTCAAATGATGAGTCATTCTAAGATCTGTGTGAGGAAAAAAGTTTTTTTGGTGAGTAAAAACCGTAATCTAGGTAAAAAGAATTGGTGGCAGAGAGAAATGAATAGAGAAAAATTAAAAGGAAATAGTGAAGAGTCCAGCTCTGAGCTCAGTGAGAGGAGGTGGGTGCCCCATGCGGGTTCCTGCCCTTCCCCTGCCTTATGCCCTTTGCTCTCAGTGCACCAGTGTGAGGCTGATGGTGGTTCCCAGGCAGGTCACCAAGACCATCCTGTGTCTTGTTGCTGTCTCCTACCCTCAGCACTCCTCTAACATGTCTTCCGACAGGACAAATCCTGTAGGAAGAGCACCTTGGTGTTAGCCTGTGTAGCTCATGGAGCTGTATGGAGGGCAGCTCACCTGTAGGCCCCTGGCACCCAGTCCACACCCCACTACCTGCTGAGGAGCTTCCTTGGGTTTCCCTCTGAGACCTCTGGTTGTGTCTCAGACGTCTGTGGAAATGCTCTTCTTCCATGTAGATGGAATTCTTGGATGGCAGGAACTGTGAGATAGAGGGGTTGGTATTTTTCCACCCACAAAAGTGGGCTGTAAAAGGCTTGTGTGAGACAAGGCCATCTGTTGATGGAAACATTAACTGCAAATTGATATTTCATTTAAGTTGAATGGGTACTAAAAACATCCTTTTATTTTTTATTTTTATGTATTTATTTATTTTGAGATAGGGTCTCACTCTGTTGCCCAGGCTGAAGTGCAGTGGCATGAGCACAGCTCACTGTAGCCTCGACCTACTGGGCTCAAGCGATCCTCCCACCTCAGCCTCTTAATTAGCTAGGACCACAGGTGTGCACACCACCCCAGTTGGCTAATTTTTTTTTTTTTTTTAATTTTCTTTGTAGAGAGGAGGTCTCACTCTGTTGTCCAGGCTGGTCTCAAACTCCTAGGCTCAAGTGATTCTCCCACCTCGGCCTCCAAAAGTGTTGGGATTGTAGGTGTGAGCCACCATGCCAGAAGCTTTATTTTTTAGAGCAACTTTACATTCACAGCAAAACTGAGAGGAAAGTACAAATATATCCCCTTTCCCCCATCCCTACCCATGCACAGCCTCCCCCATTATCAGTATACCACACGAGGGTGGTATACATTTGTTACAATTCCTGAACCTACATTGGCACATCATTGTCACTCAAAGATTGTAGTTGACGTCAGGGTTCACTCTTGGTGGTGTGCCTTCTATGGGTTTGGACAAATGTGTCATGACATGGATCCACTATTACAGTATCACCCAGAGTAGTTTCACTGCCCTAAAAATCCTCTTCCCTGAAGGTCTATTTTTGATGTGCTTTCAGGAGCTCCTGAAGACAAAAAAGCAGTTGGAGGGCATCTGTGAAACAAATTCCCTACAGGAATGTGAATTATTAGTTTGGCATAAGCAGGTAAATGAAGAGGCTACACAGGCCCCTCTTCAAATATCTCAGGGTCCGTTCCTGATAGCTACACAATCCAAGGTGACATGATGACATGATTCATTCGAAATCATGAGTAATGCCCATGAATCACCCCCAAATTTCTGCAAATCTCGACTTCGTGAACATTACATTCTCTTGCATTCTATTTAAATATGTTTCCTTGCTTTTATTGGAGACAAGCTTTTACATCAGAGGGGAAGAAAAGTCACTTAGACTTATTCTCTATCACTGTTATGTCAAGCCCCATTCAGTCACGTCTAAAATGATTCTTGGAAGACGATGACCAGGCCTATTACCTGGGTGGTTTGTTGTGGCTTTTAGACACAGTGAACTTTTCCAGCATTTTGGAAGCAAGAAGGGGACTATACGTACCCAGTGGATGACTTTGGCTCAATTTTAATTACTTACAAGTTGTAGACCCCTTTCATGGATGTAAAACTTTGAATAATACCATCTTCTTTATTAGCTAGTAGCCAACGACTTTTCTTATGTCCTTTTTTCCATATTGTCAAGAAAAAGTAACGTGAATATTGTTTCACTTCCTGCTCTACTTTAATAGAACAGAAGAACAGAAAAATTTTTTAAAAAGTTTGGCCAAAGGATGGGTGCTTGGGAGAAAAATAAACTTAGACCACATGATGTGCAAGAAGTATATTATAAATCCTTAAGTACTGATTGATTTGGCCAGAGTTAAGCCTCTAGGACTCACTAGGGTAGGTCTCAGGGCTGAGTCTCTGCAGTAATTCTACGTAGCTGGTTTCAGCAGCTCAGTCAAGAAATATTCAGGGATGGAAGAGATTGCAAATCACCTTAATCTCTTCTGTTTACAGATCAGCAGACGGGGCAGAGAGGGGAAATGTCTTGCCCTAGAAACAGAAAACGCGGAACAATGTGACATGCATAGTATTTATATTTGAACACCTGAGATCCATTTTTATAATACTTTCTATTGTTTCTAATTTTTTTTAGAGTGTTATAAAATTGTCAAGGTGATATTTTAAGGTTGCTGCATTTTCTAGGAGAGTTTGTAAATTGACATCATGTAATAATTAAAAAGAATATTAAGACTTCCAAGAAATTTACATGTATGATCCTGTAGCCTCCTGAGGTGGGGACAGAGAACATAGAAAAGGCCTATTGATTCATAGGCTCACTCAAGGAAAAAATGATCAGTTATTAACCCTTTAGCTTAGCTCTTTTTAAATGATTATTCATTACTCATTCAGTACAGTCCATTGACTTCTCAGTTATATGTGGCAGAGATAAAAACAAAGTGCAAGATGAGAAAATTCTAGATAAAAAAGGGAAATCTAAGGCGAAAATGTTTTGGTAGGTATTAGAAAAATGAAAGTATATGGAAGGAAAGAAATGCAAAACAGAATGGAATAAAACTAAAGGTATATAGAGATTTAAGTTGGGAAGTTGGGGGAAAAGTGAAGACAATAAGGGAGAATAAGACAAGTTTGTGTAGTTACTAAATTAGAAAGGAACGGTGACTGTCCCAGAAATGCGGGAGGGAAGTGGCTGTGAATGGCAGAAGGCTGTGGAGCAAGACTGCTTCCGGATAGATTTGAGTGATGCTTACAGTCCAAGACTGGAAGGGAGGCCCTTTGAGAGGCCCTGATTTCCAACTTTCACTTCATTCTTGGCAGACAGGTAGATGATCATCCAGCATGATGCTACTAAGATGGCATGTGCAGGCTGGTGATGGTCTGCACATTGTTACCTGCCCATGATCATAGAAGCTCAAGAGTTTAGAAACTCTTTTAGCAGTTTGACAGAGTAATTTATGTCTGTTGAATTTATCTATGAATTAAGTCATTATATTTTACAAAATATTCATCTGGGATTAATTGGAAATACAAAAAACATAGCACAGATAATTGAAGAAGCACCTATTAACCCCTTGTTACTCAAAGAGTGGTCTGGAGACCGACAGAATCCACATCACCCAAGAGCTCATTACAAAGACAAGCACTCAGGCTGCATTGCCAACCTTCTGAATCAGAAAAACCTTGTTTTGAACAGTTCCCAGTTGAATTGTATGAGCATTAAAGTTTGAGAAGCACTGGGCCTTAATCCTTTCAGCGTTGTACAGATACAGTTATTAAACGTTCTTCCTTGTTTTTGATCTGGTTCAGCTTTGTTGTACCTAAGGTCATCAGAAAAAATCATATGTGAGAGCACTTCACATTTAAAGACTTGAGTATTTAAAGACCACTGTCAGCTTCAAGTTTATTGTACATGTAATCATCAAGCAGCATCTTCACTTTGTAAACTGCTGGGCTAGGTTGTCAGCATACAGTGATAAAGAGGGCTCCAGCCTCAAGGAACTTGGAGTTTACTAAAGGAAATAGAGAAATACCATAATGTAGGCCAGAACTTGATCATTCCATAGTATGTCATAATAAAGTTATTGATAAGGTGCTGGGGAAATTCATAACAGGAATCTATTTTTACCTACAAAGAGGTAAGGGCGGAGGTGCAGCTTGTGGCAGGATGGAGTGATCTAGGAAAAATCTGTAGAACAGCTGGCATTACAACTGATCTTTCAAAGACGGGTGGGAATTGGGCAGGCACAAATGGTATTGGGGGAGGTTAAGGGCAGGATAGGATGATGGGAAGGTGTCAGGGGCAGATGTAAGGATGTGAATTTAAACCGTAATTAAAGTTTTGATACTTAACCTTCAGGTGTTTGGAGACTTCAAGTGTACAGCAATTCATTTTTTCATGGGCTTTGGAAAGGATCACATTTTATGGAAGTCTGAAATGGTCCATGCTCGTATTTCAGGAAGTCTCTTATTCCTTCCTCTTAGCCATTGTGTATCCTCTGCCACCTGCTGAGAAAAACCTGTATTCTTTATATTTGTTCGTTTCTTTGTTTTAAATAGAGATGAGGTCTTGCTGTGTTGCCCACAATGGTCTTGAACTCCTGGGCTCAAGCAGTCCTCTCACCTCAGCCTTACAAAGTGCCCGGATTACAGGCGTGAGCCACTGTGCCCAGCCAAAACCTGTACTCATTAGAAATGATCCTCTTTCATTGTGGAAACATATGACAGTAGAATAATCCTTAAAAAAAATAATAAAACCCATCCAGTCACATGAGTCAGAAATAAAAATAAAAGAAAACAATAAAAGGGCTCCTTGTCCAACACACACCTCACACAGGCAGGTGCCCCTCTGGGGCGAAGCTTCCAGAGGAAGGATCAGGCAGCAATTTTTGCTGTTCTGCAGTCTCCACTGGTGATACCCAGGCAAACAGGGTCTGGAATGGACCTCCAGCAAACCCCCACAGACCTGCAGCTGAGGGGCCTCTCTGTTAGAAGGAAAACTAACAAACAGAAAGGAATAGCATCAACATCAACAAAAAGGACATCCACACCAAAACCCCACCCATAGGTCACCAACATCAAAGACCCAAGTAGATAAAACCACAAAGATGGGGAGAAACCAGAGCAGAAAGGCTGAAAATTCTTTGGAGGAGAAGAGAATACCTCTTCTCCTCCAAAGGAATACAACTCCTTGCCAGCAAGGGAACAAAACTGGATGGATAATGAATTTGATGAGTTGATAGAAGTAGGCTTCAGAAGGTCAGTAATAACAAACTTCTCCAAGCTAAAGGAGCATGTTTTAACCCATCGCAAGGAATCGAAAAGCGTTCAAAAAGGGTTAGACAAATGGCTAACTAGAATAACCAGTGTAGAGAAGACCTTAAATGACCTGATGGAGCTGAAAACCACAGTATGAGAACTTCATGAAGTATACACAAGCTTCAGTAGCTGATTCGATCAAGCAGAAGAAAGGATATCAGTGACTGAAGATCAGATTAATGAAATAAAGCAAGAAGACAAGATTAGAGAAAAAAGGAGTGAAAAGAAATGAAGAAAGCCTTCAAGAAATATGGGACTATGTGAAAAGACCAAATCTACATTTGTTTGGTGTACTTGAAAGTGATGGGGAGAATGGAACCAAGTTGGAAAACACTCTGCAGGATATTATCCAGGAGAACTTCCCCAACCTAGGGAGGCAGGCCAACATTCAAATTCAGGAAATACAGAGAATGCCACAAAGATACTCCTCGAGAAGAGCAACCCCAAGACACATAGATTCACCAAGGTTGAAATGAAGGAAAAAATGTTAAGGGCAGCCAGAGAGAAAGGTCGGGTTACCCACAAAGGGAGCCCATCAGACTAACAGTGGATCTCTCTGCAGAAACCCTACAAACCAGAAGAGAGTGGGGGCCAATATTCAACATTCTTAAAACTATTTTCAACCCAGAATTTCATATCTAGCCAAACTAAGCTTCATAAGTGAAGGAGAAATAAAATCCTTTACAGACAAGCAAATGCTGAGAGATTTTTGTCACCACCAGGCCTGCCTTACAAGAGCTCCTGAAGGAAGCACTAAACATGGATAGGAACAACCGGTACCAGCCACTGTAAAAACATGCCAAATTGTAAAGACCATCGATGCTGTGAAGTAACTGCATCAATTAACAGGTGAAATAACCAGCTAGCATCATAGTGACAGGATCAAATTCACACATAAGAATATTAACCTTAAATGTAAATGGGCTAAATACCCCAATTGAAAGACACAGATTGGCAAATTGGATAAAGAGTCAAGACCCATCAGTGTGCTGTGTTCAGGAGACCCATCTCACATGCAAAGACACACATAGGCTCAAAATAAAGGGATGGAGGAAGATCTACCAAGCAAATGGAAAGCAGAAGAAGCAGGGGTTGCAATCCTTGTCTCTGATAAAACAGACTTTAAACCAACAAAGATCAGAAGAGACAAAGAAGGCCATTACATAATGGTAAAGGGATCTATTCAACAAGAAGAGCTAACTATCCTAAATACATATCCACCCAATACAGGAGCACCCAGATTCATAAAGCAAGTTCTTAGAGACCTACAAAGAGACTTAGACTCCCACACAATAATAATGGGAGACTTTAACACCCCACTGTCAATATTAGACAGATGAATGAGACAGAAAATTAATAAGGGTATGCAGAACTTGAACTCAGCTCTGGACCAAGCAGACCAAATAGACATCTACAGAACTCTCCACCCCAAATCAACAGAATATACATTCTTCTTAGCACCACATTGCACTTATTCTAAAATTGACCACATAATTGGAAGTAAAGCACTCCTAGGCAAATGTAAAAGAACAGAAATCACAACAAACTGTCTCAGACCACAGTGCAATCAAATTAGAATTCAGGATTCAGACTCTCACTCAAAACCGCACAACTACATGGAAACTGAACAACTTGCTCCTGAATGATTACTGGGTAAATAACGAAATGAAGGCAGAAATAAAGATTTTCTTTGAAACCAATGAGAACAAAGACACAACGTACCAGAATCTTTGGGACACATTTCAAGCAATATGTAGAGGGAAATTTATAGCACGAAATGCCCACAAGAGAAAGCAGGACAGATCTAAAATCCACACCCTAGCATCACAATTAAAAGAACTAGAGAAGCAAGAGCAAACACATTCAAAAACTAGCAGAAGACAAGAAATAACTAAGATCAGAGCAGAACTGAAGGAGATGGAGACACAACCCTTCAAAAAATCAATGAATCCAGGAACTGGTTTTTTGAAAAGATCAGCAAAATGGTTAGACTGCTAGCAAGACTAATAAAGAAGAAAAGAGAGAAGAATCAAATAGACGGAATAAAAAATGATAAAGGGGATATCACCACCGATCCCAAAGAAATACAAACTACCTTCAGAGAATACTATGAACACCTCTACAGAAATAAACTAGAACATCTAGAAGAAATGGATAAATTCCTGGACACATACACCCTCCCAAAACTAAACCAGGAAGAAGTTGAATCTCTGAATAGACCAATAACAGGTTCTGAAATTGAGGCAATAATTAATAGCCTACCAACCAAAAAAAAGTCCAGGACCAGACGGATTCACAGCCGAGTTCTATAAAGAGGAGCTGGTACCATTCCTTCTGAAACTATTCCGATCAATAGAAAAAGGGGGAATCCTCACTAACTCATTTTATGAGGCCAGCATCATCCTGATACCAAAGCCTGGGAGAGACACAACAAAAGAGAATTTTAGGCCAATATCCCTGATGAACATTGATGTGAAAATCCTCAATAAAATACTGGCAAGCCGAATCCAGCAGCACATCAGAAAGCTTATCCACCACGATCAAGTTGGCTTCATCCCTGGGATGCAAGGCTGGTTCAACATATGCAAATCAATAAACATAATCCATCACATAAGCAGAACCAACGACAAAAACCACATGATTATCTCAACAGATGTAGAAAAGGCCTTTGACAAAATTTGGCAGCCTTTCATGGTAAAAACTCTCAATAAACTAGGTATTGGTGGAACATATCTCAACATAATAAGACCTATTTACGACAAACCCAGAGCCAATATCATCCTGAATGGGCAAAAATTGGAAGTATTCTCTTTGAAAACTGACACAAGACAAGGATGCCCTCTCTCACCATTCCTATTCAACATAGTATTGGAAGTTCCGGCCAGAGCAATCAGGCAAGAGAAAGCAATAAAGCGTATTGAAATAGGAAGAAAGGAAGTCAAATTGTCTCTGTTTGCAGATGACATGATTGTATATTTAGAAAATCCCATCATCTCAGCCCAAAATCTTCTTAAGCTGATAAACAACTTCAGCAAAGTCTCAGGATAGAAAATGAATGTGCAAAATCACAAGTGTTGCTATACACCAATAACAGACAACAGCCAAATCATGAGTGAACTCCCATTCACAATTGCTACTAAGAGAATAAAATACATAGGAATACAACTTACAAGGGATGTGAAGGACCTCTTCAAGGAGAACTACAAACCACTGCTCAAGGAAATAAGAGAGGACACAAACAATGGAAAAACATTCCATGCTCATGGATAGGAAGAATCAATATTGTGAAAATGGCCTTACTGCCCAAAGTAATTTATAGATTTAATGCTATCCCCATCAAGCTGCCGCTGACTTTCTTCACAGAATTGGAAAAACTACTTTAAACTTCATATGGAAGCAAAAAAGAGCCCGCATAGCCAAGAGAACCCTGGACAAGAAGAACAAAGAACAAAGTCAGGAGGCATCACGCTACCTGACTTCAAACTTTACTACAAGGCTGCAGTAACCAAAACAGCATGGTACTGGTACCAAACAGATATATAGACCAATGGAACAGAACGGAGGCCTCAGAAATGACACCACACATCTACCACCATCTGATGTTTGACAAACCTGACACAAGCAATGGGGAAAGATTCCCTATTTAATAAATCATGCTGGGAAAACTGGCTAGCCGTATGCAGAAAACTGAAACTGGACCTTCTTACATCTTATACAAAAATCAACTCAAGATGGATCAGAGACTTAAACATAAGACCTAGGACCATAAAAATCCTAGAAGAAAACCTGGGCAATACCATTCAAGACAAAGGCATGGGCAAAGACCATGTCTAAAACACCAAAAGCAATGGCAAAAAAGCCAAAAACGACAAATGGGATCTAATTAAAGAACTTCTGCACAGCAAAAGAAACTACCCTCAGAGTGAACGGGCAACCTACAGAATGGGAGAAAATTTTTGCAATCTATGCATCTGACAAAGGGCTAATATCCAGAATCTACAAAGAACTTAAACAAATTTACAAGAAAAAAGCAAACAACCCCATCGAAAAATGGGCAAAGGATATGAACAGTCACTTCTCAAAAGAAGACATTTATGCAACCAACAGACATGAAAAAATGCTCATCATAACTGGCCATTAGAGAAATGCAAATCAAAACCACAATGAGATACCATCTCACACCAGTTAGAACGGCGATCATTAAAAAGTCAGGAAAAAACCGATGCTGGACAAGTTGTGGAAAAATAGGAACACTTTTACACTGTTGGTGGTAGTGTAAATTAGTTCAACCATTGTGGAAGACAGTGTGGCGATTCCTCAAGGATCTAGAACTAGAAATACCATTTGACCCAGCAATCCCATTACTGGGCGTATACCCAAAGGATTGTAAATCATTGTACTATAAAGACACATGCACACATATGTTTGATGCGGCACTATTCACAATAGCAAAGACTTGGAACCAACCCAAATGTCCATCAATGATAGACTAAGAAAATGTGGCACATACACACCATGGAATACTATGCAGCCATAAAAAAGGATGAGTTCATGTCTTTTGCAGGGACATGGATGAAGCTGGAAACCATCATTCTCAGCAAACTGTCACAAGATCAGAAAACCAAACAATGCATGTTCTCACTCATAAGTGGAAGTTGAACAATGAGAACACATGGACACAGGGAGGGGAACATCGCACACTGGGGCCTGTTAGGGGTGGGGGCCTAGGGGAGGGATAACATTAGGAGAAATATCTGATGTAGGTGACGGGTTAATGGGTTCAGCAAACCACCATGGCACATGTATACCTGTGTAACAAAATTGTACGTTCTGCACATGTAACCCAGAGCTTAAAGTATAATAATAATTTTAAAAGAGGGCTTCTTGTAACCTTTTCCCTGATAGCCTAGTTTCCCCCATCCTACCACTGTCTGCAAGACGCATGCAAGTTTTCCACAGACAGGAGTTCTGGGGATGGTTTCAGGGTGTAACCGTTCCACCTCAGATCATCAGACATTAGATTCTCACAAGGAATGTGCAATCTGGATCCTTCACATGCCCAGTTCACAATAGGGTTCGTGCTCCTATGAGAATCTAATGCCACATGCGCAAGCAAGTACAGCTAGCTCTTGGTTGAACCTGGGTTACTTTAAAATAAGAACTCTAATTCTATCCTGAAGCTCCTCTATCTGAACATGTTTTGGAGATACCTCCTCTAAATTTTTTAGTGGCTGTTAGTGTCCATCTGGGTCTAGTCAGGAGAGAGAAACCACAGAACAGTTTGAGCAAAGAAAATTTAATATAAAGAATTATTAACTACAGCAGGAGATTGGAGTAATGAGGGACTGGCCAGTAAGAAGTAAAGAAAACTCTAAAAAATACAGGAATAGATATATGGAGCATCTGCTACCCCAGAGCTGACTTATTAGGACACACCCATGGCTCACTGCATGGCAGAAAAGCCACATTGTGGAACTTGTTGGAAATCTGTCTTCTAAGGCCTTAGGACTGGGCCATGGCCTTAGGACTGGGCCACACAGTGGGAGGTGAGGCCCTGGTGATGGAGCTTTCCTGCCTGAGCTCCGCCTCCTGTCAGATCAGTGGTGGCATTAGATTCTCATAGGAGCGCGAACCCTATTGTGAATTGGGCATGTGAGGGATCTAGGTTGCATGTTCCTTGTGAGAATCTAATGCCTGATGATCTGAGGTGGAACAGTTTTACCCTGAAACCATCCCCACAACTCCCTTCTGTGGAAAGATTGTCTTCCACGAAACCAGTCCCTGGTGCCAAAAAGGTTGGGGACTGCTGCTCTAAGATGCCTGAGAAAGCTGTTCATGGGAAGGTACTTGAAGGAGGCTCTGGGGAAAACTTCAGGGTGTGGTTGCAGCTGTGCACTGTGGGAGCCTGGTGCTGGGAGAGAAGACTGCCTGGCAGGAGGCAGGTCTCTTCACCAGAACCAGCAAGCAAAACTCTCACCTCCTCCAGTGTCTCTCCAGTGCCTTTAACTGAAGCTTAACATCGTGCTATTTGACAAAGGAAAATGATTTAAAAGGATCAGATCCATTTTTCCAAAGCAAGCAAAAAAGGGTGAATTTGGAGCTGAGAGGCTATATATGTTGATAACCAGCACAGTGACTGAGAAATACAAATAGTCATGACATCCTAAGTGAAGACATGTCTGCTGCCAAAAAGATTATATGATGCATTTCAAAGCCAGATATTTCGGTATTTTATTCTTACACTGTTTTCTCTCTTGACGGAGAATTGACTCAAATTCTTTCCTTCACTTTTAATAAAAGCATCAGGCAAATAGATACACCTAGACAACAGCCAGTGGCAATGAAGTACCTTTTGAGTAAAACCATTAGTTCACTGGAAACTGTACGGGCAGGAATAGTAGACAGGAAATACAGGGAGGAAAGAAAGTTGTCTAAATACCCTCTGTATACTGTCATACACATTATATATTTGATGTTAAAGATGTACAAGGGCCTTCTACTGTCACCAGAATGGACTGGCTTCCTTCTGCTGGTACATAGCTGTCATTCCAGGATCATTCTTCACCATTATTGTGCATCCCTTTCACTTCCTTCCTGTTTGGATTGCATCTTGTTAGTATCCAGAATCTTCCACTTTCTTGATATATTCCTTTGTTTTTTTGGGGCACATTTTCTAACACCATCCCGAGAAAGGTTGCATGGGAAGTAAATTGTTTTGTGACTTCATATAGCTGAAAATGTCTTTGTTCCCCCCTGCCACTTGATTGATAGTTTGGCTGGTTATAAAAATCTAGGTCTGAAATAATTTTCTTTCAGAATTTTAAAGTAATTTCTTCTTTATTATTTAACTTTCATTTACAAGTATGAAGCCATTCTGATTCTTGATCCTTTCCATATAGCCTATTTTTCTTTCTGAAAGCTTGTAAGACTTTTTTCTTTATTTCTCGTATCCTGAATTATTATGATGATGTGCTCTGGAGTGGGTCTATTTTCATCCGTTACTGAGAGTACTTCCTTAATAGTCTTATCTTTTTTGGTTGGGGGGACATTACTTTTTTTCAGGTGTTGAACCTTCTGGACTGATCTTCCAGTTTTCTTAACTTATCTCTCATTTTCTTTTTTAAAAAATTATTTAATAAATTTTAAAAAAAATAGAGGTGGGGTGTCGCTGTGTTGCCCAGTCTGGTCTTGAACACCTGGGCTCAAGCAGTCCTTCCAAAGTGCTGGGGTTATAGGCATGAGCCATGTGCTCAGCCATCTGTCATATTTTCTGCCTTTGTCTCTTTGTTCTCTTTTCTAGGAGATTTCCTCAACTTTTTATCTTGACCCTACATTTAAAAAAATTTTTTTTTCAATCATTACCATTTTTTGCTGGCTTATGAATGTTTCTTTTTATGTCATCGTACTCTTGTTTTATGTACACAATATCCTGTCTTTTCCCTCTGGGAAGATTACGATGAATTTTTCTTTTTTCCTTGAACTTTTCATTTTAGCACAATCTTTACTTCCTTTAAGTTACCTTTTTTCTTATCAGTTTTGTTCCTGTCTTTTATCTTTGTTAAATATCTAATGAGTCCTGTTTGCTTGATTTTAAGAGCAGTGCTCTAAAACAGTTTCTTAACCAATGTGCCAAAAAAACATGTTGCAAGTATGTGAAGATACTGATGGTGTCAGTCTTCAGAGTAGCTGAGCAGCATCTCCAAATGCTGGGGGCCCTGTCCAGCCATGAGCCTACAGGCCGCCTCTGTTTAGCCCAGAGTAATACTACGTTTTCTGTGTATGATGTGACATGAGAAAGTTTTAGAAGTACAGCTTCAAAATGTGCAGGAAGCTCAGAGCCCTATAGGTTAGACTTGTTGAACACAGGTTTTGCTGTTGTGTGATCAAACTGGGTCATTTTCTTAGGGCAGATTGATGTCTGTGCCCTTGGGTCTGTACCCTTGGGCTGATCAAGTCCTCCAGAAGAGTCTTTGTTTCTTGCTTGGAAGATATGTTCTGGCTTTCAGTATTTTAGGAGCAGAGTTGAGAGAAAAAGACTAATGGTCCAGCATTCAGTATGTAAACATTCTGTTAACCCTCTCAGTTACAATACACCTACCCTCAAATGTGCCTGGTGCTCCCCTGTCCAGAGACTCTCAGTTGTATACTCTTCAAAATATAAGTCATTTGTCTTCCACTGGAGCTAGGGAGAGTCTTATTGAGCTCTACAGGGAAGATGTGTATCCACATGGAAGGAGAATCCGGAAATTCAACTATTTCCTAAGACTTTGTTAACAGTTCTGTTTTTAGCTTATCTTTCACCCCCTGCCCCACCCCGACCCCGTCCTCACCTACCCTGTACTACCAGTTCCCGGAGCCTTTGGGAAGTCTTCAGTCCAATTCAGGTTGAGTCTCGGCTTTGCTTACTGCTAAATTAGGATTAAGTTTCCTCAGATACTCCAAGTCAGTTACCCTTGTCTGTTTTCTAGCATATGAAATTTCATTGGCTGGGTGCGGTGGCTCATGCCTATAATCGCAGCACTTTGGGAGGCTGAGGTGGGCAGATCAGTTTAGGAGTTCGAAACCAGCCCGGGCAAGATGGTGAAACCCCGTCTCTACAAAAAGTACAAAAATTAGCTGGGTGTGGTGGTGTGAGCCTGTAGTTCCGGCTACTTGGGGGGCTGAGGCAGGAGAATCACTTGAACCCAGGAGGAGGAGGTTGTAGTGAGCCATGATTGCGCCACTGCACTCCAGACTGGGTGACAGAGTGAGACCCTGTCTCAAAAACAAAAATAAAAGAAATTTTGTTAATATTATTTCCTGTTCTGTTTGTATTCAGTCTACCAAAAGTCTGATCCTTTGTTGACTTTATTGTAGAAGTCTGAATGCAAATAATGAGTTTAAATATTTGTTTCTAAGAAGTTCTCCCTGTAACTCACTATTTGGATTACAGTATTTGAAGGTGTGCTTTTCTTTTCTTAGAAAACATGGTTGTTAGGTAGCAGGTAACACAGTGTCAATCTTGAGATTTAACAGAGTTATAATTCATACCAAGAGCATGTTTCAAAGCTATTTTTAAATTTCACTTGAATTTTTTTTTAAACCTTAAATTTTCTTAGTAAAAAATAACAGGAATATCTAGATATAAGTTCTTAAAACAAAAAGCATTGACCGAAAAATTGTTCTTCAAATTCTTCATCAGTTTGTTTAAGAAGTCTTTTTTTTTTAAGTTTTTTAAAAGGCCCCTTTTAAAAAGTTCATGTCTGTTAAATGATTAGTATCACAAATATGTAAAGAACTCCTACACCGCAATGTGAGGACAGTTAGTGAAAAATGAACAAGAAACATGAACAAACGTTTTGCAAAAGGGGAAACGTGGCTACAAACATACAAAGAGATGTTCAGCACCTGGGTAGTAAGAGAATGCAGATGATAACCACAGTGAGATACCATATTTCACTCATTCAATTGACAAAACTTAAGAAGTGTGACAGATTCAAATGTTGTAGAGTTTATGAATCCGCAGATGCCCTTACACATACATAGTATATGAGGCTGTAAACAGCGCCACCTACTATGGAGAATAAGTAGCATAATTCTACTCCCAGGAGTAGACCCAAGGGAAATTTTTGTTTATTTATTTATTTACTTACTTAATTTTTTTTTTTTTTTGAGGCAGAGTCTCGCTCTGTCACCTAGGCTGGAGTGCAGTGGCATTATCTCAGCTTACTGCAACCTCCATCTCCCAGGTTCGAGCTATTTTTGTGCCTCAGCCTCCTGAGCTGCTGGGATTGCAGGCGTATGCCACCACCACTCCCAGTCGATGTTTGCATTTTTAGTAGAGATGGGGTTTCACCATGTTGGCCAGGCTGGCCTCGAACTCCTGGCCTCAAGTGAGCTACCCACCTCGGCCTCCCAAAGTGTTGGGATTACAGGCGTGAGCCACTGCACCCAGCCGAAAAATTCTTTAACATAGCACAAAAGAGTCATATGCAATAATAGTCATAGCATCACAGTTTGCAATATCGAAAACCTGGAGACAACCCCAGATGCCCATCAACAGGAAAATGGGATATTGCACAGCAGAAAGAACTAAAGAACCAGTGTGATATGCACACCTCTATAAAATTTTAAGTCATTTATATAAAACAATAATGCAAAATGGATGACTAATTATAAAACAAGTTAAAATTTAAAATATATATTTCACGGATGCAGTAATAAAGCAAGGAAAAAGTGAGCATAGGATTTGGGATAATGGTTACTTCAGATGGTGGAAGCAGAGGAATGGATTGGTGGGGAAGACCATCTGGTTAGAAGCGGGCTATTGACAAGGTCTTAGCTTTTGTTTTGGATGGCAGGTTTGTGGAGTCCTTGTTACATTATTGAAGATTAATTAGAGAATTCAATACATTAGAAAATAAGCCTAAAGGGACTGGGATTTCCAAGGTGAAATACAGATTCATGGTCATGTGGATCTTAGTTCTTTGGTCATCTGTTTTGTTTTTGTTTTTTAAGAAGTAGCATTTGGGATCCTGGGACCAATGTTTTGTAGTTGAAAGTTATAGAAATACATAGACCTAAAGTTAACGAACTAAATTTTCTAGGTGGGGATTCATATACTGATAAGTATCTTATACGTTATAGAGTTTTGAGTACATAAATATTTATAGCTATTTCTGTTCTTTCATAGAAATTTTACATTTTTTTCCCTTTCTTAGGACAAAGTTAAACTATAATCCTCCAAAAGATGATGGATCAACTTATAAGATTGAACTTGAAGGGATATCGGTAATGGTTATGAGAGAGATCCTGGATTACATCTTCAGTGGGCAGGTATGATGAGAAACAAAGGAAGGAAGACCTAAGTAGAGGCTTCTCAAGCTCAGGGTGAGGGTCTCCTTTCATCCATTATATGACAAAGTAGCACTGTCATCTTCATCTTCTGTCACTGTGTGCATTGACTGACATTTCCTACTGGTAATGGCACCCCATGTGTGTTCTTCCATGGCTGTGCTCCTAGAGAAGCAGAGGAAGTAAGATCTTAGACTCAAATCTCAGTTTGTTGCTACCATTCTGAGCTCCACCTTCTCATATGAGATATTAAAGAACATGGGATGCTGCCCTGACTGCTGTGTTTTTGGTTTTTGCTTTGGAATCCCGATTCCAGTCTTGCTTTGTATCCATATGACTGGGGATACAAAACTTGTTTTGTCTCCATAGCATGGAAATAGGAACTTCCTGGGGCGTTGTGGATTATTTGGTAGAAATAGAGAGTTCCTTGTAGATCATTCCCAGAGAAAGATGACTGACAGACATGACAAGCACCTTATTCACGATGCCCTGGTCCTGTTGCCTCAGTAGTACCCACATCCCTGCCCCACCCTTATTCTCTCTTCCCTCTCCATGTCCACTTGAACCTCTGGGGACTTTGTGATACCCAGGGAGGAGAATGATAAACGATCAGACTTCTTTCTTTTCCTTTGCCCTCCTCCGACTACCCATTCCCCATGACGTGATTTCAAGCAAAGCATGAGGACTCAAGAAAAATCTTCCGTGTGAATCAGGGCTAGTTTTTTGTTTTGTTTTTTTAACAGAAGGAAGAGGTCAGTGCATCTTACCTTTGGCTGTGTGAGAATGCATTTCATCTTTATTCTTTCTGAGATCTTGTTCCCTACTCTCTCCTTTATTCTTTCTTTATCCCTCTTGTTTTCCTTTCTGTAGGGGCTGTTTGTCTTACATATTTTCTAAGTATTCTGAATGTATTGCTTTCTTTATCTAAATATATTCATTCTGTCCAGAGTTAAACGCAGTGATTCTCATCCTTTTTGAAGGTTTTGGTTTGATTTCATGCTTTCTCTCTTCTCTCAGCACTAGTGGGTGGGTGTGTACGTGTATGATTGTTAAAAGTAAATGAATTTAAGTTAATCTGGGGACAGCCCAGAGATGCTCTGTAGCATCACATAACCAGGGCTAAGACCAACCTCTCCTCCACCTTGTAAAGTCAATCCAGCAGCAGTTATTAGTATAATGAGTTATAAGCCAGTAAGAGCCTATTCATGTTCAGGCTTGGATTTGAAAGTTGAAACATTATTTACAGATTGAGTTCTGTGATTTGTTCCCAATTTAAATTTAAAACGATAGTTGGGGCCGGGCGCGGTGGCTCACGCCTGTAATCCCAGCACTTTGGGAGGCCGAGGCGGGTGGATCACGAGGTCAGGAGATCGAGACCATCCTGGCTAACACGGTGAAACCCCGTCTCTACTAAAAATACAAAAAATTAGCCGGGCGAGGTGGCGGGCGCCTGTAGTCCCGGCTACTCGGGAGGCTGAGGCAGGAGAATGGCGTGAACCCCAGGGGGCGGAGCCTGCAGTGAGCCGAGATTGCGCCACTGCACTCCAGCGTGGGCGACAGAGCGAGACTCCGTCTCAAAAAAAAAAAAAAACGATAGTTGGAATGTAAGTTATAACAAACTCCTGAATTGGCAGTTTTGTTTTATTGAAATGCAGTTGAGTGTTTTTTTCACGTGCCTATATTTGAAGAGTCTACAGCTGCCTGCTGTCTTGTGGCTAAATATAATGTCATATAAATGGAACATTTTCCCCTACTTGTGGCTTACTCACCATACTACTTTCCACATTTTTGTTGCTCAGTTTCTAAGATGATTGGCAATTATACTTTTTTAAAAATCTGTGGTACAAAAAGTGTAAAATGTAAAAATGTTTCTTGCTATACTCCTCATGAAGTCTCCCTTGCATTTGCGAATGTGGGTGAAGTGCCCATGCTTTGGGGTCGTCCACTTAGGACTGTGGCAATATTTTAGAGAACTGTTTCTTTCCTGATGCTTTGGAGCACTGTGAAGTCAGTGGAGGAAGAAGCATTAGTCAGAAAATTGAAGAAAATTAAGGAAAAGTAGATGTTCATAATGAGAAAAAAAAAACACCCTTGTATTAGGGATTTATTCCAAAAAGTAGTTTTGAGACCTAAGTGTATCTGTCTGTGTACCAAATTGCACTGCGTACAGTGTTTTGGGATGCGGAATGAGGCTTCTGAAACACTGGAAACCCCTCTCCCTTCAAGGGGTTAGCATTCAGGTTGGCATGCCATTTAGCGGAAGAGTGAACTTCATAGGTGGGGAGGCAAGATTTTCATCAGTTCTGATGCTGGTACTTAATCATGTTGACTTTACCATAGAATGTAGAACTTTCCATTTCCCAAGCATTTGAGTCATTAAGGTTTTTCTCTGAATTACAGAAGTGAACAACATGGACAGTTCACCCTAAAAGGGTTATTGGTGGTTGACATTGGTACAGCAAGGGCAGAGCTGGGAAAAGTTAACCAAGCACACATTTGCTTATGTTGGTGCCTTCCAACTCTTGGAAAAAAAAAAAAAAATGCTGGGTTAAACCATATGAAATTGCCAATATTCGATTATCTTTGATCTAAAATAAATGGAAATTTCATGTGGCCCCAATTAATAGGTTAGTGGTTTGGGTTTTAAATGTACACATTCAAATATAAGATAATTATGCTACTTTTTTAGATCAGGCTAAATGAAGATACAATCCAAGATGTTGTTCAGGCAGCTGACCTGCTGCTACTGACGGACCTTAAAACCCTGTGCTGTGAGTTTTTGGAAGGCTGCATTGCTGCTGAGAACTGTATTGGTATCCGTGACTTTGCACTACATTACTGCCTCCATCACGTTCATTACCTTGCCACAGAATACCTGGAGACTCATTTCCGAGACGTCAGCAGCACGGAAGAATTCTTAGAGCTGAGTCCTCAAAAGCTTAAAGAAGTGATTTCTCTTGAGAAGTTAAACGTTGGCAATGAAAGATATGTCTTTGAAGCAGTAATTCGATGGATAGCACATGATACAGAAATAAGAAAGGTACCTGTCATTTATAACATGGTCAAATTTGCCTTTTTATTTCTTTTTAATTCAAATTTTAGTTGTTTTATTTTTCTTCTTCATCATGAAAGACTTACGATGCAGCAATCTAAAAGATACCTGTAAAACATGTTCCCCTATATCATGAAAGCAGTTGGTTTTTCAGACCAGTCTGCAAAAGCCCATGCCACACAATATATCAGTGAAAATATTAGCCCTTGTAAGGAGCGTAATATCCTTTGTATGTTGTTTTTAATGGGAAAATGCATTTCAAGCTTAAGCTGGAGATTATAGAAACGCAGTATCCCCACCCTTGCTCTCAGCATCCTGACCTACTATATCACTAGGCTAACCTCTGCCAGGCCTCAGGTGCCTGCAGCAGGCAGGGGGGTGGCACGTGGATCGATGGCAGGGGTGGAGGGGCATGGGCCTGAGGAGCTTCAGGTGTGATTGACACCACGCAGGAGAAAGCAGGCAGGCTCTGGAGTTTGTGTGGCAGTGCAGTTTCAAGAGGGAAGGTTCTGGGAGTGAAGGTCTTAAAGAATATCAGCCTCTAGATCCAAATTGTGAATACCTTGGAGGAAGGAGCAAAATCACAGGACTTGAGGGTTTTGAGGGGGCAGAGAGTCTCAGTCTGTCTCCCAGGCTGAAGGGCAGTAGCCAGAGTGGCACGATCATAGCTCACTGCAGTCCCAACCTTCCTGGCTGAAGTGATCTTCCCACCTCAGCCTCCGAGTAGCTAGGACCACAGGCGTGTGCCACCATGCCTAGCTAATTGTTTGATTTTTGTAGAGACAGGGTCTCGCTGTGCTGCCCAGGCTGGTCTCAAACTCCTGTGCTCAAGCAATCCTCCCACTCTAGCTTCCCAAAGTGCTGGGATTACAAGTGTGAACCACCATGCCCAGCCAGGACTTCATTTTTAAGTCTGATTATTATAAATAAGACACTAGCTCCAATTACTGTTTTCAAAATAAGAAATATATTAGGTGTTAGAGAGTGGATCTCACAATGTATAATTTTACTGTTAATTGTTCTTGTAAGTTAAAACTGGACTGTTAAATTTTGATGATTATCTTATAATTTTTTGAATTCTGTAAGCCCATAAGTATGCATGTTTAGAAACCATATTTGTAGTATTGGTTTTAATTGGGACAGGTAAGGACAGGTAGTGTTCTGCTTTCCATGTTAGTTGGGGAAATTGGTAAAGGAGATAGAAAAATGAGAAAAATTTCCTATGTGCTCCCACTCACCAAGACCACAGTGGGACATGCTGCTCCTTGCCAGCTTCCGTCCTGCCCTCTTCTTGCCTTAAAGCAAGGGAGATGCTTAAGGTTGGCTGGTTGCTGGGAAAACGAGGCAGTTCTTTGTCCTTTGGTCAGTTTAAACTTCATGCTGTAAAGACAGTTGATTTTTAAAACTCACAGTTTTATTTTACATTTATAAAATACTTTCGTCAGTTCAAATTTAGTGATTGAGCAGTAAAAGTGTAAATTCATATTAGTCGTCTTAGATATTTTTGAACAGTAATTACTGCAAAAATGATTATATAGTACTCAGGTTTTTTTTTAAACTTTGGCTTTTGTATATTTTTCTTGTATTATTAATGTTGATGTCTAAGTTTACCATATTGTATTGAGCTATTACTGTATATAATATTTGTATAAACATGATTTAACTCATGGCACATCCAAATGTGTGAAATAAAGCAAATTATAGCTGGTTCTTTTCCTGTCTTTTCCTATTGAAATGGGAATCCTTTAAGGTGTAAAGGAAGCTGCTTGAAACTTTTACAGTGATACCTCAAATAAACTGATGATTTTTAAAAATTAAACTTTTACTTATCAAGACTCTGGGAAGTAGACAGTTAGGGCCAGGAGAAGATATTCAAGCAGCACGAGTGTGTCTCACTTGCCTGGTAATAACCTGAGTGTTAACAGTTTGTTTTCCATGAGGTGGAAAATGTAGATTCTAAAAATGATGTGTTGCATTTTCCATTGTTTTCGCCCCATCTTTCTTCCCTCTTCTGCAGGTCCACATGAAGGATGTTATGTCAGCTCTGTGGGTTTCAGGGTTGGACTCCAGTTATTTACGGGAACAGATGCTGAATGAACCATTAGTACGAGAAATTGTCAAAGAGTGTAGCAATATACCGCTCAGCCAGCCGCAGCAAGGGGAGGCGATGCTGGCCAACTTCAAACCCCGGGGCTACTCTGAGTGCATCGTGACTGTTGGTGGAGAAGAGAGAGTGTAAGTATGAGGTGGGACTTGTTTGAAAAGTGGTGTATGGGAAGAGGTAGTTCCATGTAAACAAGAATTCATAATGCTTTTCAGTATCTAAAACATAATTACATTTGATTTTTTTTTTTATACTTTAAGTTTTAGGGTACATGTGCACAATGTGCAGGTTAGTTACATATGTATACATGTGCCATGCTGGTGTGCTGCACCCATTAACTCATCATTTAGCATTAGATATATTTCCTAAAGCTATCCCTCCCCTCTCCCTCCACCCCGCAACAGTCCCCAGAGTGTGATGTTCCCCTTCCTGTGTCCATGTGTTCTCATTGTTCAGTTCCCACCTATGAGTGAGAATATGCGGTGTTTGGTTTTTTGTTCTTGCGATAGTTTACTGAGAATGATGATTTCCAATTTCATCCATGTCCCTACAAAGGACATGAACTCATCCTTTTTTATGGCTGCATAGTATTCCATGGTGTATATGTGCTACATTTTCTTAATCCAGTCTATCAATGTTGGACATTTGGGTTGGTTCCAAGTCTTTGCTATTGTGAATAGTGCCGCAATAAACATACGTGTGCATGTGTCTTTATAGCAGCATGATTTATAGTCCTTTGGGTATATACCCAGTAATGGGATGGCTGGGTCAAATGGCATTCCTAGTTCTAGATCCCTGAGGAATCGTCACACTGACTTCCACAAGGGTTTTTAAAAAATGTTTTAAATATTCTTTAGTAAACTAAAACTAGTGATGGCTACTTATAAAAAGAACTGTATGAAGCACATTAACTACTGATCACTTATTTACTTCCTTAGTTCACGGAAACCCACAGCAGCGATGCGATGCATGTGCCCTCTCTATGACCCTAACAGGCAGCTTTGGATCGAACTGGCCCCTTTAAGCATGCCGAGAATTAACCATGGAGTTCTCTCAGCAGGTACCGTTCTGTGGCAAATTTTCCTTAAACAGCAGATCAAGTAATGTGTAATCTCAAGGTTTTACAGAATGACTCAGAGCCTTTTAAAGATACAATTTTATTATCTCTACATGACATTTTTAGTGTAGTTCTAGCTTCTGAGACCGTGGTTAGGAAAACCGTATTTTCTGTCAGTCCTTATTATCTCTGTATCTTCAGCACATAGCTGCTTTTAAGAACTACTGGAGAAGCAGTTACTTGATGACTTAATGTCAGGAGAGCAAACTTCAGTGATGCTTACCACTAAGTAGCTGTAGGGCCACACCTGGAACACAGCGTTTCTTTGCACCATGGTAGTCCCATCTTTGAAATTCATGCAGCTTAGAATTACAATATGTAATTATATAAAATATGTTATATAAGGCCGAGTGTGGTGGCTCACACCTGTAATCCCCGCAGTTTAGGAGGCTAAAGTGAGAGGAGCCTAGGAGTTCAAGACCAGCCTGGACAATGTAGGAGAGAAACTGTCTTTACTAAAAATCAAAAAAATTAGCCAGGCATAGTGGCATGCACTTGTGGTCCCAGCTACTTGGGAGGCTGAGGTGGGAGAATCTCTTGAGCCCAGGAGATCGAGACTGCTGTGAGCCAAGATCACACCACTGCATTCCAGCCTGGGTGACAGAGTGAGACCCTGTCTCAAAAAAAAAAGAAAAAAAAAGAGAAGTTATGAGACTTTAGGAAATGCTACTTATATAGGCAATGGCTTAAAGTTATTTAGTATGGAAAATGCTTTACTTGACCTTTACAAGTTTGAAAACTGCTCTACTTTATCCAAAGCTCTCCCTTAAGGAGCTGATAGAAAAGATAGCCATTGAGGCATTGCCTTTGCTGGCTGCCTGTCTTTTCGCCGTGGTCCTGCTCCCTTGTCCACCTGATAAGTGTCATCTCATGTCATCCTAATTGTGGTCAGCAGCCCTCCTGCAGTCCTTATTTAATTGTGTTTGCTTGCCCAGCAACATTATCTTTAAAATTTTATTTTTTATTTTATTTTTCTTTTTAGAGATGGGATCTTGCAATGTTGCCCAGGCTATAATATTTTTAAAGCTATACTGTACCACAGTGCATCATACAAATGGCCAAGGCTCTACCATAGTATAGAAGTGGAGTCATTTTATGAGTCCCAAAATTATTAGTTATTGTCAGTAGTGAAGAGCTGGACAGAGTAGTATAGCCTGCAGGATGTAGGTCTAGTTTCCCTGTTGCATCTTCTCAGAATTAGCTCCCTTACATTTCCCCCAAAATATATACACATATTCCTAATTTTCACACATACACGTCTGTCACAAAGGCTCCTATATGACTAATATTTGAAAGTTTGCTAGAGGGATTGGTGTTTCAGAAACCCAGCAATGGAAGGAGCGACTGTGTACAGTGGAATTGATGGAAACAGAAGTGAGTGATTGAGGAGGTCCTTCCGTTTGTCCAGGCTGCATTGTTTTTTTTTTTTTTTTTGCCTTTTTAAAAATTGATTTTGACTGTTTTTTTGTCATTCAATTTTTCTTCTCTACCAGTTTGGGACTTACATTCTTGTTAATAGTCCTTTAGGAAGATTACCTTAGAAATTACAGCCTGTATTAAGTTAGCAAAGTCCAAAGTTAGTCAGTACCTGTGTTCTCTTCAGGAGAGTTTTTCTTCATTTTCCATTTTCCATACTCTTACAGTTTTAAAATGCATTATCACTAATAAATATGTACAGTAGATCCCCCTTATCAATGAGGGATGCATTCCAAGACCCCCGAGTGGTTGTCTGAGACCACAGATAGTGCTGAACCCTGTACATACTGTGTGTTTTTACTATACATCCATACCCATGATAAAGTTTAAGTTCAGCACAGTAAAAGATTAACGACAATAACTGATAATAAAACGACGATAACAATATACTGTAATAGTTATGTGAATGTGGTCTCTCTCAAAATATCTTACTTTACTGAACTCACCTATTTTCGGACTGCAGTTGACCATGGGTGATAAAACCACAGAAACCAAAACTTCAGATAAGGGGTAGCTACTATATACACAATATGTCTTTTTTTGATATATGTTGGATGGATGGATGGATGGATGGATGGATGGATGGATGGATGGATGGATGGATAGATGGATGGACAGACAGATAGGTAGATAGATGATTGATAGACAGGCAGGTAGGTAGGTAGATAGTGTTCATTTAGATTTGCCACTTTCTTCGTTCTTCCTTCTTAACTCCTCAGACTTTCCACCTAGGATCATCTCCCTTCTCTCTGAAGTTCATCCTTTTGAATTTCCTTTAATATGGGTCTTTTGGTGGACAACTCTCAGATTTGATTGCCTGCAAATGTCATTATTTTGTCTTCATTCGTAAAGGATATTTTTGCTGAGTATAGCATTTCAGCTTTGGTATTTATCATTTTTCAGCACATTGAAGTCATTCCACTGACTTCTGCCTTCCATTGTTGTGAAGTCAGTGGCAAGTCTAAAAAATCTCTTCTCTGGTGTGTATTTAAAATTTTCTTATTATTTTCCATCTTTTTGTCTCACTGTGCTGTTTTCTTGATTATTATCTTTTGATTTATCTTCTTTTCTCCTTAACTCTGATTAATCTGCTATTACATTTATCCATTGATTTTTTTTTTTTAATTTCTACAAATTCTTGTCTTTTTACAGGAGAATAACTTAATCCACCATTACCTTCAAATCCTCTCTTATTTCTATAGTTCCCTGTTACCTGGAGTTATCTTCCAGTTAATTTTTATTTTTTAAACATGATAAGCATTTGTTTAAATTATCTTTGTTTTTTAAATAAATTTTAGACTTTATTCTTCATCACCCAACTTGAAAAAAATCATCTTTCTGGTTACTATAATATTTGAAATCTTTGCAAGACTACTTCCTATGATCTGCTTCTGCTGGTCTTTTCTTAGAGTCTAATTTTTGGTATGTCTGATATCTGTGGCTGCATGCTGCTCATTTATTAAACATTATTTGTAGCAGCCGGGCGCAGTGGCTCACACCTATAATCCCAGCACTTTTGGAGGCTGAGGCGGGTGGATCATTTGAGGTCAGGAGTTTGAAATCAACTGGCCAACATGGTGAAACCCCATCTCTACTAAAAGTACAAAAAGTAGCTGGGTATGTGGTGGCATGTGCCTGTAATCCCAGATATTCAGGAGGGCGATGCAGGAGAATCGCTTGAACCCAGGAGGCAGAAGTTGCAGTGATCTGTGATTGCACCACTGCCCTCCAGCCTGGGCGACAGAGCAAGACTGTCTTTAAAAAACAAAAAAAATCAAAAAAAAATTATTTGTAGCAATAACTTTCTGCCTTAGATGTCCTGGGATGTTAGAATCTAAGGCTTAGATTAAGGTCCTTCTACAGAAGTTTTGCATTTGTTTCTGCCAGTTGACTGAAAACACTACTAATTTGGTATTAACTGTAAGTTAAGTTCAAGGCTCATGATTTCCCAGATAGCAAGGAGATTTAAATCTGAGTACGAATTCTGGTTGGCCTTCATCCTGACAGTGTAGAACTTTGGAGAGGATCTCCTGCCAGAAGCCACGTTTTCTGTGGACCTGGAGCTTAAACTTCTGTCTTTTTCATCCCCAGGACAAAAGGTTTAAATTTTCCTAGATTAGAAATGCCCTCAGTGTAAAATGGTTTTCATGCTTGATAACCTCTGTAGGTCCTAATTTTCCCTTCAGTTTTGCCTTGTTATCTTGTTGGCTTCTCCTCTTCTAAGAAGATTATTATTGTTGTTATTTTTGAAACAAGATCTCACTTCGTTGCCCAGGCTGGAGTACAATGGCATGATCACAGCCCACTTCAGCTTCACACTCCTGGGCTCAAGCGATCCTCCCATTTCAGCCTCCTGAGTAGTTGAGACTATAGACAAATACCACAATGCCCGGCTAATTTCATTATTTTTTGTAGAGATGAAGTCTTGCTGTGTTGCCTCCTATGAACCTCCTGGGCTCAAGCAGTCCTTGTAGCTTGGCTTCCAAAAGTGCTGAGCCACCACCACCCGGCTAAGATTATTTTTTAAATGTTTTATCCAGCAAATTGTTTTTTGCAGAAGAATAACCTAATACGCCATTACATGAAATCGGAAGTTCAGTTGCTCTTAGATCCTGTTTTGAATAGAAAGTGCACACGGATGCCTCAGATCTGGGTATTCCTGGGGTCTAGAATGAACAGATGTGCGCTGCGGTGCAAAAGTTGTATGAGAATCCCAGAGGCTGAGAGGGAACAGAAGAGATGAATTGAGATGGCCCAGAGTTGCCTGGTGACTGAGCGGGTGACGCCAGGCTTCCTTTTTCATTGTAGGGTGGTGGAAATCCCCTCAAAGACAGTAATGAGTAAAGCAAAATGGTCAAAGTGATGGTTTGGCTCCATCACCAAGGATCCAATGGGATGTGATAAAAGCCCTGAATCCAAAGAGAACATTGTTGTCATCAGAGAGTTTCTTCAGATGCTGTTTCTATATATGCTGTGGCGTTTATGGGTGTTGAAGACTCACATTTCATATTTGTGTTTCCTTTGATCTTTGCAGAAGGATTTTTGTTTGTATTCGGGGGCCAAGATGAAAATAAGCAGACTCTTAGCTCAGGAGAAAAGTATGATCCAGATGCAAATACATGGACAGCATTGCCACCTATGAACGAGGTAAAACACTAGTTGGTTGGTTTGTTTGATGTGTTTCTCTTTCCCCTTAGCGCTTCTGTTTGTTTTGTGTCTGAGTTCAGGGAAGAAACGGCAGCCTTGTCAAGCCACCTGCCTCATTCGCTCCAACCTCTCCTTCTAGTGCCCGGCTCTCCTCCCCTTCCTGGCCCTCACTCCTTCTGGCCTCCATGAGTTTCTGAAATCTTCCAGGAATGCCCTCACCCCAGCCTTCACATTTATCCTGCCCTGTGCAGATGCCAGCGTGGCCTGCCCCCTCCTCGCAGCACCTTCTCAGCGGGCCTCCCTCCTGCCTCTTAGCTTTCCTGTCCCCGTCTTCGTACGACGTCTCACCATCTCACGGACCAGGCATTTAAAGTTTTTCACATAAGCTCTTTGATGGCAGAGAATTACATGTGTTCTGGTCAGTATTTCATTTTCAGCACTAGAATCGTGCTTGGCACGTAGGGTTTACTACATAAATATTCATTGACAAACGGACATGAAACACCTAGGGCTTCTATGATCCCAAATAGCCTTGGCCTGACCCTGTCCTCCACAGCCCTTTCTGCCATAGTTTATACTAGCCTTTCCCACGTCAACTTGAAAACACTGCCCTTTGTTATGCAAAAATAATTGTATTGAACCAGAGGTAACAGTTCATTTTCTTGTTGTGAGCTATTATGGGTTAAAAAGTGAGGATTTTCTGATGAACTCACCATGTATTTCTTAAGTTTGTTTTGAGAAGTGGCTTTGGCCTCTCTGGCTGTTGTGCTGGAAGAGTGGGCTGTTAGGGAAGCCAGAAATCTTTAAGAAGCATTACCGGAGAAATGGTTTTGAACGTGGTACTTCCATGCTGGAACACTGGGAAAAAAGATTTCTCTAATTTTTAAAAATAGTTTCAACTTTTATTTTAGACTCGGGGATACATGTGCAGGTTTGTTATGTGTGTATATTGCATAATGCTGAGGTTTGCAGTAAGATTAATCCAGTCTCCCAGGTACCAAGCGTCGTACCCAATAGTTAGTGTTTCAGCCCTTGCTCCTCTCCCTGTCTCCTTGCTCTAGGAGTCCCCATTGTCTATTTTTGCCATCTTTATGTTTCTCTAATTTTTATTAAGTGTATGAATATCAGCTTTCAATATGATCATTGGCCTTGTGTGTTCAGGGATCGCTAATGTAATTTCAGGCAAGACATAACTTCGGAATTGTGGAGATAGATGGGATGCTGTACATTTTGGGAGGAGAGGATGGTGAAAAGGAGCTGATTTCCATGGAGTGTTACGATATTTATTCTAAAACCTGGACAAAGCAACCTGATTTGACCATGGTCAGAAAGGTGAGGACTGCATTTTGTGATAACTAGTCTGTGTACACATTGGATTTTAAACTTAATGTGTCTTCATATCCTGAATAAACCTTTAATATAACTGATGGTGTTAAAAGAATTAACTTTATAGAACTCTCTTTATCGGTAGTTTGCCTTCACTGTCATCAGCCACACACCAAGATAGGAAAGTGAGCGTGTGTGAGAGTTTATCCTGCTTGTGGGCCCTGTGCAGCACCGCTGTGTGTCAAGCTCCACATTTGAGTGTGCAAATGGTGCAGCAGCCACATCTTCCCAACCTATTTTCTTTCTGTCTTTCCCTCTCTTACTCTCTCTCTCTCTTTCCTTTTGTTGTTGAGAGAGGGTCTTACTCTGTTGCCCAGATTAGAGTGCGGTGGCGCCATCTTGGCTCACTGCAACCTCTTTCTGCCTCAAGCAATCCTCCCACCTCAGCCTACTGAATAGCTGGGACTACAGGTGTGCACCACCACACCCAGCTAATTTTTGTTTTTTTAAGTAGAGATAGGGTTTCACTATGTTGCCCCGGCTGGTCTTGAACTCTTAGGCTGAAGCGATCCCCCATCTCTACAAAAAAGTTTTAAATAAAGTTAGCCGGGCACAGTGCTGTGCACCTGTAGTCCCAGCTACCCAGGAGGCTGAGGCGGAAGGATCTGTTGAGCCCAGGAGTTTGAAGCTGCAGTGAACTATGATGGCACCACTGCACTCCAGCCAAGGCAACTGAACGAGACCCTGTCTCTAATAAATAAATAAATAAAAATGAGGCTTTTGAACTTCTTTCAGTTAGTGAAATAGTATCAGTTGGAGTAAGAGCTCCTTTTCTGAAGATTAAGAATATGTGTCTTACTTTGCTCTTCTCATTTTAAAGTCCGGTGTTGTAATACTGAAAAGCACCATCGTTTTACGGTTAGAAATCAAACCCCTTCCTAAATCTCTTTAAGTATGGCCCAGACAGTTTAATATCTGTTCACCTGACCTGAATGAGAAATGTTGCCTCTCCCCCACCATTGTTCTCTGCTTTCAGATCGGCTGCTATGCAGCTATGAAAAAGAAAATCTACGCCATGGGTGGAGGCTCCTACGGAAAGCTTTTTGAGTCTGTAGAGTGTTATGATCCCAGGACCCAGCAGTGGACTGCCATATGTCCACTAAAAGAGAGGAGGTACGTGGCTGTGGGGTGGACTTTGTAGATTCCCTTGCTGTTCACTGGGTCTGGAGCCCCTTACCCTGCCTGGCTTTTGTTCTTTTCTTTCAGAGTAACCTTTTCTTTGACTTGGCATTTCCTGAGAAAGGAAGGCCCACGTAGTAATGCTGCAGAGTTAAACCAGCATAAGAGGAACGCGGGAGTGAGATCTCGCATTGTACAGCTTGTGCCTGATAACGCTGTGTGTGGCCTTTCAGGTTTGGAGCGGTGGCCTGTGGAGTTGCTATGGAGCTGTATGTGTTTGGGGGAGTCCGAAGTCGTGAGGACGCCCAGGGTAGCGAGATGGTAACTTGCAAGTCCGAGTTCTACCATGATGAGTTTAAAAGGTAACTAAGAATGGTTTCACATAGCTACTGCAACTTTTTCTTTGTGCTTTCAGTCGTATTTTAGCTTTGTTTAGTTTTGTTTTCAGTCACTTTATTAAATTATGGATTTAGGAGATAACGTCTCATGCATACTAGATATTTATTCAGTGACTTCACAAGTGCTAGTAACTTAAAATGTCTGCAAATAGAAAATATCTCTAATATGTAGATGAGATCTTGACGCTTAGTTGCTTAAAATCATTTATTGGCTCCCTATAGCTTTTAGGAAAAAGTTTAAAACTCCTTAACTTGTTGGGCATGGTGGCTCACACCTGTAGTCTCAACATTTAGGGAGGTAGAAACTGAAGATTGCTTGAGCCCAGGAGTTAGAGATTTGCCTGGGCCACATAACAAGACCCTGTTCTCCAAAGAAAAATAAATAAACTCCTTAACTTAGCATATATAGCCTTTTGTGATATGGCCTTTGCTTTTTCTGCTACTGACCCAGATACTTTATACCGAGCCACTTTCCCCTGCAAACATGTGTGGTTGTCTCAGCTCTGTTCGTATTGCTGCTACTTGCCTAAAAGCTCCCTTCCCGCTGTCCATCCAGTTAGCTTGGCCTTTTTCAAAACTGCTTAGTTATCAAAACCTAGAGAAAGCCTTCTCATGCCTCCTAGTCTGATTTTTTATCCCTTCATCTATGATTCCATGCCCTCCAGACAAGTCTCTGGGGTTGTAGCTGTTAACTGCAAGCAACTTCAGGGCAAGGTCCACCTTCGTCAGCTCTGTATCCTGGCTTCCAGCATCCTACCTGTCTGTATCAGATGCTTAGTAAAATGTTGATTAAGTGGCTGAGGCTTGATTTCTGAGATTCTTAAAACCTCTGACAAGTGCCACGTATGTCTTGTAGGGTAGATAACATCCTTCTCGATGTCTTCTCTCTTTCCTCACACATTTTATTGTTGTAACCACTGAGCAGTATTCTTATTGCAGTAATATGTTTAAATCCTAAGGGGAAATTGCTGTGCTAAACGTAATTTTATTAGAGTAGTTCAGTCGTGCTACCAGAAGAGGGTGCCATAACATAATGTTTAATTTCATGCTGTTTTAGATGAGGGCACGCAGTGAGCAGTTACAAAGATGCTGCAAATGCATGTAAATGCTGCCTAACATGTATTTTAAATTTAGGGTATTTGCATAGCCTTTTTTTTCAATTACAGGAATAGACTATCTTAGGAAAATTTATTAGAGAGCAGTTTAGAGAATACTTGCTGTGGTAGGGGCAGATTTTCAGACTTCTCTACATTTTTCCTTCCTTGATACATGACTGGGAGGGCTGATTGCCCAAGGGATGAAGTCTTTTTTTTTCTTTCTTTCTTTTTTGGAGACAGTCTCGCTCTGTCGCCCGGGCTAGAGTGCAGTGGCGTGATCTCGGCTTACTGCACCATCTGCCTCCCGGGTTCAAGCGATTCTTCCACCTCGGCCTCCCAAGTAGCTGGGACTACAGGCGCATGCCACCATGCCTGGCTAATTTTTGTATTTTTAGTAGAGGCAGGGTTTCACTATGTTTTCCAGGTTGGTCTCGAACTCCTGACTTAATGATCCGCCCGCCTCAGCCTCTCAAAGTGCTGGGATTACAGGCATGAGCCACCGCACCTGGCCTATCAGGTTGTTACATATTTGTACTGGATAAGCTTTTAATATAACTATCACTTGCTTTAAGTTCATAATAATTAAACGTAAGACTGTGGTTCCTTCTTTGCTGTTTAAAAGCACTTCTCGCCAGGTGCACTGGCTCCAGGCTATAATCCCAACACTTTGGGAGGCCGACGCGGGCAGATCACTTGAGGCCAGGAGTTCAAAACCAGCCCGGCCAACATGGTGAAACCCTGTCTCTACTAAAAGTACAAAAAAAAAAATTAGCCAGGCATAGTGGCACGTGTCTGTAGTCCTGGCTGCTCAGAAGGCTGAGGCATGAGAATTGGTTGAACCCAGGAGGTGGAGTGTGCAGTGAGCCGAGATTGTGTCACTGCACTCCAGCCTGGGCAACAAAGCGAGACCCTGTCTCTAAATAAATAAGAGCACTTCCAAATAAAATTAATGTATATTCAGTTCCTTATTTCTAAGCTCTCTGATGTTTGTAAATAGAATGAAGAAAGCTGTTAATTTATCTTACCAATATAAGATTCTAACATGTTTAGATAACATTAAACACACATATAACACCAAATGCCATGTATTTAATCTTCAAAACAGCACTCTGAAGCGCATGTAGGTACTGTTACTATTCCTATTTTCCATATGAGGAAAGGGTGAGCGGTGTGCCCACAGACACACAAGGAGCAAGAAGCTGAGGTGGGATCTGAACTCAGGCGTTCTGGCCCCAGAGTCCACCTTTTCAACTACCACGCTAGATTGACTTAAAAATATAGGCTTTCCTATAACTATCGATAGAACAAAATAACATGTAGGAGTAGTTTATTTCTTAAAAGATCAGACGCAAATGTGTTATATTGGCATAGTGTGGAAACTGTAGTTGCCGGATGAGCAGTCCATATTTGATTGGAGACCATGTCGATTGTTTTTAAGTAATCTCTTGTCTTTCCTGTCTTTGTTCCCTATTTTTAGGTTAAAACTTTCTGGGAAAAAAGCCATATCTTATTCTTTTCTGTTTTTCTGAATAAAAGCAAAACTGCTTGAAAGGAAAGCAAAGAAATTGCCATAAAGTATTACCAAGCCAGAGCAACAGCTTCATATACCCAGAATGACGGTTTCTCTATTTCTGTTCCTTGTGTCCATATTCTGTTAGTAACACTACTATCCTCCCAGTCATCCATGTTCAAAAAAGGGTCATCTTGGCTGGCACAGTGGCTGACACCTATAATCCCAGAACTCTGGGAGACCCAGGTGGTAGGATCCCTTGAGCCCAGGAGTTCAAGACAACCCTGAGTAACATAGTGAGACCTTGTCTCTATGAATTTTGAAAAAATTCAAAAATGAGCTGAACATGGTAGTCCACGCCTGTGGTCCCAGCTACTTGGAAGGCTGAGGCAGAAGGATCACTTGAGCCTGGGAAGTGGTGGAAGCTGCAGTAGACCATGATCGTGCCACTACACTCCATCCTGAGTGCCAGAGCAAGACCCTGTCTCAGAAAAGGGAATCATCTTGAATTCTGTCTTGTACTTTGCAACTCATCAGTTGCCAGGTCTGGTCCTTTTTTAAATCTTGGTAGCATTTTTCACATTTCCCACCTTCCCTGCCCCGCTGCTACCCTCACAGTTATTCCTGCATCTGTGTAGTGTCATTAGCCTCTGGCCAGCCTTGCCAGTGCAGTTACTTATTTGTGGTTTTGAAAGATGAACCTGACAAAAATCAGCCAGGCATAGTGGCACATACCTTTTTGCTCAGAGTTTTTGATTGCCCTTCTCAGAATTCTTGACTGTTTCCCACTGCTTACTAAACAAAGGTAATAGTTCTTAGCCACCTACTCAGGGTTCTCCATGATTTGAGGTTAAGAAAAAGTTTCACCCTTTTTTAGTATCTTTCTTTCACATATCGTATACTCCAGCTCACTTTTTAAATCCTCTTGTGTTTTACTGCCTCCGTGCATTCGCTTAGCCTAGATGCCCCTCTACTTTAATTTTTTACAGTATATAAGTTAAATTAACTGTTCTTTGAAGTTGAGATCTGTCAGTTTCCTCTTTTGATTCCTGAATATATAACTAGAATAGACATACTTGACAACTGGCAAAATCACCATGCTGGTTCTCTGACACATGGATTGGGAGCCACCATGACAACAAGGGCTAAGTGGAAGTCCCCGGAGCTCTGCTTCCCTACCAAAATAGAAAACCAGAAACAATACTGCATCCTGGGTGAATCTGCAAAAACCATGCCACCATGAAAGAGTAGAAAATGCAGGAGAGGTGATGCCTATCACATCCCCACTTAATTCACCTAGAAAAAGTAGAAAAGTAAAGTGGATCTCGGAAAATCTTGGAAAATTTTTATTTCAAACATGTTATCAATTTTAAAATGTTTGTGTAGCTTGTTTTTAGGTTTTCCTTTTACTTTGGGTTTCTTTTACTCTTTTCTAGCTTCTTTGGGTAGAATTCTACATTACTCATGGTAGATCTTTTGCTTTTTTTTGAGACGGAGTCTCACTCTGTTGCCCAGGCTGGAGTGCAGTGGCGTGATCTCGGCTCACTGCAAGCTCCACCTGCCGGGTTCACACCATTCTCCTGCCTCAGCCTCCTGAGTAGCTGGGACTACAGGCGCCCGCCACCGCGCCCAGCTAATTTTTAGTAGAGGCAGGGTTTCACCGTGGTCTCGATCTCCTGACCTCTTGATCTGCCCGCCTCGGCCTCCCAAAGTGCTGGGATTACAGGCATGAGCCACCGCGCCCAGCCGATGTTTTGCTTTTTTAATGCACACAGAGAAAGTTTTCATAAACTTAATCAGGTGATCATACTGATCCCAAATTCTTTCCCAGACGTAATATCCTCACACAAATGTTGTATCTTTATGAGGCACAGTTCCCAACCTTAGTATGGCAGCCGTTGACATAGCTAATGTATTTTCTTCATACCAATTTGCAAGGGTCACCAGAAGCAGTTTGCTTTTACTTGTCAGGGGCAACAGTATGCCTCCACAGCCTTGCCTCAGGGCTGTATCAACTAATATATAATGGGCTAATGTCGGCTGTATATTAGTCCACAGAGATTTTAATCATCATGATGTTCCACAAAACATCTCACTGGTCTACCCCACTGACCACATTGTGCTGTTTGTATCTTATGGTTAGGAAGAAACAGGTACTTTCAGATGCCTTTGTAAGACGTGTGAACTAGAGGATAAAAGATGAACCCCACCCCCAACCACATCTGTTTCAGTCATGGTCCAGTCAAGTGGCAAAAACCACACCAGTCTTTTGAACAGGGAAAATGTAATATATGTAATTACCACTAGTAAGAGACAGCTGCTAAAAGTGGGAAAAGAGGACTCTGAAAACTGTAGAAATAGCTAATGTAGGAAGCACAGCTGCTACCTTTAGGGCAGAGGGAAAACACCCAAGGAAGGAACAAATCAGGAAGTATTTTCCCCATCCCACAGGGCTGAGATTCATCCCATTGGAAGTGTGTGTGCTGAGGCCGCTGGAGAGTGTGCACCCCTGGTCTCCTGCATGCTGGTAGGAGCAAGCACAGGAGGAGTGAGAGGAAGGCAGCCGACAGCGGCATAGTGGCCCTTTGGCCCCTGGCCTTGCCAGTCTGCACCCTCTGTGAACAAAAGACCAGCTTCTACACTGGGTTCATTTCTCCCTAGTATTTTCTGTTTCATTGATTCCTACACTCATCTATATTACTTCCATCCTTTTACTTACTTTGGGTTTCTTTTACTCTTTTCTAGCTTCTTCAGGTAGAATTCTAGATTACTTATGGTAGATCTTTTGCTTTTCTAAGGCACACCATGAAAGCCTTCAACTTTCCACAGAGCACCACTCTAGCTGGACATGCTGATATGTTTTATTTTCATGACCATTCAGTCTGCAGTATCATTTTTCCTTCTTCAGATTGGATGGTTTCTGTTGCTCTGTCTTGTTTGCTGCTGCTTTCTTTTGTTATTTCCATCCAGTGAATTTTTTATTTCAAATTTATGTTAGTTATTTATTTATGTTAGTAATTCTAAAATGTTTGTGTACTTTGTTTTTAGGTTTTTAAATTTTCTGTGCTGAAATTTCCTATCTTTCCATCACAAGCATATTTTCCTTTCCCTTACTGAGCATCACTGTGGTAGTTGTGTTCAAGTCCTTGCCTGTTAATTCCAGTATCTGAGTCATCTCAAGAGTTGGCGTCTATTGATTGTTTGCTCCCTTGAGAAATGGGTTCTAATTTTTCTGGCTCTTCTTCTGTTGAGGAGTTCTGGACTGAATCCTGGATATGGTTACTATTATGTTTTTGAAGCTTTGAATTTTCTTATATTGCTTTAGAGTGTTGCTCTGAGTTTTAGTCAGCAATTGACTTGGTTAGACTTAAATTGCAAGCTGTGCCACCTGCCATGGGTGGCAGCTGAAATCTCAGTCCAGTTCTCGAAGCCTCGGTCATAAGCATAGATGGTTCCAGGGTTAGTTGAAGACTTGAGATGAGTGGATGCGCACAAATTGAGGGGTGCTTCTCTACCTCTCCTCTTTCTCAGGTTCTCCACCACACTTTGGAGATCCTGGTTGCCCCAAGACCCCTTTTCCTGATTGCTGAGTCCTGTAGCCAGAAAGATGGCCATATTTTCTCTAGGGGTTTAGCTATCCAGAGCTGCCCCAGTGAGGCTGCCTTCAGAGAAAGCTACCAAGAAACAGGAAACTTAGTCCATATGGGTTGCTTGCTCAATTAACTTTCCATTTCTTTCCAGAATCTACCTGCTTTTCTTCAGTTTCCAGAGTGCTCAGGTAGTTGTAGTTTGTCCAGAGTTTACGGCTGACACTTGGAGCAACTGAGGAGCCATTTGTTAAGAGTTACTTCTGCCATACTGGAAGCAGACGCCTCACTACAGCTCTCTTTTTCTTTCCTCCTCTCCTTTCTCCTCAATTGATTGCCCTCTTTTCCTCTATAGCTCTCTTCCTCTCTCCTTTCCTGTCATTCCCCTTCTACTTCCCTGTCTCTGAAGTTCACTGTTGTAATCCATGCTGTATTTTAAAGCTTCAGACTCAGGGCAGTCTTAATTCTGAGTTACCAGAGGGTGCATCATTATAGCCCCCATGTACTGACAAGCCCGTTTGAAAACATTATAACTGAAGACATGATATTGCCTTGTTCATTGCAAAAATTAGTATCGTTTAATGATACCTTGTAAGTACTAGAAACTATGCAAAATACTTTACATTGATATTCATTTCATCCTCACAACAGTCATTTGAGGTTGTTGATGGTATCTGGTATCTCACTCGACAGATGAGGAAGCAGGCTAGGATAGCTAAATTGTTCAGGGTCGGTGAGATGATAAATGACATGTAAAACCTCATGGCCTTTTATACCTGTTTTATAAGCAGCAACACCTGAAGATGTGATTCAGTTAAATTTTCAAATTAGTTCTGTTTCATTTGAAGCCTTGTCTTTACCTAAAATAGATCACCTACGCGTATTTTTCTGAAACCCAGGAACTGAATCATTGATGTGCTTGGGACAAAACCTGGTAGATCATCTATGTAGTCCAGTTTCTTAGGTTAATACAGTCATTCCGGGGATGAACTATGTTGGTTGGTTTCATTCAGAATCTGGGAAGAACTTAAATGCCGAGATGTAGTTATTTATGTTTAGGCCTGAAGACGTGAAATGTGAATAAACCAGTATTGTAGTTTGATGTTTTTCAAACATTATCTTTCAAAGGTGTGTTCAGGGCCTCCATTTTCACTTTCAGCACAAGCTTTTAGATTTTTCCCTTTTCCATTTTATTGGAGGCATTTGGGAGGCAGGGGCCAAAATCTGTATCCCAGTCCCAGCAGACTACCTGACACCCATCAACATTCAGATGTTAGTTGAATCAAATGTAGATGAACGGCTTTAGAAACATGGTGCTTAGCTTTGTTTCTGAGTTGTTCTGTGGTCATTAGACTTTTGTGTTTATTGGAATTCAAAATGTGGAAGCCACCTGCCTTAGAAGAGTCTAGGAAGAGTATTCATTGAAATAAAAATGGTGTTCTTCAGGAAATAATTGTACATTTCTCTTTGACATTGAGATGCCCTGGCTGCTTCACAGCATAGAGTAGGGATGATGGAGTGATGACCATATGACTGTGTGCTCCAGTGAGGGTAGGCCTGGACCTTGGTAACTCTTAAGACCATTTAGATGCATTCCCAAGGTCCTCCTGAAGTCCACTGTGACCTGGCTATGCCTGTTAGCTATTAACAGACAATTGTTCATTTACATTACCCTGAGGGAACATTATTATTACATAGCAGGGTCTAGATTTACTCTTTAAGAAAAAGAAATAAAAAACTTTTATTTTGGAATAATACTGTAGACTTGTAGAAAAGTTGCAGAAATAGTTAAAGAGTTCCCATTTCCATAAGCCATTCAATCAGCTTCTCCTAGTGTTAACATCTTACATGACCGTAGTACAAGCATCAAAACCAGGATATTTATGTTGTCCAAAATTATTAAGTAAACTACAGACTTACTGGAGTTTCACCAGCTTTTACTCTAATGTCTTTTTTCTCGGTTTCCAGATCCAATCCAGGATTCTACCTTGCATTCAGATACTGTGTTTGCTTAGACTCCTTTAATCTGTGATAGTTCTTCATTCTTTTTTTTGAGACAGAGTCTTGCTCTGTCAGCAGGCTGGAGTGCAATGGCGCGATCTCAGCTCACTGCAACCTCCGCCTCCTGGGTTCAAGTGATTCTCCTGCCTCAGCCTCCCAAGTAGCTGGGACTACAGGCACGTGCCACCATGCCCAGCTAATTTTTGTATCTTTAGTAGAGATGAGGTTTCACCATGTTGGCCAGGATGGTCTTGATCTCTTGACTTCGTGATCCACCCGCCTGGGCCTCCTAAAGTGCTGGGATTACAGGCGTGAGCCACTGCACTCAGCAGGTGGTTCATTCTTTCCTTGACTCTCATGACCTTCATCCTCTTGAAGGTTATTGGTTCGTTATTTTTTTGTAGGATCTCTTAATTTGGATTGATCTAATGATTTCTTGCAATTAGACTGAGGTTATGCAGTTTGGCAATACCACAGAAGTCATATTACACACTTCTCTGCATCATATCAGGGAGAACACGTTGATGTGCCTTATTGCTGGTGACATTAACCTTGATGACTTGGTTAAGGTGGTATCTGTTAGATTTCTCCACTGGAAAGTTAACTGATTTTCTTGTTGTAATTATTAAATACTTTTGTGGAGATCATTCGAGAATTTGCAAAACGATTTTCTCCTGAAACTGTCAAGCACTCATTTGAGCATCCACTGGTAGACCTAGCCTGCAGAAGTCATTACTGTGGTGTTTGCCTGATGATGATTTTGTTCCCGTCATTCCTTCTGCATTTATTAATTGGAATTTTTCGGTAAAGGAAACCTGTCCCTTTTTCCTGTTAATGTTTTCCAATTATTTATAGTATATGGATTCATGGATATTTATTTTATTTCCTGAGTTATAAATCCAGCACCATCATTATTGATTTTCTTGCTCACATAGTTCCAGCCTCGGCTGTCAGTAGCTGCTTCACTGTGGCTTCCGTGTCCTTTGACACACCCCCATCCTTTTTTAAGCACTTCCTATCTGGCACGACAGGATGCCCCAGGCCCCTCTTGTATTTTCTCTGCCTCAGCTCTGGGATCAAGCACTTCTTCATAGAGCCTCAAATCCTTTTAGTGGTTATTAAATTGATTTTCAACAGAGGTGCCAAGGCAATTTAGTGGGGGAAAGAAAAGCCTTTAGCAAATGGTGCTGGAACAGCTAGCTATCTGTATGGAAGAAAGTGAACTGTGATTCATGTCAGACCCAAAAAATTAACTTGAAATGTATCATAGACCTAAATGTAAAAGATAAAACTAAAAGTTCCAGAAGAGAGCATAGGAGAAAAATCTTCGTATTGGGGTAGGCAAAGATTTTTTAGAATGACACAGAAACTGTGACTGTAAAAGAAGAAAAGGATATATTGGAATTCATCAAAATTAAAAACTTCTGTTCTTCAAAAGAGTCCATTAGGAAAATGAAAAGGCCACCTACATGCTGGGAAAAAATATTCATAATACATTTATCTAGCAAAGTATCTATATCCACAGGATATAAAGAATCTGACAATTGAATAAGAAGAAGACAGTAAACCCAATTAAAAAAAAAATTTAGAGACAGTCTTGCTACGTCCTTTTTTTTTTTTTTAATTTATCTTTTTTTTTTTTTTTTTGAGACAGGGTCTCACTTTTGCCCAGGCTGAAGTGCAGTGGCATGATCTCAACTCACTGCAGCCTTGACCTCCTTGACTCAAGCAATCCTCCCACCTCAGCCTGAGTAGCTGGGACAGATGCCACCACATTTGGCTAATTTTTGTATTTTTTGTAAAGACAAGGTTTCGCCATGTTGCCCAGCTGGTCTTGAACTCCTGGGCTCAAGTGATTCACCTGCCTCAACCTCCCAAAGTATTGGGATTGCAGACTTGAGCCACCACACCTGGCCCCCAGTTTTAAAGTGAGCAAACCTTTAAACAGACATTTTATAAAAGAACATAAAATGGGGCTGGGTATGGTGGCTCACACCTGCAATCCCAGTACTTTAGGAGGCCAAGACAGAAGGATCACTTGAGCCCTGGAACCTGAGATCAGCCTGGGTAGCATGGTGAGACCTCATCTCTATGGAAAAAAAAAAAATTCATTAGCTGGGTGTGGTGGTGTGCACCTGTGGTCCCAACTATTTGGGAGGGTGGGGTGAGAGGATCACTAGAGTCCAAGAGGTTGAGACTGCAGTGAGCTGTGATTGCACCACTGCACTCCAGCCTGGATGAGTGACAGAGTAAGACCCTGTCTCAAAAAAAAAAAAAAAAAATTCCATAAAATGACCAATAAGCTCAGGCAAAGATGCTCAACATCATTGGTCTTCAGGGAAGTATACGCCATTAAAGTAGCCAAAATTAAAAATATAATACTCAGATCTCACAGTGATACTGAGCAGTTGGAATTCTCATGCATTGCTAATTGGAGTGCAAAATTATGGCACAAAGCTTTGGAAAGCAGTGGGGCACTTTTTTTTTTTCCAGTAAACAATAACCTTACCATATAGCCCAGCAATTTCATAAGTCCGCAAAAAAGACTTGCTCTCTAATGTTCCTGACAGCCTTATTCATAACAGCCAAAAACTGGAACGTCAACAGGTGAATGAATAACAAATTCTGGGGCTGGACTCTGTGGCTTACGCCTGTTATACAGCATTTTAGGATGCTGAGGTGGGCAGATCACCTGAGCCCAGGAGCTCAAGACCAGCCTGGGCAACATGGCAATATCCCATCTTTATACATACATATGTGTGTGTGTGTGTGTGTGTGTGTGTGTGTGTGTGTGTGTGTGTATGTGTGTGTGTATACATATATGTGTATATGTATATACACACATATACATATATATGTGTATATGTGTATATATGTATGTATAAGTATATATTATATGTATGTATATGTATATATACATACATATATGTGTGTATATATGTGTGTATATATGTGTGTATATACATATGTGTATATGTGTATATATATGCACACGCATACACACACACACACACAGGAATTAGCTGAATGTGGTGGTGCACACCTGTAATCTCAGCTACTTGGAAGGCTGGGGTGGGAGGATCACCTGAACTGGTAGGTTGAGGCTGCAGTGAACCATAATTGTGCCACTGCACTCGGGAGGCCCTGTCTGAAAAACCAACAAATTCTGGTACATCCGTATGATGGAGTACTGCTTAGAAATAAACAGAAATGAATGACAGATGCAAACAACAGTGTGGATGAATCTCAGAAACCTTGTGCTGAGCAGAAGCAGGTTGGAAAGCACATGCTGTTTATGACTCAATACATGTTTCATTCTAGCACAGACAAAACTCCTATCTGTAGCGACTGGCAGCATGTCGGTGGTTACCTGGCAGTGGAACGTGGGGTCGAGATTGGCACAGTGCCTGATACTGCTGATGACTCACCAAGCTTGCTGTGTCAGTCTTCCTAGATGTTGTTGTCATCCTTTTGATTTCCTTAATTTTGTGCATGGGCTTTGTTTTCAGGTGGATCTATCTTAACGACCAGAATTTATGCATCCCCGCCAGTTCCTCTTTTGTTTATGGAGCTGTACCTATAGGAGCCAGTATTTATGTTATTGGAGATCTTGATACAGGTAAGAGTGTTACAGTGATTTTCTTGGAACTGTTTCCTGGTGATTCTGGGTACATTTTCTCACCCTTGCTTATTTCTGTGGCTTAGGTACCAATTACGACTACGTGCGTGAGTTTAAAAGAAGCACAGGAACCTGGCACCACACTAAACCACTCCTTCCATCCGACCTTCGCCGTACAGGATGTGCAGCCTTACGCATTGCGAATTGCAAGCTTTTCCGCCTGCAGCTTCAGCAAGGCTTATTCCGTATTCGTGTTCATTCCCCTTGAGGAGGAAGCAGAGCAGAGTGCGAGATCCTGACCCAAGAGCACCATAACATAGCTCCGAAAGGGAGAGCAGAGATGGCAGCTGAAACTCACTCTGTGCTGGGCTTTGGTATGGTAACTCTTTGGTGGTTTTATGATGCTTACAAACTTGAGCTTTAGCTCTTGTTTGGGAGAACACGTAACTGTTGAAAAACTACCTGGGAGGAGTGAGTTCCTCCAGTTAAATGTGGCTGTAGATGTTGGAGGCTAGGGAGGCTAGTAAATATCAAAAGGAAAAGGGAGTGGGAATTGCTATCATGTAAAATATCAAAGTTAAAATACTAAGGTGCATTTTCCCTGAAGGGAACTCATGTCTGACTGCTGTATTCAAATACGTAGCTTTGGTAACAAACAAAATCCGTATATGCAAATCAACATATCCAAACATGCCAAGACTGCTTTTCCACTGCACTTGGAAGGATATATTATGCCTAACCCTGCCCAACAAATTAAGGTTTGTGCCTAAAATGTTAGATTGGACTGTATGCCAGTTAGTCTCCATTTATTCCTAGTACTCTGTCCTAAGAATCTTTTTAAAACTATATCATGATGAATTGAAATGAAGATAAAATTGCTCTTTTGTAACTTTATCTTAGTAATGTAAAGATTCAGTAAATTGATGAGTCAGGTTGCAGCCCTCATGTGAACTGAAAGAAGTTGCTCGCTTCTGTGTTGACTTAGATCAAGACACGTCACGCATCCTTTCTGGGGTAGTACCTGTGGAGCCGGGAAGGGTCTCCTGCAGTGCCATTCTGCCTTCTCAATGAGCAAAACCATTTTCTAAGTATGAGGATATTAGTGAGTAGGAGATTTTATAAAAGAAAGACCTGAGTCAGACAAATAATAAAGGTCTGCTGTGGCTAAAAAAGCAAAAACAAAAAAGCTATCCAGACAAAATACATAGGGATCAGAAACTTTTTCATATAACCTGTCTGAAAGCACACAAAGTCTTGTTTACTACTGTTTAGGGTTTGAAAACTTGTCTTAGAATGCGAATCTGTGTTAAGAATCTAGTCTTTGTAATAGAAGTTTCCCAGTGGCATTCACTAGTGAGAGTTTTAGACAAATTATGTTACGAGTAAAGTTTGGCTGGTAGAATAAACTACCTCAACTTAATTTCATTCTGTTCATAGTAGAGCAAATTAATCTTTTCCTCCTTCCCTCCTTTCCTATCTCTCATTCTCACCTCAACCCACTTTACCCCACTTCTCATTGGGGGAAAAATGTCTTTCGTTCGTGGAACGTATCTTGTAAGATATTTTGTTTTCCACTTGAATTACACCACCCTAGTGTGAAATCGGGGACTTCAAAGTGCTTGATTCCTTCCTAAATTGAATTTTATGCAATGTCAAATTTCTAATCAATTTAATATACAGTACTTCATTTTTAATTGTTTTCTAAAAAAAAGGTTTTTTTTTTCCTTTTGGAATATGGCTGTAAGAAGCAGCATTTTGTCTTATTAACACATGTATAAAGGTATCCTTTGGTTTTAAGTCGAGAACAGGAATTTCTTCTAGAAACTTCCTGTATGGAACGTTTATATGCAATTAACATGCATATGAAAAACATCACTTACGTTCTCCCACCCATAGACATAAAAAAGGGTGACCTGTGATTTTTTTTCTTATACCTGCTGGAAGTCAGTACAATGCGTCAAAAGTTGCTGAAAGATGCTGTGCCTATGGGGTTCTAGAGAGTGTTGAGTGTGGTACATTAACTCTCCATTTTAGCCAGAAGATACCTGATAAGAGAAGGTGTAAGGTTTTTATCTTATATGCCAGAGGCACCAGGCCAGATGTGCCGCACAGTCATGTAATTCAATCATGTTTAATATGTCAGTCAAAACCAAATTCAGAATTGTTTTGTGTACCAGTCAGCTGTTGTCTGCACATTTTCGTAGTGACAGTGTGGAGATCTTTTTAATGAAAGCAAACTATGTGGCCTCTGCAAAGAAAGGAAGATTTTTCTTTTTACAACTAGATATTAGTTTTAGAGGAAGGAAATAGCTGAAAAACTAAATTTGCTTTGGTGAAATGTCCTGTACAGAACAGTACCTTGGCATTCAGCAGCTGTAATTGGGGAACATTAAAACAGTAACTGACATCCAGTTAAAGCCACGATCGTCAGCAATTCTCCTTTTTTAATTTCTGATATTTAAAGTTTTTTTTCCAGTCTACACCAGGCCTCTCCAAGGAGACAGTTCATTATTTAGGAGTGAATGTGTTCCTCTTGCAATATTATCAGTACCTGCATGACTTGGTAAATTCATTTTATAAAAATAGTGTTTTTTTTTTTTAATTTCAGTTCATTGACTCTATAACTGCAGAAATTAGATAATGTTTTATAAAATAAATTTGCCACATAATATGGGATGCAATAACCAACAAAGCTGCTAAGTGCCAAACTGTTATTTTACTATATATAAATATTAAAATATTGTGTTGAAGTATAGGGATGTATTTAATTTTACTATGCTCCAACATTAATCATGACTCTTTTGTAAATTACAGTTATTTCAGTATTGTAAAATAAATGTTGACTCATTTCATGCAGGTTTGTGTTTTAACATTCCACTTATGCCTTGAAACATCATTTCTTGATAACTTTTTGATACTTCTTTCTTGATAAGGCACTTTTACCAGGTGTGTGTTGGAATTGGTGGCTCAGGATAGGTCTTAAATTTTAAATACAAATATCTTTGGGGGAAGTGCAATTTATTTTCAGAAGGAAAGTTGTCTCAGGTTAGAATAAGTAAATATTTAAAGAACCTCTCCTAGGCTGCAGTCTAAAATAGGTAGTTTGTTTCTTTGTTTAGCATATCCAAATTTAGATTTTTCAAAGATTTAAGTGTTTATTGAAAGTGTTTTTTGTTTTGTTTTTGATAGTGCTTATATCCTGTGAATAGAAAAAGTGTGAGAGATGAATGAGTGAGTTGTACGTGTGTGTGTGATGCTATTTGACCTGATAAATGTATTTGTGTTTACTTTTTGAATTGTAGTTCTAAACTACATATATTACTGTCTCCTGGTGCTTCAGATAAATTCTTGAGC